>NC_000002.12:166239618-167489618 GCF_000001405.40 Homo sapiens | reverse complement strand
AAAGTGTGTTCTGCCAGCATGTTCTATAAGATAGCCTTCCAACAACACAAAGTCTCAGGCATTCTTTTCTGGAACTCGCAAGGAAAATAAGCTGGCTTTGGCAGTTGATCACAGACTGTTCTAATTCAATGAAGCCATTTTCTACAGGCTTTACTTGGCAAGCTTCTTTCCACTGCCTGCAAACTGACTGTTTCTTTGTAAACCTTGTTGCAATTCAACCCAAACACCTCTACACCCCAGTTATCTGTTACTGAAAAATCTATTTTAAAGAAGACTTTCAGTGGAATACCTGATTTTGGAGCCTTTCCTTAACCTTTACAAACTGTTATGCATAGGTCATTATCTACAGAAGTGTGTTCTGGAAAAAGGACGCCAATGGTGTAGTGATGTATAACACTGGAGAAGTCAGAAAGCCCAGGCTGAGTTACCTGCTCTAAAATGTGCCCCTCTTGATCTGCTTGGCTTATCAAATGATCTGCCTATGGAAGTTCATAGTACAATGACGTTAGTTTGATGGCACCTCTGAACTCTACTTCTAACAATCATTCTGTATATTTTTAGAATTCTTAAAAGCACATAGTTGTAGATTGGGGAAAATGTCATCAATAAATCCTCCAAGGAGACACAAAGTATTTTTTTTTTTTTGTAATATCATAGTCCTTCATTATTAATCTTATTTTTAACATGGCTAAGTTCTTGATTCCCAAGAATTCAATTAAACATCTATGGATAAATCGAAAAATCTTAAAGTTGCATGAAACAAGCCTGACACAAAAAAGTGCATACTATATAGTTACATTTATATGAAGTTCTAGAAAAGGCAAAAATAAGCTATAATGATCATCAGAACAGTGGCTGTGAGGAATTGACAGAAATGTAGCAAGAGGGAACTTTCTGGAATAATGAAAAAATTCTCTATCTTGATTGGATAATGGTTACATGGGTGTATATACTTGACAAAATTCATGGAACTGTGACCTTAAAATCTGTATACTTTATTGTAACTCAACTTGTACTTACATTAAAAAACAAACAGACAAACAATAGGACCGAGGCTTCTCAAGTTTTGGTATGATTTTGAGTGACAGTCTTTAAGATGAACTGTACAGTGAAAACCAGTTCTTTATTCCTTCATTCATTTATCCACTTGAGAAAGATTTACTAAGCACACATATACCCAGAATTAATACAATGGCAGTGTGCTAGAAAAAATAATGGTTAGCAAAATAGACACAGCCCTTATTCTCACAGACATTAGAGTCTGTTGGGGGAAAACAGACAATTAAAGTAGACAAAAACAAAGAATTATCACTGTAGCATTGGGAGAAGGCCTATATTTTAACCAAGAGTTGCATCAAAACAGAATGAACTACTTTATACTAAACCCTAAGCCAATGTGTGCTGAAAATATTGGTGTTTGCTGAGTCATTAAAAGCTGATAGAGTGCTTAGACCAAAGCAAAACAAATAATGTTTTTCTATTAAACCAACCCTATATATGCTCCAAATCTAATGAATCAAAACATTAAAATACTTTTCAAAGTCAAATTTCATTTGGCCATTGAAGACCTTTTTTTTAACAGAATTTAGGTCGTCTATGTCCTAAGGCATTTTACATATACAGCTGTCCACAGGAATAACATGGTGTTAAATGACCTTCTTTTCCATGAGCAAGTCCCAGCTGGGAAGACAGGTGCATCTACTTCTGGTCATTCTGCTGCCAATGGGGGATTTGCAGGCTTTCCCAAAAGCAAGCATTATGCATACTCACGATAAATCCAAGCTTGTGACAGGTGCAGTATTTGATATACAAACAAAGTATAACCACAAATAGACCCGTTTTCCAATATAAAATGCTTTCAGATACATATATCCCCCTCACTACTACCAAACTCACACTTTAAAATGAAGTCCTTCTGTGGGCAATCCCATTTTTAAAGCATATGAAAATATTTTATAGCCTAACTAGTATTAAAAAATCCTCTTGTTTCTTTTTTGGTTTCCCAACCAATTTGTTCAAAATCTCTCCAAAATGAGAGGAGTCATAAGATTAAACAGATAAAAGAATACTATTAACATGAGAAAAATAAATAAAATATGAACCATATAAAGAGTTATTGGATTTTTAAGCCTTCTAAGGAAGGCTAACCTATTGTTATTTTGTGAAACTGTCTAGAAGGAAACCAATATCTGTTAAAGAATACTCTAAGAGGAAACATGCCAATAACAGTGGGTAGTTCAAAAATACGCTTTGGAATGAGAAGCTTACTTTAAACAGAGGCCATAAAGGATGTTGAATGTTTTATATTTAATCAGCAAAACACGCACAACATTACCTTCCCAGTCTCTGACCAGACAATTTAGGGTTTGGGCTACAGTCTACTGGCAGGACAAAAAGTGGCCTTCTGAACAAAGTAAGTGGGACTTGAAACAACTAATTCAAATAGATGAGCCACTTTACACCCTCAGAAAACATGGTCAGATTTGAATCCTAACTCTACAAGGACAGTTTCTTTACTTTCTCACTCTGGTTAGTGATAAATTCAAAAGAAATCTTTTATTACTGATGAGGAATTATAGTTCCTGTTTGTATACATTTCACATATTTAATATTTTTTTAAAGTACATATTTTAACAAAAATATAAACATTTTTAAATCTCATGTTTTATTTTTTATTCTACAGCCAAATGGTTGATAATTAAAGGAGTTAACATAACAGAACATTTTCCCAACATTCTTGTGTGATTTTTCCTTCTTCTCCAATTTCTACTCTCCCAATCCCACTTCAATATTTTTGCTTTCTATTCTTTCTTTTGGCCAGTGTGAGTATCAGTTCTCTGTATTTCCTCGTCATTCTTTCATATTTACTTTCTCATAAATATGGTACTTGTTTTAAATTTTTTTAATTTGTTCTCACTCTTTCACCAGGCTGGAGTGCAGTGGTGTGATCTCGGCTCACTGCAACCTTCGCCTCCCGGCTTCAAGTGATTCTCCTGCCTCAGCCTCCTGAGTAGCTGGGACTACAGGCGTGCGCCACAACACCCAGCTAGTTTTTGTATTTTTAGTAGAGACGTGGTTTCACCATGTTGGCCAGGATGGTCTCGATCTCTTGACCTAGTGATCTGCCTGCCTCAGCCTCCCAAAGCGCTGGGCAGGCATGAGCCACTGTGCCCGGCCTAAATACGGTACTTTAAAGGAAATGTGGTATTTAGTTTGTGAGATATAAAGCATCTTTTCTTTTCTTTTCTTTTTTTTTTTTTTGAGACAGAGTCTCACTCTGTCACAAGGCTGGAGTGCAGTGGCACGATCTCGGCTAACTGCAACTTCTGCCTCCTGGGTTCCAGCAATTCTCCTGCCTCAGCCTCCTGAGTAGCTGGGACTACAGGCATGCGCCACCACACCCAGCTAATTTTTGTATTTTTAGTAGAGTTGGGGTTTCACCATGTTGGCCAGGATGGTCTTGATCTCTTGACCTTGTGATCCACCTGCCTTGGCCTCCAAAGTGCTGAGATTACAGGTGTGAGCCACCACGTCCAGCCTGAAGAATCTCATAAATATTTGCACTTAAGACTTTCTCAAATTTCAATCCATTAGATACATAATTGTGGTACAGAATTCTAGATAATTTCTAATGGTTTTTCATGGCCATGGCTTTCTTCTCCAGTAACGCCCAAAGATATCACGACCTTCAGTCTGCAGGGCTTGTATCTAATGCTAAGACAAGCCTTTCCTCTGTGTCCTGAGAGTAAATTTTAAGCAGCTATAACTTAATGCATCTATTGACACTAAAATCTAACTAATGGCACTGAACATTTTGAAAACAGAAGTGAAATCTTTGGAACTAGTGACTTGGGAGTAAATTTTTCCAGAGGTTCAAATTTACGGCTTATCTTTAATGCATATGCATAGTTTAGATTAATTCAAAAGCATATATTTAGCTCCTAGGATGTGGCAGTCTTCATGCAAAGTACTAAGGACACACGGCCATTCCTCTAAATTAACTTCGTAGCTTAGCCATTGAAGTCAAAGGAGACATAAACACATACAAGATAACTTAATGCCATTTGTCAAGTGCTATGACAACTGTATACATAGCACTATGAAATATGTAGCCTGGACACTCAATTTCCCAGATGAAGTGAGAATGACTAGGACACGTTCCATAAATATTGACTGAACATCTGACTTTGGGATAGCAAACCAGTTGTTCCATCTAATCTAATTAAGATACTATCCTGATTGTTAGTTACAGAAGACCTCATCAAATGCTTACACAAACAGGACACACTTGGTTTTGTCCTGTTTTTCATTCAAATAATCTTTTTTTCAAAACTTGCCATGTGGGTGGTTCAGGCAGAATTTTCTCACCCATAAAATGTACACATTAATAGCATTATATTTTGATATTTAATGAAAAAATATATATGCATGTAAACCAAAAATAAATTTCTAAGCCCTCCATCTAACTGAATGGATCCCTCCTCTTGGCCAAGAGGATTCCAAAGTAAACCTGAAAAACTTGTTCAGGCCATGATGGGAAGTGGGGGTTGGACATGCCTTACTATACTCTCTTCCCTTTGGAATTCAGGCACAACTGACCAGCATTAGCACTGAAACAGAGATCTTAAGAATGACAAAATGTAAAAGTATCTTTACAGCTGTAAGATACCGAATTCTAACTCACTCTAGTCTAGCATCACATGACAGACTGCAGGCCCTGAAAGAAATTATTTTACCCTGAAATATATTTCTTGGACATATTTTGAAATGGCCACGGCAAAGTTGTCTCTTGTGAGGGAAGTGTACATTCTGTAGAGAATCCCCTTCCCTTTCTAGTTCTTTTTCTGAGCCTGAAGAGATTAGCTGAGAGTTAAGCACCTTTTAAAGATCTGAATAGGAAACATTTGCCACCTATTGCCTCTAAGGGTAGCCACTTATGAGACTTCATCTACATAATAGAACCTTGGTCTCCACAATCTCTTCTTAACCTAGACACTCCTTTCTATTGATTCCAGGTCTTCAGATAATAACTTAACTCTTTCAACAAATTGCCAATCAGAAAATCTTCAAATCCACCTACGACCTAGAAGACCCTGCTTCTAGTTGTCCCACTTTTATGGATTCAAACAATGTATAACTCATAGTATTGATTGACGCCTGCCTGTAAGTTCTGTCCCACTAGAATGTGTAAAATCAAGTTGTAATCCAACCACCTTGGGCACACGTTCTCAGTACTTCTTGAGACTGTCTTGGGCCTTAGCCACTCGTATTTGGCTCAAAATAAACCTTTTTAAATACTTTATAGAGTTTGACTTTTTTTTTGTTGACATAAAGTACTTAGTACAGTACCTGGTATAGTAATTGCTCTCCACTCCACTCCCTCCCAAAAAAAGAAAGAACAAAACTCAATACATTTTTACTGAAGGCTTGGCTTATCATTGTAATTATCTATCCTTAGGCGAAAATTTTCACATATAAAGATGTGAGATTAGTTGTCATAGTTATTCCCTCAGAAGAGGTCATCCAACTTATTAAAAGAGGTTGCTTATGTTTATATCTGAAGTAAGAGCCATATATTCCTTAAAGACAATAGGGCTCATATGGAGCTTCTATATGTGGCTAGAGGTCAGTTCTTAACGGAGATAGCTCCATTGAAGATGCTTGTTGTGTGCAATAGAGACAGAGGGTTTTGGAATTTCCATGCGATCCATGGATAGGTTCTATAGGGTCTGTACATTCCTCTTAAATATACTGAATGAACAAATTATGAGCCAAATAATGAACCAAAAGAACACCAGGTATCTTCATTGGAAAAGCAGGCATTATTTAACATATATTTAACATATAGTTTCAAGTTATCTGATTCTATGGAGGGCTGATTGAGCTATTTTACAAGGCTATAAATTATATATAAATGGTAGCAATTAAAATAATACTTATCCAAAGACATGTAAATTCCTTTTGGTGGAGGAACAACTGATCTTTCTCTCCACTGCAACCTAGGGGAAAAAGCCAGTTTTTCATCTATTTGTAGATTCATTTCAACATTCCTGACTCAACCATATATGTGTATTAATTTGAATTCTATATTAAACCAGTTAACATTTTACTGGTTTCCTTGTTAATAACTGAGTTAAATAACATTTTGATAGTTTTTTATATTTGAATTTGTCCCTTTGGAAAATTATCTTTGAATATTCTTATTTGTGTTTTGATTTCCCATAATAATTTAGCCAAGTACTGCCATATGAACCCAGTGTTTATGTTTGTAGATACTATTGTTTTGGCCTCAAGAAGTTTTTGTTGTTTTTGTTGTTGTTGTTTTGAGATGGAGTTTTGCTCTCGTTGCCCAGGCTGGAGTGCAATGGCGCGATCTCAGCTCACCACAACCTCCATCTCCCAGGTTCAAGTGATTCTCCTGCCTCAGCCTTCCGAGTAGCTGGGATTACAGGCATGCGTCACCACGCCCAGCTAATTTTGTATTTTTAGTAGAGAGGGGGTTTCTCCATGTTGGTCAGGCTGGTCTCGAACTCCCATCCTCAGGTGATCTGCCTGCCTCCACCTCCCAAAGTGCTGGGATTACAGGAGTGAGCCACCCCGCCTGGCCACTGGCCTCAAGAAATTTTAATGAGAAAAGAACAGAGATAGCAAAAGGCAAACAACGATACTGTGCAGAGGCTCCAAAAAATATTAGAATTATCATAATACAGCACACTGCGTTATAATTATGTTTTGTGAGAGATATAAGCACAGAGTGTTTATGCTTGGCTTTCTTTTTTGAGACAGGGTCTGGCTCTGTTGCCCAGGCTGGAGTGCAGTGGCGCCATCTCAGCTCACTGCAACCTCTGCCTCCTGGGTTCAAGTGATTCTCCTGCCTCAGCCTCCCTAGCAGTTGGGATTACAGGCACCTGCCACCATGCCCGGCTAATTTTTTTATTTTTAGTAGAGTCAGGGTTTCACTGTGTTGGTCAGGTTTATGCTTGGTTTTGTTTGCATATTTTTAAGTAACAATGTAATAAAAATGATTTAACACTGGGGTTCGAAGAGAAGATTTTTGTACTAGTTTTTGTTTTTGTCTTAAAGACACGGTATATATTGTAGAAGTTTGAGAAACAATGGCCTGGAGGAGGTGAACAATGTATATTTCAAATTTCGCATTTGTGAAAATGTAGTGTCTAAGTTATAAAACTCTGGTGTCCTGAAAGAGTTAATTTATTTTAATCTCATGATCATCTTTAATTCATACTTACTTCCCATCAGATCATGTACTATAAGAATAAAGAAAGCTCAAAATAAATGTTTTTGTTTTAAAAACCTAGACATAATGGAGATTTGAAAGCCCCCGTGTAGCCAAAAAATATGATTCATCTCTTCAGATTTTGATATATTATTCATTTGAGTTTAGTAATATTAGAGTCAGACTATGAGATTATTTTATTAACCAAGAACTGTGAGGAGAGATGTCTTTATGCTGCATCCATTTGAAAGCAAGAAGGCAGGAGGAAAGGAACGACACAAAATTTGTGCTGTTTAAACTTACAGAATCATTTCCTACCCTTCTACAGCTAACTGTATCTTGGGAAAATAACAGCTGTTAGGTTGGAAATATGTTTTAATTGTTTTCTAAAAAAAAAGAAATACATTGTTTTTCTGTATACTATTCACTTAAAAGAGACTTTTAATCTCTGCCTTCAAAAAAAGGATTTTAAACTCTGCCTTTAACTTTTTAACTCTGCCTTAAAATTGTGCATCCTGAAATAACTCTTTTGGGCATGTAACAGAGTGCTCTCTCCAGTGGTGGAGAAAGAAATACAAAATACACAATTAACTCTACCACCATACAGAACAGGTGAAGATTCCAGGTTTGGCTGTGAACTTCCTGGAAAGGCAAGCTTTGGGAGGCTGTTACTGTTTGAAAAATGATGTTCATTTGGTCAGAGAGGAATTCTCAGCATTTAGGAAATTAGGGACATGACCATCATTCTTTCTCAGTTGCTTACACCTAGTGCCTGGCACATAGGCATTCAATATATAAATGAATCATGTTTATAGCTAAGATTGTACCAAGACAGCATGGCCGTGTTGAAACATTTTGGAAAAGCAAATTTAGTGACAGCATGTGCAGCTCTATTATAGCAAAAACATTTTAGCATTAATTTTGTTTTAACGGAGGAACATTATTTAAGTTAGACTACAGAGGTATATAATTAAAACATTTATTGTTTTGTTTTTATTTTAGCTTATGGAGATAAGCTAAACTTAGATAAATATACAGGCAAACTTAGATAAATATACAGGACAACTATCATTTTATTCCACTGTGGGTTTGTTCTGTAGCGGGGTATTTTGATATTAAACTAAGTGAAGAATTTTTCAATTTATTTTAGTTATGTTTTTTTTACCATATATAAGCAGCAAAAAGGACTTTATGCCTCAGGGTAAGGTTGATTCAGAGAGAACAAAGATGCACATTTTTGGCCTTTGAGCAACTAATTTGACCCTTGTAAGTCAACAGTGCAGACAATCGTCTTTAAAACCATGGTTTTGAATTGCAAGTACCAGCTGCTGGAGAGAAAAAAAGTTCCAAAAGCTTGGATTTAAATATCAAGAACCAAATCTTATAGGACTGGGAGCAAAGGGTTCAAGGCCACAGTGAAGGTGGAAAAGATAAGTGATGCCATATGAGCAGTTTTTCTACAGCACTGAAGAGGAGAGATAGGGAAAGTGAAACAAAAGGAGTGTAGACAGTATGGGTTGCCGTCTTCCCTGAACCTGCTCTGGGGTTGAAACTCTGGCCAGTTGGGTGATAGAAACTTCCCAAAATATTTAGTCACTCTTGTACTGGGGACTCACTCCCAGTGAACTCTGAAACTTGAGAAGAAAATAACCTTGCTGATTGCCTTCAACAAACTAAGCTGCAATAGGTGGAAATGTCAGCAAGGCAGCTCTGGGTAAAGAGAAGGCCTAAGATAGTCCCCGCCCCACCTGTGGTGGTTTCGTTTGTTTGTTTGTTTTTTGTTTTTTTAGCACTCACAAGTTCTCAACACCATGGCTAAGGAACAAAACAGAGTTAAGGGTTGACAATCAGCAAGCCTAAAGAGTCACTCTAGCTTGATGTCATGGGAGTCCACAGCTGCACAAAGCTGCAGAGTGGGCAGCCCTAGCTGTGAAACCTCCTTTGCAGAGGTTACGACAGTGGGAGAAATTGAGCATGGCTGACTCCATTTTGCTTCTAGCCTCGCAGGCTGCTGGCTTCGCTCATTCCTGGGTGTGGGGCTGGCTAGGCATGGGAGGAGTTTAGTTTATCCTTTAACTTTGAAGCAAAGATGGTAATAGTCCCTCCCTAAAACTGATCCCTCTCTGGGGGCTGAAACTGCCTTTGTAAGACTAATGGAAGGCTACAAGATTAGGTGGGAGGGGCATGAAGTCTGCTAAAATGTAGGCATGGTTTCTATAATCCCTTACTGCTCAAGAGTCATGTAGCCAGGGGTCACAAGATTTATAGCTTCATCAACTGCTCCTATAGTTAACATCATGACTGTAGAACCCAAGATTGCGCTTTCCAGATGTTTTACAGACTTTCACATTCCGGCAACTGACTGACCCCATCCAGACACAATCCACAATCATCCTGTGGCCCCAGCCAGAGGCAGACTCAGCGCATGAGGGCCATTTTCCACATCCCTATGATGTGGAAAATTGGTTCCCCAGCTAATAAGCAGCACCTATTCTGTAGTCTTCTGCCCACAAAACTATTTGAAAGCCTCTAACCCTCTGAGCCTTTTGACTGATTTAAGTGATTCTACCACGTGGCTAGCATCGCATTACTTAAACTCTTTCTTTATTACAATACCACGGTCTCGGTGAACTGGTTTTGTCTGTGCAGCAGGCAAGAAAAACCCATTGGGTGATTACAGTGGTGGGATATCCTGAATTGAACCCAAAGAGGATCACTTTGAGATAGGAGGTAGCCAAGTTACCTCAAATTGCAAGACTGAATTTTCTGCTACCAATAAAAGGAAGACCAGAGTTGAATTGTGCTTACTAGCAGAAATATGAAAGTTATGTTTTACTCACTTGAATCTTGTTACATTTCCATCTCAGTCATACAGAGTTTTAAAACAAAAGCTAATACATTCAAAATATATGCTCTCCCACAAACATATATCAGTTCACTCTTAAATAATCAAATAGTAACTAACAGGGAGGAGAAGAGATTGTTCTGTGGGGTCCCTAGCATTTAATGCAATGCTTGATCTAAAATATACATGCATATTTTTGAATTAGTAACTGAATACATTAATTATTGCCAATACACATCTAGATAAAAATAATAAATGCTAATATTACTGAACATTTTGTTGGAACTAAACCTTTGCCTGTACCACCTCATTTAATCTTCAACTACCTATACACTAATATCAATATTCTTGTTTTACACAGTGGGGAATTTTGGTTTATAAAGGTGAAGTGATCTACTCCATGTCCCAAAACTAGTAAACAGCATTTCTTTTATTTATTTATTATTTATTTATTTACTTATTTATTTATTTTTGAGCCGAAGTCTCACTCTGTTGCCCAGGCTGGAGTGCAGTGGCGCGACCTAGGATCACTGAAAGCTTCGCCTCCCGGGATCACACCATTCTCCTGCCCCAGCCTCCCAAGTAGCATACAATCCAAAATATTACAATGCTGAAGCTTATATCTGAAAAGTTGTTTTCAAATATTTGAAGAAAATTTAGAAAGCTGGTTTCACACAACCATCATTCTCAGCAAACTATCACAAGGACAAAAAACCAAACACCACATGTTCTCACTCAAAGGTGGGAATTGAACAAATTAGAACACTTGGACACAGGGTGGGGAACATCACACACCGGGGCCTATCATGGGGTGGGGGGAGGAGGGACGAATAGCATTAGGAGATATACCTAATGTAAATGACGAGTTAATGGGTGCAGCACACCAACATGGCACATGTATACATATGTAACAAACCTGCACGTTGTGCACATGTACCCTAGAACTTAAAGTATAATTTAAAAAAAAACTATAATAACCCTAAAAAAAAAAGAAAGTTGGTTTCACACTGCCATTTGCTTTTGTTTTTTTATAAGCCTTGATTTTAGTGTCCTCACTTAGCATCTTAACACAGTAGATCTGGGAGGGACTTCATGGATTACCGAGTCCAGCCCCCTATCTAATGATTGACGGAACTGACTTCCTCAAGGGCACAGAGCAAACAAGGAGTTCTTTCTTTTGGAATAAATCGCCATGCTCTCTTCTTTCCTCTTATTAACTCACCCATTTAATAATTGTTAAAATAGTTGGAAGGTGAAGTGGGTTGGTGTTTAGGATTATAAAGGATTGGGAACACAAGATCAGTGAATGAAGGTTGAAGGGAGAGCAGGTAAAGCAAACTCCTTTGCATTAATCTATTACTATAAACTGTTCCTAAAGCTATGCTTTGAAAATGCCTGCTAAATGTATCCACTCTAAAGAAATTCTTTATAATGGCACGAATACTGCTATCTCCAACCTCAAATTTATTTCATTGCAAAGCAGATTTTCATATTTTGAAGATCTACTTTGTATATATTCTATTTTAATGTTTTGTGCCAACTTGCACAATACCCAAAATATAACAAAATATCAATCTTGTTTGAAACAATAAATAGACCTTTCAAATTCATACATCGTTAGTATTTTCTATTCTGCCATTCAAAATGTGTTTTTGTTGTTTTCTTTTCAATCAGCTTTACAGGAAAAGCATGGGTGGACAAATAGATGTACCCAAAATTGATGATTCAATGGAATGTGTCTGAGGAGAAATGATGTCTTTAAAATGTTGAACAGTTTCCACAACTACTCATTCTTTAAAATTGTTAGACACCAAGGTACATTGACAAATGGGTCTAATAGTTTCTCTGCAGTAGCCATCACAGCAGAATTGGTAATGTACTCTATTATTTTGTTAGACATGCACTTCTAGTGACATTATAGCGCCCATAAAATGGTCTGGTAACTTACAATCCGGATAAAACTAAGTAATATATTTCAGACTTAGTAGAAACGTTTCTTTGGAACTTACTTTTGCATTATTATAGGATCGTACTGTATCATCCTTCCTCTTTCTTCTGTCTAATCACCTAATTTTATTCTTCTTATGATTCTTAAACTGTTCTTGGCAGCTAGTTTTTGTTCAAAGACTCAGGTCTGACTATTCTATATGGTGAATCACTGCATGGCCTGGAGTGGCAAATGTGTAGCCAGGCACAGGGTGTGGCATAATGGAATATAACCTGAGATTGGGTCACATTACCCCAAGGGTGTCATTTCATCCTGTACCTCCAGCTCTACTTGCCAACGTGGCTTTTTAACATCTTTATGTCCTTCTTCCCTTTTGTCCAAAAGGCTAACTTGTCAACCTCCTTCCCACGCACAAAGATTTAAATCTGCCCAACATTCAAAAGCACATATGCTTATAAGTGGGAGGAATTTGAAACATGAAAAGCATTTGCCAATATCTTAGCTTTTGCTCCTCATTTTGAGTTACGCATTAGGATTCTTTGATGACTCCTAAAGCTTGAATAATTGATGAAAACATGGATATGATCAAACACTTTGAAAGTAATTGGTCAATCTGCTCCTTTTATCCTCTGCAGACAGAATTATTTACGGAACTTCAATACTTATTTAAGAGAGGCTTTCTGAAAATTCAGAAAAAAAGTATTTTCTCTTTTCTTCACATTTGGTGATCCCCCTTTCTTCTTTTTCTTCTTTGCTGTCTCCCCCTTAATTTCCTTCTTAATGATTCCATTTCATTAGTTAAAATTAAGAATAAATTATAGATGATGAAATGAATTGTTCAACTTTGCTCAAAAATTTAAGGAAGCCATTATCTCAGTGAGAGGTGTAGAGGATGGAATTTTCAAATTCTATTTCTAATGAAGTATCTATAGTTTGTTTTTAATGGGTGAGTACAGATTCAATACAGGATGTTTTATTAAGACACAGATACCCTGAATATTCGACAGAATTCCAAAACTGTCCACAGTATCCCCCCTTGAAAGGAAAAACCAAGAAGCTGTGAAGGTGTAATAGGACAAGAAGGATCATAATTTATATCTTTCAACATCAGCTGCTTTTTAAAAGTTTTCTGCTGCAGGCCCCAGAATTGAAATGTGACTTGAGGCTGCAACCCAGTGGGCAAATATGATATTTTCTAAACTCCAGACCATAAAAATAATAAACGCTTATATTCATGTCTACTGACATTAAACAAATGCTCAATACTTTTAGCTGTCCCAAATCTGCCTGTGACTACTGAAGATAAATACCTAGAGCTGCTTTTTTGAATGCTAAGCACTGTCTACAGCAGAAGCAAACCAATTAATGAATGTTGACAGTGTTCTTTCTGAACCATTTACTATCATGAATTGTTGTTATGGGTTGAATTGTATATACTGCCCCCCTAAATTCATAGGTTGAAGTCCTGACCCTGAAGACCTCAGAGTGTGAACTAATTGGAAATAGGGTCGTTGCAGATAGAATTAGTTGTGTTAAGATGAGGTCATTCTGGAGTAGGGTGGGCCCCTAATCCAATATGACTGGTGTCTTTGTAAAAAGAAGAAATGTGGACACAGACATGCACACAGAAAGAATGCCTTGTGACAATAAAGGCAGAGATTTGTTGCCTTGGCTGCTGCTGCTGCTAAGGAACAACAAAAGTTGCAGGCAAACCACCAGAAGCTGGGAGAGAGGCCTGGAACATATTCTCCCTCATGGCCTTCAGAAGGAACCCACCCTGCCTTTACTTAGATCGCAAACTTTCAGACCCCAGAACCGTAAAACAATTAATTTCTACTGTTTGAGCCCGCCAGTATGTGGTATGGTAGTACCCCCTTATCTGTGGGGAATACATTCCAAGACCCCCAGTAGATCTTAATCAGAAGACATTTCTGGTCATGTCTTCCACTCACACACTTAATGCCTTTTCCATCTTAACCAAGTGCTTATCAGGCACTGTGGCTGTATCTTTTGTAGTTGAAGTTCGACAGCAAAACTAGCAAAAATTTCTTTTTCCTTCTTCACAATTTCACTAATAGAAGGTTTCTTTTTACTGTAGATTTTAGCAAAAAAAAAAATTTCTTCTCTTAGGTCAAAAACTTTCACCTTTAAAGGAAGTACTTTATGGCTTCTCTTTGGTATATCTGAAGTGCCAGCATCACTAGTTTTATACTTTTGTGCCATTATTAAGTAAAATAAATGTTACTTGAACACAAGCACAGTGATACCTTGAGAGTGGAACTGATAATGGAGAGGGCTACTAAGCGACTTAGGGGTGGGGAGTGTCTCCAGTGTGGATATGCTGGACAAAGAGAGGGTTCAGGTACCAGATGGGACAGGGAAGGATGGCATGAAATTTCATCATGTTACTCAGAATGATGTGCAATCTAAAACTTAGAACTTGATTTCCGAAATTTACTATTTAATATTTTTGGACTGCAGCTGACCATAGGTAATTGAAATTGCAGAAAGCAAAATTGCTAATAGAGGGGTATCTACTGCACTTTCTTATGACAGCCCTAGTGAACTAATAAAGTTGTTTAGTAGAAAGATGTATAAAATCTGATTTAATATTTACAATGCATAGCAGGTATATTTATTTATTATTATGAGGAGACAAAGTCTTCAATCACCCAGTAATTATATCTGAATTGGCAATACAGAATTTTTAGAATCACTTTATAATCACATTTACGTACTCCCTTTGGAGAGCAAACTACACCTTGAATAATTTACATTTTAACATCTGGGTCAAAAATCACATCAAATTTTAGGAGTCTACCAAATGATAATAATAAGAAACTAGAATGTGGCTTCAAGGACTTATTAAAATACTGTTGACAACTATTTCACCTTGCGATGCACCTTTGGTGTCAGAGATAACTGCAGGAGTAGAATCAGGTTTTATAGGGCCTGAATCTTATACAACTTTGGGGTTCCTGTTTAAGAAAAAAGATACGATTATATGTCAAAATTTAGATCCACGTGAAATGAGCCCAAGGGAAGTGATAGGTCCTGAAGCTTAGTCTTGACTAATATTACCTTGAATCTACCTCTGGAGATAAGACAGTAACAATACAGACCAGAGACAATACAACCCGTTTCACAGGAATGAAGTGATGTTAATATCAATACCATTTTGCTACACTTTATTTGTGAAAGAGATAGAAGGTAAAACACAAGGGAAAGGATAGATGACAATACCAAAAGATTGTAAATGTGCTAAATGGATCAATTCAGCCTAATATCCAATCATCATTTCTTTACAAGCAATTAAGACTCTGTCACCAGACGTCAAGTCAATTAGCTGGTAGTGTGGCAATTTATGCTAAGAGTCAGTCAAACAGCTGTTAAAATTATGAACCATTAGACTGATTAGAAATTATCCATATTAAGATGGCGTATCCTATAGACACAGCTGCATCTACTGACATGTCCATGCCATTACATTTCCCTTCCCTCTGTACAGCTGTCAATACTAACTTTCTTAGAGTCAGCTTAAAAGCCCATGCTATTTCATGTATTTATGCCTCTGCCATTCTGATTTCTCTGGTTGGATGTCACTTTCATCTTCCCAGTAAATATCCACTTACCCTTCTGTGTCCCATATGGTTCACTCCCAGATCTGAAAATAATGGGTGGAACATTTATTACTTCACGTGTCTCTACGCTACTCTACGACATTTAAGTTCTTGAAGCAATAAATGTGATACATCATGTAGAAGAGCTACACTTTTTAAAGTCTGTACCTTTCTCTCCTGTTTATTCTTCTGATAGACAATAGCATCCCCTATTTGTCCTCCTAAATTAACCCCAAACTCCTTTCCCAGCCTTGGTTCACTCATGTGGTCACCTTCTTCCATCTCTTGATTGTGATAATCAAAAAACTGATCAGCCAAAGGCAGCCCCTTTCTAGCAAGGCAATGGAGAGAAAGAAACTAAGAAAAGAACCTTGGCTCCAGGTGGCAGGGGGAGTCTGGGAACACTCTATGATGATAATATGAGTTATTTCTTTTTTCAAAACTCAGGCACTTCAGGAAAACCTTCCTAATGATCCACTGTCACCTCTCTCACCATTAATTATTTTGTATCGTTAACATGTTTACTTTATTGTATTTATGAGAATACACTGAAATTAAATTTTAAGACTTTTTCTGCCAGAAAGTGACCTTTCTGAGATCAGGAACTCTTAATTCTCAAGGAACAACAAAGTTTGTTGCCTAGCACAGTGATGGGCACACTATACATTCTTAAGTAACCCTTGTAAGAGAGTAAAATATCTTCCCAGGTTGATTCTAATGCTTCTATTCTCTCAGGACATGTTTACACGATAACTAGAAATTTGACATGCTCACTTTTAGAAAGACTTACATGTAGTAGTTGTCCAATAAGTATTTATGGATTAAGAGATGAGTTCACAAGATTTGAACTTGGGAATCACTAATCTCTGCAAACACACTGTTAAGGTCCTAAGTGGAAATCACTGCAGATTTCTGAATACAAAATGTGCCCGATACAGATTTCTTAATTATATAATTAAGTACCCAAATTCAGGCTAGATTTGTTTTTGGCAGCTTTAATGTGCCACATGGAAAATGACTTAACATTCCTTCACTTTTTCACAAAAAAATCAGAAGGACGTTTAGACTTCTCCCACATGTATATGATAATTTGTCATAAAGAAATCCAAACAAATGGAAATACTGATATCACTGCAGTTGCCATTTTTCACCATGTTTCACTTAACATCTGACAGCTCTGCTCCTTAGATACTGCCAAATAAAGACTATACTTCAATTACAAAAATGAAGAATGAGGAAGAGCACAGCAAGCGGAGGAAAGGATGAGGCAAAGACTCTGACAAAGGAAGAGCACGGAACATTCAGAGAAGAGAAAGGATACCTGAATGTTTTCCAGACAACAGTGACAATTTGGTAGACGAGATGAACTTGTATAGAATATTTTAGGTTGTGATTAGAGACTTGAACTTTATGCTAAAATTTAATGGTAAGTAATTAGAGGTTCTACAGGCTAAGAGCTACCAAGATGGATCCACTGGACTCAAGGGGTAGTGCCCACAGTGAGATTAGAGTTTATGGGAAACACTGAATTAGACCTATGAATTGGGAAGGTGTTGGTAGGATGCTGAGATGGTTTGGAAAGGTCTAATACACTTGGGGGCCACAATCTTTGGCACAGGTATTTCTGTCCATTCTTGTTAATAGCCCCCACCTCCACTTTTATTCATACCCTTCCAAACACACATATTGATACAGCAGGACTGAGCAACTGAAAAATACATGTGTATGAATATTGACTTCAAGTCCCATAACGGCATCTTACCAGCATCAACACATAACGATTGTCTAATTTGTATATCCCTGTAAAACCTACAGTCAGATGTGCAGATTCCTGAAGAGCCAAACATGTACTAATTATATTTAGGATGAACACACTGAAATTAGCTGCTTAGTATATTACCATTCATGGCAAGAAAGTAAACTGCAAAACTGTAAGAGGAACCAGCCACAGAAAGGAAGTTCCTTACTACAGAGTATAAGAAATGTGAGCTTTTGTGGTCTGCCAGCACTTTCTTCTACTACAGTGTTTCACACTATCCCTCTGCTCTCCTACCACCTGGCCAAAGGCCCCAGGCCTCTCACTGAGAGCCATTGTATTATCCACTGATTGTCTTAGGTAGCAACCACTAAAAAAAGCCCAGCCATAGTATTATGGTGACTAATGGACCATGTAAGCCACCCACCAAGAATTTAAGGTATCATCACTCCTACTTTAAAGGAATATGCATATGTGGTGTATTTATTAATAGGAAGGTAAAGTTTAGATATATTGAATAATATTACATTAGGCAGTGTTTTCATTTTTTTTATACTGTTGAATAATCTTATAAGTAATTTGGAAAGGCTACCTCTGGTCAGTTTCCATGTTCCATCTTGAAGCTGGTTCACTACAGGTGTTAGACACCCTGTAGCTTTTATAGTAATCTACCAAACTCTGCATCAGCTGGGTTTCCCCAAAGCTCATTAGTTTCTGATAGAAGCTGCCAAAATCTCAGTTTCTACATCTGCTCTCTGAAATCTTCAACTCCAAAACCCATCTTTCATTTTCAATGGGGGTAATTTAGAAGATGGGGTTTGGTATATAGATTTTTTTTTCCTTTTCAGCTAACTTTGAAAGGATAAAACTGTTCTGCCTGTGAAAGGATAGCTTGCGTGTAAGAATGCTTCTTCCCACCAAGTCTTAGCTCTTTTTATGTGGTACAAATGAATCAAGTGTCGATTTTTATTTTTGAAATGCACGTATTTTTACTATCTGCTAATTAATTCACGGGTCTTGTTTAGAAATAAGAGTTCCCACAGGCCTTTTTAGGAAACAAACCTAAAGAAGAAAAGGTCTCCTTATTTTGTTGATCCAGCATTCTGCTTATCTATTTTTAGCAGATTCTTCTTCACTTTTCCCCATCAGACAGGATGAAGGAGCTGAAACTATATTATAATGAATCTCTTCAATCAGCCTAGTCTCCTTCCTACCTGTATAAAGCATAACAAAATATTAGGCTGCCAAAACCCACGGAAACTGTTTTCTTTGTGGAATAAGGAATCCTTAGAGCAGCAGCTCTGAATGTGCCCCTATAATAGCTATATGAAATTGATCAAGGTATGTGGAAAAGTAGGTGTATATTTTATTTTTAATTTTACATTTCCTCAGTGCTTTGCACAGTTCTTTAAATAGAAATCAGCTCTCAGAAACTGGTTTGCTATATCTCTCAAAGTAAAACTAAAAGATGAACCCAATCTTAACTAATATTGTAACATTTTAAACAGAGTGAATGGATCATGAGCATACTATGCAGTGAGCAGTGGAGATTATGGGGGTGGGACAATCTCAAATCATAACCATGAGTCCCAGGCCCTCCTTCTGCTTCAGGAAAGATCCTTCTGTTTCTAAATATAATCTAGACATCAACATTTTGAAAAAAACATACAGGACTACCATATAATTATTAAAATAACCTCACAGCACTCCATACACTATTATTTAAAATCCAATTCTTTACAGTATTCCAATAAATTGCACTGGATTACAATATGTTTTGTATTATTTAAAATTTAAAGTTAGAATGCCAAGACTAAAATCTATTTCCTAATTCAAGAAAAGGAAGACTAAAATATAAAAACTACTATTTCTACTTAAATTTTAATTGCTAAACCCAGGAAAATGAGTTAACAGATTTTTAGTGTTTTCTGGAATGATCTGACAGTAGAAAATGATTACTGGGACCATTCTTGGGAATGCTTATGCCAGTGAACTTAGTGGACCTTCTTGATATTATTAAATTAATGGCATCAAACACACACCCTATGGGTATAGCAGAAATCAAATAGAGACATGGGGTTTGAAGCTGGTGAGATGCACTGCTGAGCCCTTGGTACTAGAACTCACAGATATATATCAGGATGAGGATTCAGAGGAAGGATATTGTGATGAGAGTTTATTATTGAATGGAGACAAAATGA
This sequence comes from Homo sapiens, assembly GCF_000001405.40. Taxonomy (NCBI): domain Eukaryota; kingdom Metazoa; phylum Chordata; class Mammalia; order Primates; family Hominidae; genus Homo; species Homo sapiens. The sequence goes on along the minus strand of NC_000002.12, from coordinate 167,470,011 downwards.
GTGTTCAAGAAAAAAAATTACGATTCCATTCTTGAGAATCAACATTGTGGGAAAGACAGTCTTTCAGGTCCTAAAAAATTTATACAATTTGCTATTAATAAGTAAACATAATATCTGACAATCTGCATAACATCTGACATAATAGGCTAGTCACTTTTTAATGCTGACCATAGTTTTTTCTTATCTGTCATGATTTTGTAATGATTGTATGTATTAATTAAATCACATGTTATACCTAAAGACATGAATGATAATTAGAAACCGCTTTCCAGTGTAGTTTCATGTTTCCAGGATGACAATTATCATTCAACAGTATATTATCAAAGTTGTTTATATAATACTAGTTTTAACTTTTACTTTACAATCATAAGTATTTGGTAGGTCACATTTTCAGTACTATTACTAGTGATTTAAGATGCATTTTATTAAGATTTAGAATGTATTCTTACCATGGGCACATTTGTTAACATGTACTACTTAAGTGTAACCATGTGATACTGATTATTTGGACAGACAATATAAGTGAATAAAACCATTTTAATTTTCAACTTAAAATTTCAAAATTTCATAGTCCAAATTTTGTTTTTCCAAGTCATTATTTACTAAATGAATGCATACCACTTATGTGTCAGGCACTATTCTAAGTGTTTTACAAGCATTCATTTATTTAATCCTCATAATAATCCCATAAAGCAGATAATGTTATTCCCATTTCACAGATGAGAAACTGAGGCACAGATTAATAAGTAAGATTCCCAAAGCTACTTAGCTAGCAAGAGGTGGCATAGGGTTTTTACACTCTAGCAGCCTGGCTCCAGAGTCCATAATTTTAACCACCACACCATGCTGCTTCTCAGAATACCACTACATAGCTCACCTTACATATTTGATTGCTACAATTCTGTTATTGTAGAATGAGTGTTTCAGACTATTCAGGAATAGCGTCACAGGAGGTCCTTGCACCTTCATACACAACCATGTTATTTTTCTAATCCCTTGATATTTGTGTCCTTTTATTTTATTCAGTAAATACATGGTCCAGTACAATATTGGATATAAGTGGCTACAATGGTATTCTTGCCTTATGCCTGATTTTATGGAGTAAGTTTTAAGTATTTCATTATGATGATTATTATTATTTGAGATGGAGTCTCATTCTGTTGTGCAGGCTGGAGTGCAGTGGCACAATCTCGGCTCACTGCAACCTCCGCCTCCCAGGTTCAAGCTATTCTACTGCCTCAGCCTGTCAAGTAGCTGGGACTCAGGCATGTGCCACAATGCCCGGCTAATTTTTGTATTCTTAGTACAGATGGGGCTTCACCATGTTAGTCAGGCTGGTCTTGAACGCCTGACCTCAGGTGATCTGCCCTCCTCAGCCTCCCAAAGTGCTGGGATTAGAGGTGTGAGCCACCGCGCCTGGCCAAGTATTTCATAATTAAATATGATGTCAGACACACTTTGTCAAGTTGGAAAAATTCATTTTTATTACAAGTTTGAGTGTTTTTAAATTATCGAAAATGTTAAATTCAAATTTCTTTTCTGTATTTACTTAGAAAAACATTCATTTCTTCTTTTATTTTGTAAATGTGGTAAGTTATATTGCTTTTTAATCTTCCATGATTGGAATAAACCCAACTTGATCATTATGTTCTATTTTGTAAGATTTTTTATATTTATGTTACGAGAAAGAGTATTATGTATTTATCTTTTCTTATAGTGTCCCTGTCCAACACTGATTAGATTTGATTTTAAAACCATTTTATAGCCCACTCTCAAAAGTAATTTACTTTGAAAAATTGTTTATCATAGACCTGAGTCATAAGATCCTTTTCTATAAGATTACAGTCCTTCAGATAGTGCACATTAGTAGTCCATAGAATTTTTCCAAAATTGGTATCACTCCAGAAAAATATGCTCTTTCACTGTTTCATGGCCCTTGGAGACTCCTACTGAACAATAAGTGGCATCACTACCCATCCTTTTCCACCCCCTTACTAAACTTTTTACTTCTTTCAAGCACTATCACCAACTAACATATTATATATGTATATTTTTGGTTGCTTATTATCTACTTTCCTCTACTGGACTACAACGTATGGTCTTTGCTTTACCCCAATGTCATAAACAGTGTCTGGCACACGCTAGATATTTAATATATATTTTTGAATGAATGAATGAATAAATGAATCAATGAATACATTAATCTCACACTATGTACTCTAGGTTGTATCTATGTTTGTAGGTTGTATCAAGCTCATAAAGGGTGTGTTGAATTAATTTGCTTGATTGATTGATTTTTTCCTAGGAATGGAAAACAAGTATTTTTGACAAACAAAATACAAATTCTACACAAAATGGCATTTTGATTTAAAAGCCAATTTGTTAATCTCCTCATTGTCTTAACCACGGAATGGCCTTCTGCTCCCCTGCTCTACAAGGAACACAACTCTGCCAGTCATATGTCATCATGTCAGACTCTGGCTGACAGGACAAAACAAAAAATCAGCAGCCAACAGTTTATAATATAAGGATTACAAACACGTAGGAGTAACTCAAAGTAATAAGGCAGCCTTCTTCTAAAAATCTTGATGTGACATTTTTGTTTTTTACTGTTTGCTCTATTATTATTATAACAACATGGTTGCCAAAAATCTATTTTTGAGTTAAAAATAATGCTCGAGGGAGGCCCTACATGAAGTAATAACCCAAAAGAATACTTGGGTTTTCTTCTCACTTTTTCTCTGGAGAATAAATTATAGTTAAACACAGATAAAGATGTCTAGTATTAATGAGGTCCTGAGTGGGTCAGTCGGCTTGGCTCTTTTTCTTAATATCCCTTCCCGTCAGCTCCAGAATGTGAATGTCTCCTACCCTGCTGGTGATTACGTTGACTAAAAAAAAAAATTGTAGACAAATTTGCATCCATCCGGAGGCCTACTGCTACAACACAGTTGTATCATTTTTTATTATAAATGAATGTGATAGGCCAGGAGTTGTGGCTCACACCTGTAATCCCAGCACCCTGGGAGGCTGAGGCAGGCAGATTGCCTGAGCTCAGGAGTTTGAGACCACCTGGGCAACATGGTGAAACCCAATTCTCTACTAAAATACAAAAAAAAAAAAAAAAAAAAATTAGCCAGGCGTGGTGGCGGGCGCCTGTAGTCCCAGCTACTTGGGAGGCTGAGGCAGGAGAATTGCTTGAACCCGTGAGGCAGAAGTTGCAGTGAGCCAAGATCACACCACTGCACTCCAGCCTGGGCAAAAGAGCAAGACTCTGTCTCCAAAAACAAAAGAGTGATAATAGTTAAAAATTATATAAACAAGGTAGACAGCTTACTGAGAACAAGTTAACAGCTTTTATTTTCAAGACCATCCTTTTTTTTTTTTTTTTTTTGACAGAGTCTTGCTCTGTCACCCAGGCTGGAGTGCAGTGGCGGGATCTTAGCTCACTGCTACCTCCTCCTCCCAGGTTCAAGCAATTCTCCTGCCTCAGCCTCCCAAGTAGCTGGGATTGCAGGCATGTGCCACCATGCCTGGCTAAGTTTTTTGTATTTTTAGTAGAGACAGGGTTTCACCATGTTGACCAGGCTGGTCTTGAACTCCTGACCTCAGGTGATCCACCCTCCTCAGCCTCCCAAAGTGCTAGGATTACAGGTGTGAGCCACCGCGCCCGGCCTCAAGACCATCTTTCTTGAAATATTCGTAAATAACATGAAAATTTCTTAATGTATACTGAATAGCTCCAAATCTGATTATCAAATGTATTGTTTCTTTTGATATTATCTTAGCATCTTATGTCTTTTCAGGATAAAACAAAAACAAAAATGGCTCCCAGGACACATCAATGAAGCTAGGCCATTATTAACATTTCCTTAAGAAGAATTCATTGAAATATTTCAGTCCAACTATAAGGCATGAGGTTGCATTTATAGGAGAGTGAGCCTTCTGAAGTTGGGACACCAAGGTCTGATTGGGAGCAATGTGTTTCCTTGCCTTTAAGCAAAACCTGTGACTGACTTAGAAGCAGCAGATAATATCTGCAGATAATGTCACTGAGCTTTTCTTTCACAAAAGTCATTGTGAGAAAGGCCCTTGGAGATGGAGGGGGAAAAAAAAAAACCTTATTGAAAAGAAGAGGAAAATCAACTCACATCTTCCTCAAATTGTCCACTTTCCCTGCAGGTGTATGAAGTTATATTTTATCACTTGGTGCTATTGTGTTTAACAGTTTAATCTCAACTACTAGACCATGTTTTAGATAAGTAAAATAACGTATATTTGCTTCTTGGCGTTCTTTTTGAAATACATTTAAATATATATCTGCTGTGGTCTAAATGTATCGCCTCAAAATTCATATGTTGACACCTATCACTAATGTAATAGTATTAATAGATGGGACATTCAAGAGGTTATTAAGTCATGAGGGTGGAGTCCTCATGCGTGGAAATTATAACCTTATTAACAAGATGCAAGGGAGCTATTTGCCCTGTCTGCCCTTTCTGCCATGTGTGGACACAGCAACAAAGCACCATCTTTGAAGCAGAAAGTGAGCTGTTCCCAGACACTGAATCTGCTGGAGACTTGATCTAGCATTTCCGGCCTCCAGAACCGTGAGGAAAAAAATTCTATAATTTACGAATTACCCAATCTAAGGTATTTTTGTTATAGCAGTAAGAACAGACTGAGACAATATGTTTGATGTTTTTATGAACACTTTATGCAATGTTAAAAACATACACACTGTATTCCACCATGGGCAACAGACTGTTGGAACCCTGTCACTAAAAAATAAAATAAGATAAAATAAAATAAATACACAAACTCAAACAAGTTCAATGGACTAATTTTTCTCTTACTTTATTAACTATTTTCCTTTTGCTTAAAACTTAATACTTTCCTCTTCACATTACAGCTTAGAAAGAAAATCTTAGTTTCATACAAAGGATTAAAATACAGCAGGTAGCAGGCACCCCCAAAGTAACTTGTGAGGATGCCTTGTCTGGAATCTAAATAAATTTATTTACTTATTTATTATTAAAAGACCTTCCCTTTCCAGAACAACTTGGATACTTTAAACTAGCATCTTATTTATGTGAACACATAAACAATTGAGCAGAATGACCACAATGCCAATACAAATTTGAAAAACATTCTTGTGATCAATCATGCTGTGGATAATACATAAATAAAAAGCAGAGGGTTGAGTATATACAATATCACTGTAACTTCATTCATTGCACTCAGCATCTCATATCTATTCCTCCCTACATTGATATTTTGAGTCAATATGTCCATTCATATCCATATGAAAGATTTGCAAGTGGAGGTTAGGAAACTTTAGGTAACTTCAGTTCACTCAACTAATAATCAGAAAAGCTGAGTTTTTAATCTAAAAAATGTCACATCAACCCCCTATGATCATAACCACTATCTTGTGTTGCCTCGCTCTACTTTATATTGGATGAATTCTGATTCTACTAAACAGACGACTGACCACTATTAGCACTGTACATTTTATTTCTAGAAATGGTTTGGATTATATTTTTCTTCTTAATTGGAATGTCATGAAACTTTCAGTTGATCAAATAAAATCTTCTGTAGCAAACAACAATTTTAACTTCTTACAGGAAAAACAATTCTACTTAAAATAGGGTAAACTCAATTCTTCTCTGAAAAGAAGAATGATTATATTTCATACAGATCAAGAACTTGCATTTCCATTGTTTTGTTTTCAGGTGACCCCTTCAAGATACTACTGAAGCAGGGCCATGAGGACATTGATCATACCTTTGATGCTTTGGGTTTTTCTAATCATTAAGTGAAAATAGATCCTTTTTTAAAAAAAAAAAAAATTGCACAGGATTCTTGGTTTTTAGCAATGAACTCCTCATATAAATCATTTAAATTAACTGCTTCAGAAAGTCCTTTTCAGTTGGATTTTTGTTAGAAATTATATAAAAGATTAAAGATGGAATAATTTAGTTTCTCAGACCTGAGTAAGGCAGAGCTCTGAAAGGATGACATAGCCCAAAGCACAGCTTGTCTTAGCTCTTGCTCAGATCATTGGGGTTGGACAGGCCTTGCCAACGATGTGAACTATAGTTCCAAAATGTCAGGTCTGATCTTAAAAATGCCTCCTGTCTTTGTAGTAAAATTTCAATGAATTACCATACAACTCTTATCTCTCACTTTCAAAGAAGCTCAAATCAAATGTCTATATTACTCAGTTTATTCTCATATCTATTTTTACATTTGGTCTTACACTTTGCATTTTCATATCTTTTACTTGGCTACTCCTGGAGTACTTTGGAAATTCTAAATTCCACTTTTACATAATCTTGAAAGCACTGAAATCCATCAAAGTTGGGACTTTTGTTGGCAGACATCTGAAACATGTGCTATTGCTTTATCATATAGGTATGTGAAATGGTCAAGTAAGTGATTATGGGTCCAGATTTTAGAGTCAAACTTTCTGGGTGCCAGTCCTTAACCCATGCGATCACAGGATATCTTTTTTTCCTATTACCTTGGGTTTGTAAGAAGAATTTTATAGACAATACAGGTAAAATACTTAGAATAGTGCTTAGTATTTAGTAAGCAGTAAACAATACAGGCTATTAGTGTATTAGTAATATTATGAGGGAGGAGATGACCGTATAGACTCACGTGGAGAACCTTACACTTCTTTCTGATAAACTTTAAAAGGCACAACATGATACTATGTTCCTGATACTGCTAGGCATTATGGAGATATTAGTAAAATAAAAGATTCTGCCCTTATAGATCTTAAAATTTGGCCCAGATAAGAAGATAGTGAGAGAACAATGAAGTCCTAATTTTGCCACCAAGAAAATAACTATAATAGTTATCAGAAACAGACAAAATAAATAACCAGGACAACTCATTAGGAAAGATTTTGCAAGAAAGATGAAACTTAAGTTGTACCTTCAGGAAAAGGCTTATGGTGTTTTCCAGAAGCTGAAGTAGAAACCAAATTTCATTAACAGATACGTTCTCATTTATTTTATCATAAACAATCTCAAAAACTCTGAGGAAAAGTGCCACAGAACAAATTTATATGGCACTTACCTTTTTGTCATATTTGAAATTTTATTCTCTGAAAAAGGTGCTTCCTTTGGTATCCTTTACAGGAAACAGAAATAAAATGCAGACAGAATGGGTATAATTAGCATTAGTTTTAAAAAATATATAATGTGTTATAATGAGCTAAAGATTACTATGAGAAGAATCTATACTGAAAGAATCTTCAGAATGGTGAAAGTGATCCAGCCAACAGAAGCTAACTGCATTTAAATTATTACGATTCCTGTCTCCTCACTGAAGCTAATGATGCAAAATTACACCAACCTTTGAATGTCAGATGGTTTTCAACTCCTCTCTTCCCTTCAGTGCCCCAATCCAATTCATCGGGTATACTAAGATAAAGATGGATACAGCTGCCAATTTTTAGGGGAAAAATAATTTGATTATGGAAAAGAGGAATGGATGGAAATGAGATTTTCTTCTTATAATAAAGAAGCTTATGTAGTCCAGGGAAAGGATAAAGGTCTTGAAATCGTTTATTACATTTGCCATTTTCTCTCATAAATTTTGAGTCAGCAGTAAGGACCATGAGGAGTAGCCTAAATCAAGGACTTTCAAATTTTATGGCACAGTCCAATTGCGTGCTTAAGCTGGTTTATATCAGCTCTTGAGAGCCAACTGTTATATTCTCAGGAAGCTTGTAAGACAGCTGCTAAAGATGGCCATTATTAAAGATTCAATTATATAATTCTAAATTAATTATATTAAAATAAAAGTAATAAACACTCAAACATATCACTGCCTAACTCCTTTACTACATTTTACTATATGCTCTTGAGGTTATTTATGTCTATAGTATTTTTATTGTGGAAATATACAATGGTGTGTATTGTGCATCTTGCCCAAATTCTCCTTCGGTGATGACACACTGGTAGCTTGACATCTGCTATGAAGTGGTGTGAGGGAGGTTATTTACTCCACAGAAATTGGCAAATACTACAACTAGGGCATCTTGCCCCCACACAAATAGTTGTTAAACATTTTATATTGCAACATGGTAAAACATACATGTTCATACACATAGGTACATATTTGAAAGGAAAGGTCACATTGCTACACTCTATTTTCTATTATATTCTCTACATTACATATAAAATATTAAAATATCTGTGATTAAAATAATTATGTAATTGCCTAAAAGAATCACAATCCAAAATTGGAAGAACAATGGTGTAAATAATCCAAATAGAAAAGAATTTAGCTAATTTAAAATATACTCAAGGAAATTACATTTTACAACTTCATTTGACTAAACATAATGCTTTTGAAAATTTTTCATTATCAAATAAATATAATTTATAAATTTTTATAGCTATATGTACATTCCAAACCTTTATAATTATTTGCCATGTAGTATGAGGGTTTGACTCTAGGTACAGAGGTGGCCTCTGATTAGTCAAAAACAGTAGTTCTCAAATTTTACTGTGCACAGAGGTGAGAGGGTTCTAGAAAGATGGTGAAGTAGGAAGCACCAGGAATCTGTCTCCCCACCTAGAAAACAATTGCACTGGCAGAATCTGTCTGCTATAACTGTTTTAGAAATCTGGCGTCTATGGAAGGTTTGAAACTTTTAGAGGGATGACTGAATGGCAAATTGTGGTTAATTTTGGTCAATTTTGGCTATTAGCACAGTACTGGCTACCCAACCCCTAGACCTAGCCCTATGGCAGGCAACTATGCATGTGTTCTTGAAGCAATTGGTACATGGCTTGTGGGGCCCAGAGTGGGCAGAATGAACTCTGTCATCCAAATATCAGGAATCTGTGCTCTGATTACTGATTACTGCTTCTGATCACAGACGTGCAGACAATCAAATGAGTGGCCATTGCTGTATCCCCCTCCCATTGTTGCAAGCCCTTCCTCCTCCAGCTGAAGTGGCTTCCAAAGGAATTAAACGACCACTGACCTTCCTCCCCTTAAGTTCTCTCTTTTTACCCCTTTTAGGAACCAGGCATTAATGATTATAATATTAAAAAGCAACTGCATATATAGGGAAAATTAGAAAGCAATTGTACAAGCTCAGGGAAAGGCACAGGCTCAGAAAAGACCTAAGAAGATCTTAAGTTTACACTTCAGTTTAGTACTTGGCACAGAGATAGCCTACAACTTTTTTAACTTACAAAATAATAAACAAAAACAACAATAAAACCCAGAAAATCTTGGGAAAGAGGAAGAATCAATTTATAGAGGTACCACATTATTAGATTCAAATGTTCAGTTTTCAACAAAAAAATCACAAGGCATAAAAAGAAACCAGAAAGTATGGCACATTCAAAGGAAAAAAAAAATAGAAACTGTCCCTGAAAAAGATCTGATGGCAGATCTATTAGACAAAGACTTTAAAACAACTCTCTTAAAGTTGCCCAAAGGTTTAAAGGAAAATTTGGAAGAAATCACGAAAATCATGTATGAAGAAAATGAAATATCAGGAAAGAGACAAAAAAATCTTTTAAAAGGAAACAAGAAATTCTGGAGCTGAAAAGTAGAACACCTGAAATGAAAAATTCACCAGAAGGAGTCAAAGGCAGAGCAGGGAGAAGAAAAAAAATCAGCAAACTTGACAACAGAACAAAGGAAATTATCAAGCCTGAAAAACAGATAGAAAAATGACTGAAGAAAAGTGAACAGACCGTAAGAGACCTGTGGGACACCATCAAGCAAAACAGTATATGTGTTGTTGAACTCCCAGAAAAGTGAGAGGAAGGGGTAGGGAGAATATTCAAAGAAATAATGGATAATTTTGCAAATTTGATAAAAAACATGAATATAAACTTCTATGAAACTCAAGTGAACTGCAAGTAAGATGAACTCAAACGGATTCACACCAAGAATCATTTTAATCAAACTTTTAAATTCCAAAGTGAGAATCATGAAAGCAGTAAAAGATAAATAAATGACTTCTCACATACAGGGATTCTCAATGAGATTTTTGGTAGATTTCTCACCAGAATTTTAGAGGCCAGAAGGCAGTGAATCAACCTATTCAAAGGGCTAAAATGAAACAACAAAAACAAAAACAAAAACACCCTGTCAACCAAGAATCCTATATCAGCAAAACTGTCTTTCAAAATTAAGGAAGAAAGTAAGATATTCCCAGATAAACAAAAGTTCATTACCACTGCACCTGCTCTGCAAGAAACGTTCAAGGGAGTCCTACATGGTGAAATGAAAGGACACCAGACAGTAACTTGAAGCCATATGAAAAAATAAAAAACTCAATAAAGGTAAATCCATGAACCATTGTAAAAGCTAGTATTATTATAATAATGACTTGTAAATCTACTTTTTGTTCTCCACATGACCTAAGAGACAAGTACGTTTGAAAAAAATTATTAGTCCAAAGCTAGTATTCTTATAACTTTGGTTTGTAACTCCACATTTTGTTTTCTACATATTTGAAGAGACTAATGTATTTAAAAGAACCACCATTAGTTTATGTTTTAGGGCAGGAAACATGCAAAGATGTAATTTTATGACATCAACAACAGGAAAAGGGTTGGGAACAAAGTTATCTTTATATCAGAGTTTTGTATGTTACTGAAGTTAAGCTGGTATAAATTCAAGTTATAATATTGTAACTTTAGGATGTTAACTGTAATCTTTGTGGTAACCACACAGAAAATAGTGATAGAAAATATGCAAAAGGAAATAAAAGAGTAATTTCAACACTTCACTACAAAAAATCAACTAAACATAAAAGACAGTAATATAAGGGTGTGAGGAATAAAAAAACTAATGTATATAGAAAACAAGTGAAAAAATGACAGAATTAACTCTCTCATTGACACTAATTACTTTAAATGTAAATGAAATAATATCAGTCAAAAGACAGAGATTAGCTGAATAAATGAAAACATAAAATCCAACTACATTCTGTCTACAGATGACTCACTTTTATATCCAAAGGCACAAATAGATTGAAAGTGAAAGGATGGAAAGAATATTCCAGGCAAATACTAACCAAAAGAGAGCAGGGGTGGTTATACTAATATTAGACAAAATAGACTGATTTTAGCAAATAGATAAGTTCAGCAAAGTATCAGGATACAGTCAATACAAAAAACTTAGTTGCATTTCTATATACTAACAATCAACAACAACAAAAAAATCTGGTTTAAAAATAGGCAAAGGACTTGAACAGACATTTCTTCAGATGATAAACAAACGGCCAATAAGCACATGAAAAGATGCCACAAATCAATAAGCATTAGAGAAATGCAAATCAAAACTACAGTGAAACTTACCACTTCATACGCATTAGCATGGCCACTATCAAAACCACAGAAAATAGCAAGTGTTTATGAGGGAGTGGAGAAATCAGAACCCTTGTACACTGTAGGAACGTACAATAGTACAGCTGGTGTGGAAGACAGTAGAGAAGTTTCTCAAAAAATTAAAAATAGAATTACTATATGATCCAGCAACTCCACTTCTGGGTATGTACCCCAAAGAATTGAAAACATGGCCTCAAAGAGATATTTGTACACCCATGCTCATAGCAGCATTATTCACAATAGCTAAAACATAGAAGCAACCCAAGTGTCCAAGCGTGGATGAATGGATAAGCAAAATGTGGTTATGTACATACACTGGAATCTTATTTAGCCTTAAAAAGAAACTTCTGACACATGCTACAACACAGATGAAAGTTGAGAACATTTTGCTAAATGAAATAAGCCAGTCACAAAAAGACAAATACTATAAGATTCCACTTATATATGAGGTAGTCAAAATCATATAGACAAAAAGTAGGGTGGTGGTTGTTAGGGGCTGAGGAGAAGGGGAAATGGGGTGTTATTGTCTAATTGGTATAGAATTTAGTTTACAGGATGAAAGAGTAATGGAGATGGGATGGTGATCATGGCTGTACAACATTATAAATGTATTTAATAACATTGAATTGCATACTGTAAAATTGTTAACATGGCAAATTTTATGTTATATGTATTTTACCACAATAGAAAATAGAAGAGAAACAAATAAGTGTGTACAGAATCTTCTGTAGTGTTTGATAACATACAGATTGTTGGGGAGCACCCCAAGAGTTTCTAATTCGGTCGGTCTAGAATGGGGCCACAAAATCACATTTCTAATAAATTCTCAGGTGCTGCCGGTGCTGCTGGTTCACGGACCATGCTTTGAGAACTGCTAGTCTAATTTACTCAGAGTAACACCAAATGACTTGCCCCAGTGATTCAGTCAAGATGAGCAGCCTACACCACAGCCATTCTGCTGGTCCTCAGAATTTGCTTGAGAAATTAGTATATGATGATTTCAGCCCAAAAACATATAAAGACAAAATTGGTGATGGATTATGGAAAAGCTGCTACAGTACAATAATGAGTCAACTTTTGGAAGTCACTCTCTCTGCCTTTGATCTGCTTGTAAATATAAAACAAGGAGTACAATGGCCATTCTGTAAAGAAGCTGATGAAGGCCAGGCATGGTGGCTCACGTCTATAATCCCGGCACTTTGGGAGGCCAAGGCGGGTGGATCACCTGAGGTCAGGAGTTCAAGACCAGCCTGCCCGACATGGTGAAACCCTGTCTCTACTAAAAATACAAAAATTAGCTGGGCATGGTAGTGTGCACCTGTAGTCCCAGCTACGTGGGAGGCTGAGGCAGGAGAATCGTTTGAACCTGGGAGGCGGAAGCTGCAGTGAGCCGAGATCGCGCCACTGCACTCCAGCCTGGGTGACAAAGTAAGACTCCGTCTCAAAAAATAATAATAAAAAAGAAGTTGATGAAACTGACTGTGATAAACAAGAAACCTATATTGGGCCTTTGTCCCCAGTTCCTGCTCCACAGCTCCTAAAAACATTGGAATCTCAGGTGTGATAATAGTGTCTTTTGCATACTAATGAAATAACTAGTGGCTGTGAGCTCCTAAGAAGCATCAGGATCAGGATTGGATCTGGTTGCCAGAAAGCGAGGTTAGCCCCACTCTTTGACCTCCAAGGAGCGAAGGAGGGGGTGGAGTTTGAGTTAATTACCAATGATTTAATTAATCATGCCTACATAATGACACATCCATAAAAAATCCTAACCTATGGAGTTTGGAGAGTACCTGGACTGATGAACACATGGAGATCTTGAGAGGATGGTGGGCCTGGAGAGGGCACAGAAGCTCCACATGCCCCCCACCCATATCCCTAATGAATGTCTTTTATTTGACTGTTCTTGCGTTGTATCCTTTATAATAAACTGGTAATCATAAGTAAAGTGCCTTTCTGAGTTCTGTGAGCTGTTCTAGAAAATTATCAAACCTGAGGGGGGATTCGAGGGAACCCTTGACTTTCTAGCCAGGACTGACAGAAGTATGAATAACCTGGGGACCTGATATTTGCAACTGGTCTTTGAAGATGTTTTTTAGTTTTCTTCTAAAAGTTTTATTGTTTTACATATGATATACAGATTTGAAATGACTTGCAGTTGATTTATATGTATGGTATGTGTTAGGGGGTCTGTTGTGGTTTGGATGTATGTCTTCTCCACATTTCATGTTTAAATGTGATCCCCAATGTTGTAGGTGGGGCCTGGTGGGAGGTGTTGATCATGGGGGCAGATCCCTCATGAACGGCTTAGCTCCATCACCTTAGTGATAAGTGAGTTCTTTATTAGTTCATGCAAAAACTGATTGTTTAAAAGAAGCCTTGTACCTCTACCTCTCTCTCTCACTCCCTCTTGCCATGTGACATGCTTGCTTCCCCTTTGCCTTCCACCATGATTGGAAGCTTTCTGAGGCCCTCACCAGAAGCAGATGCTGGTGCCATGTTTCCTGTACAGTCTGCAGAACCATGAGCCAAATAAACCTTTATTCTTTATAAATTACCCAGTCTCACACATTCCCTACAGCAATGCAGAACAGACTAATACAGGGTCATATTCATTTCTCTTATATCCAACTGCTCATTTATATGAAGGTCACTTCCCTCAACTGTTCTGTAGGTCTCTTTGCCATAAATTAGGTGATTATATATGTGTTGGTTGGGCCTCATTTTTAAGGGACTAAAACATGCTGTACTCTACAATTCGATGTATATTTATTAAGAGTACAGCATTTAGAGTGATTCATTAAAAATAATGGAGAGATCCAGCCAGGTGTGAGGGCCCATGTCTCTAATCCCAGCACTATGGGAGGCTTAGGCAGGCGGATAGCCTGAGGTCAGGAGTTGGACACCAGTGTGTCCAATATGGTGAAATCTCGTCTCTATTAAAAATACAAAAATTAGCTGGGTGTGGTGGTGTGTGCCTGTAATCCCAGCTACTTGGGAGGCTGAGGCAGGAGAATCTCTTGAACCTGGAGGCATAGATTGCAGTGAGCCGAGATCGCACCACTGCACTCCAGTCTGGGTGACACAGGGAAATTCCATCTCAGAAGAACACATAAATAAAAATGAAAATAAAAACTAATGAAAATAAAAAGTAGTGGAGAAAGCTACTTCAAGATGATGGAGAAATGGCACTTTTATTTTACTCCCCTTCCTTAAAGTCCAGCAAAATCAACAGAACTAAATATATATATTTAATGAAGTAAGGAATGGGCTCATTCCCAAAATGATAAGATTTTCATAATCTTTTTCATAAGATTTTTTAAATACTATGAAACTTGGATTCAAATCTAGGAAAACACTAAAAGCTAATCTCGTTCCAGTTGGTCTGAATTTTCCCTAAAAGCAAATGTCATCATTCCATAAAGTCCAATGTGTGAGCATATTTTTTAGAGGTTCTCAATCTAGGAAAATCATGGGACATACATAGAAAAGTATGGACTGTCCCATTTATGGAAATCCATATGTGGATAAGTTTCTATTTGGAAATGTTGAACTTACGTACATGGAATTCTTGCAAATGAAGTTAGTCAGTAAATTGAACTAAAGGCTTGGCATTTTAAACATGTTCTTCAGGGAGAGTGTCCCTGGGCTTACTGCTGCTCGTTAATGGATCCCAGGCACAGAAATGCACAACCAGCAGGTCCCTGTATATACTTCTGGATCCTCAGGGATGGCTGAGGCCCAAACATTGGCTGGAAAGTGGCAGGCATTCAATATATGTTTGTTAAGTTGATTGTTTTTAGCATGGTTAAGACTCACATTTATTGACCTTGATTTTCTCATATGAAAACGTGGTATTACAGTAAAAACTGCCATCTCACCTCAGAGAGATGTTCTGAGTAGCAAAGGAGATAACAGATGGGAATTTTGTTTATTACTGAAACTTCTATTTAAAGGCTTTATTATTTCTAACATTACTTTCCTCTCTTAGCATACTCAGTTTTCCAGGAGAACAAGGTTGACATTATTTGCTTATTTAAATAAGCAAATAAGATTTACATTAGGCATATTCTGAACCACGTCTCTCCTGCTATATCAATTGTATTTGAGAAACTGGTCTCCAAACTTTAAAAGTATTTATCCTACTGTACAGCTCCCTAGACTCCTCTTTCTTTTCTTTTTGCTTTTTTACAATGCTGACGTTGGCTTTAAGTCTTCCAGGCCAGCAGGTAACGGAGCGAAAGGAAAATGAGAAGGACTGAGGGAGAAGTGGCTATCTATTCCCTGCTATATACTATGGCTTCTCCAGGTCAGTCCTACTGTTCCAAACCAAGCTGACATCCTATTCGCATATAGTTGGCTCTGCCTATGGTTTACGTGCACGTGCACACATACATGCACACACGTGCACGCGCGCGTGCGCACACACACACACACTTTCCTGTTATACCTACATCGGAAAACTGGTTCATCTGCACTTTTGTATAGAGAATATACAAATATTCAAATATACAAATATACAATTTACAAATATACAAATATACAAATACAACCTAGACATGATTATGAAAAAATCTCAGTGCACAGATACAAAAATCAGAGAGCTTTAAATATGTCTCTGATGTGGATAAATAGAACTGTAACCATGCAAGAGTCTAATCTAAAAAATCTATAATTTGTATGCCAAACAAGTAGAAGCCAAGCTCATTTAAAGTCAAGGTAAATTACAGCTGTTACTTTAGCCGATATATCAATCAGTCTTATCATTCTGACAGACAGGAAAATTCAATGAGCCTGACAGAACTTCACAAAGAAATCCTGATCACTACCTTCCTCCTTTTACATATTTGAAAATGATCTTGTTAAATTTCCACTGAGTTTAATAAAACTTTACCTGAAAAAAAGGATAATTCTTGGTCAACCATTTTCTTAAAATAGAGTCCCTTAAACACTTCATTGGCACTTGTTCAGTTTTTAAGTTGATGTGTCTTTGTAAGAAAGTGCCTTTGTAAACATAATTTCCCTTTTACATTGAACACTTTTTCCTAAACAGAAAAATGTAGTATTATTCTATAATCCAAAACCAAAATATCTTCTAAACAACCATGTTTCAGCTTTGTCTTCAAATATTAGAGCTCTTGCATTAACCTTGTGATAATTAGTAGAATATATACATTTAATATCATACATTATCCTAATTGACACTAAAACAAATGATTTAGGAAATATAAATGGGAATAAAGAGAATTATAATCTTTGTGTGAAACAATGTTGAAACTATGTTTTAAATAACTAAGGAAAAGAACAGAGGTGGGATTACCTGCTTTAGTGTAGAAAATGGGGGCTCAGAATGCAATAATATATCCATTGGCAAAGGGTCCCGGAGGGCATACCTGCACGCTAGCCTCGCCAGCACATTTATCTTATAGTGAAGGTGTGCACATCAGGCCTGATTAGGCTAGATCCTCAGATTATCTGACTCCTTCTCTTGTGATTCTGTGTTTCTCGGGCAAGCCACCAACTTCCTCTTGACTGCCTATGTAGACATCTCTTCAGGATTGAGAATGTGCTGATTAGCTAACAAAGATATATACTTTACTTGGCATTACAATTCCCAATGTAATTCTGTGATCTTCAAAGTGGCTCCATATTAGAATGATCTGGGAAATTTTAGCAACTACTGATATCAGGCACCATTTCAGACCAATCAAATCAGAATTCCCTGGGATTGGACTTAAGCAATGACACTCTACAGGTGACTCTCATGGCACCCAGGGTTAAGAACCAGAGTTATATTAAACTAGCAATTTGGCTTCTACATCAGCCTCTTGTATCTTTGGTTGTTGTATATCATTTCCTCCTGATCAGATTTAATGTGATTTGGCAAAATTAAGATTTTTGGGAGGAAAATGATGGATACAAGGCAGGACTAAATGGCAGCTCCCACTCGGATGAACAGAGCAATGTGTGGAGACTCACATCGTGTACTTTTGCTCCAAGTATGCAGGAACATACCAGGAAAGCTGAGAGAATCCACAGACTCTTCAAGGGAAATGGATTGCTCCTGCAGGCCCTGGGAGACAGCTGAGAACTGTGAGTGCCCAAAGTGTGAAAGTGTGAAAAAGGGATCATCTGTCCCCCATACACACACCCTCACTGGGGAACCTGAAGGTTCAGATCACAGGAGAAGGATTTGACATTACCTGGAGCTGAGACAAATTTAGAGAGCCGAGTGAAATACAGGGATAGAAGAAGCAGCAGGAAGAGACTTGTGGGCTGTCTTGGTCCCCAAGGAAGCCATTTCTGACTGTCCCACAGAGGTCCTTGGGGAGGGCTGCCAGAGGAACTGGGAAAAGACCACAGAGAGAAGGAAACTTCCAGCTGAACTTTGTAACAATTTTGACAGAATGTAAAGTTTTCAAGACAGAAGTTGAGGGAGGGAGTGAATCAGGAGTGCAGACACAGCACAGAAGCCATGGCAGGAGGGAAGGTGTGAAAACTGAAAGCCCAGCTTGCTTTCTCAGCTGGGAAACCGGTAGCCCGGGGCAAGTTCTCAGCTCTGCTTACTGGCTGCCCGGAAATAAACCCGGTGCTGTTGGGGAGGCATGGTGGGAGTGAGACCAGCCTCTTGGGCTCCATGGGAGGTGAGTGTAACTGCTAGCTCTCCTCCACTTCCCTGGCAGCCTGCACGACACAGCAAAGGCAGCAATAATCCCCCTGGAAACATTAACTCCATTGGCCTGAGAACCACACCGCCATCCTCCACAGCAGCCACGGCAAGCCCTGTCCAAGGAGAGTCTGAGCTCAGACATACATCACCCTGAACCCACCTGATGGTCTTTCTCTACCCGCCCTGGTAGCCAAAGACAAAGCTGTTGGGAGCTCTAGGGCACTGCCCACTGCCTGATCCTCCCTAAACTACCTCAGCTGATGTTCTCCTGAAAGAGCCACCTCCTGGCAGGAGGCAGACTAGCACAAAAATAGGATTAAACAACCAAAACTAAGGACCCTCACTGAGTCCATTTCACTCCCCTGTCACCTCCACCGGAGGGGGTGCTGACATCCATGGCTGAGAGACCTGCAGATGGTTCACAGCACAGGACTCTGTGCAGACAACCCCCAGTACCAGCCTGGAGCCTGGCAGCCTTGCTGAATGGCGAGATCCAGAAGAGAGATAACAATCACTACAGCTCACCTGTCAGGAAGCCACATCCATAGGAAAAGGGGGAGAGTACTACATCAAGGAAATACTCCATGGGACAAAAAAATGTGAACAGCAGCCTTGAGCCCTAGACCTTCCCTCTGACATAGCCTACCCAAATGAGAAGGAACCAGAAAAACAATTCTGGTAATATGACAAAACAAGACTCTTTAACATCCCCACAAAATCACACTAGCTCACCAGCAATGGAACCAAATCAAGAAGAAATCCCTAATTTACTTGAAAAAGAATTCAGAAGGTCAGTTATTAAGCTAATCAAGGAGGGATCAGAGAAAGGTGAAGTCCACTTCAAGGAAATAAAAAATACATATATACAAGAAATGAGGGGAGAAATCTTCAGGGAAATAACATAAATAAAAACAATCACAACTTCAGGAAAAAAAGGATGCACTTAGAGAAATGCAAAATGTTCTGGAAAGTCTCATTAACAGAACTGAACAAGCAGAAGAAAGAACTTCAGAGCTCAAAGACAAAGTTTCCGAATTAACATAATCCAACGAAGACAAAGAAAAAAGATAAGAAAAAATGAACAAAGCCTCCAAAAAGCTTGGGATTATGTTAAGCAACCAAACCTAAGAATAATTGATGTTCCTGATGAAGAAAAGAAATCTAAAAGTTTGGAAAACATATTTGGGGGAATAATTGAGGAAAACTTCCCTGGCCTTGGTAGAGAACTAGATATCCAAATACAAGAAGCTCAAAGAAAACCTGGGAAATTCATTGAAAAAAGATCATTGCCTAGGCACATTCTCATCTGGTTATCTAAAGACAAGATGAAGGAAAGAATCTTAAGAGCTGTGAGGCAAAAGCACCAGGTAACCTACAGAGAAAATCTATGAGATTAACAGCAGATTTCTCAGCAGAAACACTACAAGCTATAAGGGATTGGGGCCCTATCTTCAGGCTCCTTAAACAAAACAGTTATCAGCCAAGAATTTGGTATTCAGCAAAAACTAAGCTTCATAAATGAAGGAAAGACACAGTCTTTTTCAGACAAACCAAAGATCATTCAAGGCTACTATTAGATCTCTACATGTATAAACTAGAAAACCTAGAGGAGATGGATAAATTCCTGAAAATATACAACCCTCCAAGATTAAACCAGGAATAAACAGAAACTATAACTAGACCAATAACAAGCAGCCAGACTGAAAAGGTAATAAAAAAAATTGCCAACAAAAAAAAAAATATTCCAGGACAAGGCAGATTCACAGCTGAATTCTTTCAGACATTCAAAGAATTGGTACCAATCCTATTGACACTATTCCACAAAATAGAAAGAAGGAATTCTCCCTAAATCATTCTGTGAAGCTGGTAACACCCTAATGCCAAAACTAGGCAAGGACATAACTAAAAAAGAAAACTACACACCAACATCGCTGATGAATATAGATGCAAAAATCCTTAACAAAATACTACCTAACTGAATCCAAAAGCGTGTCAAAAAGATTATCCACCATGATCAAATGGGCTTCATACCAGGAATGCAGGGATGGTTTAACAGGTACATGTCAATAAATATGATATACCACATAAAGAGAATTAAAAACAAATTCACATGATTATCTCAATAGACACAGAAAAAGTATTTGACAAAATCCAGCATTCCTCTACGAATAAAACCCTCAGCAAAATCGGCATAGAAGGGACATACCTCAATGTAGTAAAAGCCATCTATGACAAACCCACAGCCAAAATAATGCTGAATGAGGAAAAGTTGAAAGCATTCCCCTTGAGAACTGGAACTAGACAAGGATACTTACTCTCACCACTTCTATTCAACATAGTACTGGAAATCCTAGCCAGAGCAATCAGAGAAGAAAAAGAAATAGTGCATGCAAATCAGTAAAGAGGAAGTCAAACTGCTGCTGTTTGCTGATGATATGATCATATATCTAGAAAACCCTAAAGACTTTTCCAAAAAGTTCCTAGAACTGGTAAATACATTCAGCAATGTTTCAGGACACAAAATTAATGTACACAAATCAGTAGCTCCATTATACACCAACAGTGACCAAGCTGAGAAATCAAGAACTCAACACCTTTTACAATAGCTTCAAAAACAAACAACAAACAAAAAAACCTAGGAGTATACCTAACCAAGGAAGTGAAGGACCTCTATAAGGAAACTACAAAACACTGCTGAAAGAAATCACTGATGACACAAACAAATGAAAACACATCCCATGGATGGGTAGAATCACTACTGTGAAAATGACCATATTGCCAAAAGCAATCTACAGATTCAATGCAATTCCCATCAAAATGCCATCATCATTCTTCACAGAACTAGAAAAAAAATCCTAAAATTCATATGGAACAAAAAAATAGCCCTCAGAACCAAAGGAAGACTAAGCAAAAATAACAAATCTGAAGGCATCACATTACCCAACTTTAAACTATACCATAAGCCCATAGTCACCAAAAGAGCATGGTACTGGTATAAAATGGCATACAAACCAATAAAATGGAATAGGGAATCCAGAAATAAAGCCAAACACTTATAGCCAACTGATCTTAGAAAAAGCCAACAAAAACAAAAAGTGGAGAAAGCACACCCTATTCAACAAATGGTCCTGGGATAATTGGCAAGCCACATGTAGGAGAATGAAACTGAATCCTAATCTCATCTTACATGAAAATCAACTCAAAATGAATGAAGGACTTAAATCTAAGACCTGAAACCATAAAAATTCTAGAAGATACCATCAGAAAAACCCTTCTAGACATTGGCTTAGGCAAGAACCTAAAAGCAAATACAACAAAAACAAAAAGATAAATAGGTGGGACTTAATTAAACTAAAAAGCTTCTGCACAGCAAAAGAAATAATCAGCAGAGTAAACAGACAAACCACAGAGTGAGAGAAAATCTTCACAATCTATACATCTGACAAAGGACGGGTATCCAGAATCTACAAGAAACTCAAACAAATCAGCAACAAAAAAACCAACAATCCCATCAAAAATTGAGCTAAGGACATTAATAGATAATTCTCAAAAGAAAATATACAAATGTACAACAAACATATTAAAAAAAGCTATGGAACAGGGAAATTCAAATCAAAACCACAATGTAATACCACCTTACTCCTGCAAGAATGACCATAATCAAAAGATTAAAAAAAACAGATGTCGGCATAGATGTGGTGAAAAGGAAACACTTTTCCACTGCTGGTAGGAATGTAAACTAGTACAACCACTAAGGACAACAGTGAGGATATCCCTTAAAGAACTAAAAGTAGAACAACCATTTAATCCAGCAGTCCCACTATGAGTTATCTACCCAGAGGAAAGAAGTCATTATACAAAAAAGATACTTCCACACACATGTTTATAGTAGCACAATTGGCAATTGCAAAAACATGGAAGCAGCTCAAATTCCCACCAATCAAAAAGTGGATAAAGAAATTGTGATACAGGAGGTTCCAAGATGGCCGAATAGGAACAGCTCCAGTCTACAGCTCCCAGTATGAGCGACGCAGAAGATGGGTGATTTCGGCATTTCCAACTGAGGTACCAGGTTCATCTCACTGGGGCTTGTCAGACAGTGGATGCAGCCCACCAAGCAAGAGCCGAAGTGGGGTGAGGCATCGCCTCACCCAGGAAGCACAAGGGGTCAGGGAATTCCATTTCCTAGACAAGGGAAGCTGTGACAGACGGCACCTGGAAAATCGGGTCACTTCCACCCTAATATTGTGCTTTTCCAATGGTCTTAGCAAACGGCACACCAGGAGATTATATCCCATGCCTGGCTCAGAGGGTCCCACACCCATGGAGGTTCACTCATTGCTAATACAGCAGTCTGAGATCCAACTGCAAGGGGGCAGAGAGGCTGGGGGAGGGGTGCCTGCCATTGCTGAGGCTTGAGTAGGTAAACAAAGCAGCCAGGAAGCTCGAACTGGGTGGAGCCCACCACAGCTCAAGGAGGCCTGCCTGCCTCTGTAGACTCCACCTCTGCAGACAGGGCATAGCTGAACAAAAGGTAGCAGAAACTTCTGCAGACTTAAATGTCCCTGTCTGACAGCTTTGAAGAGAGTAGTGGTTCTCCAAGCACGGAGTTTGAGATCTGAGAACAGACAGAATGCCTCCTCAAGTGGGTCCCTGACCCCGGAGTAGCCTAACTGGGAGGCACCCCCCAGTAGGGGCCGACTGACACCTCACACGGCCAGGTGCCCCTCTGAGACGAAGCTTCCAGAGGAACGATCAGGCAGCAACATTTGCTGTTCTGCGATATTAGCTGTTCTGCAGCCTCCACTGGTGATACCCAGGCAAACAGGGTCTGGAGTGGACCTCCAGCAAACTCCAACAGACCTGTAGCTGATGGTCCTGACTGTTAGAAGGAAAACTAACAAACAGAAAGGACATCCACAACACAATCCCATCTGTACCTCACCATCATCAAAGACCAAAGGTAGATAAAACCACAAAGATGGGGAGAAACCAGAGCACAAAAGCTGAAAATTCTAAAAATCACAGTGCCTCTTCTCCTCCAAAGGAACGTAGCTCCTCACCAGCAACACAACAAAGTTGGATGGAGAATGACTTTGACGATTTGAGAGAAGAAGGCTTCAGATGATCAAACTTCTCTGAGCTAAAGGAGGATGTTCGAACCCAACGCAAAGAGGCTAAAAACTGTGAGAAGAGATTAGACAAATGGCTAACTAGAATAACCAGTGTAGAGAAGTCCTTAAATGACCTGATGGACCTGAAAACCATGGAACGAGAACTACGTGATGCATGCACAAGCTTCAGTAGCCGATTTGATCAACTGAAAAAGGGTATCAGTGACTGAAGACCAAATGAATGAAATGAAGCAAGAAGAGAAGTTTAGAGAAAAAAGAGTAAAAAGAAACGAACAAAGCCTCCAAGAAATATGGGACCATGTGAAAAGACCAAATCTATGTCTGACTGGTGTACCTGAGAGTGACAGGGAGAATGGAACCAAGTTGGAAAACACTCTGCACGATATTATCCAGGAGAACTTCCCCAACTTAGCAAGGCAGGCCAACATTCAAATTCAGGAAATACAGAGAATGCCACAAAGATACTCCTCGAGAAGACCAACTCCAAGACACATAATTGTCAGATTCACCAAAGTTGAAGTGAAGGAAAAAATGTTAAGGGAAGCCAGAGAGTAAGGTCAGGTTACCCACAAAGGGAAGCCCAAGAAACTAACAGCAGATCTCTCAGCAGAAACTCTACAAGCCAGAAGAAAGTGGGGGCCAATATTCAACATTCTTAAAGAAAAGAATTTTCAACCCAGAATTTCATATCCAGCCAAACTAAGTTTCATAAGTGAAGGAGAAATAGAATCCTTTACAGACAAGCAAATGCTGAGAGATTTTGTCACCACCAGGTCTGCCTTAGAAGAGCTCCTGAAGGAAGCACTAAACATGGAAAGGAACAACCAGTACCAGCCACTGCAAAAACATGCCAAACTGTAAAGTCTATTGATGCTAGGAAGAAACTGCATCAACTAACAAGCAAAATAACCAGCTAACATCATAATGACAGGATCAAATTCACACATAACAATATGAACCTTAAGTGTAAATGGGCTAAATGCTCCAATTAAAAGACACACACTGGCAAATTGGATAAAGAGTCAAGACCCATCAGTGTGCTGTATTCAGGAAACCCATCTCACGTGCAGAGACACACATCAGCTCAAAAGAAAGGGATGGAGGCAGATCTACCAAGTTAATTGAAAACAAAAAAAAAGCAGGGGTTCCAATCCTAGTGTCTGATAAAACAGATTTTAAACCAACAAAATTCAAGAAACACAAAGGTCATTACATAATGGTAAAGGGATCAATTCCACAAGAAGAGCTAACAACTCTAAATATATATGCACCCAATACAGGAGCATCCAGGTTCATAAAGCAAGTCTTTAGAGACCTACAAAGAGACTTAGCCTCCCACACAATAATAATGGAAGACTTTAACACCCCACTGTCAACATTAGACAGATCAATGAGACAGAAAGTTAACAACGATATCCAGGAATTTAACTCAGCTCTGCACCAAGTGGACCTAATAGACATCTACAGAACTCTTCACCCCAAATCAACAGAATATACATACCTCTCAGCACCACATCGCACTTATTCCAAAATTGACCACGTAGGTGGAAGTAAAGCACTCCTCAGCAAATGTAAAAGAACAGAAATTATAACAAACTGTCACTCAGACCACAGTGCAATCAAACTAGAACTCAGGATTGAGAAACTCACTCCAAACTGCTCAACAACATGGAAACTGAACAACCTGCTCCTGAATGACCACTGGGTACATAACGAAATGAAAGCACAAATAAAGATATTCTTTGAAACCAATGAGAACAAAGACACAACATACCAGAATCTCTGGGACACATTTAAAGCAGTGTGTAGAGGGAAATTTATAGCACTAAATGCCCAAAAGAGAAAGCAGGAAAGATCTAAAATTGACACCCTAACAACACAATTAATAGAACTAGAGAAGCAAGAGCAACACATTCAAAAGCTAGCAGAAGGCAAGAAATAATTAACATCAGAGCAGAACTGAAGGAGATACAGACACAAAAAACTCTTCAAAAAATCAACGAATCCAGGAGCTGGTTTTTTCAAAACATCAATAAAATTATAGACCGCTAGCAAGACTAATGAAGAAGAAAAGGGAGAAGAATCAAATAGATGCAATAAAAAATGATAAAGGGGTTATCACCACCAATCCCACAGTAATACAAACTACCATCAGAGAATACTACAAACACCTCTACGCAAATAAACTAGAAAATCTAGAAGAAATGCATAAATTCCTGGACACATGCACCCTCCCAAGACTAAAAAGGAAGAAGTTGAATCTCTGAATAGACCAATAACAGGATCTGAAATTGAGGCAATAATTAATAGTCTACCAACCAAAAAAAGTCCAGGACCAGATGGATTCACAGCCAAATTCTACCAGAGGTACAAGGAGGAGCTGGTACCATTCCTTCTGAAACTATTCTAATCGATAGAAAAAAAGGGAATCTGCCCTAACTCATTGTATGAGGCCAGGATCATCCTGATACCAAAGCCTGGCGGAGACAAAACAAAAAAAGAGAATTTTAGGCCAATATCCCTGATGACCATCAATGCAAAAATCCTCAATAAAATAGTGGCAAACCAAATCCAGCAGCACATCAAAAAGCTTATCCACCATGATCAAGTGGGCTTCATCCCTGGGATGCAAGGCTGGTTCAAAATATGCAAATCAATAAACGTAATTCATCATATAAACAGAACCAAAGACAAAACCACATGATTATCTCAATAGATGCAGAAAAGGCCTTTGACAAAATTCAACAGCCCTTCATGCTAAAAACTCTCAGTAAATTAGGTATTGATGGGATGTATCTCAAAATAATAAGAGCTATCTAAAACAAACCCACAGCCAATATCATACTGAATGGGCAAAAACTGGAAGCATTCCCTTTGGAAACTGGCACAAGACAGAGATGCCCTCTCTCACCACTCCTATTCAACATAGTGTTGGAAATTCTGGCCAGGGCAATCAGGCAGGAGAAAGAAAGAAAGGATATTCAATTAGGAAAAGAGGAAGTCAAATTGTCCCTGTTTACAGATGACATGATTGTATATTTAGAAAACCCCATCGTCTCAGCCCAAAATCTCCTTAAGCTGATAAGCAACTTCAGCAAAGTCTCAGGATACAAAATCAATGTGCAAAAATCACAAACATTCCTATATACCCATAACAGACAGAGAGCCAAATCATGAGTGAACTCCCATTCACAATTGCTTCAAAGAGAATAAAATACCTAGGAATCCAACTTACAAGGGATGTGAAGGATCTCTTCAAGGAGAACTACAAACCACTGCTCAACGAAATAAAAGAGGACACAAATGGAAGAATATTCCATGCTCATGGATAGGAACAATCAATATCACGAAAATGGCCATACTGCCCAAGGTAATTTATAGATTCAATGCCATTCCCATCAAGCTTCCGATGACTTTCTTCACAGAATTGGAAGAAACTACTTTAAAGTTCATATGGAACCAAAAAAGAGTCCGCATTGCCAAGTCAATCCTAAGCCAAAAGAACAAAGCTGGAGGCATCACACTACCTGACTTCAAACTATACTACAAGGCTACAGTAACCAAAATAGCATGGTACTGGTACCAAAACAGAGATATAGATCAATGGAACAGAACAGAGCCCTCAGAAATAACGCCGCATATCTACAACTATCTGATCTTTGACAAACCTGAGAAAAACAAGCAATGGGGAAAGGATTCCCTATTTAATAGATGGTGCTGGGAAAACTGGCTAGCCATATGTAGAAAGCTGAAACTGGATCCCTTCCTTACACCTTATACAAAAATCAATTCAAGATGGATTAAAGACTTAAACTTAGACCTAAAACCATAAAAACCCTAGAAGAAAACCTAGGCATTACCATTCAGGACATAGGCATGGGCAAGGACTTCATGTCTAAAACACCAAAAGCAATGGCAACAAAAGCCAAAATTGACAAATGGGATCTAATTAAACTAAAGAGCTTCTGCACAGCAAAAGAAACTACCATCAGAGTGAACAGGCAACCCACAAAATGGAAGAAAATTTTCGCAACCTACTCATCTGACAAAGGGCTAATATCCAGAATCTACAATGAACTCAAACAAATTTACAAGAAAAAAACAACCCCATCAAAAAGTGGGCGAAGGACATGAACAGACACTTCTCAAAAGAAGACATTTATGCAGCCAAAAAACACATGAAAAAATGCTCACCATCACTGGCCATCAGAGAAATGCAAATCAAAACCACAATGACATACCATCTGACACCAGTTAGAATGGCAATCATTCAAAAGTCAGGAAACAACAGGTGCTGGAGAGGATGTGGAGAAACAGGAACACTTTTACACTGTTGGTGGGACTGTAAACTAGTTCAACCATTGTGGAAGTCAGTGTGGCGATTCCTCAGGGATCTAGAACTAGAAATACCATTTGACCCAGCAATCCCATTACTGGCTATATACCCAAAGGACTATAAATCATGATGCTATAAAGACACATGCACACGTATGTTTATTGCGGCATTATTCACAATAGCAAAGACTTGGATCCAACCCAAATGTCCAACAATGATAGACTGGATTAAGAAAATGTGGCACATATACACCATGGAATACTATGCGCCATAAAAAATGATGAGTTCATGTCCTTTGTAGGGACATGGATGAAATTGGAAATCATCATTCTCAGTAAACTATCGCAAGAACAAAAAACCAAACAGTGCATATTCTCACTCATAGGTGGGAATTGAACAATGAGATCACATGGACACAGGAAGGGGAACATCACACTCTGGGGAATGTGGTGGGGTGGGGGGAGTGGGGAGGGATAGCATTGGGAGATATACCTAATGCTAGATGACGAGTTAATGGGTGCAGCACACCAGCATGGCACATGTATACGTATGTAACTAACCTGCACAATGTGCACATGTACCCTAAAACTTAAAGTATAATAAAAAAAATAAATTAAATTAAAAAAAAAAAAACATGGGATCTTGCTATGCTGTCTGGCCTGGGCTTGAACTTCTGGACCCAAATGATTCTCCCATCTCAGGCTCCTGAGTAGCTGAGACTACAGGTGCATGCCCCCCTGCCCAGCTCTGTATCTGCGTTTTAATAATCAGATATTTAAATGGAATAATCCAGGTCATTAAAACCAGAGAGCATCTGAATATATTTGTTCTTCTTAAACCCACTGTTAAAAATATAAATTAATGTAAAAATAAACCCAGTATAGTAATGGTTAAGGAAGAGTGCTATCAAATCAAATCTTAAAGAGTTTCTGGAAGATAACACGAGTATCATGTAACATTGGTGGAGAAACCATATAAAATGTAAGAACTCACAACAGTATAAAAACAGGATTGCCAAAAAATGAGCCTTCTCAGAAGATCCTTGTAACAAACCCAAGACCTGAGGCAGCAGAGACTGGGAGAAAGGCTGAAGGGTGGGCTATCAGTGGGCCCATTAATAAAAAGGCTGCAAAAAAATACCTGTTTAACTCCTCTGCTTTCAAAATTTCTCACTTCAGAGTTTGCTCCAGCTAAAGATGAAAGAACAACCCTCTAAAGTAATCAATCTTCTACCAGAGATTCATACTGTGGGTGCTGGAATCCAAGTCAAAAGTGCAATCATGTCCCAGGCAACTTTTGGATCTCTTCATGAACCTTGAATGTGAACTAGTCATGCACGCAATGCTAGAGTCCATTTGGTCAAACACATGCCCCATCCAATCCTGACAGCCAGGGAATCTATAATCAGAATCTAGGTTCACTGTCCCTGAGGATCATTAGACAAAAATAAACCCAGTCTAGCAACTAGTACAGATCAATCTAGACTCTATTCTTTATAATATCAAATGAATAACCATATTCCATTAGAATTCTCAAAAATTAAACTGATCATTATTTTAAAGGTTCAAAAAAGAAGCTGAATCTAATAATATTGAAGGCTAAAGAGAAAATAAATTGATTAAAAAATGAAAAAAAGATCAAATTAGGAATCTAGAAAGTCAAAACAAGAAATTATCTTAGAACACAATGTAAAGGAAAACTTACTTAAAAAACTATGAGATAAGAAAGGTCAATTTTAGAGATCAAATAACTAGCAAAACAGTCATTCTAGAAAGAGATAACAGAACCAACAGAGAGGAAAAATAATTGAAGAAAAAAATAGGGAGAAATATTGAAATTAAAAAAAACACTTGGACATAGCTAAGCTAAATTCAGAACCAAATAAAGAAAAAATCACAGGGCCATACAAAAATTAAAAATGTGCTGAATCATACTTGCATCAGACTTTTAATCTAAAACATGAAATAATTTTACAAAAAAACATAGTACAATCTCTATAAGGCATGAGGAAAGAATAATTCAAACCTCAGCTCTTCTGTCACATTAAATCAGTATTTGGAAGTCATATTTATATTCATGTATTTAAAGTTTCAAAATGTTAGGGTTTATGAACATTTTAAATTATTTCTTTTTTTTTTTTTTTTTTTTCAGACAGAGTCTCGCTCTGTTACCCAGGATGGAGTGTGCAGTGGTGCAATCTTGGCTCACTGCAAGCTCCGCCTCCCAGGTTCACACCATTCTCCCGCCTCACCCTCCTGAGTAGCTGGGACTACAGGCGCCCGCCACCACGCCTGGCTAATTTTTTGTATTTTTAGTAGAGATGGGGTTTCACCATGTTAGCCAGGATGGTCTTGATCTCCTGACCTCGTGATCCGCCCGCCTCGGCCTCCCAAAGTGCTGGGATTACAGGTGTGAGCCACTGCCCCCAGCCTTAAATTATTTCTTACCGATTTTTTCAAAATAAAACAAAACAAAAATCCAAGATACAGGAATATAAAAGGTAAAAGAAAGGCAAACCAAGAGTTCAGGAAAATGTATTTAACTCCAAATAATTGTTATAATGTAGCTGTGAAGTATCCTGCTTTTATTACATAGGGATTCATGAAAGAGGGATAATGGAAAAATGTAGTTTAACACATTGAGGCTGAAACTGTAAAAAAAAAAAATACTACAAAATCTGAAAAGTAAATAGGGAGGAAGAAGAAATAGATAAACATTTGCTAAATGTCTTCTATTCACAGGAAAGTTAATAGATAGTGATTAGATGTTTTCATCAATAGCAAAATTTGTATTTAAATACATCTATTGAAAACTTAATGATAATTTTCAGTAGTAGAGAAATAAGCAGCACACCAGCATGGCACATGTATACATATGTAACTAACCTGCACATTGTGCACATGTACCCTAAAACTTAAAGTATAATAATAATAAAATAAAATAAAAAAGAGAAATAAGCTAGAAAAATATAGCAATAATAAGACCATAACATTTCTATAATTTTAAGCATGAATTCTCAGACTGGGAAAAGTATATGCATATACACCCAAATCTAGCAAGTAAAACAAATGACATATGCATTTGAAAATAAGTAAATACAAAATGACATATTAGGAAAATATGAATAGAAAAAAGAACAGTTGACAATATTGATGTGAAAAATAGGATTCAAAGGAATTGATGTGGCTTAAGATGATATAACAACTACAAGCCTTTATGAATCAGACAACATAAATTTAAAGTATAGAAAGCAAAATCTGCTAATGTAGAAGAAAATTTGCAGAACAACAATATTACTAAATTTATCACTACTATGTCAGGTATCAAAGAATGAGAAGGCAAACTCTACTTAGGACGTACAAGATTTGAATAACAAACAAACATTTGATGTCAAGAAAAAAGAAGCAATAATAAGGCAACTTTGTTCTTTCTCATGATTGCCTTTGAATATTTATTCTGTGGGAGCCAGGCCTTTCTTTGTCCTTGGATAAAGTGTCAGGCAGAGCCCATCTCTCATTTGCTCACTTTTAGATAATACAATATCTTTCTATGCGCTATAGATGGACACACTTCCATGGGAGAGGGGGAAATAGTCACTTCCTCTCTTCTGACTACACCTGAAGCTGCTGTCTTTCTCCCAGTATCAATCCACTAGACTGCCAATGTTCTGAGAAGTTTGAAATGTGGTGGGGAAAAGTAAGGATGAGAACAGATTCCTAAACTGAAAGAGTTGTAAGCTGGAATCAGTAGTTTTCTAGCTCAGTATATGCTTAATTATTTCTCTCCTCAGTCTGCCCTGTGGGGCCCCTGAAGAATACTTGTTGCTTGGGATCCATCACTGAAATTCTCTGATGCATTTTCCAGCTGGCTGCTTATGAGATGACCTCATCCCCATTCCCTACCACTTTAGATTTTGGTTCTCAGCAATTTATGCCCATCCAAAAAGTTTTCTTTTGGAATTCCACCAAATATCCAGGTTGCACTCTTAGCAAAAATCCCAATAAGACATTAAGTAATTCTCTCTCTGCATATATCCACAGGGAACATGCGTTCTTTAAAAGCAACCTTTGACCAAACAGTCATTCACCAATCACAGCCTTCTACTGAGCTGACATGAGTCACTTCCATTTCCTGCCCTTTGGTTTTCCAAGCATGTCAGGCACTAATCAACAGTGTGTCACTTGAGCTCCCAGAGAAACTTCTTGTTTTCTGAATGGTCTCTTTGAAACCTCTCTTAAAATACTTGAGGCTGGAGGGCAAGTATCCATCTTGCCCCTCTCGTGGTCTATGTGGGGATATGCCACAGCATTCCAACAACTTTTTACAAAGAAATTATCTCTTTAATTAAGAATTCCTTTTCATCTTTTCTGTCATCTTTTATAGGTGGCCAGAGAGCTGGATGTTAAAAACATCCTTTGTAGGATGTGTAGGTGGCATGTTACTTTAGAACATGATAGAAATTGTTTACTATTGCTTTCTACTCTTTTTAGCCTCACTAGGAGGGAAGAAAGTGCCATTTTAATATTTTGTTACACAATGAATTGGCATTGGGGTCAATGGGTCTACCTTAACAGACTTTAATTTTCCAGTGGCCATTATAGATCAGATATCAGCAGAGAAGATGTGAATATCTCCAGTTCAGGTCATGGAAACTGTTTTCCATGACAGTCAAGCTAATCTGGGACTCAAAGGCAACACAAGACAGTCTTAAAGAAGGAATGGCTGAGCATTTGGGGATTTTCTGTGGCTAACGAATATGTGACACTAGAAAAAATATGCATTGCTTCCATCACTTCAAGTGACAAAGAGGAAGAGAAAAAGCCATAAGCTGTTTGAACAGATGAGCCAGGGCCTCAAAATTTCATTTGGGTAGTGAATTCATAAATAAGGTATTATTCTTTCAGCTCAAGGTCAGAGAACACAGTGGCTTTATCCATGAGTACCTCCCAATTCTGAGAAAATTACATGGTGTTTTAGATTTCTGAAGGGGACACAAATTTTAAAACTACTTTTGACAGTGATTTCTACCCCACCCTCCAAATTGCAGAAGTTATCAGATCCAAATGGAAAACTTGTGCCTGCTGCTTCTAGCAGAACACTCTGCCCACACAGGAAGCATAACTTAAAGACAATTTAAACAGGAAGAATTGAAATTAGTGTGCATATACCTTTGTCCTCAAAATAGGGTAGGCAAAAACTAGCGAATAACATACTTGCAGTGACTGAACATTTCACCTTTCAGGCCTAAGCTTAGCCCATCCCAGACCACAACACACACTTACCCTACCAGACTAAATGAGCTTCTGACTCAGTTAGGGACAGTATTTCCAGAACACTTTGGTACGGAAAATGCTTCACCTAGTGGGAATTCAGAAATCCACAGCTGTCACCTTGCATCTCCAGAAAGACCCTCACCAAAAGAAATTCAATGAAAGGAGCTTGGGGATACACTTCCCCCAGAAAGGGGCATAGAGAGTGTTTCTCCATAATGCCACAAGAACTTTAACATTGCTCCCCGCCTCTCAGTTTTTCACCTTGGGAAACATATCTCAGCTGCCCATTTATGTCTGCATAGTGTAAATGGTCAAGATTCTATATCCAGAAAGCATGACACTAACCTCAGGGGCAAATTTCAGAAATAATACCTCTGACTATGAATGTAGTAGTTAGGCTATTTAACCAATGGGCACTACACTATAGTGAATTCCAGCACCCTCTTAACTGGGGGACTGCAGGATATGAGCAAACTAGATGACTACTGGAAGCCCACACCGTATCTTGTATTAGGGTGGTATGGATTTTACCTGTATACAAAGTAAGAGATGAAAGTGGGTCACATTTGTTGAAAAAATATTTATTAAGTAAATGTACTGTTCTAGGATCTAGGGATATAACAATGTAGTTTTCATCCCAATGGAGAGAGGCATGTAATAAACACAATTTGTCAATGAATTAATTAACATTTAGTGTTTCAGGTGGTAACTAACAGCAATGAAGACATTCAATCAGGGTAAGGGGATGGGTAGGTATTATTTTTGGTTGGTTGTCTAAGGAAGGACCCCTTAATAAGGACAAGTATTCGTAGAAACCTGAAAGTAATGAGGGAGCAAGTCATTAATACGTCTGGGAAAAAGTGTAGTAGAGAGGGGAGTGGTGCAGGCAAAAGACCTGAGGTGGAACTCTTCATGGCAGGCTGAGGGAAGAACAGGGAGTACACCGTGAGTAGAGCAGTTCCAAAAAGTAAGAAGTCGTAGGAGAGGCCAGAAGTGTCATCAAGAGCCAGATTGTACTTGTCATTCTAGGCCTTGGTGAGCACTTTGAATCTACTTTCGAAATAAAGGTTTTGAGCAGAGAAGTGATGTTACATGAGTTGTTTTCAAAAAGATTATTCTCACCATTAGACGAGGGTCACAGGGGGTCATATGTTGGGCAGAGGGATTAGTTCAGGTCGACTGCAGTAGGCAAGAAGGGATATAATAGTAACTTGGACTAGTGCGTGTGTGTGTGTGCGTGTGTGTGTGTGTGTGTGTGTGTGTGTTTGTGTGTGTGTGGAGGGTAGACATGGAGAAAAGCAGAGATCAAGATAGAAAGACAGAGAAATTCATACCCACCAAATAGGGACTAAATGTTCTTCTTCAAGTAATTATGGGACATTTATAAAACTGAATCACTTACAAGGATGTCAGTTAAACTCAGCCAATTCTAAAAACTAGAATAGAAACAGGCAACATTCCTTAATCACAATGAAACTAAACTCAAAATTAACGATGATAGATTAGACACAAATTTAACCCATGGAAACATTTTAAAGTCGTCTATGTATCTTTGAGCTTATTATCTTGCTCTTATTAAACTAGGCACCACACAGTCAGTCTCCTCTTGTTTGCCCAGGTAGAGTAAGACTGCAAAACTAAGAGTCTTACATTTCCCAGATATACATCTAAGAACAAACATTTTTGGATATCCAAGGTTCTTGTGATTTCTCCTCGCATCCTAACTCCCAGTATTTAAAAAGCATATATTTCTCTGCTTTTTTTTTTTTTTTTTTTTTTTTTTTTTGCAAGCATATGTTTCTAAAGCACGCTAAAGAAAAAGGCTTTTCTTCCCTTTTTCCTATTTTAGGTGTTATTCTAGGTAAGAATTTTCTGTTCTTATATAGAACAGAAAATTGACTGTTAGAATAAAGATGTAATGTTCTTGGAAATGTTGAGTCCAGAATTTGGTAAGAAGTAATAAACAAGTATATAAATCCTCTTCAATATATTTATACTTGTGATTATGTATCAAGCAAAGGTTGTTGTAAAGCCTAAAAAATGTATGTATCTTTCTTAAAATGTCTTCGGTTTCTTAAACTTTGCCTTTTTAAGTTATTCACTTCAAGAATAAAGAATGTGTTAACCACTATGAAAAAATCAGTTTAATAATATGGTTTTATCAAAATCATTAAGGATTATGGACTCTTACATTATGTATCTTTGCTTTAAGAACAAGCCCCAGTATTTTCATTCTACTTTGTAAGTTACATTATAATTTTAAAACTTAATCCTATTTTCATTGCCAGTTCTATATCACAACATTTCCACTTTGAGATTCTTTCTTTACATATGTTTTGTTTGCTGCTTTTCAGGAGAGAGATATGGGTGACACATTTTCTAATTTCATGAACAAATAAATGACGAGTTAACTAAGTTAGAATTTTTAAATTATAGCATTGGCTGTTTAACTCTAGAAATAACTATTTCTTCAACAAATAAGTTGAAGGGAAAAAATAAGGGGGGGGGGTCATTCATAGATTAAGTTATGCTTTAGAGACATATCAACTAAACACTTTGTGAATACATTTGGAATGCTGATTTGAATAAGCCAGAAGTGAACATATAAACTGGGGACGATTTATACCCTAATACACAGAAGTGTATTTTACGTATGGTAATGGTTTGTAGTTATGTGGGTTTTTTTTTTTTTTTTTACAGAGTACTTACATTTTAGAGAGATATATTGAAGTAATTATGAATGAAATGATACAGTGTTTAGAATTGCTTACAAGATTGGGGGGTGGGAGAGTGGGCAGAGATATAGATGAAACCAGTTGGCAATGAGTCAATACTGTTTAAACTGGGGAATGGGTATATTTAGGTTGATGTGGAAGTCTTCCTACTTTTGTATATATCTGAAAATTTCTCTTGTAGAACAAATGTGGGATGGAAAGCTAGTTATTTATTCTTTTCTACAACTGTGAAAGAGATCTAAGAATATATGGTTTTCTTGGCAAGCAGTTTTATTTATTCACTATTTCCTGCCAAAATGTTAGGTTCTTTTTGCTTAAATTTCAATATCTTGACTATGTCCATGTCTTGGTCTTTTAAAATTAATTTTATAAATTTTGTGATGTGCCAAATTATATCTTTAAGCTTTGACATGTTTCCTTCCATTACATGGTTGTTTTATTTATTTATGATAGAATCTTGCTCTGTTACCCAAGTTGGAGGGCAGTTTGTGATCTGCCAAATTATATCTTTAAGCTTTGACATGTTTCCTTCCATTACATGGTTGTTTTATTTATTTATGATAGAATCTTGCTCTGTCACCCAGGTTGGAGGGCAGTGGCATGGTCACACCTCACCGTAAACTTGAACTCCTGGGCTTAAGCAATCTCTTCCCACCTCAGCCTCCCCAAGTGCTGTAATTACAGGCGTGATCCACCTCACCTGGCCTATTACGTGTTTTAATAGAATTTTCGTTTAATTTGTTCTGATTTCTTCAGAAATTCTTTGTTGTTTTCCATATCACATTTTTTTCTGTTCAGTTAAATGCTATTATCTGCATTCTGAAATCAATACACTCTTTAATTTTCTGTTGTGTAGTTTTTGCTCTTAATTGCTTTTAAAACATTTTGAAATTTCTTCCATAACTTCAGAACCTTAGTTTCCTATATTATTGATCTCTGAGAGGGCTCCATTTTAATAATCCCTCCTTTTTAACCTATCAACTCTTATCCTATGTATTCTACATTTTCTTCCTTTGTCAAAAAGAGGAAGCAGATAGAATCTAGAACATTTTGCCACACATATAATTTTTTTAAATAAGTTTTTGGATGTTTATAGGAGCTTTACCATAATTGCCAAAATGTGGAAGCAACTAAGATGTTCTTCAGTAAGTTAACAGATAAATAAACTATGGTATATCCAGACAATGGAATTATCACTCAGTGCTAAAAAGAAATGAGCTAACAGGTCATGAAAAGACATGGAGGAAACTTAAATGTATATTACTAGGTGAAAAAAGCCAACCTAAAAGGGCTACATACTGTATGATTCCAAGTATATGACATCCTGGAAAAGGGAAAACTATCAAGGCCGTAAAGCCATTAGTGGTTTCCAGGAGTTGGGAAAAAGGAGGGATGAATATGACTATTCAAGCGCAGAGGTATTTTGAGGGCAGTGAAACTACTCTTTATGACACTATAGTGCTAGATACATATCATTATACATTTGTCCAAACCCCTGGAATGTACAATACCAAGAGTGAGGCCCAATGTAAACCACAGAATTTGGGTGATATTCATGTGTCAATGTAGGTTCATCAGTTGTAACAAATGTACCACTCTGCTGCAAGATGTTGATAATGGGGAGGTTATCTATGCATGTGTGGGGACCAGGGTATGCAGGAACTCTGGGTACCTCCTGCTCAGTTTGGCTTTGAACCTAAAGCTGCTCTAAAAGATAAAGTCTACTTTAAATTAATGTTTTTCCTCTGCCTTTTGAATACTTTATTCTCCATTTTATTGTAAAATCTTTTCATAGGCTCCACTTTGAGTTTTTCAAAGGTGGAGGACTATCTATGCCTGATAAGAGCTCCACAAAAATAGGGCAGGAGATTCTTTGTAGGCTTCCTCATTTTCTACTTTCATGCTGTTAGAGAAGTTCTTTTAAAACCCAATCTAAAGGACTTGCTTCTCATGTGTTCACATAGTAAGTAAGACGAGTGAGTGGAGCTGCTAAGGCAATGAATGATCCCAGCAGGCCAACTTTGTCTCTGCATGCTTTCTTCCCTGTCTTTGCAGAAACCTCTGGGTCAGTGGCTGGATTTGGTGAGACCTGGAATACTTCCAGGTGAACCAATTGTCTTGTTTCTTTGGACCAATCTTATTACTTTTTCAGTTAACAAAACCTCCCACTCAGTATCAGAATGCCACTATTACAGATCAACAGCCATTGGTGTCCCAATTCTATTTCATCTTGGAAGTCTGTCACTAGAGTGTTCAGCCAACTCTCTGCAGTCATCATTACTGCAGATTTCCTGCTCCTTTACTTTTCTGAGTCCCCAGATCCGGCGCCCCTGCAGTGTACAAGATCTCTGCTGACTCAATAGGGTCCTATGTAGAGTTTGCCTCATCAGCCTCACAGTTCACTTTCCAAGCTCAGCAAGGCTTATGTCCCCCAGGGTATCTACTGCATACTCCTATAGGACTATCCTTCTCTTCTAGGCCCATGATTTAAGAGTAAATTCTTTGTTCATGCTCCAGCTCCACTTATTCAAGTAGAAAGAATTTTAAATTAGTGGTAGTTTTGAGGCTTTATTCTGGAGTTTCCAATGTTGTGTTGTGGATTTTCTCCTACTTTTACACTTTCTAGATATTTTTCTTAGAATAGAGGGGGATAATCCCCTTCCCCCCCAATTCCAAGCTATCTTCTTTTCCTAGAAAACTGACCAAATTTCAGGTAATAATTTTAAGTGGTCTGAAAGAGCAGGATGCTTTGCCCATCCTTTTAAAACAAGTATCCTAATGACTTGAACTGATTTGGGCTGATTTGCATGCATGCACCTCCTTCACAGTAAATAGAATGTGGACAATTTTATATTTTTAATATCCCAAAGCAAGAGAAGTCTCAATAGACAGACATGATGTCCAATTATTGTCAAGAAAAATGAATTAAGGACTAATATTCTAAAAGCAAAACATATCTATTTGGGGGAGATATTTTTCCAACACTAAACTGTCATTTAAACATGACATCTTATAGAAAAAGTTAACCCACTTAGCTATTCAGAGATGTATTTTAGCCATTTAATTATTCCTGAAGAATTCATCAAGAAGTTGTATTACTTTAAAATTAAAACTCCCATGGCTCCATTACTGAAATTTTTCTATGGTCAGTGATTCGTAATGGTTCTCTGAAATTTTGCCAGGCTAAAATTATTAGAGCAATGCTCCATGGAAAAGAATTTCAGGGCTTTTATTTTCCCATTTACCTAAGTATTGTTTTCTGAGGAAAATATTAAATCTGACATTTACTACTTCACTTTACTCTATGTGAAGGTCGGATGATTATTCAACCGAGACTGTTTCTTTCATTTTCATTGTGGATAATTAATTGTACTATCCACTCAATTGGCTATCAAAGTACATGGATTTTCCCTAGGCAGCAGCATAAAGGACATTACAGTTTCATGCCAAAGAATTCTCTGTTGTCCAAATATAAAAATTGCAGTTATAAGAAATAATATGGGAAACTGCCTGAAGGATAAGCAGTTCATTTATTCCTCCTAATAACCTAAATTTTATCCTTGCTTTAGTTAGGCCACCAATAAGTTGCACATGTATACTGCATTCTCTGAGATCCTCATTGAAGTGTTTTCTCTGGATCATAATTTGGGGGTATGCCATCACTTTTGCTCTGAAGAAAATAGCACTACTACTGATAATAATGATGATAATGTTGATGCCAATATTAATTTCCCCAAAACTGGCTCCTACAATCTTCCCATAATGCCCCTCTTACCTCATCTAGTTAGTATCAACTCCATTCTTCTATTTGCTCAAACCAAAAGCTCTGGGGTCATCACTTCCTCTTTTTTTCCTCTGACATCCAACATGGAATCCTTCATCACAGCTTGTTGATTCTAACTTCAAAAAACTCCAGATGCTGACTATCTTTCACCACTTCCACTGCTACTACCATGATACAAGCTACTATTACTACTCACCTGGAAGCTTCTTGATTTCCTTTGACTCTTCTGCATCCCTAACACACAGCCAGTTCTCAACTGAAAAATTAACGTATGTCATTACAAGTCAGATCATATCATGCCTCTGCTCTAATTCTTCAGGGGCTCCCATGTCATTCAGAAGGCGACAAGGTGTTTACAAGGTCCTACTGGGTCTGGTCCCTCATTAACTCCTTGACTTCATCTATCACTCTCCTCCTAATTCCCTTTCTTCAGCCAAACTGGTCACCGCATGGTTCCTTAGACAATCATAAACAGTCCATTCTGCTCCCTCTCTCTGGAGTGTCTTCCTCCAAAGAGCCTCACGCCTATTCTCTAACCCCTTCTGAAGAGACCTCCTTCAGCTACCTTACTTAAAACTGAGACCACTGACCTTGGCACTGTTTATCCTCATTTCTGATTTTTCTCCCCACAGCATTTAATGGTATCCTACCATACTGTGCATTTTATTTAAATATTTTGTCTGTTATCTGCCTCTCCCTAGTCTAATAAAGCTCTCTGTGTGCAGGGATTTTGATCTGTTTTGTTCACTGTTGTATATCCAGTGTTTAGAATGGCATCTTGCATATAGCAAGTGTTTAATAAATCTATTTTAAATAAATGATCGTGAAGAATAATGGTAACATTAGAGGCTAACATAAATTTGTCACTTGGTATTAGTCAGGCATTGTTCTTTACAGGAATTATTTATGCCTCACATCCCTATGACGTTGGTACTTTTATTCTTCAGAAAGGGAAACTGAGGCCCTTGGGGGAAACTTAGCTGAGGTCACACAGGTGGAAGTGACAGGCCTGAAATCCAAATCTAGTCTCTTCATCCTCAAAGCCTTTGCTTTTTAAATTACAACACTGTGCTTGCTTTTATCAGAAACTCATATGGCCATTGTGCTTATTTTTTCTTTTAAATAAAAAAAAATTTTCACTATTTGAGATAATTTACCCTTTCTGTCCCATAGGTAAAATTTCTCACATGTCTTAAGCTATGTTTCTCTAGATACTTGGTTCATGTTTATCTTTTGGACATTAGAGTGTTTAAAATGTTTGTTTCCATCTGGATTCTTCACTAGGAAACTCAGAAATTTTCAGTTAATAAATTTTAGCATGCTAATGTTAACCTTGGCTTTATTCTACTTTCCAAAAGCTTCTGCTCCCATACGCCTTCCAATTTTTAAAACATTTCTTATTTTTTTTTTTTTTTTTTTTGAGACAGAGTCTCGCTTTGTCACCCAGGCTGGAGTGCAGCGGCGCGATCTCGGCTCACTGCAAGCTCTGCCTCCTGGGTTCACGCCATTCCCTGGCCTCAGCCTCCCAAGTAGCTGGGACTACAGGTGCCCGCCACCATGCCCGGCTAATTTTTTTTGTATTTTTAGTAGAGACGGGGTTTCACCGTGTTAGCCAGGATGGTCTCGATCTCCTGACCTCGTGATCCGCCTGCCTCAGCCTCCCAAAGTGCTGGGATTACAGGCGTGAGCCACCGTGCCCAGCCAAAACATTTATTTCTTTATTGTAGTGTATTGTATTTGTGTAATCTCCTCGAATCCCCTTTAGAATAAGATGGTATGTCGATAAATATATTTATTAATTAAATTAGAGTTGTGTTCTTGCATCAGATTATTTTGGCCTCTTATAAAATAGCCTGATTCTCAACAGTCCTTTAGTATTATACTCTCAGCTTGTATTGTGTGTGAAATACTCTAAGGAGCAGCCATGAAACTCAAACAACAACAATAAAAACAAGTAAACATCACCTTTGCTTATGTTTAATATACAAAAGAATTGTTGTCTGGATCATGTCCACTTTTTTTTTAAATGGAGTCTCGCTCTGTCACCCAGGCTAGAGTGTAGTGGGGCGATCTCAGCTCACTGCAACCTCCTCCTCCCAGGTTCAAGCTATTCTCTTGCCTCAGCCTCCCAAGGAGCTGGGATTACAAGTGCTTACCACCATGCCTGGCTAATTTTTTTTGTATTTTTAGTAGAGACGAGGTTTCACCATGTTGGCCAGGCTGATCTCAAACTCTTGACCTCAAGTGATCCTCTCACCTCAGCCCCCCAAAGTGCTGGAATAACTGGCGTAAGCTGCTATGGGATCTTGTCCACTTAATACCAGTATTCTCTTGAATTAGGAATGACAAAAAAAATTTCTGGCATGCCACAGGGCCTTCCAAGTAAGTGATATACTTTTCTCCCATGAGGATTCACAGCTGTATGTTTTGCTCTTATTCAAAACCAAATTTTCTGTCTACCTCTCACAGTTAGGTAAGATCCTGTTTAAAAGTGCTAATTTTATTTCTAGTTCCATTTGTTTGCCTATCCTTATTTTCTCATGTCTCTAACCATTAATTGATTTTCTTTTTTATCCCACAGTATTATCTGTATTTATGTGTGGCTCGATAACACTTAGTGGCAAAAACTCAATGTTTTTCCTCCCAATGTTTTCCCGTTTCCCTTTCATTCATTCTAGCAGGTAGCAGACTCTGCACTTTATTGCATTAGGAGAGGCATGGGGCATGGCAGAGAAAAGGAATAGCTTGCAAATATTTCTTGCTTTTGTTTTCCAAATATCTGTATCTTTAAAATAACTTAGAGGGTTTTGTGGAAGAGGGAAAAAGAAGGCAGAAGGGTATTTGTGGGCAAAAGTTGTGAGAAACATGGTGCAAGGAAGAGATGAGAGAAACCAAATAATGGCCAGTGGGAGACTGAGATTGGAGGATTGCTTGAGTCCAGGAGTTTGAGACCGGCCTGGGCAACATAGCAAAACTCCATCTCTACAAAAATTTAAAAAACTAGCTGGGTGTGGTGTCCGCCTGTAGTCCTCACTATTCAGGAGGCTGAGAGGGGAGGATCACTTGAGCACAGGGATTCGAGGCTGCAGTCAACTGCAATCATGCCACTGCACTCCAGCCTGGGCAACAGAATGAAATTCTGTCTCTAAATAATATTACATAAAGACTACATGAAAGTATCCAAAGTGGCTAAAAATTTTAGGCCTGAACTCTCTTATA
Source organism: Homo sapiens (assembly GCF_000001405.40). NCBI lineage: Eukaryota > Metazoa > Chordata > Mammalia > Primates > Hominidae > Homo > Homo sapiens. The sequence goes on along the minus strand of NC_000002.12, from coordinate 167,427,481 downwards.
CATTTATAAACTTTGAAGGAGCTATGGTCATGAAAGATGACATTTTTTGTTGGTGGCTTCCATGGTATGAACCTTTTATAAATATTAACATTTATAAGGTCATATACTTCTTTTTAAGATCAAAAATAAGTCAAAATTCACACACACAAAAAAGCTAAATCAAGCCAAAAAATAGAACTTCACCAACAAGCAGATGCTCTCCTCACCCTATGTATACCTCCACAACCACAGCTCTCTTTCTTTCCCATAGGAGTAACCACTGTCTTCACTTCAGAGTACTAATTTCCTTATTATCTTAAGCTTGCTGCTTCTGTATAACTTACCTAAACAATAGTTTAGTTTTGCCTATTTGTGAGCTTTGGATAAATTAAATCATATTGTGTGTCCCTTTGTACTTTTCAGTTTTGCTCAATATAATGTCTGAAAAGTTGAGCCATAATGGTTCTTTAACTTTCATTGCTATATAATATTCTACTCTATGACATACCACAACTTATCCATTTTGCTGTTGGGGAACATTTAGGTTGAATCCAGTTTGGGATATATTAAAACAATGTTGCAATGAACGTATATATTCTGTAGCACATAAGCATGATTTTCTCTAGGATATATACCTATGGGTGCAATGCAAGGTTACAGGGTATGTGCATCTTCAACTTAACTTGATAATGCTACATCATTTTGCGGAGTGGTTTTTGCCAGTTTATACACTTATCGGCAGTGCATGTGCATCCTTGAGAGCTCTGTCACTGCCTAACTGTGTAAATTTGTCAGGTTACATAGGCCATTATTTGCATTTATTTATCCATCTACTTATTTAATAATTACTAGGACTGTCTATGTTCCAGGCAATGTGCTGGGTAGTGGAAACAAAAAGGTACATACAACAGACACTTCTTCACTGTGTCCATTATAAATTGGTAATGGCTGTAATCCCAGCACTTTGGGAGGTCAAGGTGGGTGGATCACCTGAGGTCAAGAGTTTGAGAACAGCCTCCTCAAAACGGGATGAAAGCCCATCTCCACTAAAAATACAAAAATTAGCCAGGCATGGTGGTGGGCGCCTGTAGTCCCAGCTACTCGCGAGGCAGAGCCAGGAGAACTGCCTGAACCCAGGAGGCGGAGGTTGTATTGAGCCAAGATTGCACCACTGCGCTCCAGCCTGGGCGACAGAGCAAGACTCCATCTCAAAAAAAAAAAAAAAAGAATGATAAACAAATCCTGAATGCCCCTCAAGTTTCAAATTTCTATCATACTCCAGTGAGCCAATGAACTATGAACAAAATTTCTCAGGAAAATCCTTCTGTAGAGGCAAATAATCCAATGTATCATCCTGGTAATAACTGGAGATCACATTCAACAGCAGCTCAAATTTCTTTCCTCCTATTCTATTGGTTTAAGATGTGCATTGTATATGGAGGATATTTTTCTCTCAAGTCATAACAAATAATCCTTGGATTGTTTCTTTGAAGGTTATAGGTTACATGCCTTAGCTTGAAAAATTGCTGAGGGAATGAAAAAAAGGTGCTTTAAAGCAGCAAAAAATGGTATATTATGCCTGATGTCAGAACAATATTTTTTTCAGTTCGACTTTTAAGTAGGAATTTTGATTTCATTTAAATTCAATGGACACTGGTTTCTGAGTGCTTCTGGTTTCGCACATGCATCTCCTGTGCTCATAATTACAAAATTAGTGTATAAGTCATGTACAAAGTCGATAAATCATTATAGCCTGATATTCAGGTACACATATATATTTGTGTGCATAAATGAAAAGAAAAGGAAAAAAGAACCTGAGAAAAGCTGGCACTGAATATCAAATAAAAAAGACTGTGGAGCATAACAATTCTCTTATTCCCATACTAATTTGCCAAGGAGTTAATTCTGATAACCCAAATCTGGCAGTGGTCTGCACAGCTTGCAAATGGAGAATTACATAGCATCTGGAGATGTATGAAAAAGTAATTTTTTTCTCAACTATATTACTGCACGCTTATTAATCCTTTAAAACCTGTTAGTTGAGATAAATGCTTTTTAAAAATAGGTGTAGTGATTTTTTTTCCCTTGCTGGGATTCATTCTTTAATACTCCATGGTACAGAATCTCTTGTATTTTATGTCGCTTGCCACTGCATTATTCAATACAAATATGACAAAAGTATGAGTCACACACAAAATAACAACCAAAGAAGTTATACTTCAACATTAAAGCGGTAAGCGGCAACTGTCAAAGTAATGTGTAAAGCTCACATTTTTAGATTTGCACTCTACACAGGACACAAACAGCAGAGTTCTGTCTGCTACCAACAAAGACTCTGCAGGCTCTGTCAAGTGCCCATCATCCAGAGAGGTTGCCAGCACTGTTTACAGTCACAAATACAAATTATTTACTGCTGCATATGAGGTAATGGGGTAGATTTATAGTAGCAGGAGAGGCTGATAAAACCACTGGCAAGATGTAGCTTGCAGGAGTAAACAAATTAACCAGAAGGAGCAGCTGGGGAAAGAAGTGCAGGCATATGTGTGCGCATTTGGTTAAAATACAATGTTGACTTCGAAATGATGGGGAAAAAAATTCTCTTTCTCCTCCTATGCTCGCCCCAAGGCACAGAATCTAAACGGGATACTTTCAAATTTCATTGTCTGTCTGCTGCTGGAAATCAGGTGTAGTATATGTAAGTCTTCTATGATTGTTATAATTCTATAATCTCTCACAAGAACCCCGTTGGCTATAAAAGGGAATGGCTATTACAAAAGTATACATTCTCATTGTCAGTTATAGAAATATGAGAGGAGATGAGACAGCCCTAGGACTTACAGACTTGTCTCAATCTAAATATGGCTTGCAAACTATTTTGCTTCATCATTTTGGAAATCACCACACACACACATACACACAAACACAAACACACACACACAAACACACACACACACTAATGTAGAGAACACTTCTGAAAGTTTCAAGGTGGGAAAAAAAAGCTCTTCCTTGGATTACATAATTTTAATTATGTCTTCCTTCTGGCATTTTAGCAGGTGGCATTTCAGTGATCAATGAAGTCCCAGCATCTGTGCTTCCTTGTATATTATGCTCGTCTGCCAGTCCACTGATCTCAAATTACATTATTGTCAGCACCATTTTTAGATGCCTATAACAACCAGGTCTTCTGGCACCTTTCCTCATTTTGTAGCATGAGAGTTATCCCAAAATCCTTTTTATTCTTTTCTTAGGAAGACATTGTTTTCTGTTGTTCCAAAATTTCTTTTTCTTTACCTCTTTGGTTCCTTTCAAGAGCCTTTCACTTATGGCATGTGTACTACTGGAATGAAAACATCAAAGCAAACAATTTAGCATGTTAGATGCTTAATAAATTGCGGTTGAATGATTAGAGACGTTGAATCTGCTTGGAAAAGAATGGCATCTGGACATTTGAAAGCATTTCTGTCTTGTGTAATGATACTTTGTGTGTATCTCTGCTTTGGTGTCAGGCTTAAAAAACGTGTTGTCATGTCTACCACCTCATCGTATCTTCACAGTATTCCTGGAGCTAGGCAGGAAAGGCATCCATTCAATATTTATTGAGTATCTCCCCAGGCACTGTTCTTGGCACTAGGCATAGAGAGATAAAAAGAGAAACCTCCTTGCTTTATGTGGGGAAGTGGGGGGAATTATATTCTAGAGGTTTTCATTGCCAATATGAAAATGTGGAAACAGAAGTACCAAGAATTAAAGGCTGGCCTCTAGTTAGCAGTTAGAGGGATTGCTATATCTAGCAATCAAGTCTTCTGGGTGCTGCTCTTGGTTGCCAGGCTACTTACAACCTCTCTTTGGATTGGGACTAATTGCTGCAAAGAACAATGACAACAAATCATGAGCAGAAATATTGTTTGTTAATTTGAATGGAAATCATCTGCTCGTCCCTGACAATGTATTGTGTGCATTTTTACAGCTCTTTATTTTAAAATATAGTACTAATTGTTTTGGGGAGAAACGTTTGGTATTGGTAACTGGTTTATTGCATAGATCGGTCCTGGTGGATTGCGAGTAGAAAGTCCACAGATTCTTTCTCACCAAGGCCCTTTCAAACAATCTGTTTAACATCTTTCTTCCCTTCTGCTTTTTAAAGTTGCCTTTTGGTATTTCAAAAAACAGTCCAGTTAAATGTAATGACTCATCCAGCTGAAAATTTCTCTACTCTCCCAGCTCAGGGCTGACACTGGCTCAGTACCCCCATATGGATCGGGGTATAGTTAACTTCTTTACTCTCTGGTTCCTCTAGCCTTTTACCTTCATTTACAATACTGCCTCTTGATCCTCCAGGTTAGAGTAGGGAGACAAAGGAGAAGTAAATAGCAGACAGGTCTTACTTGACTGGTATGGGTATGACTTAATATTGGTGCTCTGTGGATTCTGATGCCCAAATGCTGTATTTTTCTCCTTTGAGAAACTTTTGAGGAATTTTCATATTCCTTTGCTGGGAATCTCCCAGCTGCAATTCTATGGCATGGATCATGTCTTTTCTGAATGATGTTTCTATAGCTCCCCTCAGCTCTGTATTTCAGTAGTTCACCCCATGATATCCTCCAAAAGATCACCTTATCCCCAAAGATTATCTACCCCAGGACTCTTGGCTGGTGTCCACTTCAGGATGACCTAAGCCTGACTCCCTTCTGTGGAGTCCACATAAGGCTCAGGAAAAAAATGCACCTCTGTCCTTCTAATCTCTGGAAGTGGAGGCCATTTCCAGAACATCAGTCTTGGCTCTGCTGTCATAGGCAACTCCATTCAGCTGACAGCCACCAAGCTTTACACTTTTACAGGCATGAATCAGGTATCCATAACCACTCTCCCTCCCAATCTCCAGTAGACTCAAGTCAAGTACACTCATGGTTTCTTTGGAATTGCCTCTCACTTGGCATAAAGTGGCGAGCCCTGCACTGCAGAGAGGACAGGCCACAGCATTACAATCAGCTTGTCTCTGAAGAAATCCTGACTATGTAACCATGCTTCAGCAACTTGCAAGTCAAAAGGGGGTTGTCTTACTCAGCTCAGGCTGCTTCAACAAAATACCATAGACTGGGTGGTTTAAACAACAGAAATTTATTGCTCATAGTTCTGGAGGCTAGAAAGTCAAGATCAAGGTACCAGTAGATTCAGTTCCCAAGTGAGGGCTCTGTTCTTGGCTTGCAGGCTGCTGTGCTCTTATATCTTCATATAGCAGAGAGAGGCAGAGGCAGAGAGAGGGAGACGGGAAGGGCGGGCGGGGGAGAGAGAGAGACAGAGAGAGAGAATGCTCTCTTATGTCACTGTCGTCTCCTTCTCCTTCCTCTTCCTTTCCTCCCTCCTCCTCCCCCTTCTCCTCCCTTCTTATTCTTTCTTCTCCCCTTTGCACTCCCCCTCTCCCTCATCCTCCTCCTCTTCCTCTTCCTCCTCCTCTACCCTCATAAGCTAATTACCTCCTAGAGGCCCCATTTCCAAACACCATCACACTGGGAGTTAGAAATTCAAAACCTGATTTTAGGGTTGCCTTTTTGTGTGATAATATTTGAAAGCAGAGTTAGTTCCTAATAGGTTAAATTCTAGTGCTTACTTACTACTTCTTTACTACTACTTCTTTCTTTGATAAGACTGTGGATCTTTTCATTTAGATATATTTTCCTAAGCTATGGTCAAGCTGTTTTTATTTCATACCTCAGTCCATAGCAGAGGTTGATGAGCCAACATTCATATCATCATCTTTTGGCCACTTTTTTGGAAGAACTGCATATGCAATTTAGTACCTCCCTTTCTGGTGGGTGCACTTAGATTCATTTTTATCAGCTCTGTGGATTTAGCTGAAATAATGAGACTGGAAGAGTGACATTTGAATACCCTTTTAAAGATGTGAATGCTTGAAATACTAACCCCTTTCTTCCATTTGTAAAGCTTTGTCTCATTTTTAAAATTCCAGTATTCATCTGCTCCTTCACGAAGGATTTGAGGACAACTCTACCTATAAAGAGTAACTACATTAAGTTCAACAGAACCTGAGAGCTTACTAAATATTTTTACACTGTTATTAACCATTTGTGTTTGCTTGACTGTTTTGTGTTTCCTGTCTTCTTCAGGTATACAGAAACCATTTAACCCTAGGCTCAACCACTTGTCCAATACAACTTTTTGTGATAATGGAAAGTTCTTCCTTGTTTGATGTGGCAGCCAATATCCACTTTTGGTTACTGAGCAATTGCAATGTGACTAGTACAACTAAAGATCAGAATTCCTAATTTTATCTAAGTTTAATTAATTTACATTAGAAATATAATTAAATTTAAACAGCCATTTGTCATTAGTACTTACCACAACAGACAGTGAAATACCAGACAATTAGTATCTTGATTTTTAATTATTTTCCTTTGAACAATACTCACAATGATGTCCTATTATAATGCATTATATTGTTCCACTCAGTAAATAGTGAATGACTGTTATTTCATCATTTTCACATTAGCAAATATTAGCACTTAAATATGTCTAGCTGGTGACATTAGTATAAGTCACTTACATTTTTTAGCTACTTACTTTTGATAATATTCCAATATCGAATAATGTCCCTTTCTATCTGCCACCACAACTATGCCTATGTCCTTCCTCTACTTCATGCAATCAAGTTAAGTTTAGAAGGTAGACCTTAACAAAGTATGCATCATTTGTCCCTCAAAAAAGCAGCTTTGGGGCAATGACTATGTATGTTCTGAGAATGAGTCTAGGTGCAACTGATAAAATGGACAAGAGTACAATGGTTCATATAGTTTCCAAGGCCAATCTCATGGATGATATGGCTTACCACGGCCATGCTAGGCATGAGGTAATTTAAATTTATTTCAAAACACCCTAGATATTCAAAGGACATCCTTATACCATGAGGTGTTCACTAGTCTTTTCTGAGGTTAGCCCCATGTGTAATGAGTTTTTCTGATTTATGGATCTGTCCTTGTTTCTTGAAATACACAATGTTTATAAAAACAAAACCACACCATCTTTGGTAACTGTATGTTGAACTAGCTACTGCTGAGATTTACTAGGAGCTCCCAGGTTATTTTTAGTTCATCTAATAAATTTACAGTTGTTCTTCTTTTCTTGTAGTTACGTTTGTTAGTTTGCCAAGCAATCCAGCTGCTATCCATTTTTCACCAGTTTAAGTGGAATGTCACTGAGATTGAGCTTCAGTGGGTCTTATGGGCATATTCCAGCATTTCTCTGGTTACTAATCCTGTCATTTGAAACTACGGATGACACAGAGGTAATACTGATGCCAATGCACAGAAGTCATCAATGAATTTTGATGCATTACTAAATCTGCACTATATACAGCACTCTGGACTGCCGCAAAATGAACCTTCAGCTCATTCTAGAGCTTCACTTTGGAATGATGCTCTAAGGGATGGAGAAAAGCCAAATATCAGTTTGCTGGACTAATCTTATAAGAGGGATCCCATCAAGATGATATTTAATTATGTTTTAAATACTCAGAACAAATTCCAAAGGAAAAGTAATATGTTTTCCTTAGCATGAACTACTCTCATTATAGCAGTGGCTTTAGTCCAGTCTGATAACTTTACCTGATACAGTATTGTTGAAATCTACTGGGAAATAATATTATTATGAGACTCACTGGTTTTGACACAGACAGGCCCAGGGGACTGTTTCTGAATAAAGGTGGTGAATAAAGTAAACAGCCACTGAAAATAGCAAGCATAATTATCTTTGTGCATTTTCAGAGTTGCAGAGAGACTATCAGATGATTCTTCGTGCATTAAGACACTAATTCAGGGATGATGTAAAGTTCTCCATTATTTGGGTATGAATGATGATACAAATAAAGGCTTTCTGTCCTTACTTTCCCTGAAATACCATCCCAGATGCTTTACCTCATAATTGTCTTTTATATTTTCTAAGTTCCTATGACAATGTAATGATGTCTTCCATTATTGCCTCTCAAATACAGACTGTGCTTATGGACAGGGGATATACCTCATACATTTTCTGTATTTTTCATAGTGCCTAGCACCAGACAAATAGAAGGCATCTAATACATACTTGTTTATCAGCAGTATGTATAATGCCAATCATTCTTGGGAAGGAAAAAACACAAATTAAAGGTTGTTATATTTTAAGGGCAGTGATTAAACTCTAATACCTCATTTACTGATGGTAAGCTAATCTATGCTTTAAATAACTTTGCAGTTGTCTTTTTGTGTAATAATATTTGAAATCACAGTAGTTCTCAACAGGTTAAATTCTAGTACTTATTTGCCAGTTCTTTATTTGATAAGACTATGGATTTTCTTATCATTTAAATACATTTTCCTAAGCTATGGTCAAACTGTTTTTAATTTCAATGTACTATTCCTAAACTAGAGGATTCAGAGTCACTTCCCTAATAATATTTTTTTCTGGTATAGTAAAAAAATCATTTTACACACAGAGCCATCTCATTCCTACAGTGAGACTCTAATGGAAGCAGCCTGGGGCTAAGTGGTGTCTGTGCTGCTGCATGCATTTATCAAAGGCAATAACAGTACTCGCCAATGAAGTCAGAGCCTCCCAGTTAATCCTCCCACACCTTCTTGCTCAGATGGGTGGAAAAGAGAGAAGAAAGCGGAAGAGGCTGGGCACAGTGGCTCACGCCTGTAATCCCAGCACTTTGGGAGGCCAAAGCAGGCGGACTGCCTGAGGTTAGGAGTTCGAGACCAGCCTGGCCAACATGCTGAAACCCCAGCCTGGGCGACAAGAGTAAAACTCCATTTCAAAAAAAAAAAAAAAAGAGGAAGAAATAAAGGAAGAAATTGGGAAAGTGGCTTCAGCCACAGCCTTTGATAAAATCAGAGTCCTGTTTATGAGAAAAGGTTGAGGAACCACTATTGAGTACAAATTTAATTCTACAATGGCCTTCAGGGTTGTTGGGGTCTATGGAAGGTCTAAGATAAGTCAATGGAAAATTGTTTTTTTATGGCACTGATGCAACTGGCTTCCCTTCTGGTAAGCTACCTTCAATCACCTAGAAAAACATGAGCTCTTTTTTTTTTTTCATCATCCTTTCCCCACACATGCCTTAAGCCCCTACCTCTGCTTCCCCTAAGACACTAAGGACAACATTATGCTTTGCATGAAGCTGTTTTCCCTCAAGTCTCTTATATGCATATCTAAGAAGAGAAAGTGAAAGAAACTAGAAGTCAGAGAGTTAATTCACAAATTTCTGGAGATCTGAGCTTTCAAGAAATGCTAGAAAAGCACAGGGACTGGGATCTGTAACTTTGAGAGTCAGTGGCTTGATGGAAACAATAAATGCAAGTGACTCCTAAAATTGCTTTCAAACGAAGGAGCATAACATGGCCATGAAGTAGAGGTCCAAAACAAAAAAGTCACATGCAATCTCTAAGCGAATATTAAAAACTATGACCAAAGTCTGCCATTTTTAAGGGCTAAGAAACTCTTCTAAGCTGCAGAACACAGCGGAACTTTTGCAACGCAGTAAACAGTACTTAATATAAAAGAGTTAGGAACTACTATTGCAATATTCAACTGATTGTGCTATAAAATTTATATTGTACAGCTTACCAGATCAAGATCTGCTCATCAATGCTGATTATAGCATCTGAGTCACCAGAGCAATGGGAAAACTCATTTTGTCAGAGAACTCAATATTGTGTGAGTAGTTAATACTTTCAATGACCATTATTATAATAGTCTGTGACTCACTGGGCCTGATGGGTGAAGTGAAATTATAAAACTATTCACTCGTAGACTAACCCTTATTCCTAAAGCCACCTCTTAGTGGTGGGCCAATGAGTCCTAGAAATTTCCATGAAAACTTTGAATAATACTAGTTTCCTTTAACTACTTCTTAAGAAAGCACAGATCTTGACTTGGCAATTGACTAACATAAGTCTGGTCAAATGACATAACTACACTGTCTTAGTCCATTTTCTGTTGCTTATAGCAGAACACCTAAAAAGGAGTAATTAGGAAAAACAAACAAAAAATTATTTCTTACAGTTACGGAGCCTGAGAAGTGCAAAGTTGAGGGGTCGCATCTAGTGAGAACCTTCTAGCTGATGGGAACTGGGCAGAGTCCCAAGGTGATTCAGGCATCACATCACACCATAAGAAAACTGAGTATGCTAGCTCAGGCCTCTTTTCTTCTTGTAAAGCCACCAGTCCTATTCCTGTGACAATCCATTAATCGATTAATCCTATAATGGATTAAGCTATTCATAAAGGTAGAGTGCTCATGACCCAATCACCTCTTAAAGGCCCCACCTCTCAATACTGCCACATTGAGGATTGAGTGTCAACATGAATTTTGAAGGGGACAAACATTCAAACCATAGCATCCCACCCCTGGCCTCCCAAAATGCATGTCCTTCTAACACATAAATATATTCATTCCATCCCCATAGCCTGAAAGTCTTATCTTGTTCCGGCACCAACTCAAAAGTCCAAAGTCCGGTCTTACCTATGAGCCTATGAAATCAAAACAAGTTATCTACTTTCAAGATACAATAATAGTACAGGCCTAAGACAGTCATTCTCATTCCAAAAGGAAGGAGGAGGCAAAAAGAAAGGAGTAACAGGCCGCAAGCTAATCTGAAACCCAGAAAGATAAACATGAAATCTTAAAGCTGGAGAATAATCCCTTTGATTTCATGTTCCACCTTCTGGTTATCTTGGGGCATGAATTGGGACCCAAGGCTTCAGGTAGCCCCATCTCTATGGCTTTGCTGCATGCTAGTCACATGGTAGCTCATACAGGTAGAAATCCAGTGTCTAAAGCTTTCCCAGGCAGATGTTGCTTGCTACTGGTGACTCTACAGCTCTGGAGTCCCAGTGGTGCTTCCATGGCTCCACTCAGCATTGCCCTAGTGGAGACTCTCTGTGGCAACTCTAACCCCGCATTTCCACTCAGCATTGCTCTAGTTGGAGCCCTTTATTGGGGGCCTTGCCCCTGTGACAAGTCTCTGCCTGAGCCCCCAGGCTTTCTGCAGCATCCTTTGACATTTGGGTGAATGCTGCCAACCCTTCACAACTCTTTCTTTCTGCAAGCCTACAGAATTTGCACATGGATGCCACTAAGGTTGACGACTTGTATCTTCTTAAGCAGTGAGCTGCTCAGTGTCTGAGGCCACTTGAGCCACAGCTGGGGTGGCTGAGGAGGACTATGTTGGAATGAAGGGAGCAGAGACCTGAGGTAACCCTGGGCAGCAGGCCTGAGTCTGTCCCCAAAGCCACTCTGTCCTCCTAAGCCTCTGGGCCTGTGATGGAAGAGAGAGCCTCAAAGATCTCAGAAATGCTTCCAGGGTCTTCTTCTACCACCTTGATGGTTCCTTCTCTCTACTAATCTTAGCAAAAGTTGCTCAGCCACTTACTTGGTTTCCTCTCTTGAACAAGCTTTTTCACTTCTTACATGGCCAGGCCGAGAGTTTTCCAAATCTTTTTTTTTGCTTCTCTTTTCATTATAAATTCCATCTTTAAGTCATTTTTTTTTAAACTCACAGCTTAATGTAAGTGGTTAAAAGTAGTCATGCAGCAGCCTGAATGGTTTGCTGCTTAGGTATTTGTTCCATCAGATATCCTAATTCATTGCTCTTAAATTCTACAATCCATAAAGCCCTAACTAAGGCACAGACACAATGCAGCCAAGTTCTTTGCCAGTTTACAACAAGGATGGACTTTTCTCCAGTTTCCAATACCTTGTTCCTCAGTTCTATCTGAAATCTCATCAGAACGTTCTTTGCTGTCCCTATTTCTATCAGTATTCTGGTCACAACTAGTTAACCAATCTCTAAGGAGTTACAAACATTTCCTAGTATTCTTATCTTCTAAGCCCTCCCCTCAATATAAGTGTTTTCTAGCCTGCTCCTTCAAACTCCTGTAGCTGCAGCCCATTACCCAGTTCCAAAGCTGCTTCTGCATTTTTACGTATTTATTATCAGCAACATGCCACTTCTCAGTACCAATTTTCTTGGCTCATTTTCCATCATTTATAAAAGAATATTTGAAACTGGGTAATTTATGAATAAAAGAAATTTACTTCTCCCAGTTATAGAAGCTAAGAAGTACAAGGTCAAGGGGCCACATCAGGGAGGGCCTTCTTACTTGTGGGGATTTCCTGCAGAGACCTGAGATGGCTCAGGGTATCATATAATGAGGGAGCTGGGTAGGCTAGCTCAGGTCTCTCTTCCTCTTCTTATAAAGCCACCAGTCCCACTTCAATGGTAACCCATTAATCCATTCATGAAGGCAGCACTTTCAGGACCCAATGACTTCTTCAAGGCCCCACTTGTCAGTACTGCCACAATGGGGATTAAGTTTCAACATGAGTTTTGGAGGGGACAAACATTCAAATCATAGCACACTCTGAGATGCAGTTTCTTATTTGCAAAGGAGGTATAACATATCTATCTCATTCGAGTTGCTACAAAATTAAATGAGATAATGCATGTAAGACATCTAATAAACACTCAGTAAATGTGAATTTCCTTCTCACTTGAAAAGCATTAACGTACATTAAGTTTGAAAAATATCTGTTAAAGAATTAAAGCAGAAGTTTGGGCCATGGGTTAGGGGAATATAGCTCATAAACATCATACCTACGGCTACTGAGATTGTTAATATTTCACAATATTTGTGAAATACTGATAAAAGATGGAAGCAAATTTGAATGAATCCATATTACTGCAAACTTATTAGTGGCATCAAAGAGTTGTTGATTGAAGGTTTCCAACAGTGTTTACAGTGGGCATTACCCTAGGTTCATAAGATTGAGTATGCATTCATTTCAAATGTAATGTGTCTTTAATATAACTCATCTCTTTAGGATTCCACAGTTCCTATAAATGGCTTTTCTGGAGAAAGTTCACTTTACTTTTCTGCATTGAAATACAGGATTTAGCACTGTTAATTTATTGTGGATCTTATAAAAAGCACTGAACCAAGAAGGGAACAAATGGTTAATTATGTGGTACTTTAGCAGTAATGTAACACATAGTGAACAAAAATGACTTCCATAAAGTGAACATTATAACCTAATTGGTTTCTTGCACCTTATAAATTAGAACTAATTACCAAAATAGAAATTTTTACATCTCAGAGTCACTTGGCCAGAATTACATAGTCAGTCAACTGCCAAGTCAAGATAAAAACACAAGTTTTCCTGATTCAAAGTTAATATTCATTCCTCTTGCTGTATTCTCTTAGGAAGTAAAGACACTAATAGTATTCAGGGTTTTCCATTCATACTTCTGCACAGCTGTCTAGTCTTCATCAAACCTAAGCATAAAAAATACACAGGTTTACTTCTTTCTCTGGGTCTCCATTTCCTTATTAAGGCCCCCCATGTCATGTAAAACTTGCATTAAATAAATCTGTATACTTTTGTCTTTTTAATCTGTCTTTTGTTATGGGGCCTTAGCCATGAACCTAATAGAGAAAGGAAACATATCTGCTTTCCTTTACAATACTGATATATTAAATATATCAATTGCAGTAAATAAACTCAACATAGCTCTTTAGTATATGGTAACTACCATAACATGTGAAATTAGAATGTATTCCTTTTAAACCAAGAAGAAAAAACTTTAAGTATTCCAAGAAAGAAAAAATTAATCACACTGAGGCAAAATGATAGTATAGAAACTTAAAAATACAGGAAAAAAACCTAATAAAACAGCAATTACAATATATGTAAACGACATAAACCAAAAGACATGGAAACTATGATATTAATATAATGAAAAAGGATATATCAGGTGAAAATAAACCTGAAGAAATCTGTAGTAATATTGACACTTGAAAACATAAAATTTAAAGCAAAGAATGGGAGATAAAAATGCCATACACTTTAAAAATGAACAGTAGATGAACAGAATGCATTCATTATAAATACATATGCATTCAACAATACAGCTTCAAAATATATAGGATTAACTGACAAAATAGGAGGAAGTAATTTATGAATTTAAAAATTGGATTGAGGATTTTATCATACCCTCTTCTGAAAATATAGATCATGCAGAAAAAATATACAGTGATATAAGAAAACCTCGAAAATATAACTTAACAACCACTGTTATGTTTAAATCATGAGACATAAATGAAATTTCGTCTCTCAAAGCAGAATACACAATCTGTTTAAGTACACATAAACATTTACAAAACTGGTCATATATTAGGTCAATTAAATAGCCTCAGTACAATCTAAAGGATCAATATAATGTCTTATGTTCTCCATTTTTTTCTATCCCCCCATCTCTCTCCTTGTCAGCTTTATTGCAGGACAATCTATACAAGTACACAATCATTGTACACCCAATTAACGTTCACAAAGTGAATAAATTATTGTAACCAGTCATCCAAACAAGACATAGAATATTATCAGAATCCCAGAAGCCCCTTTCTGCTACTCTTCTAGACGTTATCCCTCAGCAAGAGATATTCTGATTTCTATCACAATAGATGGAATTACAATATGTATTCTTGTGTATAATGTCTTTTGTTCAACATTGTGCTGGTGAGATCCATTAAGTTTGTGTCTTATTTCATTTCCCATTTCTTTTCATTTTTGTAAGGTACTCAAATATGAGAATATACCACAACATATTTGTAGACATTTCAGTTGTTTATAGCTATTTCCAGTTCTAGTGATTCCATGAATATGCTTATACATGCCATTTGATGAAGAGATGTACACATTTATTTTGTCTCTATAATAGGTGTGTAATTTCTGGGTCATACGGAATATACAATATGTTCAACTTTAGTAAATAATTCTAAGCAGTTTTCCAAAGTGGTTGTACCAACTTATACTCTCATTATCAATGAATGAAAGTTTCAGTGGCTTCACATCCTTGTCAACACTTACAAGTTCTTTCTTTTTCATCTTAGTCATTTGGTATGGTATGTTGTAGATTCAAGTCTTCTTTATATAATGAAGTTGAATATATTGTCATATTTTTATTTGTTATTTGTATATCCTCTTTTGCAAAATGCTTGTTCCAGACTTTTGCTCATTTCTCTATTTGATTGTCTGCATTTGATTATCAATTTGTGAACATTCTTCATGTATTCTAGATATGAGAGTCCTTTGCTTGATAAAGGTTTTGCATGTATGTTCTCCATTCTCTGGCTAGACTTTTTTACTACTTGATGTCATGTGATGAATAGAAATTTGTTATTATGATATAACTCGATTTACTTCTTTATTACTTTTCTTCACGTTTAATGACTTTTTGATGAAAAGAGACATTGTGATTCATTTTATTCAAAATATATAGGTATTTAGTTGTTATGGTTAATGTTTTACTTATTTATTTGTTCTACCGTGCCATTTAATTACCTTTTTGTGGTAATAAATACATTTATATTCCTTTTTTCTCCTTCATCCCCACACCCTACCCTTCCTGACCTCTGGTAACCACCATTCCACTCTGTCTTCATGAGCTCCACACTTTAGCTCCTACACGAGTGAGAACATGCAATATTTGTCTTTCTGTACCTAATTTATTTCGTTTAATATAATGGCCTCCAGTTCCATCCATGTTGCTGCAAATGACAGTATTTCATTTGTTTTATGGCTGCATAACATTCCATTCTGTATATATACATTTTCTTTATCCATTCATCTATTGATGAGCACTTAGGTTGATTCCATATTTCAGTGAATAGTGCTACAATAAACATGGAAGTGCAGGTATTTCTTTGATATACTAATTTCCTTTCTTTTAGATATATGCCTAGTACTGTGATTGCTGGATAATATGGTAGTTCTATTTTTAACTTTTTGAGGAACATCCATACAGTTGATAGTAGCTGTACTAATTTACATTCCCACCAACAGTGTATGAGGGTTCCCCTTTTCTACAACCTCACCAGCAGATGTCATTGCCTGTCTATTGATACAAGCAGTCTTAACTGGGGTGAGATGATATTTCAGGATTAATGATGTTGAACATTTTTTCATATACCTATTGGCCATTTGTCTGTCTTATTTTGAGAAATGCCTGTTCAGATCTTTTGCCAATTTTAAACTCAAATTATTTGTGTGGTTTTTTTTTTTTTTTTTTTTTGGTTTTTTGTTTGCTATTGAGTTGTTTGAGCTTCTTACATATTCTGGTTATTAATGCCTTCTCAGATGGATAGTTTACAAATATTTTCTCCCATTCTGTAAGTGGTCTTTTCACTTTGTTGATTTTTGTTGTTGTTGTTGTTGTTGTTGTTGTTATACAGAAGATTTTTAGCTTGATGTAATCCCATTTGTCTATTTTTGCTCTGGTTCCCTGTAATTTTTTTGAGGTCTTCTCCATAAAATCTTTGTTTAGACCAATGTTCTGGAATGTTTCCTCAATCAACTTTTTTTTTTTGTAACACTTGTGTAGACATTTTTAGAGCAGGTTTATATACATTTTTTGATTCAAACTTTATTTTGTATGGGTATCTTTATAAAATTATTTGATATATGCTCCTTTTTCTTAAGGTAAAATACATTTGTATAGCATCAACATTTTCTGTTAGGTCTATTAAGAACCTCATTTTATGACCTAAGAGGTCATAAGTGACACTTACACAAGGTCAATCTTAATGACCTGTATAAGAACCACAATTATACAAGGACATTTTGGGGGAGTATAATTTGCATGCCCCTTTGCCAAAAAGCCTCATAGTTCTGTGCTTTTGGAGCTATTTATTTTATTTTATTTTTTTACTTTAAGTTCTGGGATACACGTGCAGAATATGCAGGCTTGTTACATAGGTATATATGTGCCATGGTGGTTTGCTGCACCCATCAACCCATCATCTAGGTTTTAAGCCCGTATGCATTAGGTATTTGTCCTAATGCTCTCCCTCCACTTGCCCCCCAGCCCCTGACAGGCCCCAGTGTGTGATATTCCTCTCCCTGTGTTGTGTCCATGTGTTCTCATTGTTGAACTCCCACTTTTTTTTTTTTTTTTTTTTTTGAGATGGAGTCTCGCTCTGTCGCCCAGGCTGGAGTGCAGTGGCGCGATCTCGGCTCACTGCAAGCTCCGCCTCCCAGGTTCACACCATTCTCTTGCCTCAGCCTCCCGAGTAGCTGTGACTACAGGCGTCTGCCACTGCGCCTGTCTCATTTTTTGTATTTTTAGTAGAGATGGGATTTCACCATGGTCTTGATCTCTTGACCTCGTGATCCACTCACCTCGGCCTCCCAAAGTGCTGGGATTACACGTGTGAGCCACCGCACCCGGCCACAACTCCCACTTATGAGTGAGAAGAATGGGTGTTTGGTTTCCTGTTCCTGTGTTAGTTTGCTGAGAATGATGGTTTCCAGGTTCATCCATGTCCCTGCAAAGGACATGAACTCATTCTTTGTTATGGCTGCATAGTATTCCATGTGTATATGTGCCACATTTTCTTCATCCAGTCTATCATTGATGGGCATTTGGGATGGTTCCAAGTCTTTGCTATTGTAAATAGTGCTGCAATAAATATACATGTGCATATGTCTTTATGGTAGAATGATTTATCATCCTTTGGGTATATACCCAGTAACGGGATTGCTGGGTCAAATGGTATTTCTGGTTCTAGATCCTTGAGAAATCGCCACACTGTCTTCCACAATGGTTGAACTAATTTACACTCCCACCAAGAGTGTAGAAGCGTTCCTATTTCTCCACACCTTCGCCAGCATCTGTTGTTTCCTGACTTTTAATGATCGCCATTCTAACTGGCATGAGATGGTATCTCAACAAACAACTCTGTGCTAAAGGGGCATGTTCTAACCCAATGCAAGGAAGCTAAGAACCTTGATAAAAGGTTACAGGAACTGCTAACTAGAATAACCAGCTTAGAGAAGAACCTAACTGACCTGATGGAGCTGAAAAACACAGCACAAGAAATTAGTGAAGCATACACAAGTATCAACAGCCAAATCAATCAAGCAGAAGAAAGGATATCAGAATTTGAAGATCAACTTACTGAAATATGGTGCGAAGACAAGATTAGAGAAACAAGAATGAAAATGAATGAACAAAGCCTCCAAGAAATATGGGACTATGTTAAAAGACCAAACCTATGATTAATTGGCGTACCTGAAAGTGACAGGGAGAATAGAATCAAGTTGGAAAACACACTTCAGAACATTATCCAGGAGAACTTCCCCAACCTAGCAAGACAGGCCAACATTCAAATTCAGGAAATATAGAGAACACCAGTAAGATAGTACTTGAGAAGAGCAACCCCAAGACACATAATTGTCAGATTCTCCAAGGTTGAAATGAAGGAAAACATGTTAAGAACAGCCAGAGAGAAAGGTCAGGTTACCTACAAAGAGCAGTTTTATATTTACCTAAAACAAACTGAAGTATGGGGATGTCTCTAGATTTAGTCTTTTTGCTCAAGATTGTTTTGGCTCTTTTGGATCTTTTGTGCTTCCAGATAAATTTTAGGAGTTTCTTTTTCTATTTCTGTAAATAATGTCATTGGTATTTGGATAGAGAATGCACTGAATCTGTAAATTGCTTTGGCTGGTATTGCCCATTTTCACAATATTAATTCTTCCAACCCATGAACATGCAATATCTTTCCATTTTGTGTGTGTGTCTTCTTCAATTTCTTTAAACAGAGCTGCACAGTGTTTTTTTTTTGTTTGTCTTTTGTTTTTTTTTTTTTTTGTATACATCTTCACTTCTTTGGTTAGATTGGTTTCTAGGTATTTCATATTTTTGTAGCTATTGGAAATGGGCTTGGTTTCTCGATTTTTTTCTGATTGTTTGCTGTTGGCCATATATAAGTGTTACTGATTTTTGTATGTTAATTTTGTATCCTGTATCTTTACTAAATCCATTTATTAGTTCTAACAGTTTTTTATGTTGCAGTCTTTAGGTGGGTTTTTCTAGGTTTAACTTCCTTTCCAATTTGGATATCCTTCATTTCTTTATCTTGACTAATTGCTCTGGCCAGCAGTTCCAGTAGTATGTTCAATAAAAATAGTGAAACTGGGCATCCTTGTCCTGTTCATCTCCTTTGAGGAGAGGTCTTCAATACTTTCCTGTTCAGTATGATGTTAGCAGTGGGTTTGTCACATATGGCCCTTATTATTTTGAGGTATGTTCCTTCAATACCCATTTTGATGAGGCTTTTTGTAATAAGGGATGCTGAATTTTATCAAATGCTTTTTCAGCATCTATTCAAATAATCATAAGGTTTTTCTGATTCTGTTAATGTGATATATTGCATTTATTGATTTGTGTATTTTGAACCATCCTTGCATCCCTGGATGAATCCCTCTTTGTTATGATGAATAATCTTTCTAATGTGTTGAGTTTAGTTTGCTAGCATTTTGTTGAAGATTTTGTGTCTACGTTCACCAGTGATATTGGCCTGTAGTTTTGTGTGTCTGTGTGTGTGTGTGTGTGTGTGTGTGTGTGTGTGTGTGTGTGTGTGTGTGTGTGTGTCTTTGCCTGCTTTTGTTATCAGGGTAATGCTGGCCTCATAAAATGAGTTTTAAAGTATTGCCTCACCTTTAATTTTTTTGAAGAGTTTGAGTAGGATTGGCATTAGTTTTTCTTTAAGTGTTTGGTAGAATTCAGGAGTGAAGTAATCAGGTCCTGGGCTTTTCTTTAATGAGAATCTTTACATTATGGCTTAAATCTTGTTACTTGTTATTGGTTTTTTGAGGTTTCTTTGTGTTTTAATCTTGGTAAGTGATATGTGTCCAGGAATATATGCATTACTTCTAGGTTTCCAAGTTTGTTGGAGTATAATTGTTCATAATAGTGTCTAATGATTCTTTGTATTTCTGATGTCTCAGTTGTTACGTCTCCTTTTTCATTTTTGATTTTATTTATTTGGGTCTTCTCTCTTTTGTCCTTAGCATAGCTAAAGGTTTGTTGATTTTTTTTTTTACCTTTTCAATAAAACAACTTTTTTTTGTTCATATTCTATATTGTATTGTCTTAATTTCATTTATTTCTGCTCTGATTTTTATTATTTCTTTCCTACTACTAATTATAGGCTGGGCTTGTTCTTGCTTTTCTAGTTCCTTGAGATGCATTCTTAGGTTGTTTATTTAAAGTCTTTTTACTTTTTTGATATAGGCATTTATTGCTATCAACTTCGCTCTTAGTGCTGCTTTGCTGTATCCAATCGATTTTAGTATGTTGTATTTCCATTTTCATTTGTTTCAATAATTTTTTAATTTCCTTCTTGAGTTCTTCATTGACCCACTGGTTGTTTAGGAGTATGTTGTTTTATTTCCATGTGTTTGTGTATTTTCTGAGGTTTCTCTTGTTATTGATTTCTAGTTTTGTTCTACTGTGTTCAGAAAAGATGCTTGATATGATTTCTATTTTTTAAAATTCATTCAGATTTGTTCTGTAGTCTAAGATATGGTCTGTTCTCAAGAATGTTCCATTTGCTAATGAAAATAACATGTATTCTGTGGCAGTGGGTTGAAATGTTCCATAAATGCCAGTTTGGCCTATTAGATAGGGTATGTCGTTTAAACTCCAATGTTTTCCTTTTCAGCTCTGGTTGGCACTATAAGCCCAGTTTCACCTCAGCACTAGTAAATTACTGAAGTACTGTCAGTCCTGAATGGGGAGGTCTCAAAGGGATTATCCCAGCAGGATCGGAAGGCTGAGTTGGTGTCCATCCCCAGGGGATCTGTATCTGTGGAATGTACCATCCGACAGCATGGTGTTGCTGAGTCTGATTTGGTGTCTCCTTTGGTTGAGTCACAGAGTTTCCATGGCTGGGAATGTCAGTCCTGCCCCCTCCTTTGTCTCTGCCTGTCCGCAGGGATATTTCTTCCTTCACTCAGTCATGATGATTCCTGTGGGTTAAAGCAAGGACAAGTCTCCTGCTGGGAACCCAAGAAGGTGGGGAAGCCGGCTGACCATCTCAATCTCACTTTTTCAAGTACATAAACTGTGAATTGAGGGGAGATTTCCTGTGTGCTTGGCGCTGGGAAGAATTTGGGGGAGGGGCATTGTGGATGTGGGAGTCTGGATTCTTTTACTATCTGCTTGGAGTTTCTCCACTTTTCTGTGGCTCCAGGAATTGTTTCATCCCATATTTGAGTTCTGGGTTGTTGCTGGTGAAAAATTCTGGTGCTCTATATTTGTTTCTGGATTTCTGTGGTGGGGAGTGAATGAAGCTTGCTTCTATACTGCCATTTTGGAACCAGAAGTCTAGTGCTTTTTATATTCTGATTAAAAATAACCCCATGTCATGAAAAGTTTCCCCTATAATTTCTTTTTAAAAGCTTTATTGTTTTGCCCTTCACATTTATTTCTACAATCTCTATGGAATTGCTTTTTGCATATGGTATAAAGTAGGGTCAAAACACTTGTTTTTTCAACTTACCAAGAAATTGCACTGGGTGCCCATTTTAAATGATTACTTTAAAATATTTCAATTATGTTAAAACTTAAAAAAAAAATTTCCCCAAATACCATCTATCCTTACACAACAGCTGCTTTATTTTCTAATATTTCTCTCTGGTCTTTTATTTTCTTCTATTTACCCATCTATCATGTTTACATACTTCATTTATTCAATAGTATTTGTTGAATATAACTCTATTTGAGTCCTTAGAGTATATAATTCTCTATGACTTTTTTGAGCTTCTCTGGATAATAGTTGGATTTGTTTATTTCATGATTCTCTACGGGGAAATTCAATTTAAATCACAGCCAAAAGCAAAGTAAGTTTTAAGATAAATGGGATTAAATAAAACCATGTACTATATTTAAAATTTTACATTTCACATGAAAAGGGAAGGCATAAGGAATCTAATGAGTAATTCATTCCATAGCTTCAAATATATATATACACAAAGAAAACCCTTTGTCTGAACATGTAACAAAGACAGTGAGATATTCTTTATCTTGATCTCTTATTTTCTTTAACATAAACTTGCAAATGATCTCCTTATAAGAAATAATATCACCTCAATTTCTGAGCTTTTCTGACCTAATAACACTCCAGGAAACTGAGTTCATTATAATAAGGAAAGATTTCTATAAGAAGAATAGCATTTGGAAAATAATTATTGCACTGTTATAGTTAATATTAACAACACATGGAAGTTCAATATCCTTTAAACATTCTTAATTTAATAAATTGGACACATTTAGGATTATTAAAAGTATTATTAAAACATAGTCCTTTTAAATGATAGTAATTATTTACTACTACTGATATAGAATTAAATATTTGCTCCTGATGTGATTGACAGCTACTTTATACTTATAGATACTTAAATAATAGCATTTATAAACTGGCTATACCTATTAGAAATCTCAAGAATTCTTATTATGTAAAAACTATTGTAGCAATATGATGCTTACTCATCATGGCTCAAATGAGTCAATCCTTAAGGGCAGTAACTCAAAGGCCCATCCTTCCTGTCTGAGAAGCGAAAACAAATGTACAATCAGCAGTAATGGTGGGGATAAAATAATTAAAACATTGGCTTATTGACATTCGGGATTTTTTCCTGTGCTCGTAACAGCAAAATGAGTTTATAAATTACCTATGTATGTAACACACATGGTTTGAAAGCTGCCCTTTAGCTGCCACAACCCAGTGGAAATAAAGGGACAGCAATTAAACAAGCATCCTAATTATCATAAACTCTGAGGAATACACGCACAGAGTGCCAGGAGGCATTCATTCATTTTCATGCCAGGATGTGCTTTATTTAAGCACAGTACAAATTACCAAAGCATTTGAAATCTAGGCGAAGGTAAAACGCTCTTGTTAATAGAGATGTCTTCAAGCAAACTGTACTGAATGAAGAATGACTGTGCCATCTTACATCAATTTTACTATGAAAAGAGGACTTACATTATAGTGAACATATTTATACTGACTGCGATGCATCTTCACAGTTTCAAAATAATTAGTCAAGCTGAGCATATCAGTCAAAAAGTACCAGGTAAACGAGTTATACTGAATAGAAAGGAAACAAAGCCCAAAACACTACAACCTGTTAATTAACTGAAATTTTCTCCAGCTTAGTACAATCACTAATCACAACATAGTCCATTTTATTTTTGTCAGCTCTGACTTTGACAGTGTATTTCTGTTATCATTTGGTTTGTTTTACCACCTCCAAACTTCATGTTGATCCCCAGTGTAAGAGGTGGGGCCTAATGGGGGGGTGGTGTTTGGGTTATGGAGGCGGATCCTTCATGAATGACTTGGTGTCATCCTGGCAGTAATGTCAGTCCTTGCTCTATTAGTTCCCATGGAACCTGTTGAAAGCCTGGCACCTGCCTCCCCTTTTCCTTGCCACCTTTCTTGCCATGTGATCTCTCAAACACTGGCTCTCCACCTTCCACCATGAGTGGAAGCAGCTTGAGGCCCTTACCAAAAACCAAGCAGATGCTGGTGCCATGCTTCTTGTACAGCCTGAAGAACTGTGAGCAAAATAAACCTCTCTTCTTCACAATTACTCAGCCCTGGGTATTCCTTTACAGCAACACAAACATACTAACACAACTTTCTTATATTGACCTGAAACCTTTTATTTATATGCATCTGTCCTTGCTTCTTGGGAGCCAAACAAACAAAACCTAACCCTAGTCCCTTTTCAAGATCAGGCCTTAACATTCACACTATTTTTAAAGATCATGTCCTCCCTTTTCCTTCCCTTCCCTTTCCATGATAATAGTCAACTATTCCTCACCAACCTTATTTCAGGTTCTTTCCCTATAGAGTTGTATAGAGTTGTCTCCTTTATGAATATCCCAGTTTGTCAGTAATTGTGCGCAGTACTCCAGTCTAGCCATATCAGTGCAGATTAGAGCAGGGCTTCCCTTCCCTTGTGTTTTGCCACTACTCCTCATGCCATCATCAGATTATGCAAATCATAATATTGACCAGATAACTCTTTGGCCTCACACTAAGTCAACCAAAACCATATCTGTACAAACCAAAACTCTGAGTCTTTTTTTTTTTAAACATGGTGCTCTGCACGTATGTTTATTGCAGCACTATTCACAATAGCAAAGACTTGGAACCAATCCAAATGCCCATCAATGATAGACTGGATTAAGAAAACGTGGCACATACACACCATGGGATACTAAGAAGTCATAAAAAGGGATAAGTTCATGTCCTTTGAAGGGACATGGATGAAGCTGGAAATCATCATTCTCAGCAAACTATTGCAAGGACAAAAAACCAAACACCGCAAGTTCTCACTCACAGGTGGGAATTGAACAATAAGAACATTTGGACACAAGATGGGGAACATCACACACCGGGGCCTGTAGTGGGGTGGGGGGAGGGGGGAGGGATAGCATTAGGAGATATGCCTAATGTAAATGATGAGTTGATGGGGGCAGCAAACCAACATGGCACATGTCTACCTATGCAACCTGCACGTTGTGCACATGTACCCTAGAACTTAAAGTATAATAAAAATAAATAAACAAACATGGTGCTCTTTAGCCAAATCTTGCTCATTATTTAGAGGTGAATGCAATCGGGGGTGGGGGAGTGGGGATGGGAGTGTCCTCCTATTATTCTGCATTATGCTTGTTTAAAAGTTTTGAATTTTAATTGAACGATCAGGATTGCATTATTGAAACATTCCTATCCTCTTCAAATCATCTTTCAAAATTTAATGCCATGGAAACATGACTAACTCAGGAACTTCAGAAATCTGACACCATGATAACTTCCATTTTTTCACAAAAGTCTGGTCACTTCCAACAGCCTAATTATTAAAAGCAGAGCTCTGATGCCAGATGACTTGAGATTTAAGTTTGCTGCTTACTGGTTGTATTATCATAGAGTTATTTAACTCCCTATGCCTTATTTATTTATGTATAAAATGAAAATAATAATACCTACCTCCTAGGTATTTTGTGAAGACTAATTTAATTAAAAAACCTTCATAACTAAGAAAGTACCTAGTGCACAATAAGCCTTAGTAGATATTTAGCTATTAACTTGCAACCAATTTCTCATAATTGAGACCAGAGTAGAGGTTCACTTAGCTATTCTATCAGAGAGTAGTTTTTCAGAATTTACTAAGCTTACAAATCATCTTGCTTAAATGCATGTTTCCAGATTCCACTTTATTTGATAGGTATTTTGACTTAAAAAAATATGGTGTTCTGCCACATAAGACAAACTAAAACTTTTTTTATTAGAAATATTACTCTAAATTTTTTTAATTGATGACACGCTATTATTTTTAAGTTGATGACTTTCCACTATTCATGAAGATCAAAATCAAACATTGTCCTTTATGAACTCTCTTTAGAAATTAAAATTATTTTATCATAACATTAGTAGTTATTTTAACATTTAGCTCCCTTAATGAAATTATCTATAATATTGTTATTATTTAATTTGACCCAACCAATTCTTACTCAAATTTATGCCATCTGAATTTCTTAAAAGCTAGTCCATTCTTAGTGCTCACTCAGAACCTTTTATTTCAAAATTAGGGACTGTCTCAAACCATTTATTGGCAACAACCCATTCATTTCCATTTAATTTCTTGTTTTAATGAGCTTCTACTCCAGTTACGGCATTCAAGCCTAAATAATCTTCCTTAGTTAACAGAATTTCCCAAAAGCAATTCAAACTTGTCCTCAATACTGTGTCCTAAGAAGTATTAGCCTGTACATAACAGGCTGTTAAAATGTGACTCTTCCCTTCACGGTTTTGGCTGAGGCTTGAAGGCCATAGCTGATGCTGGCCAAAGAGGATTCTGAGAGAGATCATCATGACTGCTGAAATTTTAAAGAAGGATTTCTTTGAAGAGAATAGAGCTGAGACTTCTAATCCCAAACAAAAGTGACAGAGAATTCTATGGGATAACTCAGAGAACTTGATATGGATCTCCTGTAGTTGGGGATGCAGTGAATTAGTGAGGGTCATTGTGAAAAAGGTCTTGTTAAAGAAGGCAGCCTGCTAGGGAAAGAGGACCCCAAGGGTAAGAGCCTGTATATTACACTGTAGGGAGCTCAGGAGAAGTCTGGCAAAGGAGAAACACTGCCTATCTCAAGGCAGTTGAAGACAGAAGGACCCAATGTGGAACTCTACACAGAATTCACAAAAGTTTCCATTGAGAGAGTCAGTTTCAAACATCTGCTAAACTCAGAGAATCCAAGACTATCATTCTCTTGCTTTCTTCAAACTCCAATTGAGCTGAAAATTTAGGTTATCCTGCTGAAGGAAGAGGGACAAGGAAAGACGGAAGGTTAATTTCAAATAAAATTCAGAATTTTTTATTCTATCTGTGATCAAACTATTTTAATTACTTAATTGAGACTCTCTGGTAATTTAAAGTGACTATTGGTTTGTCATAGGCTTTTCCAGAGGCAAGAATGTACAGTCCCTCCCCAAGCAGATTAAGGGGAAAGTAGAAGATAAAAATAATGATGATTTCTAACTATATCATCTGCCTACTCAATTAAGACCTGCCTACTCAATTAAGCTGATTACATATCTGAGCAGAGAAAAAGGGGACTAAAAAGTAGACAGCCGAAGCTGTCTGTTTGAAGTTCCCGCTATTGGACTGAGTATAATAATTTCCTATTTCATTCTTGTCTGTGGAAGTTTAGGTTGCAGTTTCTGTTTCCTGTCTGTGAATGCAGTCTTTTGGGATACATTTCCTACACAAAGCCAGATTTTCTAGTAAGCTATTCACCCAATTAAGCTATTAAAAATGTGCCTCCTGTTCAGTTCAAGATGGCCAAATTGTCACACAGGTTTTCCCTCCAGCCCTTTCCAAATCCCGCTGAATTGGCAGTGAAGATGCACAAGGAAAAGTTTAAGTCTACAACAGTGAATAAAACAGAATTGAGAGGGAGATCTTCAGTGAATGAGTCTGCAACAAATTTCTGCAAGTTAATGTATCTTCAGGGTCTAGGCATGGTATAGGAACCCATAGTACTCCCTATTGAAAAAGTCTAACAGAGATTCAGCTGGCAAAGCAGATAGGAAATAGACAGAGATGTGCTGATGGATAAAACATAATGGAATAATTTATATCAAAATACAAAAGAAGATGGAAAATATGAGCAAAATATAAAAATGAATAGAATTTATTCAGGAGATCTGAGATCTGACTAAAAAGATTTTAGGAAAAGGAAGACAGAGGAAATAAAAGGGGAAGAAATTATCAAAGATGTGACCAAAAAATTGCACATTACTGAAGAAAACAAGTCCTTAGATTGAAATGGCTCACCTAGCTTCGAGCAGAATGAATGAGGAAAGGCCTGTTCTAACACACATACACACACACAGACACACACACACACACACACACACACAGACATAGATGTAAAATTTCATAACTCCAAGAAGAAAGAGAAAATCTTACAGAGACTAAAAATCAGATCATTTGTAATAGAACCTTTCACTCTGGAATCAGACTTCTAATGAGCAAAAGTAAATACTACATAATACTGAAGTGATATGTTCAAGTTTTAAAGGATAATAATTTAGATTTAGAATTTTATGTTTCATAAAGTTATTAAGCAACAATAAGAGCACAATAAAGACACATTCTGGCATGCAACTATCAGACTTTTACTTTTTTAGTCTTTAATTCCTCCTTCTGAGAAAGCAACTTAAGGATATACCCTAGCAAAATGAGGGTAAAAACAAGACAGAAGAAAATATAAAATCCCAGAAAATAGTGTCTCCAACACAGAAGTAAAGTTAAGAGAAGTCTTATAATGACAACTTTACAGCATGCCCAGAAAACAAACTATTCATACTCAAGTAGGAGATAAAGGAGTGTAGGAGAGATCTCATTGGGAGCAAAGGGGATTTGCTATATAATTGAAAAAATGAAAAATGTGAAGAATAGGTAAAGGAATATGCTGCTTCTATGAATCAGAAAAAAACAAAAATAAAAAACTTGGGAAGAATTGAAAGCAATACAATAAATGCTAAATTATAACATGTCATGACTTTAAATCACTGGATGTAAAAGAAAAAAGAATGAAGAGAGAATGAGTGTAAGCCATCTGGACTTGATGCTAAAAATACACTTTCTAGTGACACAGGTGTTATTACATTACACTTACACTGGCTGTAATTATATTTTACAGAATAATTTAAATTTAAATTTTATCCAATTCATTTCTATTCATCCTATAAATTAACAACTATTCTGAGCTCTAAGAAACATAACACAGTGCATGCATTCTAAGGGAAACTTGACACATGTTTTGAAGATGTTTTCTAGTCGGAGGCTTCTAACTCAATTATTGGTATGTACTGCTCCTGTTGGTTCACATGTTCCTAGGATTTCAGAAGGCTGCAGCAAACTGCATTCTATCACGCACCTAATGAAGCCACCTGCACCACTGCTATCCAAGGCATCTCAATTAAATGAGAAGCTGCCCTGTAATGGCTGTAAAAATGTTTCTGCCAGACAGACATGGCCATGGCAGTTTGCCATATCTAGAACTGCTCAAACTGCTGTGAACCCTGTGGATTATTTTCAGTCAGTAAGGTCTTGGCATATGAGGTCTGTGCTGACAGATGTCACCTTGGCATTAAATATACTGGCATCAGAACCGAGATCCCTAAAGACTGAGCTTCATCACAGAAATGCAAGACACTCTATAGGACACTGGCAGGTTGTGGTGGATGAGAACTAAGTTTCCCTTGCTTTGTAGCTACAACTATTGGTCCAACTCCTGATATATAGTGGGCACCTAAGACATGCTTAAGGGAGGGATAAATTAAATGAGTGGTTCAGTGAATGATACTCTGAGCAGTTAAGTCTAGTCAGACCTATTATACCTCAGTGGATTCTCTCATAAATATCCTTGGTGGGTATTCCTCTCATGAACTGTTAACACTTTAAAATGTATATCAAAATGTGTCTTTCATAACATTTTAACATACAATGGCTTTGTTCTTCATTTTACCTTTCCTCTAAATCTAAGTAAGAGTCATGAATGTAAGATTTACACCTGGCACACATTAAACACTCAATAAAGATGACCTATTAGCTATTATCATTTTAAAAATGTTGGAGAATAGAGAGATAGCAATAGAGATAAAAATAAAGAAAACGGTAGAGATAGAGGGATAGCACTATCAATGAAGGGAAGAAGGAAGGGAGAGAGAAAAGACTAGAAAGGGGCAAAAACAAATCAAATATTGTTTCTCATTACCTAATGGAATTTGTAATCACTAGACCTAGACTGACAGTATGAAAAACAAAGCTTTTTGGTCTTTCCTTGGATCCTGATCCAATTAATTGCATAACCACTAACTCCAGTACTAGCATGAACTAATCTTGATTATATCCTGAGAGACTGAAACAAAAACTTTGTTCAAGTTAAAGAATAAAGCATTTATATATAATAAGATATAGGCCAGTGAATAGGATTTAAAATTCAGGGGCATATAAAAATGTTTCATGCTATTATTTTGTACGGTAACAAAGATTAATTGCTCCACAACACTTGAGGTGCAAGCAATGTCATATTACTTTGCTTTTCTACCAATCAAGTCAAATCCAGGGCTGGCTGAAGTCATTCACCTAGCTGAACAAAATGTCCTATCTTGGCACTTCTTGCCTTCTTTCTTAGGTTCTGGCAGCAGCTTGAATTACACTGCCTGGGAATGGTGGAGACAGAATTCTGTTCATAGTTCTGTTGTCTTTAATTGATGATGATGTTCTTAGGTGGAATAAGGGTTAGCCCGATCTACTCACAGGACAAGAAAATTCAGAACCTGAGAACACAGAGGTATACAGGGGAAAAAGCTTTTCATTCTTTAGGTGATTATTCTATAATGTCAAGAAAGGACAGGACACCAATAGATTTCTTAATAATTCGTTTGTTACATATGCAATATAAAACATTTGAGTAGAAAATGATCACTCTCCCTTAATTCTCTTCCATTCCCCCAGTGTCCAAGAATCTGTTTACATTCAGGGTTGGTCAGTAGAACTAGAGGGCCAGTGAGAACAGAATGTGCCAAGAGGTTTTCTATATTAACATTTCAATACAGTGCCTTCTGAGTTGAGAGAAAGAAGATTCTCCTTTCACTTTTTCAAAGATTTGAGAATTATTTAAAAATAGTTTTCCTCATATTTGCCTCAGGAAAAATGGGCTCAGCATTTTGGATTCAAAGGAATCTAAAAAGAAATTTTAAAAAGGAAGAAGAGGTGGAAAAAAAAGGAATAGAAGGGAAGAAAGAAAAAAGGAAGCAAAGGAGGGAAAATGGAAAGGAGGGAAGAAAGGAAGGAGAGAGAGGGAAGAATGAATGAATGAAGGAAGGAATTTCAAGCAGAATAAGAGATCATCAATCATACAAAAAGCAGATTTCACCTAAGAGTATATAAGAAATATAAATCTTTCTCTGAAAGCCATACTGCCTTTCAAAGGGTACAATTTCACAAACTTTTACGAGAAGTTGGATTTGAAGACTTGGCAGATTCTGCTTGAGATTGTTTCATTCAAATTTTATTACATTAGCCAGTCTGAAGGCTCTTTATTTGAAAAACTTCTCTTAAATAATTGTAGTAATACCACAAGGATGCTGTTGAGAACTTTGTTCATTGCATTAGAGCATGCCATTTTTATGAGGACCTTCTTCGCTTGGTAATAACAGGACAAGTTGTTTTTCCTTTCCCTAAACTGTGTGAGGGATAGTATTATACTTTTTGCATTAGTTTTTGGAAATACTACCACCTTGTCTGTGGCTCTTCTTGGTCATGTCCTGGGCTTCATGTACACTTAGGTCTTACACATCTCAGCAGGCACTGGGCTCTTCTGTGTTGATGTCTCATGTTAATACAGTATCAATGGGTAAAGGCTAAGTTTTATTTTATATATTGTTTCAAATTCAAAAATAAATATAATTTATATATTATAAACCTTTCCATCCAAATGTTTAAAATTAAACACACACACACACACACACACACACACACATATATATATATATATATTTGCAGACTTTTGATTAAAAGAAAATAATTCTATTCGGAAAATGTTTCAATCTAAAAAAATTACTTTTTTGAGAGTTCTAAATAGTAAAGATTTTATTCTACTTAATGAAACAAGCCCTCTATTCCCCAAAGGCTCACTCTATTTACTAAGCATTCCTACACATAGAGGACAGCAAAACAGGAAGTGTGTTGCCAAAGAAAATTTATAAATGACATACTGCCTAAATAGCATGATAAACTTAAGATGAAAAAACTTTTGGATTCATAATCAGCTCTGTTTCCATTCAACGGTTTCCCATGAGAAATTCAAATCAAATTATGCAAAATAGCAATTAGATATAAGCTCTTCAGAGGAATTATTTGGTTGTATTTCCAGTAAAGCCAAGTCTTCTTAAAAGCCATTAATTAGTGTATCTTTTGTCTCAGCAGGGAAACTAAGAATTGAAGCCCTTGAACTTCATTTAACCTTCAGAAGAGTCTCTGCAGGTCTATTTTAAAATTCTCTGGAGGGGTGAGGGTAGGGGCACCAGTGAGAAAATATCCAGGAAAACCAAGATGAAAATGGTTATTGGTGTAGTTTTTTGGATAAAAGTCAAAACAATATTGTCAAACTGTGAAATTCCTCTTAGTTATTAACCAGCAATGTATGTAATAAACATTCCTCACCTTTACTTCATCTCCAACTCCCATCCCCATTACAAAGAGTTTTATTTTTGTATTTGATTTTTTTTTCAAGAAGTATGAATTATCTTCTTGAATATCCAAGGAAGCATCTGTTTTCTACCAGAATTCATCATTATAAAGCAGTTTCATGTAGACACCTTGTATTAATTTCTCATTGCTGCTGTAAAACGTTACCCACACTTAGCAGCTTGAAATGTTACCCACACTTAGTAGCTTAAAACAACACAAATTTATTATCTTAGAATTCTGGAAGTCAGATGTCTGAAATCGGTTTCTTTGGGCTGAAATTGAGATGTCAGCAGGGCTGTATTCTTTCTGGAGGTTCTGGGGAGGGTTCAGTTTCCTTGCCTTTTCCAGCTACTAGGAGCCATTGTATTCCTTGGCTTATGGTTCTTTTCTCCATCTTCTAAACATATTATTCTAATCTCCATCATCATGTCACTTTCTACTCTAACTCTGACTCCTCCTGTGCCTCTTTGTATAGGCCACTGTGATTGCATCAGGCCCACCCAGACAATCCAGGGTAATCTCTACATCTCAAGTTCCTTAACTTGATCACTTTTGATAGTTCCTTTAGCCTTATAAAGTAACCACAGGTTTCAGGATCTAGAACATGAACATGTCTGAAGAGCCATTATTCAACCACCTGCTGGCCCTCAAAGATTTATATCCATCTCACGTGCAAAATGCATTCACCCATCTTAATACCTACCCCTTAAAGTCTCAACCCATCACAGCATCAATTTAAAATAAAAATCCTCTAATATTATCAACTCAAAAGTCCCAAATGTCATCTAAATCATATAAATTAGGTGCAGGTGAGACTGTAGGTAAGCGACATCCAGGGGCAAAATTCTTCCTCCATTTATGAACTTGTGAAATTAGAAAATAAATTATCTGTTCCCAAAGCACAATGGTGGAACGCATAAGATAACAGATACAGACATTCTCATTCCAAAGGGAGGAAGACAGAAAGAAAAAAGGAATCCCTGGCTCTAAGTAATTTCACTTCCAACTGGACAAACTCTATTAGGTTTCAATGCCTGAGAATAATATTCTGTGTTCTACAATTTTGTCTTCTGGTCTCTTCTTCCACCCATAAAACACTTCATTTCCACCTTCCTTTGGGAGCATTGAGTGGAGTGTGCCTCAGGGATGGAGAGAAAATGCCTATTTTGCCTATCGCTTAGTTACGAAATATGGAAAATAATGCTTTTTAAGTTGTATTAAAATGCTCCCACATCAAATTGCTCCTAGTAAAAAGATGGCTTCAAAGGATCCCCAACATAAAAAAAAACAACCCTTTATTAGGGTTGCATCAAAGCTGTAGCATCAAAATATCATGTACACATCTGGAACAATATATAAATATATCCTGTTGCTACAATAGATAATTGTATTTTAGAAATACAGCACAGTACATTGTGTAGTGGAAATTTGGTTAGGACAGTTTTGTTTCTGAGTTAAATGCAATGATTACTTTGAGATAATCTGATTTTTGTAATGACAGATATAATTTAGAACTGTCAAAACTCTTCTGTATAGATATAGAAAACGAAGAGTGTTTGACCTAAAACTGTGAATGTTTAAATCAGTAGAAGGCATAATTGGTTTTAAGTTTTTTATCAGAAATTTGTGTTTTATAGAACTTCATCAAAAATCTTCATAACTCAGAGGTGGATGGACATTTCATTGTTAAAAGGTATACACTAAGGCAGCAATGTGTTTTGCTACATACTTTGGATTAATTTCACAGCTAAAATTAAATATGAAGAATGGCTTACTTATTTTAGATAAGAACTCTGGTAACTGGAACAAAATTGAGACGTTTCTGCAATGTGAGCCATCCTCACCTCTAATTCAACAAGCTAGCTCTGTATGATGTATGCAGAGTAATACATTGTAAAAATTAAATTGTTATATTTAAATATAATGATGAAAGACAATATTGCTTGCTCCATGTCCACTTTTGGATAAGTCAGAGCAAAGTCAGACAAGTGGATAAGGGCTTTAAAACATGATGCATGTACAGGTCCATTTATTGCCTTTAACTCTTGCCCTGTGTGATAAGTATTAAGAGGTGACATATAAAAGCCTGCAGTTGAAACAAAACTACCATACTATGTCAAAAGATTGAATTGAGATGAAATTCCAAAAGGTTATTATTGAAAACAGATCATCTTTACTGAGAATAAACCCTATTTTTAAAAGGAGGAATGTAGAAATTTAAATTGTTGTCATAATTTACCTTTTTAAAAAGTATTTATACAATTGTACTTATTTTGTTAAAAAGAAATAAGGGAATGCAGATTGATATTAGCTGTTTCGTTTTCTAATATGTCTTTGTTTCACACTGTTTTCCTGTTAGGGGAGAAACAAAATGAGATCCATGTTGCTTTCAGGGTCCTTTCCTAACCCCAGAATCCCTCCTCTTAGCATCCACACTCTCCCTGCTCTTGAGTATCTTGGTGTTGCCCAAATCTACTTTAATGAACCTTGGTGCTTAAGATAGTTTCCACTAGATCACAGGCGTGACTATATAATTAAAAAAAAAAAAACTCACCAACAACATAAACATTTCTTTTTTTTTTTTTTCTTTTGAGACGGAGTCTCGCTCTGTCGCCCAGGCTGGAGTGCAGTGGCGCAATCTCGGCTCACTGCAAGCTCCGCCTCCCGGGTTCACGCCATTCTCCTGCCTCAGCCTCCCAAGCAGCTGGGACTACAGGCACCCACCACCACGTCTGGCTAATTTTTTGTATTTTTAGTAGAGACGGGGTTTCACCGTGTTAGCCAGGATGGTCTTGATCTGCTGACTTCGTGATCCACCCGCCTCGGCCTCCCAAAGTGCTGGGATTACAGGTGTGAGCCACTGCGCCCGGCTAAACATTTCTTAATGGTACACTTTTAGCCCAGAAACGTACGGCTTTTTCACAAGTGTTCGTTCTAGAGGAGAGTGTGTTATGATACATCCATCAATATCATATGGATTATAGATTGTTCTTGGCATGAATGATTTATGTAAATTAAAATAAATTATAATATAAGTCAAATAAATGTACTAAAACACTGTTTCTGCTATTGTCTTTAAGTTTTAATCTTCTTTTGTGATAATTTATGGGTTTTTTCCCCAAAAACACTGAAGTTTGAGCCAGAGTAGCTACCTAAAAATATTTATTAGACAAGTAATCTTAATTATTTTTACTTGATTTAAAAGATAATTCAACTTTAAAACAGCAATAATACAGTTTAATACATCTCAAGACAAGGTTCAAAAATTGAAATCGATAATAATTCTCTTAACTCTGACCTTTCCTAGCATGGACAGTCCTAAAGCCATTACAATTGAGACTATATTGTTTTTACCATGAATTGAGTATCAAAATTACTTGGAGCAGTTTTATATATATTGTATGATACTCTTGTGCCCAATGGGCTTATAAAAATAAGATTGATAAAAGAACCAAATCAACAGGCTGAGAAGTAGATATCCCTAAAGTTAAAGAGTACCCTATTTAGATTTTGTTTTTTGGTAGGGGTTGGCCTTTCTTCAGATTCTTCCATATTCCTAATGATTTTGTCATCGAGGGCAAACTTCCCAAGTTAGATAATTGTTAAAAGTTTATAGAAACGATTTAAAAGAATAATTTGGAGAATGAGGAGAAAGAGATATTTCTGGTCTAGTTTACTCGTAGGACTCAAGCAGAAGAGGAGAGAAATATGGACACATGAAAGTAAAAACAGGTCTGCTTGGACAATGCAAATGATACATGAGAAAAACACACCCAGAACTGATGACGCCTTCAGAGTTCTACAGAGACCAAGAAGTCAAGTCCGGTAAGGGTGCAAGATAGATTCATTATTTAGTCACTTTCAAATGTGTACATTTGCCATTCAGATTTACCTTTGACTTATTAAAAGTGGGAGTATAAAGTTATATCATTTAAGAATACAATGGGTATTAATTGAGGGTCTTTATTGTCCTAGGCTTGGCTTTAGGTAGTAGAGATAGAAAGTTGAGACAAAGTAGGCAACCTGCTCTCCTTATAGAAGTTACAATCCCTTTACAGTAGGATGGAAAATAAACACCAAAACTGGGACTGTAGAAAGAAAATAGGGGTAAAGTTCTAATAGACAAGCAACAAAAAATGTAAAGACAGTTGAGAGGAGAATGCTTGTACATTATCGATCCTCTAAAACCAGGAAACTTTAAAACCTCACATTTGCCCATAAAAATCTATTAGATCAGGTAAATCTACATGGAGCTTTAGCAAAATTATACCTACCTAATGAGAGCTATCATTAAAGCAACCAGCAGTGGGTGGAAAAGCATTCATTATTCATTCATCAGTTATTCCCATGATTCATATAAGTGTTCTTCATCACTGATTTATTAGGCTTAAAATCCAATATTATTAAAAGGTAATTCTAAATCTTATCAAAGCAGCGAAACTGTTATGTGAAAGCTTCTGAATAACAAATGAGCTAAAATAAAAGAACAAAAACAAGCCTCAGGGAGCTCACATAGTTAAAAAATAATCACAATGCAGAAACTGTGGGACTACGATCAAACCTGCCACATAAATGTACTGTTATCCAGTTCATCACTCACCTGCCTAGTACTGCTGTGTTCTGAGGAAATGGAATTTCTACAATACAATTAAGCTACTTAGTTATGCCCATGACAGTGGGTGATAGGACTAAAAGTACAACCTCCATCTGTGGGAATCCAGCAAACTAGAATCCTTCACATACTTTCCACATTCCTCTCCCTTCAATAATTCTAGGTGGCAGAGGTGAGAAATCTTAAAGCAAGTTTCATAGTATATTTGGGAATAAATATAGACCTGTCTTATTCTCCCTTATCTAGAGTCATTTAAAATGAGAATGATGGTCAAGATATCATGTAATTTAAAAGTAAATAAAAAGATGGGATGCTCTATATGTGGTAGTTGTTAAAGCAGGAAGGGAGATCAATGACTGCGTTAGATTAAAATGAATAGATGAGTAATTTGATTGACTCATTCATTCATTCATTCATTCAGATATTTACTAAATGCTTTACCTGCTTCAGACACAGAACCTTCCCTCAAGAGACATTAGTAACATGGCTTGCTTACATTCTAGCAGAGGAAACATTAAATAAATAAGTACAAGCATCGAGAATGATGCGGAAGAAGGATCTTAAACGGGAGATTCCTGCGTTTTGTCCAGGATCTGGGTAGGAGGGCTAAGATAGGGAGAGAAAGGGCATATCAGAATTTCTGGAAAAAACATGGAGATAAAGAGAAGGTAGTGGTGTATTTAGTTTGAAAAAGCTTCAAAGGTAGTGTTAATACATGCACTCTAATTGAGAGCCTTTGCCTAGAGCCTAAGTCCAAGTCTGAGATCTTTAAAAATAGCTTCTTCTCTCAGCAAGTCTGATGTTCCATTTCCATTGGCAATGGGGAGGTTAGGGGAGGAGAAAAGTAAATTCTTTTGGCAGGTGAGAACAAACTCATTTTCTTTGAAGAGTAGTAGACCACAGTTGACAATTTCTGGAAGGGACAAGATCACGATCATCCACACCAGGAGCAACTCTATCAGCTCTTGCTTCATTTCTTCTGTAGCCCCCACAAACTTGAATCAATGATTTAACCCCACTTGCACATGGCTCTGGATTCAGCCTCTCAGATAAATCCCAGCTGGGGCAGGACTTGGAAGCTATCAATAGAGTGCAGTGAAGGGTTCGTCCTGAGATCCTGTGTAGCTGAGATTTTCTCCTCTTTCCTCCATGATGGCCCAGTGTATATAAGTTGGGCTTCTGCCTTGATGCGTCCTTAATACAGCTCATGTCCCTCTCAGTCACAATGAGGCCATTTCCAGAACCTCTTCTCATGCGATGGTTTTCTTTTCTTTCTTTTTTTTTTTTGTTTTTTTTTTTTTTTGGACAGGGTATCCCTCTGTCACCCAGGCTAGAGTGCAGTGGCACAATCACAGCTCCATGCAGCCTCCATCTTCTGGCTCAAGCAATCCCCCAGCCTTGGCCTCCCAAAGCACTGGGACTATAGGCATGAGACACCCTGCCCGGCCAGTATGTTCTCTTGATAATTCACCTGGCCATCCTCTTTTTCTGTAGGTGGCTAGGCTTTGCATCTCATACCATGGGCCTCTGACTAGGGTCCTCTGGCAAATAAACAAATTTCCTATAACTGTCATGCAATTCTAGTTCACCCTACCATCACCTAAAATTCCCCATTTCGGAGGCCTGTTCATGGAACTGGATATTCCTGGTACTTAGGCTGCCCTCTATTGTGCCTTGAAGTATTTGGTTGATCTCCCTAACAGCGGTAGCATCAGCAAGTTGGGTAATTGAAGGCATTCTCCAGCAGACACTCTTTTTAGGGTAGTCGTTTCCTTCAGGCATTGCAGTTACTCATACCCACATTGAAATGACAAAATGGCACCAAGCCACTAATAATCACCTGGGCCCAATTAGTGGTTGATTCATTGACATTTTTATTTTTCTTTGCTTTCTACTGAATGAACCTACTGATGTCTATGCATCTGAATTTGTTCGCTGACTTGCAAATTTAAGAACTATGATACTGAACATAGACAAAATCTTTTATCCAACACTTCTGGCTATGGGAAAAAATAATCTAAGCCTTGGCTTCACCATCAAAAATATTCATGTGCACACCAGAAGCACAGAATTTAGTCTATGACAAGTTGTTCTTATATAATATACTGGCTCTCTTTGTAACCAGATTGTGACTTCTTCCTGCCAGCCAAAAAGCTGATATATTCTTGGAAATGTCTCTCCCAGAATTTAAAAGGAAAAAAAAGATAATTTACACTCTAGGAAATTATTTTGTCCACAAAAGAAACAGATGGATTCTTCCTTAGGGGTTAAGACCTCCATGTCCTTTAGTTACATTTGCAGAAGTCAAATGTGTCAAATATCAGTATATGGTTTTATTGTAGAGATGGCTTTTCTTGGTTCTTGTGGAAGAATTGCTATTGTATTCTTATTATAGTACAGAAGTTCTCAAGACTGGCTACACACTGAATCACCTGCTGAGTTTTAAACAAATCCTTCTATTGCCTATTCATCATCTGCCAGGGACTTTGATTTAATTGACCTGGGGTGAGGCGAAGCATTAAGTCTTTTTTTCAAAACTCCCCAGGTGATTCTATTGTGTAGCTAGGCTTGAGAACCTTGGCTACCAAGGGTCAATTTGTTTTCCTTTTTCCTTGCTATTAAGCACTGGAATCTTGGTTACTTGGACGAATATTTACCCTCAGGTGTTTTCACTCTCTTATTCTCAGGTAGTCCCTTCAAGCTGACTAGGCTGGAATAAAAGAACTTGAGTGAGGCCCAGGGGAGCATCAACTCCATGTGACTATCTGTCCACCCCTGAACCTCCAGGAGCCTTCCTGGAGACTTCTTCAGTCTTTCTCCTTCCGACGCTTTGGAACAGATGGTTTGTCTTAACAAAACATTTTGCTATTTTTGTTTGATGATTTAAGGCCAGATTCTTCCCTCAGATAACACATAAACCTTCAGTGGATTTCAAGGCAGTCTTAAATCCTACCAGGTAAAGTTTATTTTACACTCATCAGTGAATTACACACCATATTCATTCTCCCTTTAAGGGATATGTGATATCTATATCACTCATCATTTTACATCTCCCAATAAATGCAGGATTTAGTATTCTAATGCCTCCGAAGGTCTCCTCCATCTCTAGAATGCTCCTTTAGAGAAATGATATTTAATGCTGCCGACAGGAAAGCTATCTCTCTGCCCAATGCCACCCGCTATTCAAAAACATTCAATATTTGTTTTATATTTTTATTCAAGTTTTGATCTTTAGGAAATGCCATTAGTGATGTAATAGGTGGCATTCCATTAAGTTACATACGTTCCTTTCAAATATCGTTCAATGCTATTATGAAATAAAGAAAATAAAATTTTGAAATGCAATAGTCTGTATTCTGCCAGATGCACAAAGTAAGGCAACTTTTTAGCCTTTTGTGGGAGGACTGGCAGTAGAGATTAACACTAACTATTTTTTTTTCCTTTTCCAAACAAAATATGACCACAGTATTGTATGGCTTAGTTATTTAACCTAAATTAAATGCACGTAAATAAGCACATTCTATGATTTCACTAGTAAATAGGTGTATTTAAAATGAAATATGCAAGTAACAAATTGATTCATTAGTAACGAATTGATTCAGACCCTCTTTCGAAGTTTTTACAGCAAGTGTAGTGGTTACTAAAGTAAGAAGATAATGTTGAGTTAAATGGCTCAGTTTTCTTTACCATCATTTCCCTTTGTAATTTCCCTCAGTCTTTTTTGGCACAAATAAGATATTTTGCAGTTGAATGTATAAAAGAGAAGCCACAATGAGACTTTATATGATGAGATAACATATCGCCTCCTCTACAGGGCCTTATCCAGATCCAATTTTACAATTTTGAAGCTTCATTATATGACTCTACTTAATTAATGTAACATCTGATTTTATTAGATTTTTCCCAACTGACAAAATCAAATGGTTTCTTTAATGCAATAATAAAACTAATTTAATTTTACATGTATTTTTCTATTTATTCTAGCAGTGTCATAAATCTGAGTTTAGGGATGGCATATTGTTGATCAAAATGCTAATGACAACAATGACAGCCTACCATATCTTTTAATGCCCTCTCTTGGCAGAATTAAATAAATACAACAATGCCAAGTACATCAGACCAGCAATGAAGACTCCCTGGTTCTAACACTGGTTTCCAAGGCAGTTTCCTTACCCATGAAATGATATGATATGATATGATGAGACTACCTACCAGTATTGAAATCTGTGTTCCACAGAGCCCTAAAGCAACCAAGGAGTCACTCAAGCGGCAGAGGAGGTGAGAGACAGTTAACGCAGCTTCGACTTCATCCAGTCTTCTCTTTCATCTATTTTACAGTTAGGGCTACTTTTATTTGGGGAAAAATGGTTTAAGTTTCTAAAACTAGTTTGAAACACCATTAGAAGAAAGATTGGCTAAAGACTTCTCTAATTCCAGAAGCGGAAGGATACTTTACAATAAGATGTAAGTTCCTATTTTGTGTGACCCAAGCCTGACTGGAAAGCTGAATTTGCATGTCAGACACTGATACTGTATGGACTTTGATATGAGAGGAGAAAATCTCACAGCAGTATAAGGCTAGTAACATGATTTGAGACTATCACTTACATTTATAATCCAGTATAGTATGTCATCATTACTTCAAAAACTTTCAGAAAAAAAAAATTTCAATACCTGGTGATATCCCAGGTGTACTGAGAATCTAAAGAAAACAGGAGATAGCTGCATTGTTACATATTTTGAAAACATATTCCTGGGTTACTCTGTTGCTCACCTTCAATTAAGAACCATTATTTATACTACTGTTTTGTGTGTTTTCACTCATTTTCTATTGGATTTCCCACCATAAAATTAATACCACTATTTGCAGTAATCTAATCACCTGGGTTTGGGAAGCAGAATTTTTTTTTTACCATAAAGAACGTTCTTTATAAAGAGTGAGCAGTGCAATCTTAAAAAAAAGGCCTGCTCAGGTACCCAGAGCAGTTTCAAACCATAGCTGAACTTCATTAGTGCTACTGAGGAAAGGCATTGCTAAATTCCTGCTGAAGAAAAGATAACCAGAGTTCCTACTGTGTATCAATCTCAAGTCTCGTCTATGTCAGTTAGCAAAAGCCACTTAAAGGCTTAGCATCTCCTTGAAGGGAATTAACCTGTTTTGACTTCTCAACTGCAATATGCAATACAATGAAGAAAGATAAAAAGTTAAAAGAGCTAAGAAACTGGGTAGTATTTGTTTTACTTGAAGTATGTTTCCCAGGAATATAAATGAAAGTTTATAAACAGTTCTCCTTTCAATCATTACTGTGTTTATATGCTGGAAAATTGGGGAGATGGGTTGATAGAACCCTTTTAATCCTCATCCTCCAAGAAACCTGAGGCCGAGCTGCAAAGTGGAATTCGATGGTAGTCAAAGGGTTGTTTTGGATAGAAACCTGTGCTAGTGGTGTCCACCAAGTCAGCAATTTTGGTGAAAAAAAAGGTGTCTAATACGGCAGCATCTCTGAAGTTATGCTTTCTTGTTTCCAGTCCCAATTTTGTTATTTCCTAGCAGTATGGTCTTTGGAAGCTTCCATAAACCCTCTGCCCCTCAGCTGCCTGATCAGCAAGTTATTAGTGAAAGCTAGTCTTTGTTCCTACCATTGCTACCCAAATCAATCCATCACAGGCCTGACTTTTCAGGCTAGGAGAAATTGTACATACAATAAATTCAAATATTTACTGAGCATGTACCAAGTAATGGGTACTCTATTAGTGCCAGGGAGTGGTGGTTATAAAAAAGATACAATTTCACCTAAGAGAGGAAGACAGGTAAATAACTCTAAACAGGGTGTTAAGTTTAAATACAGTTACACTAAAGTGCTATTAGGGAGTGATTAATTCTGTGTCAGGGAAGAGCTGGTTCAGGAAGAATTCTTGGGGAAGCAGAATGTGGGCAGAATGTTAAAAGAGAGTTGGAAGTAGACAAACAGAGTAGGTGGAAGAGCATTTGTGGTAGAAAGAACAGCATAGGCAAACACTTGGGAGTTAGAGCTCCTGTTCTTTGGGGAGAATGACAAGAAAGCAGAGGTTCTGAGATCTCAGTGGTGCTGAGTTGGCAGCCTTGCTTCCCAAATTTTACTAAACTTCCCCAAGCCTCAATTTCTTCCTCTGCACCTGACTGTGGTAAAGGTTAAATGAGATGACTGATTCTCGGCACAATACTTAGCATATGGTGAGCTGCTACTGTGGTGGTGGTGGGAGGAGACTGAGGACACTGCTGATGATTTGGAGGGAGATGGGGCTCAA
This sequence comes from Homo sapiens, assembly GCF_000001405.40. Lineage (NCBI taxonomy): Eukaryota > Metazoa > Chordata > Mammalia > Primates > Hominidae > Homo > Homo sapiens. The sequence continues at coordinate 167,384,924 of NC_000002.12, read as the reverse complement.
AAAAACAAAAGGAGACCAACCTCCTTTTGGAAACTTTTGGGACAAGATGGAGGATATTGGGTTTTTAGCCCAGAAAAATTGGTGAGATGGAGGTTTTAAACAGGTGAGAGGGATGATCACATCAAAACATCATCCAAGCAGCAGCATGAATGCTGGCTTCAATGAGAGAAAGAAAAGGCCAGATGCTAAGAGGAATACTGAGCAAACGCTATGGCAATAATGCAAGAAAGACAAGCTGAGGGTTGGCCTGAGAGCAGCAGCAGTAAGGATGGAGCAGGTGAGACAAGACGATAGACATTCTGGAGGAACCCAGTGACTGACAGCATGAGGGAAGGGAGAGGAGAGAAATCAGAGGTGTATAACTTGGGCAACTGACTGGATAATGGTTTCTGCCAAGTAAATCAGGGAATATAGGAAGTATGTGTGAGGAAGTGGGTGGATGGGGATCAGGAAGGGGTTTCAAAAATAAGAGTTTAGAATTTAAATTGCCCAAATTACCCTTAAGATCCCTTGAGAATTCCGAGAGAGCACATGATGCTTACCATGTTTTTGTTAGTTTTTTCAGGGAAAAGAGAGGTGTGTCAGTAAACAAGGTTTATCTGGCATGCATCTGTACCACCCAGGGAGGAAGAATGCTTTCTAGTAGAGTTCCTTATCTTTAAGGATCCAGAAAAGATAATTAGACAGCACCATTTTACCAATAGCTAACACTGTGTGGTATTTAAATATAGTTTTCAAACTCTTCTAATACATTATCTCATACAAGATGCACCACATCTCATCCACTAAAGGAATCACGGTTTTTCGCTACTATTTTAAAACTAAAATGGAAAGGCTTGCTTTAGTTCAAATCGCTGGTTACTGAAGTAACTGGTGCTCTTTACTCTAATCCACAGTCTCTAGCCATGTATGTGTAACCTATGTGCAAATAGTTTGCATTTTAAAAGTATGACATCAACTTTAGAAAGTGTTATAGTAGTGTTATATTACATTTTAAAATGCATAATAAAATGTTTAGCCATAAAATATAAAACGTTAATCATAAAACTTGAAATGCGGAAGAAGCTACATTAGGGAAATGTTGAGAAAAACTTTGACAATGTCAATAACTGAAAGTTTATATTGCAAACGGCTGTGAGGTGCTTGGTTCATCAGTACTGAAGCAGCCACCTGCAGAGGGGAACTGTGAACAGTTATACCAGCCAGACTAAGTATCTAGATACTCATGCATTTGCTTAAAAAATTATTGAGCATTCATAATGTTTCATAATTTCTTAGATGCGTGTTTCAGAGCTGAAAAATACGATCCCTGATCCCATCTCAGTGGAGGAGTCAGAAAATGATCCCAGAAATTATTTTCCTATCATGTGTTATTTTTTATGATGGAAAGAAATTCAGAGGCAGTAGTTCCAAATCTAGGCTCTAGAGCTCAGGAAGGTCAGTGACCACCTCTGCAGGATGTGTAGGCGTTATCCAGGATGAAAGTTGGACAAGCATATCTTAAACAGTGGGAACAGTCAAGGCCTACTTCATGTTATTTGCAAACTTCCTGCTTCCATGACATCTCTGATTTGGACTCCTCATATTGACTTTCTTTGGAGCTCCTTTCTTGAATAACTATTTCTGTTACAATTAGAAGTTACTCAGAATTGAATCACTATTACCCCTGTTCTCTGGTGGCAAACCTTGGTAAAGAGGTTACCAAATAAACTCTAATTAAAAAAAAAAAAAGGCACTGCACATAGAATTGTCAACAGCCAGAGCTGGAAGGGAATCAAATCCAACTTTAAAACAAAATTAAATATATTTATGGGATATATGAGAAATTTTCTTACACATATATAATGTGTAGTGATCAAGTCAGGGTATTCAAGGTGTACATCATCCAAGTACAGTACATTTTTATTAAGTATGGTCATCCAACTCTGCTATCACACATGGAATTTATTCTTTCTATCTTACTGTAGGTTTGTACCTTTAACACATTTCTCTTCATCCTCCCTTGAATCCAACTCTTTCAGTAAATATATAAGGAACCTAGGAGGTGTTTATAAATAAGGTAGGAGATATCTATGAATAAGGCATAAAGTACAGCCTCTAAAGTTAAGGTAGGTAAAATTCTCCCTGGTGATTTATTTAGAGTAATATTTGGCATCCATGAAAATTCAGACATGACCTGCTCCGCCCACCTCCCCCACTGCCCTACCTCTTCATTTCACCAATAAAGAAAACTTGGCTAGGTTTCTATATGCCGTATTCACCAAGTTTAATTTCAAGGTGTGTAGTTCACTGCAGTTTATTCTGCCTTTTGTATTTCTAAAAGTGGTTGTTTTTTGAAAAGTACTGATTTCCATTCTAAAGTAAAAGCTCAATTAGCTCTTGAAAGATCCTCATAAGGGGGTGCTTGATAAGTACACAGAGGGGATGAAGAAAAGAAGAAAAGGAGGAAGGGAGGGAGAGAGGGAGGAACAGAAGGAGGGAGATAGGGAGAGGTGCAAAACAGTGCAAATACAATTTTTAACCATAAGCAACATCCTTAACTAAAGAAAAAACTAATGAAAAAGTAGTAAAGAGGGAAAAAATTCATTTTTTAAAAAATCAGGAAAAAAAGAAACAAAAAAGAGAGAAAAAAACTTAGAAAGCAAGGTTAAATGGAAATGAGAAGAGTTTTCACGCCAAAACTATGATTGGACTACCAATTCCAAACCAATGAAGTTTTGCCACATGAGGGAAATTATTTGATGGTGGAATCACGGACATTATATAAATGAGATTAAGAAGTGACTTGATAAGTCTGTAAACAAAGATACAGGAAAATTACATCCTGCATTTATTGGGTTTTAAATGAATGGCCTCAATTTAAGCCCAATAACTTATTTCTATTGTACAATCAGCCACCTTTGGTTCGCACCATCAACTTCCAATAAAACACAGTTGGCAGCACTGGTTACTGAAGTAGTAGGTTATGCCCAATATATCCGATCCAAATGTAAAAGGATCTCGCTGTCTACATCATCAGAGTAAAAAGAAAGATAAACTGATCAAAATTGTAGGTAAATAGGTCATTAAATGAGATGTTGGTTGCAAATGTTTCAGCCTCAACACCACAAAGACTTTTTATTTAAACCTTTAAACAACAGTCCCTCTCCAGTTAACAGCTGGTATTACTTGTTCCCCATAGTTTCTGTTGTATAATAACTAACATATCTTCATAAAGTTGGCAATGGTAAATCAGATTTTCATGGCACAAATTCAGTGCAGTTTACATACGCTTTCTTCAAACCTAGAGTCTGAAGTATAATACAGCATTTAGGTATCACTTAGATCATTGGCCCTTAACCTTGGCTGCACATTAGAATCACCAAAAAGAATGCGAAGAATGCTGCTGTCTCCAGGACCTTCAACCAAAGATTCTGGTGATGGAGGCTGAGCTTTAGTGTATTGCTGAGTATTAGATCCCAAGTGATTCTAACATGCAACCAAGATTGAAAATTACTGGTTTTGATATTTTTAATAAATCAGAGTAAAATTTGAAATAAAATTCCATTGAAAACAAAAGCAGGTCCAGGTGCATAGTAGCTCACGCCTATAATCTCAGCACTTTGGGAGGCCAAGGCAGAAGGATTGCTTAAGCCCAGGAGTTCGGGACCAGCCTACACAATGTAGTGAGACTCCATCTCTGAAAAAAAATTAGCCAGGCATGGTGGTGCACACCTGTAGTTCCAACTACTCAGAAGGCTGAGGTGGGAGGATCGCTTGAGCCTGGGAGGTTGAGGCTGCAGTGAGCCATGATTGTACCACTGCACTCCAGCCTGGATGACAGAGCAAAACCCTGTCTGAACAAATAAACAAATAAAAAAAACCCAGAAGTGTTATTTTGTTTTGTTTTTTCCCCACGATGATGAATTAGAGGCTTTCAGCATGCCTCAACCACTTGGAAACAGCAAGATAGTACATAAAGATCAACTCTGTGATCTCTTAATTCAAGAAGGAAAATGGGAATCCACCAGAATTGTCAAAGACACCCCAGATCCCAGAGGCGAGAATGCCAACAAACAGCTCCCATGATAGCATCTGATTGATGAAAAGTAAAATAAAAGTGAGTAAAGCCTCAGTATGTGAGAGAGGCAGAGAGCCTCCCTCTGTGACTCATCTTTCCCCAAGGACCGAACAACCCAGGGCAAGGGAGAGCACTTTGTTTCTCCCACGCCCTGGAACAAACTTGGGGAGAGGCTTGGGGATGCTGTGAGGGAAAGACACAAGGAAACACTACAGACGTTTTCCCAGACCCAGGACTGAGAACAGGATGCCATTTTTAATCTGGGTGCATACAAAGTCAGCCATTCCTTGGCAACCTGGCAGTGTGGCTGTGTAGGCATTTTAGTTTGGGGCCAGAGATTGGGATGCCTTCTCTGGAGTGGAATAGGGGCTTCCACAGCCAGAGCTGTGGCAAGTGCCTCAGCAGTAAGGCTAGAATTGTTTTCTCCCCCATCACAAGTCTGGGGGCAGGAGCAGAGCTGCTACAGCTGCAGTTTCTCCTGGGCAATGAGACTTTTAGTGAGGGCCAGCTTGGCAACCTGGAACTGAGCTGCCTGTGCCATCGCTGGGTGACCCACCCTGTTCTCCTGAGTTCATGGTGCAGTGAGGCCCTCTCTGCTCCACCTGCAGGCAGAAATCCAGGCATTCAGAGCACCTGCTTGCCTGGACCAGCAGCCTGAGCTGATCCATCCTTCTGTGCAGAGAACCTCATGCAGGGGGACACCCTCTACTACATGTCCAAACCGATCTACAAGCATTCAGAGTACAGCTTATCTGGATCAGCAACCTGAGCCACCCTACTCTTCCTGGACATAGATCATGCTGCAGTGTGACCCGCTTTACTTTACCCCCAGGCAGATCTTCAGGCATTCAGAGAACCAGCTCACCTGGATCAGGAGCCTGAGCCACCACACTCTTCCTAAGCAGAGATCCTGGTACAGGGGGGCCCTCTCCTCTACATGCACAGGCAGATCTCCAGACATCTGGAGTTCCCATTCTCCTGTGTTAGAAGTTTAGGCCACCCCTGTGCAGAGAACTTGAAGACAAGGTGATTTCCTAGCTCTATGCCTACGCACACCTCTACCTTGGCACTGGTGCCAGTGCCTACCACTGGGGGACCTATAGGTGGACCTGCCCAGTATGGCCCTGCCCTTTGTGGCCTCCAGTGTCTTGGGACTGAGCAGGGAGCTCAGACCACTATACATTCCACTAAGCCCATTGTCTGAGGTAACAATCAGCTTCTTCCAGTAAACAAGAATCAAATACATGCCCAGCCACATTGCCTGTAGCCAACTCTTACCTTTAAGCATCATCTATGGGTTTATAGGTTGAACTCCACAACCCAATAAACTCCACAGCACTGCCAAGAGAAGTGCACACGGCTGTAGAAGCAAAGTCAAAACCCTACACAGCAATCTCTACAGTCACACCCCCTAGAGAATGGGGAAAAAGGAAAAGGGGAAGAAAATAATGATAATAATAATATTATAGGGAAAGAAAGTGATATGGTTAGGCTTTGTATCCCCACCCAAATCTCATCTTGAATTGTAATCCCTATAATCCCCATAATCCCCACATGTCAAGGGAGAGATCAGGTGGAGGTAACTGAATCATGGGGGCCGTTTCCCCCATGCTGTTCTCATGATAGAGAGTTCTCACGAGATCTGATGGTTTTATAGGTGTTTAGTAGTTCCTTGTGTGTTCATTCTCCTTCCTGCCCCCTTATGAAGAAGGTGCCTTGCTTCCCCTTCACCTTCCACCATGACTGTAAGTTTCCTGAGGCCCTCCCTCACCATGCTGAACTGTGAGTCAATTAAACCTTTCTCCTTCATAAATTATTCAGTCTTGGGTAAGTTCTTTACAGCAGTGTGAAAACAGACTATTACAGGAAGAAAGAAAAAAATCCTGTCTACATGAAAATAATAAGAATAATTAGAAGTGCCAGCATCTCCAGATGAAAAGGAACCAGTGCAAGTATTTTGGCACCTTGAAAAATCTGAATGTAGTGGCACCACCAAGGGATCGCACTAGCTCTCTAGCAATAATCCCTAACCAAAATGGAAACTCAGAAATGACAGATAAAGAACTCAATGCATGGATTGCAAGGAAGCTCAATGACATCCAAGACAAGGTTGAAAATCAACACAAAGAAACTTCTAAAGCAATCCAGGAAATGAAATAAGAAATAGATATCTTTAAAAGAAATCAATCAAAGCTCCTGGAATTAAAAACTCATTTAAGAACTTCAAAATACAATTTAAAGCTTTTAATCAATAGACTTGACCAAGCAGAAGAAAGAATTTCAGAGCCTGAAGACAAGTCTTTTGAATAAACCCAGTCAGACAAAAATAAAAAAAAAGGAATTTTAAAAAATAAACAAGGCCTTTAAGAAATATGGTATTATTTAAGGCAACTAAACATGAATTCTTGACATTCCTGAGAGAGAAGGAGAAAAAGTAAACAACCCAGAAAATATATTTGAGAGAGTAATTTAAGGAAACTTCCCTAATTTTGCTAGAGGTTGACATCCAGATACAAGAAATCCAGAGAACACCTGCGAGATACTACAAAAAATGAACATCACCAAGGTATATAGGCACCAGATTGCCTAAGGTCAATGCTAAAGAAAAAAATATTAAAGGCAACTAGAGAAAAAAGGCACATCACAGACTAAGGGAACCCCATCAAGCTAACAGTGGAATTATCAGCAGAAACCTTATAAGCCAAGAGAGATCAAGGACCTATTTTCAGCATTTTTAAAGAAAGGAAATTCCAACGAAGAACTTCATATCCTGCCAAACTAAGAATCATAAGTGAAGGAGAAATAAAATCTTTTTCCAGTCAAGCAAGTGCTAACAGTATTTATTACCAACATACTGGCCTTACAAGGGATGCCTAAGGGAGTTTTAAACATGGAAACCAAAGAACAATACCTGTTACCATGAAAAACAAATAAGTATATAGCCCACAAACACTATAAAGCAACCACACAGTACAAACTACATAGCAGCCAACTAACAACTTCATGATAGGATTAAAACCTCACATATTAATATTAACCTTGACTGTAAATGACCTAAATGTCTCACTTAAAAGGCACAGAGTGGCAAGTTGAATTAAAAAACAAGACTTACCTGTCTGCTGTCTTTAAGAGTCCCATCTCACATATAACGACACCCATAGGTTCAAAGTAAAGGGCTGGAGAAAGATCTACCCCACAAACAGAAAACAAAAAAAGGCAGGGGTCACTGTTTTTATGTCAGATAAAACAGACTTTAAACCAAAGTAAAAAAGGACAAAGAAGAGCATTACATCATGATAAAGAGTTCAATTTAACAATAAGAGTTAACTATACAACATATATACACACTGAACATTAGAGCACCCTGATTCATAAAACAAGTACTTCTAGACCTACAAAAAGACTTAGCCACACAATAATAGTGGGGGACTTCAACACCCCAATGACACCAGTAGACAGATTACTGAGGCACAAAACAAAGAAATTCTGGACTTAAACTCAACACCTGACCAACTGGACTTAACAGACATCTACAGAATAATCTACCCATCAACCACAATATACATTCCTCTCATCTGCACACAGAACATACTCCAAGATCTACCACATACTTGGCCATTAAAGCAAATTTCAATAAATTCAAAAAAATCAAAATTATACCAACCATACTATCAGTCCACAGTGGAATGAAAATATAAATCAATACCAAGATATCTCAAAACCACAAAATTACATGGAAATTTAACAACCTGTTCTTGAATGACTTGGGTAAACAACAAAATCAAGGAATAAATAAAAGTTTTTTGAAATAAAAGAAAACAGAGACACAACATTTTGAAAACCTCTGGGATGCAGCAAAAACAGTGTTAAGAACAAAGTTTATAGCGCTAAGTGCCTACCTCAAAAAGTTAGAAAGATCTCAAATTAATGATCTATCATCACATCTAGAGGGACTACAAAAAACAACAAATTAATCTCAACGCCAGCAGAAGAAAAGAAATAACTAAAATCAGAGCAAAACTAAATGAAATTGAAACCTCCAAATCCATACAAAGAATCCATAAAACCAAAAGTTTGTTTTTTGAAAGGATAAACAAGATTGATAGACCACTAGCTAGGTTAACAAAGTAAAAAAAAGAGAAGATCCAAATAGGCACAATCAGAAATGACAAAGGTGATATTACAACGAATCTCACAGAAACTCAAAAGATCCTCAAAGACTATTATGAACACCTCTACACACACAAACTAGAAGATCTACAAGAAACAGATAAATTTCTGAAAATACACAACCTCCCAAGATTAGTTAGGAAGAAATGAAAACATTAAATAGGCCAATATCAACTTTTGAAATTGAATCACTAATAAAAAACCTACCAACCCAAGAAAGCCCTGGACCAGATGGATTCACTGCTGATTGTACCAGATGCACAAAGAAGAGCTGGTACCAATTCTACAGAAACTATTCCAAAACATTGAGAAGGGACTCCTCCCTAACTTATTCTACAAAGCCAGCAACACCCTGACAACAAAACTTAGCAAAGAAACAACAAAAAAGAGAAAACCACAAGCCAGTTTCCCTAATGAACATAGCCACAAGATCCTCAACAAAATACTAACAATCTGAATCCATTAGCACATCAAAAAGTTAATTCACAATGATCAAGTAGATTTCATTCCCTGATCAAGTAGGTTTCATTCCTGCAATGCAAGAATGGTTCGACATATATAAATCAATAAATGTAATTCACTGCATAAACAAAATTAATAAGAAAAAACATATGATCATCCCAACAGATGCAGAAATAGCTTTTAATAAAATCCAACATCTCTTTAAGATAAAATCCCTCAAAGAACTAGGCAATGAAAGAACATACCTCAAAGTAGTAAGAGCCATCTATGACAAACCCACAGGCAACATCATACTGAACAGGCAAAAACTGGAAGGACAATTAAGAAATGAAACAAGACAAGGATGCCTCCTCTCACCACTCCTATTCAACACAGTACTGGAAGCACTAGCCAGAGCAGCAGGCAAGAGAAAAGGCATTGCAATAGGAAGAAGACAACTGATCTCTCTTTGCTAACAATGTGATTCTATATGTAGAAAACCCTAAGGACTCTGCCAAAAGGCTATTAGAACTGATAAACACTTTTAGCAAGGTTTCAGGATACAAAAATCTATGTACAAAAATCAGTAGCATTTCTATACACCAATAACATTCAACCTAAGAGCCAAATCAAGAACATAATCCCATTTACAATAGCCACACACAAAAAAAATACCTAGGAATATATCTAACCAAGGAGGTGATAGATCTCTACAAGGAGAACTATAAAATACTGCTAAAGGAAATCATAGATGAAACAAACAAATGGAAAAACACTCCATACTCATGAATTGGAAGAATCACATCATTAAAATGGCCATACTTCCCAAAGCAATCTATAGATTCAACGCTATTCCTATCAAACTACCAATGCCATTTTTCACAGAATTGGAAAAAAAACTATGCTAAAATTCATATGGAACTAAAAAAGAGCCCAAATAGCCACAAAAATCCTAAGCAAAAGACCAAAGCCAGACATACCATTTTACCTGACTTCAAACTATACTATAAGTCGACAGTAACCAAAACAGCATGGTTCTGGCACAAAAACAGATACCTAGACTAATGGACTAGAATAGTGAACCCAGAGAAGTAAAGCCACACACCTCCAGGCATCTAATCTTCAACAAAGTTGACAAAAAAATAAGCAATGGGGAAAGGATTCTCTATTCAATAAATGGAGCTGGGATAGCTGGCAAGCCATATGCAGTAGAATGAAACTGGACCCCTATCTTTCGCCATATCCAAAAATGAACTCAAGATGAATTAAAGATTTAAATTTAAGACCTCAAACTATAAGAATTCTAGAAGAAAACACTATTCTAGACATTGGCCTTGAGGAAACAATTTATGACTAACTCCTCAAAAGCAATTGCAACAAAAAAAAATATTTACAAGAGGAACCTAATTAAACTAAAGTGCTCCTACACAGCAAAAGAAACTATCAATAGAGTAAACAGACAACCTACAGAATGTGAGAAAATATTTGCAAACTATGCATCCAACAAAGTTCTAAGATCTATAACAAACTTAAACATTTAAACAAGCAAAAACTAATAACCCCACTAAAAATGGGCAAAAGACATAAACTGCTCAAAAGAAGACACACAAGCAGCCAACAAACATGAAAAAATGCTCCACATCACTAACCATCAGAGAAATGCAAATCAAAACCAGTGAGATACCATCTTACATCAGTCAGAATGGTTATTATTAAAAAGATAAAAAACAGAGCTGGTGATAACTGTAGAGAAAAGGGAATGCATATACACTGTTGGTGGGAATGTAAAGTAGTTCAGCCACTGTAGAAAGCAGTTTGAAGATTTATCAAAAAACTTAAAACAGAACTACTATTCAACCCAGCAATCCCATTACTGGATATACACTCAAAAGAAAACAAATCATTCTACCAAAAAGACCCATGCACTTGCATGTTCATCGCAGAACTATTCACAATAGCAAAACATAAAATCAACGTAGGTGTCCATCAGTGGTGGACTGGATAAAGACAATGTGGTACATAACATCATGGAATACTATGCAGTCATAAAAGAAACCAAAATCATATCCATTGCCAGCTGCATGGACGCAGCTGGAGACAATTATCCTAAGCAAATTAATACAGGAACAGAAGACCAAACACTGCATGTTCTCACTTGAAAAGGAGAGCTAAACGTTGGGTACTCATGGACATAAAGATGGCAATAACAGACACTGGGGACTACTAGAGGGGGAGAAGAGACAGAGTCAAGTGTTGAAAAACTAACCTAAGTGTTGGGTACTATGTTCAGTATCTGGGTGACGGGATAATTTGCACCTTAAACTTCTACATCACCCAATGTATCCAGGTAAGAAACCTACACATGTACCCCCTGAATCTATAAGAAAAAGTTAAGGACCAGAGGCAATGGCTCACACCTGTAATCCCAGCACTTTGGGAAGCCGAGGCAGATGGATCACTTGAGGTCAGCAGTTTGAGACCAGCTGGGCCAAAATGGAGAAACCCCATCTCTACTAAAAATACAAAAATGAGCCGGGATAGTGGCACATGCCTGTAATCTCAGCTACTCAGAACACTGAGATTACATTTAGTCAATATCTAAATGCTAATATCTTCATTTTGTTTCCCTAAACCATAATCATGATATTAAGCTCCTCTTTTCATAAGAGTGTGTGTTCAAGTCTTTTGCTCTACCTCTTTTTTATTTTCCTGTTTTTCTTAGAAATTTACAGGAATTCTTTAAATATTCTGAATACCAGTCGTTTGTTTGATATATGTATTGAGTCTTTAGACTGAAATACGTATTTAGAATACTCTCAGTTTGTGGCTTACTTTTCAACATTTTACTTAGTGTTGTCTTTCAAAGAGCAGATGTTTTAAATTTAGATAAAAAACAATTTACTTATTATGTTCTTATATTGTTTGTGTTATATGTGTCCTGTCTATCCAAAAAGTTGTAAATATATTTATATGTGTTCATCTAGTAGCTTCATACTGTTGTTTTTTAAAATTAGGTTTATAATCCATTTTGAATTAGTTTTTGAATATGATGTGCAGTACAAAGGTGGGATTCTTTTTTTCTCATAAACTTATCCAATTGCTTTGAAACAATTTCTTGAAAATATGTTCTTTTTCTCAGTGGAATTATCTTAGAACCTTATGTAAAAATCAATTGGCTATATAGGTATAGGCCTATTTCTGTATTCTCTATTATATTCCACTGATGTATGTATCTATGTTTTGGTTATTCTAGGTCAGGTCATTTTTATTTCCACATAAATTTTAGACTCATAAATTTCCACAAAGTCTTTTAGGGTTATGATTGAGATTGTGCTGAGTCTGTGGATCAATTTGGGGGAGAGCTGACATTTTAACAATAACAAGTCTTCTAATCCACAGACATGATATATCACACCATTTATTTAGGTCTTCCTTAATTCTATTCAGCAACGTTTTCTAGTTTTCAGTTTATAGGCCTTTTACAATTTTTGTTATTTTTTCTAGATTTCTTTTGCTTTGATATTATTATAAATTATTTCTTCAAATTTCATTTTGTAACTTTGCTTTTGGCATCAATAATCATAACTGATTTTTGTATGCTAATTTTTCAACTGTTACCTTGCCAAATTCATGTACTAATTTTAGAAGTTAGTCTTTAGACTATTTAGGGTTTTCTAAATAAACAATTATGTTTTTATTCTTTCTTCATTTCCAATCTGTGGGCCTTTTACTATTACTTCTTTCCTAATATTACTGGCTAGAGTCTCCAACAAAAGGGGGAATAGAAGTGGTGGAAGGGGGCCTCTGGGCTTCATCTCCAATCTTAGGAAAATCATCTAATAGTTCACCATCCTACATATTAGTTACAGGTCTTTCACAGATTTCTTTTATAATATTGAGGATGCTTCCATCCATTTTCAGTTTTCTGACAGTTTTATGAAATTTTTTAAAAAATTCATAAATGTGTGTTGGATTTGGTCAATTGCTTTTTCTGCATTAATTGAGATGATCCTTTTATTTTTCTAATTATTCTGTAAATACAGAAAACTGTAGCAAGTGATTTTGAATGTTACATTAGCTTTTCATTTTTGGGCTAAATCCCACATAACCATGGTATTTTACCCTTTTATTCATTATTAGTATAAAAATTAGCCAATAGCAACTCAAATGTGCTAATAAATGAAACTATCTAGACATTGTGAAAATATTTTTATTATAAAATTATTTTCCTTAGTATAGTTCGAATAAATATTTTTTGAAATTTTAACCATATCTTTTAACCACATTTCAATAGATTACTAATTTTGAAAAAAATATTATAAATATATTTTAAAGTTATACGATCAACTCCCTTTATGTCAGCAAATGTTTTAAGAAGTCTCTAATTTTCTAAAAATTTTACCTCTGATTAAAATTTTATAATTGCTATAGCAAAAAATATCATCTTAATATTTCTTATTAGAGATTCAGAACTGATCCATTAAAAACATATATAGATCAATTAATTTGCTTTCCCCACTTTTGAATATGTGTAATTTGGGAATTCATAATTTCCATCTTCCTTTTCAGTTTCCAAATTTACAAAATATAAGGATTAGATTGGATAATCTCTAAGAATTCATCCAGCTCCATAGCTTATTCATCCCAAGTTACATTATTACCTTCGTCAGATAAGGTGTTAAATGTTTTACCCAAAGTTTGAATAAATTTAAGCTGTCAATAATCTTAATAAAATCTATTTGTAAGAGTTTCTAAAGTACTTCACAAGAACATTTTAGGCATTTTTCGACTTTCTCATTATATATGAAGTGGAAATTCAGTATTATCTATTTCATCACATTACTACTAGTAGCCAAAGGAGATCTTTAAAATCTAAATGTTGCCATTTTAGCAATATACTCCTTAGTACAGGGGCCTATTTTGTAATTTTTCAAAGAAATTAAAGATGTGACTTTATAAAGATTAAAGAGTTTTATGACATACTATGTCAACATTTGAGAAATATTTTTGAGTACCTACTATGTACGACAAGGCATTGGGGATAGCAGTGATAAAAAAAAAAAATCACCTGCCCTCATAGAACAAACATTTTTTGTAAAGAAGCTCTGATATTCTTGACTCTGAGTAGAAATTTTGTAATAGCTGTCTCCACTGATTGCTATCCCTTCTTTTTTCTCCAAGGGATCAATCTCTACTACATCACTGCTGCCCTACTTCCTTGTGAGAATTTTAGATGCACAGAATTTATAATCCATGGTTCATAATGCAATTTTATTGTTTCATGCAATTGATCAATAAGGTTTTTTGTTTGTTTGTTTGCTTGTTTTTAAGATGGAGTCTCGCACTGTCGCCCAGGCTGGAGTGCAGTGGCGTGATCTCAGCTCACTGCAACCTCCACCTTCCAGGTTCAAGTGATTCTCCTGCCTCAGCCTCCTGAGTAGCTGGGATTACAGGCACCCGCCACCATGCCCGGCTAATTTTTTGTATTTTTAGTAGAGACGAGATTTCACTATGTTGCCTAGACAGGTCTCGAACACCTGACCTCGTGATCCACCCACCTCGGCCTACTAATAAACACCATGGAGACAGAGCCCAACCAAATAATTAGAAAATTACCAATTAGTTATACCTACTTATGTTTTTCACTCCCCTACTCCATCTCAATGTCTTTCCATCAGAAGTAGCTATCCTTTAACTCTAATTGCTCCAGTAGACTAATCTTGCTATCTCAGAGTCACCAAAATGGGGCCTGCGTCTGTGTATGCTGGATTGGAGGGCAAGGCTGTATCATCTTCATTTTTCTTTCCCCCAGGGCCTAGCACTAGGCTAGCACAGAGTATGTGTTTAATAAACCTTTGTTGAATGAAATCATCAAAGAAACTCTTGGTTCTGTCATTCAATCCTTGCAGACATTGCCATTAGGTGTTATATATGCCCCTGCAAGAAATGTGCTCAACAAAATGAACCATCTTGTGTACAGGCACAACAGTTCAATGGACACAATGTTGGCTTTTTAAGAGGCGGGAATCTAAACTAAACTCCTATGTATATACAGCAATAAAGTATTTGCTTAATTATATAAAGTATGTTAAAATCTCATAATACAAGCAATGAGAATACACTAACATTTGTATAGCAATAGAAACTCTGACTTAAAAAAAATAAGAGTAACTTCCTTTGCATTTAATTACAGTTAATTTCAAGCATCACTGCTTCCATTAGAAACAAACAAACAAACAAATATACAGAATATTACCAAGTGTCAGTAATGGAATTCAGTGTCTTCTGGCTTACTATTTATATTTAATTGACCTGGAACATTTTTTTTTAAATAGCACCTTCCTAAATAAATAAATAAGCAGAAGTGCCATGAAGAATATTTTTTATCTGCACTGTGCTGAATTTTACTTTGCTCTTTAGTTCAATGTGATGCTGCTAAAATACTCTCTAAAACTTGGTTTTTATTTAATCATAACCACGATTATACTTAATATCACATATCCCTTTCCTTGTTGGCTGCTGCACATGCCGTATTGAAACTAAAAGCCATCTTGTTCCGGACCTGCAAAATCACCCTAGCCTCATTTCCCCCACTTAATGTACTCCAATCTACGCCTGGATGGTTAAAACAAAATTGAGTATTACTATCACCACCTTTGTAAGGTATATATTTTTACTCAACTATTTCGCAGCTCAGTTGATTTGGTAGTGAGTTGATGTAAAATATTTCCAATCTCTAGTTTACTCAGTGTAATACTTCAAACTTTAACCTTATCTGTTACCATTCAAAATAAAACATCTATACTATAACCCTTTCCTGAAAAACCTCTTTCATCTTTCACACATCTAGTAAATACAAAATACTGCAAGCCTATCATTCTGAGCAACTTTGCTTTGATTTCCCCACACTGTTCAAATCATGGAATATTCTACCACTTGCTCATTGCCACTATTCTGAATATGGAGATAGTAAGAGGCAAGGCCTCCAAAACAGCTTCAATCCTATTCTGTCATGCACATGTCAGCATACAGAGGCCCCATACACGATAGGGCCTGCACATATTTTATATGTGCAAAGCTGGGCACATATAAAATAGATTAATCCCTTCTCCACTCAAAGATACTGGACATAGAAACATAAAGATACACACACACACACACACACACACACACACACACACACACACACACAAATAAGAGTTTTATCTTCCCAATACAAAAATATTTTATTTGGATTAAAAATGTAAATTTTGTGATAACTGTCAAGCTAATTCCTTATAATTAAGCCACTGAATTCTTTACTTTAATCTGGCTATTATTACATCCCATCTACTATCTTAGGAATACTCACATGGGGGGGGGAAGCATGCAATACCTAATGGATATATTAAAATACTGCTGCATTTTGCACTGGGACTGAGTTGGTAGAGGGATCCTAAGATTCAAAAGAGCATGGACACATAGCAGCCTATCAATAGTTAGACAACATGGTAAGGATAACATTTGAACATACACAAGGTTAAAGTTAGAGACATCACTGTGAATCATATAACGTTTTAAATAATAGCACCTAATCAGATGTTTCAGGTGAATGTGATTCCTCTCTGTAATCTGCTTAAAGAGATGCAACGAAAGTACCAGACCTACGCAAAACTACAAAATGAGGGGTGCCTGAATCATGTACAGCAAATGCTTGCTGAAAATGCTATTTTACTTACATAACCTCTGTGTCACCATGAAGTGATCATAGCAGTCTTTGTTACTTCTGCCCTCTAGATAGCCAGACCCAGGGACTAGGGACAAGGTACTTGGAAACCATGAGTTGGAGGCAATGGGATTTAAGGCTTCCAAAATTTAAACCCTCAGGATTTATGTCTTATCCCAAGTAATGAATTCAACAGAATTTCATTTTTCTTAATAGTTTCCGTATTTAATCTACACATCTCTTACATTGTTATGTAAAGCAATAAAAAAATTGGGATAAATTCCAAGGCAATTGAGGATGAAACTTGAGTGAACTTGAGCACTCCAGTCACACACTCCAGAAGACAATTTTTCTCTCAAATTAGTTTTTTCTTGGCTCTCATTTAATGGCTTCCAGAATTTTCACATTTTCTGGTCTATAGATTACTTGAGATGAAGGTGTCATGCTTTCTCATTCTTAGAAAAACATGTCCCTCATAGCTATTTGGTCCTCTTGCTTTTTAGCCTGGCTGCTAAAGGAAGGAGCATTCACAGCAGAGTGCTACAGTTTAGTGCCAACTGACAGAAAATTCTTTTCTGGCTCACAAGATTGGTAGAAGAATAAATTGGAAAACTCTTGCTTTTGAAGTCCTGTTATATTTGATTTGCTATACCTTGAAACACTCCAGAGAGTCCTATTTATGATTTAAAGAATGACTAGACTAGTGTAAAGGGATGTTAGCAAGGTAGACATTGCATTTGATAAATATCCCATGAAGGATCCTAGTCTTGCTCAGGGGAGAAGAGGGTGGTGTTTTCTTTTTTTTATTTGGCAAGGACTTGCTCAAATTTTTGATCAAATTCCTTCAGGGTCAGTCTATGTACTTAAATGGAAAGAACTGTGTTGCCTTTCCCAGATGTAAAGTCGTTGACAATGGTTGATTTTTCAATTCTTAATAGAATTGCAGATGCCTCTTGCTGAACAGAGCCGAACACATAACAGACAAACCTGTAACTAATCTCTAAGATATCTTATTCACTTAATCCTCAAAAATGTGTCCTATATGCAATAGAATTGATTTCTACAAGGTAATATGGTAATACGAATGAGAGGCTATTCTCTTGTCTCTCTATCCAGTAGAGAATTCTGGGGAATGTTGACCACTTTCCCTAAGAAGATCCAATGCTAAGCAATGGGTAGTCCATCACATCCTCACTGGAAAGATCTAGTTGAGGTCAGATTACAAATTTTGCTTTCATTGCTTAAGGGGAAAAAATAGTTAAGTTACATTATTTTAGAATGCTCTTGAAATTAGTTTATTCTTTTGATTTTTTTCCCAGGCTTATTGGAGGAAGTAATATTTGCCATTAACTTAAATTTATCTTTGTAAATACGTGACTTGTTGGAAATCTTCCAAAAAATGTATACGTCTCTGTCTTTGTTGATCAGAATATTCTAAACTCAGTGTGATGTAATAGTCTGTTACATCAGTAGCGTTCAATGAACCATACCACCTATGATTTATGCCCTTGTGTAGTCTTCCCCACTTGGGTTTGGATTGGCCTGTGACGATATTTAACCAGTAGAATGTGGTGAATGTAGCACTGAGCCATTTCTATGCCTCAGACTTCAGAAGGCCTGGCACCTTCTGCCTTTGTGCTCTAGAGGAAGCCAGTTGCCCTGTCAGAAGTCCAACTGCCCTGAGTCTCATGGAGAGCTCCAGGAGGAGGAGGTCTGAAGTTTCTAGCTGATAGCCCCAGATAAGCTTCTAGCCAATGCCAAAGTCAACTTGCCAGACATACACATGTGTGAATAACCTTATGAGTGGATCCTCCAGCTCGGCTGAGTTGAGCTAGCTGAAACACTCCACGAAGCAGAGATGAGCAACTCCCTAGTGCCCTGCCCAAGTTGCAGACATATGAGAAAATAATGAGACTAGTGTTGTTCTAGGCCACTACGTTTTTGGGATAACAGACAACTGAAACATTGTATTTGATCTTTTTTTAATGACTCTAATGACTCATGGTTATCATGTTTTGATGAACCCAATAGATATCAGAAGATGTGGGTTCACCATTTATAATCAGGTTGCTTGGCTATTGGTGTTCCCAGTTTTCCCGTGTACAAATCCTGACAACCCCACAGGGATGTTGTACAGATCAAGTGACATAAAACACATTACTGTGCTTTCAAAACTATTCTATATATCTGAGCCTATTCACTGTTAGCATATTTCCCTTGACTCCAGATTCTAATTTCTTATCTATTACTACCTATATAAAAGAAAATTTTGGAGCCAAACAGGTAACTTAATTTTTTTCATCAATATACTTGATTTTCTATATAATTTTAAGTTGGTAAGCCACAGTCACCACCAATTAAATGCTTCATAAACCAAGTGTTGCTATACTTTTACACATACTAGGCCAATTTTAATTTCAGAGAATAAATTACAAGTATTTCAAAATTATTAGTCTCTCAAATATTTTTTCAAACTTTACAGTGCATCTTTGATAATACATTTCCTAATACTGTTCTCTGCAAGCAATTCTGCTGCCTTCATTCTGATGTCTTCCAAAATGTTAGACAAAAAGAGCGCAGGTACTTTACATATCTGTAGCCTTTGGCCAGTCATTTAATCATTCAGAGATTCAGTTTCCTTCCACATAAATTAAGGACAATTATTTCTGCCCTGCTGTCTTGTATAAGTACTTGTTAGAGGTACTATAGAGGCATTCAATAATTATTGTCATTATTATCATCCTGATTTCTTTTATGTGCTGTATCAGTAGGTGTGTCTTCATTTTTATGGTTTAAAGATTTTAGGACCATCTTTTTTTATATCCCCACCCAGAAGAAATAAAATGGCAGAAAACAAAAATAGCAAAAACAAGGCACAATTTTTTTCCCCCTGAGAATTTGGCAAAGGGCATTTTGCATGCACGTGTGTGTGTGTGTGTGTGTGTGTGTGTGTGTGTGTGTGTATTTGTATCTCTATTATGAATATGCATTCCCTAAGAAAAGATACGATCTTCTTATATCTTCTGTTTGGCATCTTGCAAACTAGGGGTGATTAAGAAAAATATCATTATGACAGCAGAAGCAGCAGCAACAACAAGAACAGATATGCTAGAGCCAATTTCTCTGATCCTTTCACAGTGGAATAAGCTCTTCATATTTTAGTGAGAATAAATGAAACATAACCTGAAGTGTTATGCCTGGTTTTAAAAGCCAGGTTTTCAGGCAGCTTTACCAAATGCTCCAAACTGAAAGGGCAGGAAGAACATAATTCTTTCTGATCTCTTCCCACTCTGAGACTGTTCTCAGACTTCAGTTTCTGATCTATGAAGAGAGGTGGGCAAAGAGCCTAAATGCAAGTCTCTAGTTCCATATCCTTGACTGTAATTCATTCTGAGAAACCCAGGAAACTACGTGTAGTCAAAAAATTCCCAAACTGTTCTGGAGTCTGCTGGTGACCTAATATCACAAATCAGAAAACGCAACACCCATCGGAAAAGTGGATTCTTACAGTACACATTTTTATTGTTCTTGCTGTTATATTTCAAACATTTAAAGTACAGAGAAAACGTCCACCTACCAATAAATCATTTATAAGAAGCACTTTAAGGCCCTCTATTTTGTTTATTGAAGCAATATTTAACACTCCCAGAGATAACAGTGGGTTTTAGGAGGATCTCATGTATATTTTGATTCTACATAGTCTTGCAATATACATGATATGCAAACTGGAAAGGACAAAGTAAAGAAAAAGAAGAAATGAGTTCATATCAACACTTATGCTAAATGTAAAGCACAACTTCTATCTGGGTGTATGTGTATATATATAAGAAAATGTGGCACATATACACCATGGAATACTATGCAGCCATAAAAAAGGATGAGTTCATGTTCTTTGTAGGGACATGGATGACGCTGGAAACCATCATTCTGAGCAAACTATCGCAAGGACAGAAAACCAAACACCGCATGTTCTCACTCATAGGTGGGAACTGAACAATGAGAACACTTGGACACAGGCTGGGGAACATCACACACCAGGGCCTGTTGTGGGGTGGGGGGAGCGGGGAAGGATAGCATTAGGAGATATACCTATGACAAGTTAATGGTTGCAGCACACCAACATGGCACATGTATACATATGTAACAAACCTGCACGTTGTGCACATGTACCCTAGAACTTAAAGTATAATAAAAAAATGAAAAAAAAAACTATATATATATATGAAAACAGTATGAGAACACCTTGCTATAAATCTTTTGTCTTTGGGCTTATGCAAACTATGCCCCAGCATCACTCCCATTAACCTTGATATAAGTGTGCAGAATGGTAGAGGTGCTGAAAGTGGAGTTTTCTTTTCTTCCTTTTTTTTTTTTTTTTTTTTTTTGAGATGGAGTCCCACTCTGTTGCCCAGGCTGGAGTGCAGTGGCACAATCTCAGCTCACTGCAACCTCCATCTCCTGGGTTCAAGCAATTCTCCTGACTCATCCTCCCGAGTAACTGGGATTATAGGTGCCAGCCGCCATGCCTGGCTAATTTTTTTTGTCTGTTTTTAGTAGAGACGGGGTTTCACCATGTTGGCCAGGCTGGTCTTGAACTCCTGACCTCAAGTGATCCGCCTCCCTCAGCCTCCCAAAGTGCTGGGATTATAGGTGTGAGCCATTGCACCCAGCCTGTTACCAGTTTTCATAGCAGACAACATGATGGATTCAGTGTTTATTCTCTCATTGCAAAACTGTTTTGAGAATTTCTGCTACTTACTAAGATGTTGGGAATCAGAGATGGAAATTCTGCCCTCAAAAACTAACAAAAATAAGTCAAGGAAATGAAAACATGGCAAAAGTAAGTGATGGGCCATAAAGAGTGGAGGAAATGGTTTCAAGAGTACGGGTGGGAAAATGTACCTTAATTTGGTTCCACAGATGTTTAAGTTCCTCTCGTGAGCCAGGTACTGGGCATATAAAAATTACTATGCCACAGGCAAGGAGGTGAGCCACTCCTTGTGAAATAGAAAATGAGGTAGGAATGTATGCAACTTGAGATGTACTGGACGATTTACCAGGTGAAGTGTGGGGCTTGAAGGGAGAGAAGAGGAAATCAAAAGTTGAGAAAATGTATGATCAATGGTATCTTTTGTGTGTGTGAATCTGGAGGCAAGCCAGCTTCTAACACAATGGTGACTGAGATGGGGCTTCAGGGAAGAAAAGAAAATGAGGCAAGTGTGAAAGTGAAACAATTAGAAATGAGTAAAAAAATTATCACAAAATATTAAGGGCCCAGCTGACAAACGAACAGGATACATTTTAGAGGCGTGCGTCAGAAGTCTTTTTGAATGCTCCTGGGTGCGGTGGCACAGTTAAAGTTGGCATACTAGACAATAAGAAAACAAAGCCTTAGGCCGGGCGTGGTGGCTTAAGCCTGTAATCCCAGCACTTTGGGAGGCTGAGGTGGGTGGATTACATGAGGTCAGGAGTTTGGGACCAGCCTGGCCTACATGGCAAACCCCATCTCTACTAAAAATACAAAAATTAGCCGGGCGTGGTGACACATGCCTGTAATCCCAGCTACTTCAGAGGCTGAGGCAAGAGAATCACCTGAACCCGTGTGGCAGAGGTTGCAGTGAGCCGAGCTCACACCACTGCACTCCAGCCTGGGTGACAGGGCGAGACTCCGTCTCAAAAAAATAAAAATAAAATAAAAATAAAAGTCTTTGTGAATGCTGCCTTCTTTACAGGCAAGAACCATGCCTTATTCATCTTGCTATGATTAAGAAAAATTTAGAACTTTGCACACAACATGCGTTTTACTCAGAGCACCATTTTATTAAGAAACGAGCAAAAAAGGAGACAAGAGGAAAAAAATTAAGAAACAGAAGGTCCTCAGGAAGGGGAGATATCAAAAGACAGTTAAATAAGGCCCAGAAGGAAAAAGGTGGACTACAGCAAGAGACAACGGGGACATGGATGAAGGAATGGGGGTGGGAATGAACGAACCTGAAAAAATAAAAAATGAAAATGTGACTAAGTAAATCAAATAATGAATCAAAAGAGAATCTCATACTTCGGAAAAATGCTCTTATTAAAACAGGAAAGTTGGAAAAGGAGGGGAATAAAGGATAAGATAATGAAATGAAAATGAAAGATAACATCCCAGAGTGACAAGAAGTAAATGTGTAGAAAGGCAGAAATGAGGAAAGTGAATAAAGGCTAGCATAGCAAAAGTGGGGAATGTATACATATATTTCATGGGACTAATTACATTCCATTTATATTTTGATGTATCACCCTATCTTGTAAGTCATGCTATGTCCAAAGAGTTTTCAAAGTCAAAAGTGGAAAAACAGTAGTTTTGGGTGGAAGAATTTACAAAATATTATATAGCTTTGAAATGTAGAATACATATTTAAAAAAAAAAATCTCTGCTACCATGACAGGTAATTTTCTTAGAATCCAAGACTCTGATTTTGTTTTGTTTTTTGAGATGGAGTCTCGGTCTGTCACCCAGGCTGGAGTGCAGTGGTGTGATCACGGCTCACTGCAAGCTCCGCCTCCCGGGTTCAATCGATTCTCCTGCCTCAGCCTCCTGAGTAGCTGGGACCAAGGGCGCCTGCCACCATGCCCAGCTAATTTTTGTATGTTTAGGAGAGATGGGGTTTCATCATGTTGGCCAGGCTGGTCTCAAACTCCTGACCTCATGTGATCCACCCGTCTCGGTCTCCCAAAGTACTGGGATTACAGGCATGAGCCACCGTGCCCAGCCCAAAACTCTGATTTTGGACAAAGAAGGTTTTACAAAGAAAAACAAAAAAGAGATAAACAAGGAAACAGGAATAAGTGTTGATTGGTGTTGGCTGTCAGCATGTTGACAAGAAGGAAACAGATGAACCGTCACCCAGAATGCTAAGCAGTAAGTTGCTCTGACAAAGGAAAAGCAGAGAGAATTTTTTTCTATTTGTCCTTTTGGAGTTTTTGTTCATGGATTACAATCTGCTGTGCATATGGAAGCAATGCAATTGCCAGTACTCTGATTAACACCTGACTTTAATATCTGTTTTGTTTGCATCTTATGGTTTCTAAACTACTGTGCATTGTCAGCTTTTGCTGGATCCCCTGATTGTTTCTTTAATAACATTTTTTTCTGTAATAATTAAGGAGAGATAATTTATTGAGAATTTTCTTGGATTCTTACGATACGACTGGTCATATACTCCCCATCACATGTGACACCTCCATGTATGCAGATCAATGGTTATCAAACTTAAATATACACAGTATCACATGGAGGACTTCTTAAAAGACGTTTGCTGGATCCCACTGCAAAAAAAAAAAAAAAAAAAAACTAGTGGGGGAAATCAGTGTATCAAAGAGATATCTGAACTCACATGTTTACTGAAGCACTATTCACAATAGCCAAGATATGGAATCAAACTAAGTGTCCATCAATGGATGAATGGATAAAGAAAATTGACATATACACATAATGGAATATTATTGAGCCACCATAAAAGAATGAAATCCTGTGATCTTTTTCAGCAATATGCTTGGAACTAGAAGCCATTACGTTAAGTGAAATAAGCCAGGTACAGAAAGACAATGTCCACATGTTCTCATTCATGTGGGAGCTAATACAGTGGAGCTCATGGAGTTAGAGAGTAGAATGATGGTTACCAGAGGCTGGAGAGGGAAAGGAAGAGGCATTGGAGAGCTGGTTAAGGAGTACAAAAATACAATTAGATAGAAGGAATATGTTCTAGTATTTGATAGTACAGTAAGGAAATTATAGTTAATAATAATTTATTGTATATTTCAAAATAGAAAGGAAGAACTATAATGTTCCTAACATAAAGAAAAGATAACCAAATTATCCTGCTTTGATCATTACATATTGTATACAGGTATCAAATTGTCACGTGTACCCCCAAAATATGTAGAACTATTATATATCAATAAAAATATATTTTAAAAGATGATTGCTGGGCCTCACTTGGAGTTTCTGACTTGGTAAGTCTGAAGTGAGGCCCAGGAAATTGCATTTCTGAAAATTTCCAAGATGATACTGACGGTGCTGGTCTGCAGACTACATTTTAGAAATCAGTGATGCAGATCGCTCCTACTGACTAGATGTTCTCAAAGACTTTGTTGTGTTTCTACAACAAAAGTAAATGAACTTAGGGTTCCTTGATCAAGAATGATGTTCTCTGCTCACATCATTAATTGGAAACAATGTTTAAAATACTCCCCACTACTATCAATAGCAGAAGTATGTAGTTGCTTACTATACACTTGGCTGAACTGGCAGAATATAACAGTTCCTAACCTACAGATTCCTCATGTCAAAATATGTATATAAAAATGCAAAGTATATAAATATTAATAGTTTACATGTCACAATACATTTTCCCATATGTAATACTTTAATTTTACAATTGATTTTGACTTAAAAGAGAAAAATTTTTAAAAATTAAATACAAATAACTGTCTGGATGTTTTCAACCATGATTTTCTATTATCTAAAATTATGAGAAAAGCAGATATACATGGTACATGGAGAATGTCAATAGAATCTATCATAAAAATTTGAAAGAGAATTTTGAGTGTTTTTCATCACAGTACTTGATTGTTATATCTTAATTTATTTCAAAATGTGGGGCTTTATTTTTTTCCTAATAACATGTAATAACACTACTTCTTATAGTTTCCAGCTGTGGTAGGGGTTGTTTTTCTTTACCACTGGAAATTAGTTTTCTTGGTTTAATTAGACAAATGTTTAGAAAAAAAAAAAAAGATGAAGGGCAAAGCCTGTATAAACCAATAAACTGTATTTCTGAAGATGAATTTAACCAGACTCTCTGGGGTGTTGTGAAGATGGCATTCTTGAATGGACAAAAGAAAAAGGTGCTAAGTATTCAAACTTGGATTAAAATTGTCATGGTTAGCCAGGAGGAGGCCCTGTTGACATAGGGCAGCTTAGCTGCTGCCCATAGGTAGTACTGTGATGTTCTCAAAATGTGATCTATGGATATCCTGTATTAGAATCACCTAGAATGTACATTAAAAAATGTGTATATATAAGACCTACTGTATCCGGAAGGGACATTTATAAACTGTAATTGAAAGTTTACACCCTAAAATTTTAGAATTACTGCAGTTGTGGGTAATGGCAGAGACTTACTGTGAGTATTACAGAAGGGAGCAGTATGCAGCTATTATTTTGTATTTAGGGAGTGTGTTAAACACATATTAGATTCAGCAGATTGAGGATGTGCCTTGATATATTCTAAAATCTGTTATGCAGACCTAGTGTGCACTCAAAGAAGACACTAATGGCAATGACAACAAAATTTTTGAGCTTTTTTTTTAAATTTACAAGGATATTTTTAACAGGTATTTTCATGTAAAATATGGATTAAACATAACAATATGACTGTTGCTTTAAAAAATAACTTTTGCTTGGCCAGGCGCGGTGGCTCACGCCTGTAATCCCAGCACTTTGGGAGGCCAAGGCAGGCGGATCACGAGGTCAGGAGATCTAGACCATCCTGGCCAACATGGTGAAACCCCGTCTCTACTAAAATACAAAAAATTAGCCAGGCGTGGTGGTGCATGCCTGTAGTCCCAGCTACTTGGGAGGCGAGGCAGTGGAATCGCTTGAACCCAGGAGGCAGAGGTTGCAGTGAGCCAAGATTGCGCCACTGCACTCCAGCCTGGTGACAGAGCAGGATTCTGTCTCAAAAAAATAAAAAACTTTTGCCTTATATTGTTAATAAGAATTACAGCCTCTAATTCACTGCTGGAAATTAGCAACCCATATAGGTAAAATTGAATAAAATCCTATCACATTACATTGTACAGTGTTAATAATTCCAATATAGTGTATAGTATATAGTGTTAATTCAAATATCACACTTAAATAAAGGATTCTTAATAAGATTTGATGAGTACAAGATTTGACTATTTCAAATTGAGCCCTGTTTGAAATAGTCATTATTACTAAAAAAAAGTTCATTATTACTAAAAAAAAGTTCACAAACATGCTCAACAAAATTGGATAGATGTTGTTAGCTTTATTCATACACAAAAAAACTGTTAACGATAAGTGTACAGCTGCCTCCAACAAGACAAAACAAGATCTATCAAGTAGAATGTGCCTGATGCTTTACCATTAGGCCATCCTAATCTGCCGATGTAATCAATAGCCCATAAAAGTAAATCCTAAACTCAATGTCCGTCACTGAAATCACCCAGAAGCCTTCTTTCTTCACTCCTTTTTAAAACTACACTTGTTCCTCATACATGCTTCTACCTCTAGGACTTTGGGTTTCTGGACTTATCTTGGTTTTTCTGCCTTGACCTTTGGCTCTTTCTAATGTAATTGGCTCCGACTCCATTTCTGGCCATCTGAACTCTGGTTCCAAGAATTAATCCAGGTGATCAACACATTTACAGGTTTGCTCTATCCCTTACAAAAATAAGTAAGTAGTAACTTTGACATAAAATAATTAGAGTGGGCTTTTTATAAACAGGCATTTATATTTGAAATCCTATCCAAAATACTCAAATTGTGAAGATATATTCAAATAAAATGAAACAGAAATTCTCTGTAAATTCACATTCAAAATGCTCTTAGTTTGATATCCTATGATTTCTGCAAATGCTAAAAATTAATCCTGAATTCAAATGTTTATAGTTTTACCTATCATTTATATTGCAGTTTAAAAAGATGAATGTGCAATGTTTTATTAAAAAGCTATGAACTGTGTCCAAACAGATATAAAGAAATGTTGAAATAGGTTCCATGTAGAAGAATGTATGGCTTTTATTTTCCAAATAGCAACTTCAATAAATTAAAGTGCTCAATATTGTACCAGCCAGTGTCAGAAATGAATAGTGAACCTGCCAGCAGAAATGTTTTCAATTTCTTAAGCACCATATTGGTCCCTGACAGAATAGATTGGCTTTTTGACACAAAGTTGTAGTGGCAGGGATTTTCAAAAAGAGGAAGAAAATTCCTCTTTAACAAACTACCCAAGTGATGAACTATATCCAAATGTAACTTAGTATACCAAAAATTCTATTTTGGAGTAAGCTAAGACAAATGTCAGTACAATTATATGTCGGCATTTTTGGTAGTAATAATAATTAAAACATTTAAATTATTTTCTAAAGGAATAATATTTTTTAAAATTAATTAAATATTTGTTGGTTTTTTAACTACATATTTTTTCTCCTGGATTTGCAATATGAATTAATTACACATTCTGAACCAATTCTACTTCGAAAACATTTTTACTATAAGAGAAATGTAAGTTAATTGGAGAAAACTTGAAAGGCACAAAAAAATTATCAAGATAAAACTAAAAATATATACCTAAAATGGTATTACACATAAATATTGTTATGTATTATACACTTTTTACATAACTTGTCTGCAATGTAAACAAGTTCTAGAAAGCACTAGAAAAGTAATTCTGCATAAATGTTTATTCACATGTGTACTGTCACACATACATATATATATATACACACACACACATACAAACTGGGAAAATCATTTGCAACAGTCATGTTAAAAATAAGGTTAATGATTTGTCTATTAAAAAATACATTTTTACAATTTCCTCATTTACATTTAAATTACTAATCCATTTGAGAGTTGTTTTCTGACTATACGTGAACCAAGAAGCCACACTAATGACGCTTGACTCAATTATTATTTGGAAACTAACAATATGTTGCTGTCTAAATATATACAAATTTAATTACTATATATATTTAATAACTATATGTGTGTGTACATATATGTATATATGTCACTATTTAGATTTTACTTAAACCACCTTTTAGCATTTACCCTGAAGCCAAGGTTAAGCAAATCTTTTAGAAAAGTCTAAAGTTCTGGCATATATTAAATAAAATATAATTCTTTAAATTACCAAAAACTTCATCTTACAAAAGGATTTGCAGCTAGCTTTATTTAAATATCAAACTCCCACTAGTATGTAGTGTTTGTTTATATACCACAATCTATTCACAGTGTTGCAGACACAGAAATTCAAAATTAGAATAATAGAAGCAAGTGAGGGAATTTAGCAAAATTTTCTTTATACACTTTTGTCTACTATGAAAAACAGCATGCTTTATGCTACAGTTTCAAGACAACAATAATCACAAAAATCAAATAAATACATCGCTCTAATCTGCATCTTCATCCATCCATCATTCTTCAAATTATGGCCAAGGGCATATATATGTATTTAGGATCTATTATATTTTCATTACTTGGTGTAGTTAGTATAAAGTTTAGTTGCTGAGATACATGCAAAATATCTCCATTTCAGACATCACTGTTCATATTGTATTATAAATGAAGTATCAACCTACCACCTAATCAAGAGCAGTTCCTGCAGTGAGCAGGGGAGAGAAGTTAGGGTAGTAACTATCTTGCCAGAGGAGATTTAACCAATCTTGGGCTTCACACTCCACCAGCTGTGCTTAGTTTCTCATTTTCCTTGAAGAACTTGATATGCTCAGTTGCTGTAAACATTACTGTAGAACTAGGAAACTGTATGAATCATCTTTAGCACTAGGGTTTGATCTCTTTCTTCCATATTGAAACAAAATACTCTCCCATCCTTACCACCCTTGTAATGACTCAGTATACTTACCATTATCCTTTTTGAAGAAAGAAAAGCTGTAGATGTTAATTTTTCTACACTTTATTAAAAATGTCCATTACGGATATTTGGTATTAAGGGCAAATGTTCAAAGTAATTGCACATATTTTAAACTTAGTGGTTGTGAAAATTTGTCAGTCTAAAAAAAACACAATGGATTTTTTTAAAAGTCATAATTTTAAAAAGTATTCTGAATTTCAGGAATATAAAAAACATAAGACAGGGACTAGTTTTAATAAATATTTTTCATGGACAATAGATGGTGAAAGGCTAATACTGAACAATAAATCTAGGAGAGTATATACAATGGCACTATATTTAAATAGCCTAGATAGTTCAGATTCCTTAAAAGTAAGACTGTATTTCTAGACAACCTACTGTAATTATTGATCCTGCAAAGTTATTAAATACAATACATAGATATGAGTTTGACGGTTTTGATCAAGTTCAACTGTATAAGTTGGGATCACCCAGAATACTCTATGAAAGCACTGGGCCCACCAATCCTCACTTCCTCACCCATGTAATGCAATTTTTGTCAATTCTGTTTCTGCAGTAATGAACCAAGAAAGTTAGCTCACTTTTAGATTATCTGTAATTTTCAAATTATTTGTAGGGCTCTCAGAGCCATCAGAAGTCTGGAGATGGTGACCTGTGAGGTTAAACTGGAAATGCATCATCATCCTGAGACATGTTGAAAAGAGAAAGAGGTAAAGAAACTTATGCTTAATGACCACTTTATAGGTAGCAACAGCAACTAGTGTCCCACATTATCTTAGTTAAAGCCTATTAGGCATGCTGCTTTTGTTGGTCTGCATTCATGGAGGAGACAACACCTGATCCTGGCCATGAAGGATGAAAAGAATTAAGATATTTGAGGAAGAGGAAGATAAGGAGGTGTCTAATAAGCAAAACATGGTGTCAGTCTAGACTCTGCATAGCACATTCTGGCAAACCAATTTGCTGAGAACTCATGGTTGATGTATAATATGAGTGATAAAGATGAAAAATATGTTAGAATTAGACTGCGCAGGAAGACAATAAATGTGGTGCAGGCAATAAAAGACAATTGAAGGACTGTGAGGCAGGGAATAACTTGTATGGAATATCAAGATAGGCTGAAGTATAAAGCCCTTTAAATGGGATCTTAACAAACTGGGCAGTAGGTTATAAGGGTTGCTGCCTAAGTGGTGGCAAAGGAAGTGGAAAAAAGAAAACAGACATAAGAGATTTGGCCGGGCAAAGTGGCTCACGCCTGTAATCCCAGCACTTTGGGAGGCCGAGGCGGGTGGATCACGAGGTCAACAGACCGAGACCATCCTGGCCAACATGGTGAAACCCCATCTCTACTAAAAGTACAAAAATTAGCTGGGCGTGGTGGCACGTGCCTGTAGTCCTAGCTACTCAGGAGGCTGAGGCAGGAGAATCGCTTGAACCCAGGAGGCGGAGGTTGCAGTGAGCCGAGATCGCACCACTGCATTCCAGCCTGGCAACAGAGTGAGACTCCATCTCAAAAAAAAAAAAAAAAAAGAAGATTTACCAAGGAAAGAAACAACTAGTCTACTAGTCTTGTGGCTGTATCACTGTGAGAGGGAAGGAAATAAGAAAAGTTAGTAATAACTTGAAAGAGAGACTTTAGCTATTTTAGAGAGATCATGGCACTACTGTCTGATGATAAGTCAGGAAAAGAAGTATATAAAACTGAAAGCTATTATACAACTTTGCAACCTGGGCAGGATATTGTTCTAAAATGTGCTTATCAGACAAAGGAGCTGACACATAAGTGGTAGAAGCTTCCTTATGACTTACTGCATCCCGCAGGTGAGTCAGTGTGGCAAAATGGTAGCATCTTTACAGAACAAGAAAAGGACTAGAAAATGCTACTAGTATCCATACATTGTACATTTATGAATTTAGCTCCTTAAGATTTCACAATGATCATAAATAAACCATATTTATATCACCCTTTATTACCACAAGAAAAAAAAAGGAGGATTTGTATTTCACCATTCAGAACAGCAACATTAAATTCCTTTCCCAAAACTCTAGGAGGTATCAGATAACCAACAAACACAGCACCTATTAGGCAAGTATTTGGTATTCCAAGTGACTCAGCCAGGTACAGGAAATTGAAAAATCATTCAAGAGTCTCCTAAACTGACATATTTCAATATGATTTTATAATATAAATTTTATACTGTTATTTGTCTAACATACTAGGATTCTGCAATGATACAAACTACATAATAAAAAGTATTATCCCTGATGATACTTGTACTTGCTCTGTTAGCTGAGTTGTGTATATACATTGAATAAATAAGACACCCCAAGACTTTAGAGAATATCCTACCCAGCAACATTGAGAATGCTTATATAAAAATAGCTGAATGTCACGAAACAGCCATTTGGCCATCTGAAAAAAAAAGTGATTACTGAAAAAAAAAATACCACTAAGGTTCAACTTCTGGCAATATTAGAAAAAGCTCAAGTCATCCAACTTGCAGAAGGGTTTGAATCTTAGTGGACACTCTTGAAAAAATTATTGACTCTCCTCTTGGAACCCTGGCTGTTAATTTTGTACCTAAAATACACCACCTCAAGACCTCAAATCACCAGCTCCAAATACAATTTTAGGAAATAACTGTGTCCCAATTATCCTGTATATATTCAGTTTTCTTTTCCAGTTGAGACAGGAAATAAAAGAGGAGGAACTATGTTTACCTTACTACCATCTCCGTGCAACTCTGTAGAACACCCATTGATTGTTATAGCTTGGTCAAGACTGAATAAACCAGTCAATATATGACATACTTACAATACAGAGATAGGTCTCTTTCCCTTCTACTTTCTCACTCTTAACTTTTCCCCACAGGGCTTCTGTTTTAAACATATATTATCAATAATCTCTTGGCACCTCAAATCACACTGGGTTTATTATGTACAGTGTTATGTCTCATTATCATTATCCTAAGATTCAATCTCCCAGAAGATGAGACATGTCTTCTTTCAGTGTGCTCTCCTTTGAGATACTGGGTAATCTATCAATTTCACCATTCTCTGGGACACTCTTTCAGGTTACTGAGTGTGACTACTGGTGTTTTTTATTGTAACAGTCCTTCCAGTTCTTGGTACAGTTTGTTTGTTTTTTTTTCTTTTTGAGATGGAGTCTCGCTCTGTCGCCCAGGCTGGAGTGCAGTGGCGTGATCTTGGCTCACTGCAGTCTCCGCCTCCCAGGTTCATGCCATTCTCCTGCCTCAGCCTCCCGAGTAGCTGGAACTACAGGCACCCGCCACCACGCCCAGCATTTTTTTTTTTTTTTTTTTAGTAGAGACGGAGTTTCACCGTGTTAGCCAGGTTGGTCTCGATCTGACCTTGTGATCCGCCCACCTCGGCCTTCCAGAGTGCTGGGATTACAGGCGTGAGCCACTGCCCCCGGCTACAGTTTCGAGATATCTTAATTATTTCACATGCTCCCAATATACTTACACAAACTCTATCGACAGGTCTATGTCAAATGTAGAAACAAACTGCTCACATATCTCTTAATAAATTGATTATGCAGAGAAGCAAATAGCGAAGGACTTAAAAAAAAAAAAACAAAAAAAAAAACAGGCCAGGCATGGTGGCTCACACCTGTAATTCCAGCACTTTGGGAGGTCGAGGTGGGCGGATCACGAGGTCAGGAGATCAAGACCATCCTGGCCAACATGGGGAAACCCCTTCTCTACGAAAATACAAAAAAAAAAAAAAATTAGCCGGGTATGGTGGTGCACTCCTGTAATTCCAGCTACTCAGGAGGCTGAGGCAGGGGAATCATTTGAACCCGGGAGGCAGAGGTTGCAGTGAGCCAAGATCGTGCCACTACACTCCAGCCTGGTGACAGAGCAAGACTCTGACTCAAAAAAAAAAAAAAAAAAAAAAATCAAAAACAGCCTTCTCCTTTCACAGTATTGGAAGATTCTGTTGTTCACCTGTAGTCACTGCTATTAATTCACAACCACATTAGTTTATTACCTGTGTCAAGAGTGAAAAGCAAAGACAGTAGTGGTCATGTGTGTCTTTGTATCCTTGTTAGTAAACTTAGATGAGAACAGTTTCAAATAATGGAGGGAGGCACGAAAAGTAAGAGAGAAAGAAAATTGAATCATTTCATATTTTCCAAATGTTTCAGTCCCTTTAAATTCCATCTTATTTTCTTTTACTAGTATGTTGTTCATTACACATGAAAAATTCAGAAATATAAACATCACTGAACATCAAACAAATCTTCAATCCTGACCACTCCTCTACACACACTTGTGTACTTTAGTTGCTTTGCTACACCACATCTTTTCTCACAAAGCTATGTCAGCTTTCTGAGGCAAAATTCTCTCTTATTTTTGATGCCATGAAGAGTAATTAATGCAAAATTGCCAAGGCTTATTTTTATTGTCAGGAGGTATACTTTATTTCATTTTTGTTTAGAAAAAACTACAGGAATACCATCTGCAATATCATGGAGAACTTGTAAGAAAGATTGTACAAAAACACCTCCAGTAGGACAAAACTTAAAATGACATTTTTTTGTTTTTGTGTGTGGTTTTTTTTGTTTTCGTTTTTTTTTTTTTTTGAGACGGAGTCTCACTCTATTGCCCAGGCTGGAGTGCAGTGATGCGATCTCGGCTCACTGCAACCTCCGCTTTCCAGGTTCAAGCGATTCTCCCGCCTCAGCCTCCTGAGTAGCTGGGATTACAGGCACCCGCCACCATGCCCAGCTAAGTTTTATATTTTTAATAGAGACAGGGTTTCACCATGTTGGCCAGACTGCTCCCGAACTCCTGACCTCAAATGATCCACCTGCCTCGGCCTCGCAAAGTGCTGGGATTACAGGCGTGAGCCACCACGCCCAGCCGAAAATGATATTGTTTCACCAGGTGGTCAGGTAGTGCCACAGGATGGAATAACATATGCATGCAGCCAAGGTTAAAAGGCAGATAAGGAATACCCAGGGAAGAGATCAGTGCATGATTTGAGGTTGCTGAGAACAGTCAACATGCATACCAGGCTCAAGTGGTAGAGCACTGACATAGGAGAAAGGAGTGTAGGCACAAGATGCAGCTCCTTGCAATGTGTAGGTCCCACGTGGCTATATCCATGCGGAACATGTGGCTGCATTCATGCCACTTTGTGTTGCAGTAGACCGACACCAACCCTTGCCCCACGGGGACTGAAATACAGAATCCTGGGAGATGACCAAGGGTCACTGTTGCATGCATACCTAAGCATTTTCCAGAAAAGTTTTCATACGCTGGATGCAGAGGGAACAGGGGTGTACTAGATGTGCTCTAAGTTATCTGCATGCAATGCAATCTGTGAGCTTTCTAACACATCCACGCTGAGCACAAGGATCTTCTTGGGAACACAGGGGAGGTGTCGTCAGCCTGTGTATGAACCCTTTGCTCAGATATATAAACCATTTTTCTTAAAAGACTACAAACAAGCATTATAATCAATTGTAATATTTGTATTTTATAAGAAATCCAGAAATTAAACGTTCCTTTCCTTATATAATCATAGTTGATCCTCTCAGTAACACACAGGGTAGGCAGGCTATGTGCTATTATCTTCATCTTCAAATGATGAACAAACTGTACTTCAAGGAGATTTACAAAATTTACCAAAAAGCCCACTGTAAATGAGTATGGCAGTTACTTAGCATTATGATTCTGGGCAGTTTGGCATGCAATTAAAATCTTTTTCAACGATCACCTTTTATTTAAGCATTAAAGATTACACATAAAAATCCTTTGTTATCTCCATGAAAATGCTTATTAGTCCCCAATTGGTTATTACAAATAAGAAAATACATTTACTTTATTTGCATTGACATCAGACCTTTTATAAAACGTATTTTATAACTGGAGTTCCATTTTTGTATTCCGTTTATTGTATATATTGATTGGGGTTACATTCCTCAACATTATTTACAAAGAAAAATTTAAATACAAATTGCTATTGATGTAAGTATGCGCCATTAAAAATTCCTATAGGGAGAAGATACACACTACGTCTTTATGGAATACTAAGTGCAGCAATCCCCCCGTTATTTGTGGGGCATACATTCCAAGACCCCCAGTGGATGTCTGCAACTGTATAGTATGGAGAACCTGATTGCCATTAATCAGAACACATTTCTGTTCATGTCTTCCACCGACAAATTTAATGTCTTTTCCATTTTAGCTACATACTTATCATGCACTGTGGCTGTAACTTTGCAGTCTGAGGTCCAACAGTAAAATTAGCATAAGTTTCTTTTTCCTTCTACACAATTTCATGGATGGAAAACTTATTCTTACCATAGACCTCAACAACCTCGGCATACAATTTTTTTCCTTCCTTATTTAAAGTCAAGAACTTTCACTTTTTCATATAAAGGAAGCACTTTACGGCCTCTTTTGGCATATCCGAATTGCCAGCATCACTATTCTTGCACGTTGGGGCCATTATGAAGTAAAATAAAGGTTACTTGAAACACAAGCACTGAAATACTGCAGCAACAGATTTGATAACAGACGGTTCATGGGTGGGAAGTGTCAACAGTGTGGATAGGCTGGACAAAAGGATGATTAAGGTACCAGGCAAAAAGGATTGAGGAGCTGGGAAATTTCATCACGCTACTCAGAACAGAGTGCAATTTAAAACTTAGGAAC
This sequence comes from Homo sapiens, assembly GCF_000001405.40. Taxonomy (NCBI): domain Eukaryota; kingdom Metazoa; phylum Chordata; class Mammalia; order Primates; family Hominidae; genus Homo; species Homo sapiens. The sequence goes on along the minus strand of NC_000002.12, from coordinate 167,349,188 downwards.
AGTTTATTTCTGGAATTTTTCACCTAATATTTTCACACCATGGTTGCCCATGAGTAACTGAAACTGCAAAAAATAAAACCATGAATGGCAGGGGGCAAGTACTGTATACAGTTACCTATTTCACCACTTATTTCATATTTCAATACACTATCCTGAACTGAAAAATATGAAACATGACCAGTTTCTAACAAATATATACGGTGTGCCTCCTAGGTGCAAAATCCTCTGCTCACTACTGCAATTACACAAAAGATTAATCAAGCCCAGATCCCATTTCCAAGGAACTTTTACTATAATATAATAGAAAAGATAAGACATGAGGGCTATGATTATATTACCATGTGAAAGATAGATCTTATAAAACCTCTATATAAAGATGACAAAAATGGGGGTTCAGAGGAAGGGCAAGCACTTTTAACTGAGGTAATCTGGGAGAGCTTTCTGTAATAGGTAACTTTCAGAATGAATATGTGAACATATTGAGAGGGGTGAAAATGCCTTACATCCTGAATGAATAAAAAAAAATCTGTGATGCCAGAAACTGAAATTCAGCCCACATAAGGAGAAGCAGATTAGTAGAACATAAGTTTAGAGCAGAGGATGAAACTAGTTCATAGAAGGCCTTGAATAACAGATTAAGAAGTTTGAATTTAGGTCATTTAATATGGTTAAGCATCTCAGACTCTTATCAATTACTTCAATTTTCTGGCAAATCTTAAGCCCTGACTTTCATAAATAAAATTTATATTACGAAGTTTTATCTATGCATGAAAATATTCTATGCAATTAAAGGTAGTAATGCTCAAAAAGAATATAAAAAATAAATTTACTGTTAAAACACTGCCTGAAGGAAACTTCATGTTTCACACAATTTAGATGAAACAATATAAAAATTACTGAAAAGACATCTGGATACAACTGGTTAAATGGACGCATGTATGTCAATAGCTTGTACTAAACTTCCTGAAATTTTCATATTTAAAAAGTATATACTGTTTTAATAATAATATTTTAAGGGTTAACCTTTACTGAATATGTGTTATGTGCCAGGTGCTATGCACAATTTGGGTTTATATACACTATCTTTGATCATCACAATGGTTCCATAATTTGGAAATGACTAATATTTCACAGAAGATGAAACAAAGATTCAGAAATGCCCAAGGTCACACAGTAAATAAGTTTTGGACATGGGGTGGTAACACAGGTCAGCCAAACTCTAAAACTTGTGTCACTTCTTTCTACTAACCTAAACACCAAACTAATATTTCTAAAGGTAAACTTGATGCTGATTTCTGAAGATATTAATACATTTGGGTTTTTCAGACAACAGTTCAACTCTTCCAGGTTAAAAAGTAAGTGAATTGTTTTGTTTCCTTTTTCTACATGGTCAAAGAAAGGAAATGATAATTTTTTAAATTTCCATAAGGAAAAGCAACAAACGCATGGTTACTGAAGCAAGAATGATAGAATTGCAGATTCTGTTGGATTCCATCCGATCTACACTTTATATACTGACACTGATACTGATGTTGAAAAATGTCAAGTCACTTTCAGGTATAAGCAGTTTTGGTGAATCCCAAGTCACATAGAACCTAAAGGGTAATACAGTCCACATATAACTTAATTTTCCTTTATTTTAAATAATACAAATGAAACCTGCTGATGCAGAACCTCACACAATTTCTAGAAACCAGTTGGAAAGATGATCTGATAATCAGAGAGATATTGGAATCTCTCACAAGCCCCCTTGGAAAGGACAATTATTATAGAACTGAATTCCATTAAAAGATTCCTAATGGTCAATTAAGATAAAAGAGGATTAATGCAGTTTCATCAAGTTAAGCTCACTCTTTCTAAGCATCAACTTGCTCTAAGCTAGTGCAAGTGGCTCCTAAGTCTCTTAAAGATACCCCTTTCGACCAATAATTAAGAACTGAAGTTAATTAGAGTGAGGTAATAACCTACCTGGGATGACTCTGCATTGGGTCCATGAGGCTCTTTTATAAATTTAACATTCAAGTGCCCAGAATACTTTTATTAGAATCCATAAGATTAGAACAATTATTAGTTATTTACATTTGGTTTAAGATTACCTAATATTTAGTTGGTGATAACTACAGAGAGATTTAATGATTGCATTGGGATATTAAATGTCACTATCAAAACACAATATATTTTGTATTTAATGACAAAAATAATAACTACATTTATATGAACTTTTACAATTTTTTGGCTAACATAATGAAAGGTGGATCAGAGCTTTAGTCATAATGCCTGATAAACAGCGGATCGATAGTTTTGAGCAGTGTGTAGAAAATTGTTTTTTCCCCTCCATATAACCAGAATGATTCGTTCAGACGAGGACCCAAAATTAGATCTCACTAAATTACAGGTATACGCACACACACGCACACACACACACACGCACCACCCCCCCCCCACACACACACAAACAACTCAGAAATTAATCATGCAGACTTGATACTTTTTATGTGATGGTAGTTTTACACACCCAAAGAAAATGGACCCTCAAGATACTGAATCCAACTTACGATAACTGTAATATTTCTTTCCTGTGTGGTTAATAAAACATTATTCCATCAAGCCTTGGCATTGTACAAATAAATTGCTTAATTCCAAAATCTCCTTAACTTTGCATTAATTCTTATTATTCAAGGATTTTAGAATTTTGCATTACATTGACATAAGGGATCAGTTTAAAGATGGCTCTGCAAGTTGGTATTAGGTGATACTTAAGGCTGGGAGAAAAACTTGATGTTGTGGTTTTGGATTATTTTAAGTAAATCAGAGTAGATATATACTGTAAATAGATATACAATAGGCAAATGCAAATACATAAGTAAATTAAAACATTTATCTTAGAGCCAGTACTTGTTTTCTGAGCCTGAGGGTGTTATACCCTAGAGTGGGTGTGGGGCATACTCAATGGGTGAACTGCATTGGAGTCACCTTTGCCTTTCATGGAATATACTGATATGACATACTTTTTTCCCCTCCAAATCACAAAATGGTTATTTTCGTACTGAAACTGCTAGGAAAAAAGTGTAAAATATATTTATTTAAAATATATAACTACTATATCATTTTAAGTTACCATTCATAGAATGCTTTTTGAAAGAAAAAAAAAAAATCCAACAAATAAGTATCTAGATAAGATGACCAAGAGTTGGGACTCCACCTCTGTGCTAAAGTAAGCTGGAAAAAATACCATGAATCAGGTCTACCTCAGTGAAAATGGACAAAAGCCTTTTAACTTTGTTTTCAGATGATGATATGGGAAGACCAAGAAAACTCTCACAAAGAATTGTTTTTTAAGACTCCACTCAGTGAAGCCATTTATAAGACTCCCAGCATAATTGCCTCTTCCTCTGTTGTCCTAGAGCACTTAAGTAATCATCTACCACAGCACACTATATTTTAACAGATCACATGTCTCTACTAGTTGACTAAGAGCTTCATGAGAGTACTGTGTCTTATTTTCACCTACTGACATAACAGCGAGCACATATTTGTGGAATAAATAAATGCATTATGGATAATGAACACGCCTGGCTTTATACTACTGGAATATTTCCTTCAAAATACATAAACTCTGTGACTCTTCTAAGCTGGTCTGATAACAGAGTTCACAACTGCTCTGATTAAGCAACATAGATTTTAAAAACTAATTTTGTCAAATTTATCAAAATTAATCAAAACTTCAAAAATCCTATCTTGAGTAGGGGTCCTGATCTTACCAAAGTTGTCATGCCAACTCCCTGTGCTTAAAGACTTCAGTTATCTTTTTTTAGGGTGGTCAGTAGCAATCTCCATTAGAAAAAAATGCTGTGATAGTCTGGGCTCAGATGTCAAGACTCACAGATGAAAATTAACCAGGCCACCTACATACACTTCATGAGCCTATAGTGTTTGAATCTATCATAAGAATGCTAAGCTTCAGTTCCTATCAATGGCCAACTTATAGAAAAATCCTTCTGAGAGATGCTTGTAAGGACAGTTCATGCATTCCTCAGAGACAATCATTCTTGATTCAAATGAGATCTCCAGACTGGTGGCCATCATTTACTTAGCACTCTGCAGTAATGGGCACATAGTAAGGGTTCAATAAATATTTTGTTGATTAAATAAAAATTAAAATATTTTATTAGGATTTTTTATTTCTTCATTTTTTAACAAGATCCCTTAATTGACAGCTCCAAATGAGAACTACTTTTATAGTCTGTGTAAATCCAGTGTTGAAATCACTAACCTTATCTTGCTTAATACCTTTAGTCTCCACATTCATATGACTGGAAGAAAATTAAGCAGATTTTGAGAATAAATCTGGCTATGACATTCACTAGTAATGTGGTCTTGAATTATTTTCCAACATTCTCTGAACTTCATTTGTATTTTTTACCAAATGGGATGAGATGTAAACTTTTGTGTTTATTTGAAAGGTTAAGGAAGAGCTTGAAAGTGCTTTCCTCACGCTTGCCACACCAGAGCTCACATAGATAAAGAATGAAGCACTTACCTTGACACAAAAGTCTTCTTTCACTTAATATCAGGGCCTATTTGAAAAATTTTATTATCCATGAGAACAAAACACAATCTCTCTTTTTTTCTACTTGGCATGTTGCCCTGCACCTATATAGATTAACATTCCCAAGAAGAGTTACACAAATTGTCATTGCATTCATCTACCCAAAGTGTCAAGTTTAATTTAATTCCAGAGTGTTTGATTACCATAAGAAGGGAGAAGAAAAATGTTGATTATGAGCTCATGATCAAAATAAAAAATCAGCATAATAGAATGTTAAATGAATTTAAATGATAAAAAATATGTCCTCAATTTTGCTTCTTTTCTTGTCCCTTCCCTTCACTTTTGGAAGTGAAGGTGAGTTTGTTTTGGGGGCGAGTAGATAAAAGTTTGTTCTGAAGATATGGAAACAAACTGGTTCAATTGCTCATCTCCGTTTCACAAGTTAAATCCTTATTTGTTTTATTTCAATTATGGCCATGGTTCACACTACTTGTTACATTGATATTGTATTTACTTATTAATCATACTCATCCATTATAATTTTATATGAGTATTTTTTGTAATTGTCTAGAAAAAGAAAGAGATGGAAATAAGTGTGGTAGACAATAGTCACCCCATAGCCACCCAATACTCCCTTCTCCCTTTTCTTTCTCTGGAGGCAAGGTTTTAAACCGTGATCCAGCTTTAGCCAATGCTATGTGAGTACAAATCAGAGTGTATGTGGGCAAAGGACTTGAGCAAGCATTTTTACAAGCAGATCTTTTCCTATCTTTTGCCTTTTAGCTTCTTCCATCTTTCCCCTTCTAATACAGCCTGAAAAAGAGAACTAAAACCTGAAGATACAGAGGTCATCATGCAAGCATAACAATAAAAACTCCAATGGTAATCACAAGCTCATAATCTATATCTTTTTTCTTCCTCCTATATTTACTAATAAAAACATAAAGAAATTAAAGTTGGGGTTCTAGGGGGAGGAATATGAGGGAGGACAATGGGCATGCTTTCTTTGAAGATATCAGCCTACACAGGTTAAGAGCAGAGTATCATGCTAAGCAGGAAAAAAAGAGGTTTTTCTTTCCCCATAATCATAATAATGGCTAATCAGGAGCTAGAAAAAGCCTGGTTCCTTCTGACATTGCTTAGCCATCATGTCAGTGTAGTTGCTTAAAATGAGTCCATGTTTGTTTAAACCACCTGTAACTGATTTTCTGATGTTTGTAACTAAAGACATTCCCTGAGTGTTACAATTTGTCAAACTCAGAAAAATATATTCATAGTGATAAATTGCTTTTATTTAACATTGATTATATCACCTTACTGCTTTATAATAAACATCTTCCTAAAATTTAAGTGTCAACAGAAGAAATAACTCTTTGCATGTTTGGAATAAATGGCTATAACAGACCCCAACTTATCTAATGTCATAAAGCAAGTTTCCTCTTTTCCTCTTTCCCTGGTTACTATTTCCATTTTTCACTCAACCTGCTTCCCACTTAAAGTGTTAAGATTCATCCATCATAATGGAAGAATTAAACAAAAATACAAAGCTACTTCTGACTACTACAGGATTTTCAAATTTTATAATGTTCACAGACACTCAATTCAGTGGGCAGGACAAGGACCTTCTTTCAAGAAAGAACAATGAATAAATCCTGAATGCCCCCTTGAGGTGATATGTGTTTGGGCCACTGTAAGAGCTCACTTGCATTTGTTACGCTTTTTTCCTTTCAGCAAATACTTAAGAGCCAAGAAGCATAATTTTTGAGAATAAAAGATATCAGTAAACACAGATGTAACACACTGTGATAATGGCCACAGAAAAAGGTGTCCCCATGACCAGTCAAAGCCTGTATGTTTAGAATACATACCAGGCCATGTACACGGAAATCGGAATTGTAGTTAAAGAGACAAAAAAAATGCAGAAAAGGAATTACAGAGGAACAAGGATGGGGAGGGGAAATGGGAACTAAATATCCAGAGAATGTGGCATGCACTCATTTCCAGCAGTATTGTAAAAATTGGTTTTGTTTTTTTTTCTTTTTTTTTTTTTGAGATGAAGTCTCTCTCTGTCACCCAGGCTGGAGTGCAGTGGCACAGTCTCAGTTCACTGCAACCTCTGCCTCCCGAATTCAAGCGATTCTCCTGCCTCAGCCTCCTGAGTAGCTGAGACTACAGACGTGTGCCACCACACCAGGCTAATTTTTTTGTATTTTTAGTACAGACGGGGTTTCACCATGTTGGTCAGGCTGGTCTTGAACTCCTGACTTCAAATGATCCACCCACCTCTGCATCCCAAAGTGCTAGGATTACAGGCGTGAGCCACTGCATCCAGTCTGAGTTGCTTTTTGATAAACTCCACTTCATGTTGGGAAGTATTGATTCCAAGATCTTTTGACTTTTCTTCGACATTTTCAAGATGTGTCTTTTTTTTCAGTTTAATATTTTCTTCATGTTACTCACTCTATTTCCCCATGGAGCCTTAGATTTTAAAAAACTTACAATTTTCCATTGCTTAGAGCAATTTCTTTGGATGCCTTCAAAGACTTTATAACTGTGATTATTTTAGTTATTTCTCTGCTGAGTCTCAATATAATTTTTATGCGGCTTGACCATGTAACAACACTGAGTTCAAAATAAACTGGGCTAAGAGGGATGGTCCGGCCAGGCAAGTAATGTCCATCAATTTATTTAAAATTTCCAAATTCACTAAGAATGTAATAAGGTGAAGAAATTGGTAATTATCAGAATGCTTCTCAGAAAGAATACTCCAAGTAATTTGAATGAATATTTTGATAAGCTCATTGGATAAATAAGATTACAAAAGTCATACCAAGTAACAACAGGAAATATCTTTCCAAGAAAAATGAGTCTGATGAAGGACATTTATAGGGTCAAGTGAAGAGGGCACATTTGGAGCCAAAGCTGAATTGTTCATTTGTAAGAGAAAAGGCTGAGCAGTAATCTTTTTTTTTGTTTTTGAGATGCAGTGTCACTCTCCTGCCCAGGCTGGAGTGCAGTGGTGTGATCTCGGCTCACTGCAACCTCCTCCTCCTGGGTTCAAGTGATTCTCCTGCCTCAGCCTCCCAAATAGCTAGGACTACAGGTGCAAGCCACTATACCTGGCTAATTTTTGCATTTTTTGTAGAGACAGGGTTTCGCCACATTGGCCAGGCTGATCTCAAACTCCTGACCTGAAGTGTTCTGCCCACCTTGGCCTCCCAAAGTGCTGGGATTACAGGTATGAGCCACCACACGCAGGCAGTAATCTTTATTTTTACCTTTTTCTGCTATCAGACTCTCTTCTAAATAAATGGCAAACAAATATTTGAAGTGCATCAAACTCCAAAGAGTTCATCTGATCTTAATACACTCACATCTCACTGAAGCCTGGAATAAAGTACTCAACCAAAAAGATCATGTGCTTTTCCCTTGTTGAATTGTTTTGAGGACTTTTGTTTCCATAGTCTAAATCATCTTTTCTGTTTATCTGTGTTAATTTTAATCTGTGACTCAGTTTGGATATCTTCTAATATCCTGTTTCAAGTTCTATGATCCTATTTTCTGTTGCTCTTTGTTAAATCCATCCACTGAGTTCTTAATGTCAGTTTCCAGTTGTAGAATTTCCATTTGATTTTATTGTTTTATTTATTTTGTTGTTTTGAGTTGCAGTTTTCCATCTTTTCATCTTTTTCCCCTATTTCCTTTGTAATCTTGAACATAATATTATAGCTATTTTCAAATGAATTCTTGCCAACACCAAAAACTGACTCATTGAGTGCCTGTTTCTTTACATTATCAATTTCATGCTTCTATCTTTTCTTTCTCCATATCTGCTAACTTTTGTTGAATGAAGACATTGTGAATTTAAAATATGAAATGGTAGAGGCTCCAGATGATGATCACTTTGTCTAGAGAAGATCTTTGCTCTTCCTTCTGCTAGCCAGATAAAATGGCGTGGTGGGAACTTACTCCGATAATCTTAAAGGAGCCATGAAAAGAGTTACGTCAAGGTGACATGACCATTTTTGGAAGACTAAGTCTATCTCTCCTTTGCCTTTTTCCTGGAGAGAGTGGCCCTTCATGATTTTCCTTGGAAATCGTTGTAAATATTTGTCTCCTCAGCAATAAAGGACTGCAAAAATTTAACTATTTTTTTGGTCCTTTTTGAACTACCTCTTCAATTTCTGCTTTGAGTAGCTTCAGATTTTGACTAATGTCTTCAGGGGTAGACTGCATGTTCTTTAGAGGTCCCTCAAGTTTCAGATTTTGTCACACCAACCCTTGTTCCATTGCCAAAAGCTCTGTTTTTTTTTTTTTTTTTTTTTTCTCCCTGTACCACAGCAATGGTCTTCCCTCAAGGTGCAAGCCTGGTTTATCACCCTCTAAATACGTTCAGATTTTTAAGTGAACCTAGGGAAAAAGAGGTTGAGGAGATGATCAAGGTCAAACTGGTACTCCTACAAGTACTTTCAACTCTCATTTATTGATCTCATGTACCTTCCCTTGCTCCAACCCTTGGCAGGTATTTATTTATTGAACAGTGCATACATGCAAGAAATGCACTCTGTTTTCACAAAGTTTTTGTTCAAATCTTGTGCAGCTTTAGAATCCATGAAATGTCAGAGTTGAAAAATGTACATGCATTTGAAAACCCTCAAGCTCCATTTTTGTTTCTCCAGCCCAATAGGGTTATAAAAAGCTCTGCTTGTTTCCTGTTCCTAACAGTGACCTTCTCTCTGGGCCTAGTCCATATTTGCAACTTGTAACCTGTGTGGAGATTGAGTAACTGCCCCTGAGGGAACACTGCAGATTCTCAGCTCACTTCTGAAAAGTTCTGCTTGCTATTTTTGTAATTAATTAATTTTTCTATTTGTTTTTAGTTAAGGCTTACCCTACTGTGAACTATTCTATCCTTCTTCGAAATGGGAAGCTTATATTGTTTTCAATTTCGGTTACCTAACTGAAACATTCATTTGCTTATGTTAGACTAGCAAAATACATAAAGTATAGAGATTAACGTGTCAAACACCAATGTATCATCCACCCACCTTAAAAAGTAAATGTTTATAAATCAACCAGTTCCCCAACTTAATAAATAAACTACTTCAAGTAAAATTGAAGGTCCTTGTACATAAGTCTCTCACTCCAAATTATTCATTATGTTGGATTTAGTATTTACTTTTCTTATACACAGCTTTACATTATTTCCCTACATCCCCCCACATCCACACTCACCCCCACACTCTCCACACATATGCATTCAAATTCATAATTTACTATTTGCTCTTGTTGTATTATGTTTAAACTATATATAAGTTGTGTCATACATTTGTATTACCTGCGCAACTTGCTTTTTAAAAATTCAACATTCTTATTTTGAAATTTAAATTGTGTTGATATATACAATTTTTGTTATATACTTTCACTGAGCATTTGCATGCTTTCCGTTCTTTGCCATTTCAGTCAATGTTGCTATGAACATCCTTATGTGAGTTTCTTCTTCCACATGTCTAAGAATTACTTCGGAGTATACACATAAAAGGAGAATTGCTAGAGCAAAGTATAGCATATCTTTAATTTGAGCAAACTGTTCTCCAAGATAATAATTCTAATTTAAATGTCATCCACATTTTAAGGGAGTTCTGCTCCTCTACAGCCTCACAAATACTAAGATTAATCAGCCTCTGTAATTTCGCCAATCTAATTATACTGACATCTCATTTCATTTTTTAAATTTAAATATTTATTTATTGGAGGATTTTTATATATGCTAAATATCAATGACTTCTTGATTAAATGTATTGCAAAACCTCTTTCCTCTTCATGGTTTTTCTTTTATACTTTGTTTATTGGGCCTCTTAACGTGCAGACATTTAAAACTTCAAAGTATTCATTTTTAATCACTTTTTTCCATTATGGCTTATATATATTTGCCTTAAGAAAGAATTCCCTTCTCTCAATTTTCTTCTAGGAGTCATAAATGCTTGCTTTATACATTTTGGGTTTTAATCCAACTATAGTTATTATCTTAAAAAGGTATCGAATTTTCTTTTTTTCATATGAGTAGCACTGGGTCTCAGCACAATCACTGATTTGTAATGCCATTTATATCATCTACTAAGTTTTCGGGTATTCATGTGTTTCTTTTCTGAATGTCTAATTCCAGTCATCTATTTGTTCTCTGACCATGTATCTGTTTGTCTTCAAAATTATGGAATATTCTTGACATTTTACTGCTTTGTATATACTTTTAGTATTATGTTAGTGATCCAGATAGGTAAGGCTACATTCTACCGTGATTAATTTTGTATGTTAATACATTTGCACCACAAACTTTGATCATGTATCTAATATCTGCCAAGCTTTGTATGCAAGACCAAAAACTAAGATGACTAAAAGTCTGTTTACTCCAGCTTAACACTTTTGATGACTGCTGTACACTTTTACATATAATCTAAGAAAATAACAGATATTGGCTGTTGTGTGTGACCATTTTGACCTTATTAAATTTTCCTAAAACGAGAAATTAGGACACTTCCTTAAAAATTATCTTGGAAATATGCAATCTTATCACCTTTTCAATCTATAATATTCAGTGTTTCTTTCAGTCACACAGAAGAATGTAATGGAATTTCTAGACCCATTCACCACTTGGTTTTCAGAGCTGTTCCCATGTGTCAGTGAAGGGAAGGCAATATATACTCCAGAAAGCTCCTCTAACTGGTTTCTCGGAATCCAGAGAATTGGTTCCAATATGAGTAATAATATTGATTATTCTTTATAATTAATAACTGGGGGAAACAAATGCATACAAATGATTGCTTCTTTAAGCAATCTACTTTTCAGTGCCTTTTACACAGTAAGTGCTAAAAAGCCACTGGATACAAAGGGATATTAGTTTTACATGGCTGTAAGTACCTAAAGCTCAGAATTTAAATGCAGATATCCTGTGCAGCAACTACACAACTAACAACACTGTCTCTAGAAAAAAGAAACTGCTCAAGGAAAAGACACTTGAAACTAAAGGTGCATTCTTTGTTGTGTGTTTTTTTTTTAACTGTTAGCATGACAGTTAGCAAATGAATACACAAATCTATTTCAGCAGTCTGAAAGATTTAATTATACATCCCAAATGCTAAAGTTGTTGCTAGAAAATAAATTATACAGGAAACCCAGCTGGACAGATATTTCCTCAGAAAGCCAAAGTATTTGGGGAAAAGTTTTATTGTGGTGTGTGTGGGTGTGTGTGCGTGTGCATGTGTGTGTATGGTGTGAGAGTGTGTGTGTGTGAGCACGCATTTGGAGAGAGTGGCAAAGGAAGACAGACGGATATTCTCTCTCCAGAAATAATTTTATATACTGAAATCCTCACAGCATATTACCTTATATCCCCTAGTAAGTACCTGCATTATAGGAAGCCACAAAAAAAAATATATCCTTTGGCTCTGCTGGAGTGAAGCTTATTTTTCAGTTAAAATTGAAGAACAACTTTACATCCCACTGCAGTTTTGAACCAGCCCTCAAGTAATACTGGTATTGTCCAACATTCTGATCTTGCTCTAACCAGCCCTGGCTTGTCCACACCCTGACCCCCTCCATGGAAGAGGGGCAGGGTAGGTAAGGAGGGCATGTAATCCTCGGACAGCTGAATGGGAACTGCAGAAGTTCTGTTGTTTGCACCATAACCCAACTGTTTGAGGTAGAGATTTCCAGGTAAAACTCGATCTCAACTGTGGCTACAAACTGAAATTACAATTGGCTGGGCCTATTGGGTTAAATTCATGACACATTTCAGGATATGGGCCCTTGAGGGAAATGTTTAGAACTGTAAAAGTTATTATAGGCCAACTACTGATTTAAGAAAAAATCAATATATACCATAAATAAATAAATTTATAAATAAATAAAATACTACATCTACTGCATCTTCCGGTTTATAGACTTTGTGTAGACTGATAAATAGCTAAGAAACAACAAAATGGGAAACAATTACTAATAAGTATCTATATTTTAAAAGTAGATAAAGAAGAGTCAGGAAATGAAGACACCTAACTTGATTTCTATACCTGAAGAAAAGGACTATAAAAAATAATCAGTAATCAATAGTGAGTAATACTCAGCCTGTCTTGCCAGACTAATCTAACCTGCTTTTATGTAAGAATGCCCTTGACCTAACACTCTGCTCAGAGTGCTGCAGCAGCAAGGTCGTTCAGAGACGAATTTGAATGACAACTAATTACCATCTTTGTTGATGGCCATTACAGTAAGTGCCTTCTGGACAGTAAATTGTCTTCCTGGGTAAACCATAAAAGACTTGCCAAGCATGAACACCAATGCCCACACCAATGTCCACCCAATGAAAGGGTGGGGATAATGTATGTGGTTACTAAGGATTCCACATCATCTTAGATTACATAAAACAGTAGGATTCAGGTTGATATGTAGAAAACTACTTCAACCCAAGGGTCATTACAGCTGTAAATTTGTGGAAGTAGACTGAACTCCACTAAGGTTCCCTCTGGAATCCCCACCACCAAGATATTAGTAATCAGTAGTCCACTATCTGACAACCATAATTGAGATAAAGCAAGAAAAAGCAATAATGCATGCAAAATATCGTTTTTTTTTAATCAAAACTTGCTTATTCTCCCATTTTTACTCCCCAGCAATCAAATGAATCAGTATCTGATACTGTCAGAGGCATCTGAACCAGAGGAATTCCATCTTGAATAGGGGCTGGGTAAAATGAGGCTGAGACCTACTTGGCTGCCTTCCTAGGAAGTTAGTCATTCTAAGTCATAGGATGAGATTGGAGGTCTGCAAAAGATACAGGTCATAAAGACATTACTGATAAAACAGGTTGCAGTAAAGAAGCCAGCCAAACCCACTAAAACTCAAGGCAACGAAAGTGAACTCTGGTTGTCTCACTGCTCATTATACACTAATTATAATGCATTAGCATGCTAAGAGACACTCCTACCAGCACCATGACAGTTTACAAATGCCAAGGCAATGTCAGGAAGTTACCATATATGGTCTAAAAAGGGGAGGAAACCTCAGTTCTGGGAACTGCCCACCCCCTTCCCCGGAAACTCATGAATAATCCACCCCTTGTTTAGCATATAATCAAGAAGTAACAATAAGTTTAAGCAGCTGAGTGGACCATGCTGCTGCTCTGCCTATGGAGTAGCCATTATTTATTCTTTTACTTCCTTAATAAACTTGTTTTTACTTTATGGAATCACCTCCGTTAAAACAAACTAAATATGGCCTAAGAAGGACTCCGTACTTCTATATTTGAGTCCTTGTGGATGAACTGTAACCTAGCTTCATAGTCAGACAAAATTGAAAGATCATTAGAAAGGTAAGCCAATCTACTTTTTAGAATAAATTCAGCTGTACTACTACTGTTTTTTATTCCGCTCCCCCCTCCCCGCCCACCGTTTTTTTTTCTTTTGAGAAAGTTTTGGAAAAAACAGATCAAGAACTAAGACAGAAAGAGGGATATTTTGTGCTACTTAAAGAAAATGGAGTTTGACCTAGAGAACCATTCATGTAAGTCAAGCTACAAATTACACCTAAAGTTAAAATATAAAACAGGAAATAAAAAGCATGAATGCCTTAGCAAGAGAGTAAGTAATAGTAGTACAGCTTCAATAGAAAATCGAATAAAGCAAGAACACAAACCAACTCTGGACAAATACTAAAGAAATAAAATTACAAAACACAATCACTTGGAACTTGAGAGAACAGTCCTGAGAAAATTATTTTGCCACAATAGAAGAAAAGCAACCTCATGTCTATAACATAATTCTTGAGAGGAGTCCAGAATTAGTTTATATAAATAAACTTTTGGTTATAGTAAAATACTCTCTGTTGTTAAAACATCTCTGTGTTCCCCTTATTCACCATATCTTGCCTAGTTCTTATACATTTATAAATTCCTCATAACAAATGGCATGCTAAAATAGCTTCCTTTTCCTTAAGGAAGAAACACAATCATCTTTCATTTAAGGATTGTAAACTTTTTATTATTTTTATTGCTCATTTCAACTTCTTCCTTCAATAAGGAAGTAACAGGAGAAAATATGCTTCAATGTTAGTCCACATTTATATGGCCCAAAACATCTTTAGTTTAAAGCTGATTTCACAGGGAATTACAAACTTGAATGAATCAGTTCATGACCTCCTTTAAAACGAACTTCAGATATGACTGCTTCATGCTTCATCAACTGTCTTTAACATAATGAATTATAAAGCATGGTTAAACCACCTTGCAGGGACTATTTAAAAGTGAATAGAGTCCTTTTACTTTCCAACTTATTCCTCTTAGAAGATTAGGAGGAGATACCAGATGGTTAGTTTTCCATCCATACTAATCTTAAAGGCAGTCAGTTGCCAAATGGTCCATGCTATCATTAAGTTCTTTTGTGCAGAGTAAAGTCATTTTTGAGGATCACTAGTACACTAATTATTATAATTAACTAAATTATGTGTTGAACTGCAGTGTGTTGTATTTATTATCCAATATATATATAGGATCATGTTCTAAATTGTATTCAATTATAGTAACTGACATAATGAAATTCTAATTGATGTAATTTTTTAAAAAGAACTTGAATAAAAGTTTATAAGGTATTATCTGGAAAGTAAAAAAATAATGACACAAAAAGTGCAAAGTTCTCAAAATGCAAAGATTTTAAAAGCTTCTTAAGCCTAAATAAGAAGGTTTCTCGGTGCCACCAAACAATACTCTGAGAAGACAGGTTGTTTTTTCTCTAAGCCTTTTTAAATCTGTCCTTGTGCTTCCATTCTCAGTAACTTCACCATAGTTTGGGCTAATCTAGTTCACTTCCTCCCTGAAGTATTGCAATAACCTAAATGCATTGCTTTCTAATTCTCTAAGTGTCATCTAATGCATTCTGTAAGCCAATTATTTCTTACGATATTGTCCAGTTCCAGCAGCATCTTGAGATGCTTTATCCTGTTACTTATACAGTTCCCTGACACTGCCATTCTAGGTCATCAGGTAGTTTCAATGTGGGTAGAAAGAAATGCAGAACCCAGTGCTTATGAAGCCTCAGTCACTAACTAGCTATGTGAGCATGAGGAAGCCACCTTAGAATCATGATTCAACGATCAATCTAACACTGGTTCTCAGACTGTCAACTCCTGCCTCTGTGCAGTACTGCGATAGTATCAGCAGAGGCAGTAAGAGGTCTGGGGATTTAACTAATTCTTAAAGAGAATTTTGACCAATTCTCCTGGTGTTAGCCCTGCTTTACACTAACTTCCAAAGGCACCTGTCGGCACCAGTTGTTGTCTTTTGGGCTCCATGAAGTAAACTAGGGAGCTTCTTGGCTTTCTGCATAATTACTTTAGGGTTTAAGTATTTCAGTACTGCTAGGTTAGTTATCGCTTGTTCATCCACATTTTGTTTTCCAAAATTGGGTTGCTGTTGTCTCCTCTTTTGTTTTTGTCCTTGTGAGTTTATGCCTTTGAAAAAGCTTCCTTTTACTACCATTTTAACAGAATTTCATGGAAGAGTGAAAGTAAATGCACATGGTTCAATTTGCCATCATTACCTAGAATTAAGTTTTCTGAAACTTGTTTTAGGAAAGGTATGCTTGTGAAAGCTACATCCAGCAATCCAGCAGACCTGGAATTTGCCTGAGCTGTCTCATGAAAATAAAAAATATATCTGCACAGTGCAGACACCCAGGTAAGGCATGAAATGTACTGATTAATAGTGTTGCTTTATAACCGTGGGTCCAAGGAGTTTGGAAAGATTTGTACCAGCTTGTCAGCACTGCTTAACTGATAACAGTAAGATTGATGATTTGCATTTGTTCTCTATGAGATCCTTAGAGGGCCTGTTAGTGGGGCTGTCTATGTGGCAAAAATCTGCCAACATGTCCAGCAGAGTCATCTGGGCCAAGACTCCACTTGGGCATACCTGGTTCCGAAGTGTTTTGTGCACACATCTGCGGTTTCTGATCTGAGAGAGAAAGTACATCCTGTATGATCTTTACTAAAGAGGGCAACTGGGGCATGCACCTACCTTTCCTAACTTCCTGCTGTGAAACAGCCTTTGGATGTGACACATATCCTTAACTAAATGCTGTTGCTATATTGTATCATTTTCCTGCAATAAAATATATGTTTGTGTGCACTGTCATTGCTGATACTGTAGGTCTTATTTAGCAACCTAACACTGTTTAACTGCCACTATTAGTGCAATAGGTAACTACATAATTCTACATTTTCATATATTGCTTCAGTAATTTCTGCATAACAAATAAGTGTGTTACATTTATTAGGTAAAAATCGTTCTTGTTGGTTTTGGATCCTAATAAAATAAAAGCCTCAGAATCGGCCAGGAGCTGGGAGAGACTCCTCATTGCAGGAAAAGGGGAAGTGAGAGCCCCCAGCAGTCCACATTCCTGCTGTGGACTCCTATAATCCTAGCCATGGGAGGTCCCCTTGACTATTGTGTACTCTGAGATTAACATAGGGAACATCCTGGAAACCATGAAAAGTCACTTCTACAGAGAGAGAGTTCACACTGGGTCTCACAAGCCCCCAAGTCTAGGGCAGAAGCAGCATGGCACCATTTAGCGAACATAGCCCCCACCTCACCAGACTGCATCCTGCCCTGCAACCAGGGCTGCAATCCCACGCAGCTGCGCATGCTCAGAGGCCTCAAGGACAAATTCCACTGCCTACAACCACCGCAACTGCAGACTGCTGTGGAGCAAGGCAGAGGGGAAGCCACCCGCCTATGGCTGCTCCCAGGGAAAGCAACTCTGCCTTCCTCAGTAGCAGGGTTGCAGCACAGCTGCTGCTACCTCCAACTGAGCACCCTACCAGTGGCCTGGGACTCACCCCATCCCTGCAAATCACAGCCAGTGTCTTTAGGTACCACCAGGGGGCCCCAGCCTGGCTCTGTTTCTGGCCCTCCTCCCCAATCCAATACTACAGCATACCATCCAGAAGCCTGGGGATCACTCAGCCCAGCCCACTAGTGGTAGCACCTAAGCATGCCTCCTGGGGTCTGAGGCCAGGCCCACTCAACCTGCCACAACTATTACAGCTGGCACCCACTCCAGTATGCCACCTGCAGGTCCAGGGACCAGCTTGTACAACCCATCACATACACTGCCAACACCAGCATGGACCACATGGGTCTCAGAGGGTTGTCCCAACACTGCTACCACTACTGCTCATGCCATGACCACTGCCCAAGGACTTGGGAAACCATCCGCCCACCCAGCCCACTGCTGCCATCATCCCCAGCACCCAAGCAAGCCACCTGGAGGCTCAAGAATCAGCCTGCTTGGACCTACTGGCATCATCACCAGCAATATGCTGCCATGGGGCTCAAGGGCAAGCATGTTCAGCCCGCTGTGATCATTAGGGCCCAAAGCTGGCCTACCTGTCATCCCAGTCCCCAGAATAACTTCGCCACAGCCTCTACTAACAATCACAGCCTAAGCCACCAAGGAAATCATAGACCCTTCTGAGGCTATTTACATACCCCCCCAAAAAAAATCATAACACCAGACTGTACTACTGTATGTATCCAGAATTGAAGCCCAAGTGCTACACTCAACACCACAGATACAACTTCAGAAAAAAACATCCGTCCATATGAAAGTAAATTTTAAAATTTGGGAAAAAAACACTGTCACACTAGATGTGCAGATATGAACATAAAGATACAGGAAGCATAAAAAAGCAAGGCAAATTGATACATTCAAAGGAATACAATAATTATCCAGCAACAGAACCCAATTTAAGAAATTCACAAAATCCCAGAAAAAGAATTCAAAATATTGATCTAAAGGAGCTCAATGAGATATAAGAGAATTCCAAAAACAATATAAAGAAATCAGAATAACAATTCAGAATATGAATGAGAAATTTACCAAAGAGATTGATATCATAAAAAGATACAAACAAACTCTGGAACTGAAGAATTCATTGAAAGAAATACAAAACATATCTGTATTTTTGGGGAAGTGTGCGGGTAGGCTGGGTCGCGCTCTGTCGCTTAAACTGGAGTGCAGTGGTGTGATCATGGCTCACTGCGGCCTCAACCTCCTGGGCTCAGGTGATCCTCCCACCTCAGCCACCCAAGTTGCTGGCACTACAGGCACGTGCCACAATGCCCAACTAATTTTTAAAATATTTTTTGTAGAGACAGGGTCTCACTATGTTGCCCAGGCTGATATCACACTTTTGGGCTCAAGGAAGGCTCTCATCTCAGCCTCCCAAAGTGTTGAGATTAAAGGTGTGAGTCACTGTGCCTGGCCACAAGATACATTTGAAAGCTTCAACAATAGACTAGATCTAGCAGAAGAATCTCAGAACATGAACAGAGGTCTGTTAAAATAACCCAGTCAGACAAAAATAAACAAAAAAGAATCTGAAAGAATGAGCAATGCCTTTGTGACATATGGGACACCATAAAGCAACCAAATATATGAATTATCAGGGTCCTAGAGTGAAGAAGGAATGAAAGGGTTAGAAAACCTATTTAACAAAATAATGGATGAAAACTTCCCAAGTCTAGCAAGAGATTTAGACAATAAGATACAGGAGGCACAGATGTGTCCAAACAGATACAAGGCAAAAAAAGGACTTCTCCATGCACATTATGGTCAAACTGCCTAAAGTCAAAAACAGACTTCTAAAAACAGAAAGACAAAAGTATCATCTATTAATTAACCCCCATCAGACTAACAGCAGATTTCTCAACAGAAACCTTACAGGCCATTGAGAGAATGGGACATAGATTCAAAGGCTGAAAGAGGAAAAAAAAAAACAAAACAAAAACTGCCAGTTAAGGATACTATATCCAGCAAAATTATTCTTTGGAAATGAAGGAGAAATAAAGTCTTTCCCAGAAAAACCAAAGCTAAGGAAATTAATCCCTACTAGACCAGCCCTACAAGAAATAATCAAGTTCTAAATATATATGCATCCAAAATTGCAGCGCCCAGATTTATAAAGCAAATATTACTAGATCTAAAGAAAGAGACAGACTGCAGTACAATAATAGTGGGGAACTTCAACCTCAAGACAGAAAATCAACAAAGAAACACTGGATTTAAACTGGACTTTAGATTAAACAGAACTAACAGACATTTACAGAACATTTTGTCTAACAACTGCAGAATACACACTCTTCTTATCAGCACATGTAACATTCTCCAGGATACACATTATGTTAGGTGACAAAATAAGTCTCAACAGATTTAAAAAACATGAAATCCACTCAGACCAGTACGGAATAAAACTAAAACTGAATATCAAAAACTTTGGAAACTATACAAATACATGGATATTAAACAACATGCTACTGAATGACCACTGGGTCAATGAAGAAATTAAGATGGAAATTTTAAAAATTCTTGTAATAAAATGGAAACACAACATACCAAAACCTGTAGGGTAGAGCAAAAGATTCCCTGAGACAGAATTTATAGCAAAAAACACCTACATTTAAAAAGTATAAAGACTGTGACCAGGCGTGGTGGCTCACTCGTGTAATCCCAGCACTTTGGGAGGCCGAGGTAGGTGGATCACCTGAGGTCAGGAGTTGAAGACCAGCCTGGCCAACACAGTGAAACCCTGTCTCTACTAAAAATACAAAAATCAGCCAGGCGTGGTGGTGCGCCCCTGTAGACCCAGCTACTTGGGTTGCTGAGGCAAGAGAATTGTTTGAATCTAGGAGGCGGAGCTTGCAGTGAGCTGCGATCATCCCACTACACTTCAGCCTGGGTGACAAGTGAGACGTGGTTAAAAAAAATAAAATAAAAAAAGTAGAAAAATGTAATATAATCTAATGATAGACCTCAAAGGACTAGAAAAACAAGAAAAAACCTAACCTAAAATAAGCAGAAGGAAATAAATAATGAAGATCAGAGGAGTACTAAACAAAATAGAGACTAAGAAAATTACAA
Source organism: Homo sapiens (assembly GCF_000001405.40). Lineage (NCBI taxonomy): Eukaryota > Metazoa > Chordata > Mammalia > Primates > Hominidae > Homo > Homo sapiens. Next base: position 167,328,671 of record NC_000002.12, on the reverse strand, counting down.
ACGATCAAATACATGAAAAGTTGGTTCTTCAAAAAGATAAAATTAATAAACCATTAGCTAGAGTAACCAAGAAAAGAAAGAAGAAACAAATAAAATCAGAAATAAAAAGGAGACATTACAACTGATACCACAGAAATACAAAAGATCTTCAGAGATTATTATGAACAAAATATGTGAATGAACTGGACAACCTAGAGGAAATGGATAAATTCCTATAAACATACAACTTACCAAAATTAAATCAGGAAGAAAACCTGAATAGACAAAAAATGAGTAGTGAGATTAAATCAGTAATAAAGTCTTGCAACAAAGAAAAACCCAGAATCAGAATAATTCACTGCCAAATTCTACCAAACGTATAAAGATGAACTAACACCAGTGTTCTCTAAACTTTTCCCAAAAAATTGAAGAAGAAGGAATCCTTTCTAACTCATTATACAAGGTCAGCATTACCCTGATACCAAATCCAGACAATGGCACAACAGGAAAAGAAAACTACAGGTCAACATCTCTGATGAACACAGGCACAAAAATCCTTAACAAAATACTAGCAAACCTAACTCAACAACACTTTGAAAAGAAAATACACCATGATTAAGTGGGATTTATACCAGGGAGGCAAGAATGGCTCAAAATACACAAATCAATAAATGTAATACATCACATCACCAGAAGGAAGGTGGAAATTACATGGTCATCTCAATAGATGCAGAAAAAGTATTTGATGAATTTAACATCACGTCATGATAAAAATTCTCAACAAACCAGGCACAGAAGAAACATAACTCAAAATAATAAATGGCATGTATGACAAACCCACAGCTAACAACATTCTGAATGGGGAAAATTTGAAAGCCTTTCCTGTAAGAACTGTAACAAGACAAGGATGCCCACTTTCACCACTCCTATTCAACATAGTACTGGAAGTCCTATCCACAGCAATCCAGCAAGAGAAAGAAACAAAAAGCATCCACATGGGAGAACAGGAAGTCAAACTGTCCTTCTTTGCAGATGACATGATCTTATATTTTAAAAAAACAAAGACTCCACTAAAAATCTCTAAGAGTTGATAAACAAATTCAGTTAAGTTCCAGGACAGAAAATCAACATACAAAAATCAGTAGCATATCTATACACCTATAATGAAATAGCCAAAACAGAAATCAAGAAGGCAATACCATTTACAATAGTTTTAAAAACACCGAGGAATAAAGATCTCTCTAAGGAAAACTATAAAACATTGACGAAAGAAACTGAAGAGGACACAAATGGAAAGACATCCTATATTCATGGATCAGAAGAATTCACATTGTTAAAATAACCATACTGCCCAAAGTAGTCTATAGAGTCAATGCAATCTCTATCAAAATACCAATGTCATTTTTCCACAGAAAGAGAAAAAACAAGCCTAAATAAAATTTGTATGAAACCCAAAATAGAGCCAGAATGCCCAAAGCAGTCTTGAGCAAAAAGAATAGCATCACACTACCTGACTCCAAAATATATTACAAGGTATAGTAAACAAAACAGCATGGAATTGGTATAAAATTAAACATATAGATCAATGGAACAGCATAGAGAACCCAGAAATAAATCTACATATTTATAGCAAACCGATCTTCAACAAACCTGTCAAGAACATACATTGGGGAAAGGACACCCTCTTCAATAAATGGTACTGCGGCCAGGCATCCTGGCTCATGCCTGTAACCCCAGCACTTTGGGAGGCTGAGGCAGGAGGATCACCTGAGGTCAGGAGTTAGAGACCAGCCTGGCCAACGTGGCGAAACCCTGTCTCTACTAATAAAAGAAAAATTAGCCGGGTGTTGTGGTGAATGTCTGTAATCCCAGCTACTCAGGAGGCTGAGGCATGAGAATTGCTTGAACCCGGGAGGCGGAGGTTGCAGTGAGCCCAGATCATACCATTGCACTCCAGCCTGGGCGATAGAGTGAAACTGTGTCTCTACAATAAATAAATAAATAAATAAATGGGCAGGGGAAAACTAGGAAACTGGATAACCATATACAGAAGAATGAAACTGGACCTCTATCTCTTACCATATACAGAAATCAACTCAATTTGGATTAAAGACTGAAACATAAGTCTCAAGACTATAAATCTACCAGACAAAACCATAGAAAAACCTCTTCAGGACATTGGTCTAGGTAAGGATTTTATCTTTAAGATCTCAAAATGACAGGCAACAAAAATAAAAATAGACAAATGGGACTTCATTAAATTAAAAAGCTGCTGTACAGCCAAACAATCAACAGAGTAAAGAGAAAACCTTTTTAATGGGAGAAAATGTTTACAAACCACTCATCTAACAGGGGGCTAATATGCAGAATATACAGGGACCTCAAACAACTCAACAGTGAAAAAACAAACAATCCAATTAAGAAGTGGGCAAAAGACATAAATACACAATTCTCAAAAGAAGACATATGAATGGCCAGCAAGTATACTGAAAAAAAAAAAAACTCAACATCACTAATCATCAGGTAAATGCAAATTAAAACCACAATGAGATATCATCATACTCCAGTAAGAATGGTGATTACTAAAAAGACAGAAAAAAAAAAACAGATATTGGTGAGCATGTATAGAAAAAGGAACTTTTAGACATTTAGTGCAGCCACTATAGAAAACAGGGAAGGCCTGGCACACTGGCTCATGCCTGTAATCCTAGCACTTTGGGAGGCCAAGGCGGGTGGACCACAAGGTCAGGAGCTCAAGACCAGCCTAGCCAACATGGTGAAAGCCCATCTCTACTAAAAATAGAAAAATTAGCCAGGTGTGGTGGCAAACGTCTGTAAGCCCAGCTACTCAGGAGGCTGATGCAGGAGAATTGCTTGAACCTGGAAGGCAGAGGTTGCAGTGAGCTGAGATCGCACCACTGCACTCCAGCCTAGGCAACACAGCAAGAATCTATCTCGAAAAAAGAAAAAAAAAAAAAAAAAAAAAAAAAGAAAACAGGGTGGAGATTTCTCAAAAAACTAAAAACAGAACTACCATACAATCCAGCAATCCCACTTGATATGGCTTGGATCTGTGTTTTCACCCAAATCTCATGTGGAATTGTAAGCCCCGATGTTGGAGGTGGGGCCTGGTGGGAGGTGACTGGATCATGGGGGGCAGTTTCTCATGGTTTATCATCATCCCCCTTGGTGGTGGTGTGGTGAGAGTAAGTTATTGTGAAATTTGGTGGTTTAAAAGTACGTAGCACCTCCCTTCTCTCTCTCTTCTTCCCGCTCAAGCCATGTGAAAAGGCCTCCTCCAGCTTTGCTTTCTTCCACAAGTAAAAGCTCCCTGAGGCCTCCCCAGCCATGCTTCCTGACCAGCCTACAGACCTGTGAGCCAATCAAACCTCTTTTCCTTATAAATTACCTAGTCTCAGATATTTCTCCATAGCAATGCAAGAACAAACTAAAACACAACTCTGGATATTTATCCAAAAAACAAAAAAAAAGAAATCAATATATCAAAGAGATATATGTATTCCCATGTTTATTGTAGCACTATTCACAATCTCAATGATATAGAATCAACCTTAATGCCTATCAATGGATAAATGGGACTTTTTAAAATGTGGATATCATTTGACCATACAAAAGAATGAAATCGTGTCATTTGCAGCAACATGTATGGAACTAGAGATTATTATGTTAAGTGAAAGAAGCCAGGTAGAGGAATGCAAATATCACATGTTATCACTCATATGTGGGAGCTACAGAAGTAGACCACGTAGAGGTGGAGAGTGGAATGAGAGATACCAGAGGCTGAGAAGGATGGATGGGTAGTGAGGCAGAGGGACTGATGAAGAGAGGTTGGTTAATGGATGCAAATATATAGTAAGACGGAAGATGTAAGTTCTAATGTTTGATAGCAGAGTCGGGGGACTACAGTTAACACGATATACTACATTTTTCAAAATAGCCAGAAAAGCTATGAAATGTACCCGACACATAGAAATGATAAAGAGGTGACAGAGACCCTAAGTACTCTGGCTTCATCATTACACATCTATGTACGTAACAAAATTTCACATGTATCCCATAAATATGTTCAAATCTAATATATCAAAAATTTAACATTAAAAAGCCTCAAGTATGAGTAAATTAAAACCTACCACAGAAAATTTCTAAACAATAACAAATAGAAGCCAGCATCAGGCAGCAATGTTAAGCACATTTTTTGTTGCCATGTGGACAATCTATAAATAATTGATTACTCATGATTATCAGCCTGACACTCTACCATCTATTATAAAGTAATGTGCCTTGCACTATGAACTAATGTCATGAACTAAGACAATCAAAACAAGTAGAGAATTTCAAAGATACAGATTTTCTATCTATATACCTGGAAAATTTTAAATAAATATTATTATAAATTTCAACTATTAAGCTAATAAAAAAGAAAAAAGAACTGTATGTATGGTAATTTTGGCCCATACCCTATAGGAATTTCAGAACCTATGCTGATAGCTTGAATTGCATTTTGAATCAATATTAGTGTTCACTCTGAAGCAGAGTGCTAGTGCATTTCCAACCAGAATAATGTAGCCAAATCTTGCACCTGCTCAAGCACCATTCATCAATCACAGTCACATGTGAGCCCACAGCACCAAGCCACCATCAAGACGACTGTGGCCTGGATTGCTTCCATGAAGCTCCCACCAGCAAGGCAACATTGATCAAATTTCAAAATGGGATTGGGCAACTGAGCCAATGTCAAAATCTGGACTCAAAAAGCATAACTTTGGAGTAATAGGTCACAGATGTCATAGGGAGTGGACAAGTACAACTCCTCGAGTTAAGAAAAAAAAATAAGAATTTCTGAATGTCTACCAAGCATGAAGTACTGAGTTAAGAAGTGTTTTACACACAAAATTCAATAGGATAAATATAATTATTCTTATTTTAGTAATGAAAAAGCTGAGGCTCAGTTTTATGAATGGGAAACAGAATATAAGTAATATACTGACATTCTCAGTGCTTGAAATGTCATAAGCAGAATCTGATCACAGGTGTACAGAACTGCAAAATGTACTTTTTCTGCTGCATCACATTCTCTCCTAAAAAAGCTCTATCACTCTTTCAACTTCTGACTATACATACTCATTCTTAGTATCCCCTCTGTATTTTCTAAGTTTAATATTGCTGCCTATCTTGCTCCATTATTGAGTTTCCTAACAAGCAGGTATTTCAAAAAGATAATCATTCATTTATTTAATAATGCATTAAATATTTTCTGAATACCAGCCTACTCAAGGTGATCTTTAAATATAGTCCTATATGTAGAAATAAGAATACACAGACCTCAACTAAGGATTTTATAATACAGACACAGACATGCGTTTAGGATATCACCTAAAATGAATTTTTCGTATATCCAATATGCATGCCACATCGTATATACTCACACTTTTAAATGTTATTTTCTTCGCTAAATTATGACATTTACATTATCAGCTGCTATTAAACAGTGAGACTACCTGCCTGCCTGATTTGCACGGCTATGCTCTCATATAAAGTACATTTTTGTCTATGTAGCAACGAATGAGCAATCATAATAATGTTTTATTGTGCTTTGCCTTTATTTTTTAAAAAGGCCAGAAAATGGAAAATAGAGGCATTGTTTTAGACATAATGAAATTGAGACAAAATAGAAATGGTTAGTCATGCCAAAAGTGATAAATTCTAAGCTGACTGGCTCTGTTTTCAATTATGAGGAAAAATAACACAGTCCAAATATCAAAAAGAACTGCCAGATTTCTACCATTGAAGATTTTTGTCTGAAAGCCCCCATTTAGTGATGAATGAAACAAACAAGCATTTTAAATTATAAGTTTAAAATCAAGACTAAAAAGCTCACCAGTAATTCAGATTCAGAGAGGTCTTCACAGTTCTAGAGTTGTAGTTACATGATTATTACAGGCTCCTTTACCAAGAGAAGAAAACTTAGAGTTCACACTTCTTTTGACAAATTCTTCAAGGAAATTGATAAGAATCCACCAAAGTAAGGATCAGAATCTCTTATTCATTCCCTTGCAAAATCGCTACCAAATACTTTTCAATATCCAAATCACTCGTTTTAATTTTACTAAATGTCGTTCAAATAAACTGTGCAATTATTTAGTCTATTACAGCAAAAATGTAGCACATTCATGTGTTCAGAAGTCGATCAGAAAAACTATTATTTTATACATGAATTTTTCTAAATTTAATGTTGAATCCAGTTTTAATTTTTTAAAATGTTACAAACTATACTTCAAAAATGTTCAATAATTATAAAATAATTATAAATTTTATCATTTTTTCGTTCAGAGAGATGAATCCCATTTTTGATACTGGTCTATTTTTTTTTTCAGAAACTCAACTATTAAATATATTTTTAGGAATGTTCTAATTGGAAATTATGGGACAATTTTATCAGAATAATCCCTTTAACAACATGTTGAAGAACAGTATTTTCGAAATATTTTTTCATAGAAATTAGGAATACATTTTAACCAAAAAATTAATTTGTTTATATGTTCAAAATAACCAGATCCTAAATTTCTTTGAGGAAGTGCGCCTTTATTTCACATGGGTAATACACAAGAGGAGAAGGTCTCACCTTTAGTACCTCATTAGAATCAACTATGTCACTGCCTGGATTTTTGGAGTCAATCAAAATTTTAACATTGAAAAATTAGATTCTACTTTGTAAGAGATAGTTCATTCCTCAAATGAAATATTCCTATAATTACTTGCTCAATATTGGTATTCTCTTTATTAAAAAGCTTACAAATTGTCTGAGGAGTGAATGGGAGTTGGGAAAACAGACCCAGTTTAGATTACCATATTGGGAAGTTTATAAGTGGAATAGGAGCTGAAAGGGTGGCAGTTAAAATGGGATATGGGGTACTGAGTCACTTTTGGTTTTGTTATTAAGACAGAAAGTAAATCTTTTAAATGCACGTGGGGAAGCATGAATAGAGAAGGAGGTAAGATTCCTGAGAAAATAATGAAAGAAAAATCTTGACAGCACAAGTAGAGAGATGTTTTCTCCACTTTGACCTGGTTAAAGAATCAATGGATTGCTGGGAATGCAGGTGTCTCATTAGATGTGGTGCTTGGATATTCAGGGAGATCCTCTGTTCTCTGGTTTTGATTTTCTCTGTGCATTGACAGGAGATGTTATAAGCTGAGAATGGTGAGGAGGTGGAATTCAAAGCTGTTTAAGTAGGTGGTACAATGGAAAAAACAGACATTTTATATATAGCAAATATTTAGCTTCCTGGTTTAAAACAATCAGTCTAACAGTTGGCATACTAAACCAATAATTTTATATATGCTGGAACTGTTTTCTAAGATTATTTTCTGTGTAAACAAAAATTTTTAAAGATTTTCTTCAAAATGTTATAAGTACTACATTTTTTGCATTTATTCATTCCACTTCAATACATACCCTTTCTTAGGTTTTTTCTGTAATTTTATGAGTATAATAAATATTAATAGATTGGGGGGTCATATTATCAGATGTTAACTAACACAGAAAAGCCCATATTAAAAGAGAATGCCATGAAGGCCTTGCTTTTACTCTTACATTTTAGATTTTCTTCCCATTTCTAACCCATACTAACTTTTCAAACAAAGTTCATTTTCTTTTAAAGTCTTCTGAATGATTTCCTTTCTGCCTCAATTACCAGAATTCCTTAAAAAGATGTGACTTTATTTTTTTTTTCATGTTTAGGATATTTGAGGGGAGGGATGCTGTTTTCACGGTGATTAATAGGTTTAAACTTAGAAATTTTCCTTTTAACTTAAAAAGTAGACATTAGGTAAACTATTTTTCTTAAACAGCCATTACATAGTGGCAATGACTACTCCTGAATTGCTTAATTTCCATTTATCCAGTTAAATGTTTCCAATTCATTTTTTAAAAACATGTTGTTTTCTTAAAATATAGCCAAATGATAATCAGTTTGTAATCTATACAGGAAACATGACTTCAAGTGCCTTAAAAATGTTTTTATGCTTCTATGAACTGGGGTGAGGGCACTGTGAAAAGAGAAAGAGCAAAGAGGTAATAGTGGCTTTTATTCTTTAACAGAAACATGGCAATGTCCAGCTCTACAATGAATCTAGAAGCCTAGATTTAGACCACCAGAGGCAGAGTCTTAGATGATAGTTCAGGGCAGTGCAGTGTCTCACACCTGTAATCCCAGCACTCTGGGAGGCCAAGGCGGGCAGATCACCTGAGGTCTGGAGTTCAAAACCAGCCTGAGCAACATGGTGAAACCCCTCTCTACCAAAATATATAAAAATTAGCCAGGTATGGTGGTGTGCTCCTGTGGTCCCAGCTACTCAGGAGGCTGAGGCAGGAGAATCTCTTGAACCCAGTAGGCACAGGTTGCAGTGAGCCAAGATCATGTCACTGCATTCTAGGCTGGGTGATAGAGCAAGATTCCATCTCAGGAAAAAAAAAAAAAAGGAGATAGCTCAGGAGCTCAGGATGTTGAATTGCATAAAGGGAGAAACACTTAATAAATTCATAATATCAGTATTCTTCGACTTAACTGTTAAAGGCAGGTTTTATTTTATTTCAAAAAGAAGTCAAGCAATGTAAGGCAGTGACTGATCATGCCAACACAAGATTCTCACTGATCTGGGTCCAAATCATGGCTTTATCACTTCTAGCATAAGAAACCTGAGGTATGTAAGTAATAACTAAGTCACTTAAGGTATGTAAGTAATAACCAAGTCACTTAACTACTGAGCCTGTGTTCTCGCCTGAATATTGAACTAATTCACTAGCTTACTGGAGGATCCAATGGCGGTAATCATAACAAAAGGCTTAGAACAGGACCTTGGCATGCAGTAAACACTTAGAGGGATTAGTCATCATTTTAAATCATTAATAGGATGTTTTTGTATATAATTAAGTATCTATGTCTAAGGAATTACAAACATTATATATATCTTTTTCTGCCCCTCTTTTAAATAATAAAATGTTTCTTCTTTTGAGTTACAACTATGGATAATGTGTTTTGCTTTTTTGCTTGTTTTTCATGTCAAAAATTAAGCCAATAGTATCATTCCCATCAGATAACTCTTAGAAAATCCAGTAAGTGACTTATGGGTGTTTCTTTACACTGTTCTATTTTCTCTCTTATTACAGTGGCCATTGCTTATAGAAATTTTATTATTCTTTCTGTGTTTGCATAGGTATTTGATAACTGAAAACCATTTCAAGCTTTTGCTGCATTTGTGCATGATTATTATCTTCAGACTAGTAAAGGATAATACCCGATGTAGGCTTCCTAGAAAGGAATTTCAGCTATCAGAGAAGAAAATTGCAACATGTAAACTAGAGTGAGGAAAGCAGGGAACATTTAGAAAAGCTCCCTTATATGTTTAGAGATACTTACATGCAGATCTGCCTATTGTAGAAACGATGTCAAGGACATGGAGATTAATGTTGGCTTTGCTGTTAATGTGCTCCAAACAGCCATCATAAGCAAAAGGAGGTCAACCTCCAGTGTGCCCTGGCCATTACCATTCCCCACAAAGAGTCCTAAAAACCATCTCAGAGCAAGACAATGGTGTCTAATGCTGAAGTTCTCTAAAGCCCATCTGACCTGGCTGAGGCTCCACTGGAAGTAAGCTTCCTTCACAACATAAATAGAAGTGGCTGGAGCTCCTCTGAGAGCAAAGGTAACAAGAAAGGTGTTCTCCTCAGGGAATGGGCCCCTGCAGGCTCTGATAGGCTTGATCCTCTGGGTTGCTGGGATCCTACTATCCTGTACACAGCTGGCTTTCTGTGGCTGATTTTCAGCCTGTGAGAGAGACATTTCTGGGCTTCTGTATAGCAGGAGTCTATAGGCCACAGCAGCTGAACATTTCTCCCAGGGAGGCTGGCCAAAAGCCCAGGCACCTCAGGGAATCCAGGATGTTAAAGAAGAAATTTCTTTCCTCTCCTTAGCCAACGAGTGCAGTTGGCTTGCATTCCTGAACCCAAAAAGGATAATTAAGATTAACAAATGTTAAGCTTAAATAATTATGAAATCTTAATGAACTCGTTTTTAAAGAATAACTTTATAACCTTATATAGAAAATAAGTGCAGAAACTTAAGTTGGATTTTTTTTTCCTTCCCTCCTAAAAAACAAATTTCTAAATAAGATAAGAGCCTGACTGCAGAAAGTTTCAGAGAAGGTAATAATGGGACACACTCATAAAAATAGGAAGAAATCCTATTTACATCTAGACTTGTTTAGGGAATGGAACTTCAGTAAACATTTGCTATTATTTGGGCTTCAGTAGTATTTTATTTTGCTTAATTGTTTGTTTGTTTGTTTGTTTTGAGACAGAGTTTTGCTCTGTTGGCCAGGCTGGAGTGGTGTGATCTCGGCTCACCGCAACCTCCATCTCCTAGGTTCAAGCAATTCTCTGCCTCAGCCTCCGAGTAGCTGGGATTACAGGCGCCCGCCACCACACCTGGCTAATTTTTGTATTTTTAGTAGAGACGGGGTTTCCTCACCTTGGCAAGGCTGGTCTTGAAACTCCTGACCTCATGATCCACCCGCCTCGGCCTCCCAAAGCACTGGGATTACAGGCGTGAGCCACCGCGTCCGGCCCTTTATTTTGTTAATGTAAGGATCAGAATATTGAAAGTGCAAAAATCAGTCACATGGGATAATTATTTTGGTATTGGGTATAACTAAGCAAATGATCTTGGGTATACTCACAGAACTTGTATCAGGTTATATTTAGCTTCTAATGATGAAATTTAGGCCCTCATGTTGGAATTTATCTATTTGCAATGTGAAAACTCACCTTCCAGAAATTCTGAAAATAAGTTTTCCCACATTTACATGAAATAGTCTCAAGATTAAATTCTGCAATGTGTCAGGAAAGAAACTATCATTCCCTTCATGCACAAGAAGCAGCGACCTTTTGTATAAAAATCATATGATGCAATGATTCCTTTACTTACAACTACTGTGATGAAAGTTATTCTTAATTATCTGACTTTTGATTTTGTAAGGAAGAATATATGCTGGATGTAAATATGGAATATATACCCACACAAAACTGTAAACACCTTACTCAAGGAGAATATAGAAGTGTCTTTTGGAAATCAGATAAGTGACTAGGCTTCTTTATGATGGCTGTAAGAAGCTCACCAGACCGCCTTGGTATGGGTGCTCAGGAAGCTCACATGTTTTTAAGTGTTTTCGGAAATTACCTCCAGGAACAATGTGACTGGGCTGTGTTGGCAGAGCTGAAGAGCCTGGCTTTTCCTTCTCCATACTTGGAGCCCACAAGAGGCTCGCTGAGCCCCATTTGCACATGATTCCCTTCAAAGCCTGATTTGTCCACTCCTTTGTCTACTCAAATGCCATGCCAGTGGCTGAGCTGATTATCTGGATCCTGTAACATTGTCTGCAATGTTCATTTATGTTTCAATCAATGCTGAAATAGCCCACATGTTCCAGTCTGTCCTCCGACATAAACACATTATTTATGTAGCCATCTAAATGCCTATAGTGCTTCACTGTGAAATAATTAGAGCTGTTCTCTTTATTGTTTACACCTCTCAACCTAGGATATCCACCCCGCTCAATCCTTAACGGCTTAGGAAAATGGAATCATTACATTGCCAAGTCTCAAAAGATTGACAGAAACTCGAAATTGTTAAACACACACACAAACAAAACAAAACCAGTTTATCCTTTCAGTATCTGTGCTATGATATTCCCTTTGTTAGTGCCTTCAAAATTTTGTGGAAGGTGTGTATCTTAGATTGAACTCTCTCAAAATCAGACCCTGTGACAAGGACTCGAGTGCAAGTAGTTTATTTGGGAGCTGATCTCAGGAAGCACCCATAAGAAATGCAGAAGAAAGATAAAGAAGAGTGGAAGCCAATCAAGTGTGTGTTGCTGAGTAGTTTGTTACTTTGGGCAACTGCCTAGCTAGGGAATGCTGGCAGACAACATAAAACATGCCTCAGACTTATCTCATCTTGGGGACAAGGGAGCTGGATATTTACTTCCAATTTCAATATGTTATTAGCCAAGACCTAACCTCTGGACGTGTCCAACCTGCCCTGCATGGGGGCTGAGGGAAAGCCCTCAGTTGGAGAGTGACAAGACTTGCAGCAATGACATGTGACAGCATGGCTGATGCTGAGTGGGTTATGTGTGGAAAATTTTTAGAAGGGGTAGATACCACTCTTCTTTAGATAGCAGGTGTGATGGCAAAATATTTTAAGTCATACTTAAGTAAAATTAGCAAGACTGATATTTACACAAAAATTCATTTTCAATTGCCTACTACAGGCCAAGCAACATTGTGCTATGCAAAAATCCTATAGTAAAGGTTTTTGTGAGTTGAATGCACACCCCAATGTAGTTTTCATTATTCTTTTTCTACATGCCATTTTCATATCTTAGGCGTGCAAAAAGCATTCCTTACCATCTCCTCCCAAGGAAAAAGAAAACATTCTAATGAGGTTAGCATGGCACCTTTTGCACCAAATACCCTAGTTCTCCCATTTTCCCCTCTATCTCTATCAGTTCTCACAGTAGTGGTAAAAAAAAATATAACTGCTAGAAATTCAACAGGATTTTTTATTTTTATTTCCAAGCCTTGGTTAAATGTGAAAGAAAATTCTGGTCAGTACATTTCTCCTTACACTCTGAAAAATTATGTAAATATGTAAAAGACTGAGTGTTGAAAAACATCTGCATTTTATTAATAGGTCAAATATACAAAATATACTTTGAAATATAATATAATGGGTAGAAATGCTTCAAAACATATCCTATTATATCAAGCCAAGTGGAACATTTTTTCTACCTGTGTGAAAATAAATCTATCATTACATTTTCAAAAGCTCTCCCAGCATAAACTTGTTGCCTTGGAAGTAAACATGAAGACTGTGAAGTCAGGTCTGTGAGATGGAGTAAATTCTGCTCGACTTACTGAGTTAAATGGCACTGTACTTGGTATAGGAGGGATAAGAGGAGGGAGAAAATACATTTTGAATTTCATAATAATTATATTCAAGGTACAAATACCTCATTTGATCTTCAACTTTTCTGAGCTAGGTTAAGATGCTACTTCCATTTTCCAGACAGAACTGTGATGAGCAGGGAAGATTTCCCTGCCAGCCCTGAAAAGCAGGAATTATCAAGTGGAGGATAATAAAGTTGGTGACAACCACTACTGCTTATCCTACCTTTGTCAAAAAAATACCTAATATGTCACAGGCCATAGGTTAATACACTCTGAAAATGTCCAACCCAAGCTAAAAAAAAAATTAGTGTTTTCTGTTGACATACAAACAGAAAAAACTAAGTCTATATGAAAATAATTCTCACTTTATTTTGGGTATAGATTAACAACTCTTCCAGGACCTTCTTCATAAGAGGTGGAGTTACACTTACCACAATATTAAACAGGGATTTTAAATATGGGTTGACGTGGAGCAAAAAAACAGTTTATTATTCTCTGGCTTACATTTTATTATGTCAAACAAGCTCTTCTTTTTTTAAAGAGTTAACTAATATTTCAATTAGGTTGTAAGAATCAGTGAATATATATCACACTATTATAAAAGAGTTCTTACTAAATATGTATGACTTATTTTAATAATGCTTAAGAGATAATTTATTAAACATTCCTGCTCTGGAGATGTTTGGTAATCTAATGGACACATTGAGCTGAGCCATGAAACAGCTCTCTAATTAGAAATGGATAGTCAATATGTAACAACCCATTTGTGTAGATTTAAGAGAGTTTTATTAGGCTATGAGGTTATATATCCATATAACTTATGTAAAGTATCTTTTCTATGACCTTTATTTGTGAGAAGAAGGAAGTTCAGAATCTCAAAGGGCTTTAAAATACAAAATAGAGTCATTATTTTAGTCAATATAAATGTACCAAAACATGTCTGCATCCAAGTTAACAGCCTTATCACACTCAGAAAAAAAATGTGTCCACATAAAATGTGTCTTATTTGCATGCAAGCTAAGACAAAATATTAATTCTTAATAAAATGACTAATTTAAAATGGTAAATAAATGACGATTCACAGTTTTGAATATTTTCGCCTTTGAAAACAACAAAGTAAATCCGTGGTATGATTCCAAACCAACAATTAATTTGGTAAAACCATGAATGGTACATCAACTCCTGGAACAAATTAGGTCTTTATCAGAGGAGCTGGCAAACATATATGAGCAGAGAAACACTTGTTAAAGAAAACACTGGAACACACCAATTAGCTTATAATGTTATACAAGTAAAAGTAACATTGTATATGCTAGTCACTGTGACAGACTCAGTCTAGTGCTGATAGGAAGCCACGTTAAATTATTAAAGGGCAAAACATCCTTTGAGCAATCTTCTTTCCCCTTATGGGAGACTCTTCCATTCCCCAGCAGCTAAGTGAATTTTCCCAAACTTTTTTTTTTATTTTATTCTTCAACATTTTAAGTCTGGAAACCTGTGCCAAGCAGCATTTATATATACATGAGTAGGGAGCATTTGAAAATGTTCACTGCTAAGCTCGGTTCAAAAGCACATCACATTAATATTGGTGACAAAGTCTTTTGTGTGTAAAGTATTAAGACCCTCCAATCTCCCATCCAGTGATGCTCATAACACGATATGATCTTGCTGAGGATGTTAGCCTACTGACAAACCTGCGTTACTATTACTGGGTGCAGAGTGGGAAGACATACTCTTAACATAATACAGGATTTAAATAAATGCAATCAAGAGACAAGTTTTACTTTTCTTTGGCCAAGGGGAAATAATGGTAAAAGAAAACCTAAGTGACTCCCAGTGACCTGGACTTTGAGAAGTCTCTAAAGGAAGGATATTTTCTGTTGGAAAACTAGCTTGTTGTGCATCTGTCAGGATCACAGTGATGGAGAACCTAACTCATTAACAGAAATAGGACCAGAGACCACCTTGCACTGATAGACAGTCTCAAACCAAGAGAGGCCATATGACAGCTTCCAAACACTGGGCTGAGAACTGGTTTTTCTTTCTGCTTTAACCAGTTCAAGAAACGAATGGGATGATCTGTATTGGAGGGACACTTTATCTGACCTCTTAGACTAGGGTCTTCAAAGAACTAGGGTCTGTAGAATCCCCTTGGACTGGGAGGTCCAGCCTGGACTTAAGATACTGAAAATATCCTTAGTTTTTCTATATACAGGTATCTCTTTATGTTTAAATTAAAACTATTCTATTACTCGTTTAACACATTGGTCATAGTCAAGAATACTCTGTCAAATTTGTAGGTAAGGCTACTGGAATCAACACTTAGTTATTTACTCAATGATAGCTTAGGGATTGGGATGTGGATCTCAAAATATGCCCTCTGCCTTCTTCTATAAAAAGTAGGGAACAGCCAGGCAAAAATGTACAAGTTACTCCAAGGGGAGAGTTAGTAAGATCTCCACAGAAGATGGCAAAAGTGGTGGTACTCTGGCTTTTCCATGAATAAGCAGAAAATCATGACTTGTTTAATCCAAGTTGTTGTAGCATCTGGCAAATTACTCTATCAGATTATTACATTGGAAAACTGCTTAATGAAGTTAAGTATATTTTAAGGGAGTGAGAGGGAAAAATAAATTCCAGATAAATAGAATAAAACTACTAAAATAGAACTGTAGTCGTAATGTAATGGTATGTTTTATACCCCTTCTTTGTAGTATTTTTAATTATCCTACTTATGTATATTTTGTGAATTGAATCTTATGTTTTATCAGAATAATTTAAAAAATTGTAACAGTACCATGACATTTCTTCCTGATTTATGGTGGTACAACTAGCCATGCCTAAACTGTTGTGCTATCTTGAAAAGAACTGTCACTGCTCAAACAGAATCAAAGTGAAGAGTGATAGTTTTTCCCACCTTCTTCCTTTCAAACTGTCCATAACCTAATGTTTTAGATATTCCTTTGAAAACAGGATACAGTTTAATTTTTAAAATGCAATCTGACAGTCTATATCCTTAAACAAGACCATGTAATCAATCTGTATTTTATGTCATTATCAAAATATTATGATGTGACTTCACCATCTTACATTTTCTATTGGTGCCTGTTGTTCTATGTTACAGTTTCTCTCGGTTTTTTTGTTCTCTTTTAGACTGAGTGTTCTTTGTACTGAGCATTTTACTTCTTGTCTATTTTTATACACTTTTGTGCTCCCTTAGATTTACTCTAAAAATTGCAGCATGCATCCTTAACTTATCAAAGTCTTACGTCCTTGTTCAAATAATTTAAGGGCCAAAGAACCAATTTAACTTCACTTAATTTCCCCTTGATTCATATTATTTTTGTTTTTTATTCTCTCCATTCAATTTATTCAATTTCAGTATTATTTTATGAAACCAAATTTCATTTAGATTTCTCCATACATTTACCACCTTCTTTGCTCTTTACTGCTTCCTACGTCTCTGGGATAATTTTCCTACTACATAAAGTAACTCTTTTAATATAGGTTTGCTATTAATAAACTCAGGATTCTTGTTTAGTTTTGTTTGAAACTGGCTTTATTACTTTTTTTGCTTTAAGAACATTTCCAAATCCGTCAACATAAATTTTTCTTTTTCTCTTTTATTTTTGTTTTTGGAATTTTATTATGATGTACCTAAGTGTGGTTTACTTTATTTTTCTTTTCTTTTTGAACTGACTTTTTAAAAACAGTTCTGGAAAATTTTCAGGCATTATCCCATCAGATACTGCTTCTGCCTCTTTCCTGTTTTTCTGGAACTACAATTAAATGCATATACAAGGTCCTCCCACTATTTCTTCTCTTACACTCCTTTTATTTTCCTGCTATATCTTCCTGCTATAATATTTAGTGTTTTGTCTGCCTCAAGTTACAGCTCGCTGATCTCTCTATTGGATCTAATCTACCATTAAACTCATTCAGTGAATACTTAGTTTCAATTACAGCATTTCCAATTCATAATCTTAATATGATTCTTTTTCAAGTATGTTATGTCACCTTTACAGACATTTTCAAGTTTGAGTTTTGATCTCAATAAAAATAACAAGTATATATTTATTTTTATAGAGCTATATTATAGTTTACATATGATTATTTAAATATTTTAAGTCCTGGTGCATCTACATTTTTTTAACTTTTCACTTCGAAAAAATTTTAAAAATTACAAAAGAGATGCAAGAATAAAAACAGAACATAGAACACTCATATAATCTTTCCTTGATTCAAATATTTACATTTCCCTCTTTGTTTTACCATTTTACCCATAGATAATTATGGAATGATCTCATTTTCCCTAGTTCAAACTCTTTATCCAGATATGCCTGAATTTGCCCCTTGTATTACGCAGCTTTGCAAGCTATTTTTAACTGGATATCTATCCTTTGTAACTCAAATTCTGAACTGACACAAAACTTTTAAAATCTATGTACACAATAACATTCTGTGTATAACTATAGCATATATCTCCTCTCAATACTTGCATGTCAGCAAGCAATAACCAAATGAAGAAAAGGCAAATAAAATGATAAATGCTATAGTAGGACTTAAATCTAAAGAGAAAATGAAAATGTTATTTAGCATATTTAACTTTTATGTAGTTAAATATTTTAATGTCCTAATTATTGATAAGTTGCCTTAGGAAAACTAAAATGCACAACCATGATAAATGGACAAAACTGCTCCCAAATCAGTCCACAGCACCTTAGTTTCTGCCACTGTCCTTATATAAAATGTTGAATCAAATGTGAGACATTAGCAAAAAAAATAAATAACTTCCAGAAGTGCTTGAACACAACTGAAGAGTGTCTAGTCTAAGCCTCAAGGTCTCTGAAATGGCCTTTAACTCATCTTCCAGCAGGCTTCTTTTTTTTCTTGTTATCAATTCTACTTATGTCAGCCAGAGAACACATTACCCCACCTTCCCATTCAAAACCCTTAAATAGAACACTAAAATCCTTTCTACATTCTACAAAGGGCTCACTAGCAGGCCCTGGCTACCTCCCCAACCACACTTAGGGAATTCTTATCTCCAACCACTACTCCCACTTAGGCCATTCCAGGAGCCAGATTGCCTGAGGTGCCTCTAGGATACCGGTTTGATTCCTTCCCCAAAAACCCTGCCTGGAAGATTTTTCTTTAAATTATTATCATGGGTTGGCCCTCATTTAACCCAGGTCTCTGATCAAATAGCACACCTTGCAAATAATCTTTCTTAACTACCCCTTCAAAAATACACTTCCTATCCTTCCATCAGTGTTTTTGCCCTTTCTCTGTCTTGTTTTTATTCATAGCAATCATACTACCTGAGATGTAACACTGTTTATGTTCTCCCTCTCTCTCAAACGTAAATAAACAAACACTGTCAAGGGAGATACTGGCTCACCAGTACAAATATAAGTTAATTAGTGAAAATAATGTGCCCTGTTGAAAAAAAAATCATTAATTGTAACTTGCTAAATGGAAACAGTTTGCTTGTGATCTCTACTCAGAAAATCTTTTATATATTCTTGTCTATTGCTTTTGAGATACTGGCTCACCAATACAAATATAAGTTAATCAGTGAAAATAATGCATCCTGTGTAAAAAATTAATTGTAACTTGATAAATGAAAACAGTTTGCTTGTTATCTCTACTCAGAAAATCTTTTATATATTCTTCCTTATTTCTTTTGTGGTATGTACATGACATTGCTGTTAAAACTAGTATGTACTGCATGCATGCAGTATCCAAATATTCAGTTTAGTAGACTTGTGGTTTTTGCCTGTTTTGGACAATACCATTTACTGAAAACCAACATTTGAATAAAATTTATAAATAAGAATTATCTAAATATTTTTCCACATTGTTGAATACCTATTTTAAAAGTCAAAATGAAAGTACCATATTATTAACTTTGTCAAATATGTATTTGCCTAATGAAATCTGTCAAAACTATCAACTTAACTTTTTTGCAGATTATTTTACCCTTCATTGTTAATGAATTGGGTTCTTAGAGTTATAAATGTGATTTCAAAAGCAAAAGAGAATACAGATGCTATATGTTTTAAATCATTAGATGACTGAGATTAGTAAACAGCCTAAATAATTTTTAAGAGGTAGATCAGTGTAGCTATGGAGTCCCACTAGGACATGAAATTTTGTGTGCAATATATACTGATTCTGCCACATACACAAAAAGTGGTTCATAAACATAGAATAATACCAAAGAAGTAGGTATGTAATTTTAAGGTCCATAAACTCTAAGTTTCTATCTTTTGTATATTATCTATTTCTTCATTCTCAGAAATTCTCAACTCTTGCTATTTATTTGAAACTTTACAGTACATTAATTTAGCTTAGAACTAGCCCTGAATGTATAAAAAGTAACTGAAAAGAAAGCAAAACAAATGTGAGGAAAGAAAAATTGAGGAATAATGATTAATGCCAAATCTAACCTTTCTGCTCTAGAGCATCTAGCACCAAATATAGACCAAGTTACTTTTAACAGTCTCTGCTGTGATTTCCTTCAATTATGAGCTATGACAAGTCAATTTCTTGACATAAAACATTAATAGGGTTAATTTTTTAACAAACAGAAAAGAACTCGTTTGAGACTCATGGCACCTTGGATATTAAGCCAGGTATTACTGAATATGTTACATTTGCAACTGGTAAAGTTGCCGATATCACTATGACAATGAATATGACTAAAAACATCTAGGAAACAAGGGTCCAAGCATAATGCCACAGTCCAAAAGGAGTTTATCACTGAGAATCTGAATACTGACATCATTGTTTTAGATATTTTTGGTTATTTTCAGGATTTCGTACAGATGAAAAGGATCAGCCATCAAGTCACTTGCCAGGCCACTGATGGCACTGTATAGTTCTCATATCCGATCTGATTTAAAGAGAAGATTAAGTACAGGATGTCATTTCCCATTGCCAACTAAAGAAAAGGGGAAAAAGCTAACAGGAAATGAGCCTTTTAAAAAAAATCTTAGAAGAAATGTGCTCAACTCCTTACTCTTCACCTATACCCTTCAAAAAAAACATTAGATAGTAGTAGCCAAATCTCTTCATTTCATTTTTCAACTGACTACATAGAAGGAATCTTATTGGAGGGATTTTCACATGGAATGTTAAAGTATCAGTTACTTCATTTCTCAATTTTATATTGAAATGGAAAATAATAAAATAGCATAGTAAAGTATATGACAGAAGATATGAATAATACAGGCAGAAATTACAGTCGATGTCTAAGAAAGATAGGGCAGTTTTTTCCCTTATTAGACTACCCTAGGCCTGCTCAGTTGACATCTCCTTTCTAGTAATAGATACCATTCTACTTCAAAAACTAATAAACAAAAGGAGTACATGTTTTGTTTGAGGTTCTGGTATTAAATTCTTGGCTCTATCAAAAACTCAGTTTTGAGCTTGTAAATATTATATAACCTATATGTCTTTCTCAGTCCCAACAGTTATAAAATAGAGATATTATTATAGTAACATCTACTGCCTAAGGTTTTATTAAGTATTCAATAATATAATGCCTATAAAAAGATTAACAATTCTATTTCTAACACACAGTAACATTCCAACAATTATTTTGTGTTACTAATATTACTCTCCACAAAATGCTTGATGGGATAGCAACTATTTTCCCATTTACTAAATTAATATTTTAACTTTATTTTCAAGTTTTGTTATATCATATTTACTCCTAATCATGGACTCAACATTGAACAATAAAATCAATTTTAAATGAATATGTTTTTCTATCTTGGAAAGCTTTTGAAGGTCTTTTTAGTAACAAGACTCACAACTATTTTAACTATCAACTGGTACGAGTGGGGAATTTAGAGGAGTAGAGAGTGAAATCTCTGAATTTGAACAGGAAAAGGGAAGGGAAGATCTTGGAAGAGACATCCCTAAACAGTACAGCAGAGGAAAAAGAAAGAGGCTCAGCACTATATAAGCAAAACAGAATGGGTTCCTTAACATTCCATCTATTAATATTTTCTGATGACAGTCCTGGCAAACCATGAACAGGGGCTGGGGCAGACGCAAGTCCTTTTGATAACCACCTCACCATTCACTGTCCACCATGACTTCAAAATGATTCCATCTACTTATTAGTGCACTCTTAGAAAATAACATCTTTATTACTGAGAAATCCAAAATCATTTCACTTGACAGGAAAAATAAGTACATAGAACTACAAAATGTTATGCTTCAGACATAAGATGACACTCATATTCTTGTTGTAGTCTCTCTGAAATTAACTATGAGTTTAATACTTTGAAGATAATGTGATAATCAACTGAGCAAAGAGAATAAGATAGGCTATGATATAAAATGCATTTCAATAAAGAGAGATAATGTTACCACATTCATTCCCCAAAGAGACAGTGAAGAAACATATATACTTCACACTGTTTCTTCCTATTTCACTTCAAATTAACTCGTGTATAAAGGGAACTTTTCCACTATATTTTAGTTATTTGCTCTTTTTTTGAACATATACCACTACCATGGGTAATCTTTTTTAGGATATATCAAATCTGTGGGGTAAATATAATATTTTTGCTATCTTATTAATTTTCCCTAAATTTATTTCAATGAAATATGCAGAATTTTAAAAAGATTAGGAGATGGTCCAATTGGGTAAACTTTTACAAAATATGATCATAATTGCCTTTTTTCTAAGTAATTATTCTAAAAGAGAATACCAATTATAAGAGACACAGTATCTCTTTAAAATGTTTAAATAGTAACCATGAGGCTTAGTGGGTTTAAGAAAGAGAAAGACCAGCATAAGTGCTTACTGAGCAGGGCAAAGAGTGTTAGATTAATTTGAGAAGTCAGGAAGCTAGCTGAGAATGTTCAAAATGTCTGAATTTGTTCTTCTAAAAGAAAAAGAATATCATGAGAAATGAGACTGAAAGGAAGTTCCGTGATTAAGATGCACTTTGTTACATAGAAGACAATGAAAGAACAGTTTTGAAGACAACATGCACTGTATTGCATGCAAACTCTGTGATAAACTCACCTATATAAGGAGATGAAAAATCTCACACTACTGAATAGTGAGAAATAAGTTAAAACTATCAAAAACCATGACTAATATTCAGTGCAAAATATTAAAGTCAAAAGGGAAAATAGTTGTTTTTTCATTTAAAAATTTTTTAAAGTTATAAAATATTCTAGAAAACTGGACATAAAAATAAAGAGGAAATCATCTCTATTTTCACCATTTTACAACATATTTATAATTTCAGTGTTCATATGTGTATATTTTGCCTATTTAAAGTAGGACTTGTACGTAATTTTGTACCATATTATCCCCAAGAAACATTAAAGCATGTGCATTTTTATATTTTATTATAATCATTTTATATTTTATTACAATCACATATTTACTCTTAATGGTTGCATATTATTCTCAAATGTATGTGCATAAGTCTATTGTTGGCCATTTGAGTTATTTCTGATTTTTTATTATACATAATACATTCATCAACATCTTCAAACATATGACCTTTTCCATATTTTGTACTATTTCCTTAGAATAGATTCCTAGAAGTAGTATTAATGCATTAGACAGTAAGAATTTTTTTTATAATTATTTTCCCCACATACTGCCAAATTGTTT
Organism: Homo sapiens; assembly: GCF_000001405.40. NCBI lineage: Eukaryota > Metazoa > Chordata > Mammalia > Primates > Hominidae > Homo > Homo sapiens. Next base: position 167,306,010 of record NC_000002.12, on the reverse strand, counting down.
TCCAAAAGGGCTATACCGATTTCAATTGCACCAAAGAGTATCTGAAAGCACCAGATTCACAGCATACTTGCCAACACAGAACATGATTATTTTTAACACTGTTATTTAGTAGGTGAATAACTAGTCCTCATATTCTTCATATAATTTAGTCTAGTAGACCGCAGGATGGCAAAGGAGAAAATCTGAAATTAAGGAACAATTTAACAGAAATTCTTTATTCTCATGGCTATCTTTGTGGTCAAGATAGTTAAACAGATGCTGAAAGATCATCAAATGAGATTAGTTCACAATAAATGTGTATACACACAAAGCACGCTAATAGATAAGTGCAAACCTGGGTAGGGGCCTCTAGACAAATGCCATGAAACCAGGTATTTGGTCCAGCCTTATTCAGCATTATTAACCGTGCAACTGAAGACAAGGAAGGCAAGATAATCAAATGTGAAAATAAATACACATACATTTTCACAGTGAACAAGCACACATACATTTTAAATTAGCAACTCCACTTCTAGGTCCTTTAGTTTCTTGTACACGTGTGAAATAATATGCACAAGAGCTTTACAGCATTGGTTGTGTTAACCAAAATATCAGAAAAAATATTAATTGTTCATCAGGTAGGAACTGTCTCATAATAAATAAATTATGGCACTTTCAACAAAGGTAATATGATGGAGTTGAGAAAATGAATGAGGAAGCTCTTGTAAACTTTGACAGTCCTCCAAGATTGCTGTGTTTAAAAATCAGGAAGCAAAATATATATATATATTAACAACTGTCTAAAAATTGGTGAGAAAATATTTCGTGTCTGTATGTGCATAGGCACAGTATCTGGAAAGATACTGTGATGGTTAATTTTATGTGCCAACTTGACTGAGCTAAAGGATACCTAGGTGGCTGGTAAAACATTTCTAGGTGTGCCTGTGCAGATGGATGAGATGAGCATCTGAATCTGTAGACTGAGTAACAAAGATCATCTTCACTAACCTAGATGGGCATTATGCAATCCTTTGAGGGTGAGAATAGAACAAAATGTCAGAGGAAGGGTGAATTTGCTCTCAGCTTGAGGTGGGACAGCTATCTTCTCCCGTCCTTGGACACTGATGTTCTTAGATCTTGAGCTTTCAAACTCAACATAAATTTACACTATTGATTCCCCACATTCTCAGGCCTTCAGACTCAGACTGAATACTACCAGCTTTCCTAATTTTCCAGCCTGTTGATGGCAGATTATGAGAATTCTTGGTCCCCTAACCACATAAGCCAATTCTTAGAATCTCTCTCTCTTTCTCTGTCTCTCCTGAGCCAATTCTTATAGTCTCTCCCTCTTTCTGTCTCTCTGTCTCTGTCTCTCTCTCTCTCCTCTCTCTGTCTCTCTTTTTCTCTGTATGCTCACATACACATACTTTATTGGTTCTGTTTCTCTAGAGAGCCCTGAATAACAGATTTTGTTGCCAAGAGTGGTTCTAGAGGAACAGAATTTTAAGGATAAGTTTTCTGAATTGGTTCTGGGATCTCTGGATTTAGCTCTCTAATCTGATTAGATTTATTGGTGCTAATTTAATGCCTTATTTCCACTGGTAAAGAGAACACTGAGTATAACAATACATAAAATACTGCACTGGATACTTCCAATCAACCACTTACAAGAAACAAAGAGCTAAGGGACTCTGTACATGATACTTTCAAATATTTTTGAAAACTAAGGGATATAATCATGTTGCTAGACAAAGTGGTGAGCTCTGGGATTTGAATTCCCAGCTCAAGTGCTGCATAAACGACTTAAGAGCTTCTTCTTCTCCCATGAAGGAGAGCTTTATCTCCTGTATCTGCAGGGCTGAAATTGCTGAAAATCAAACACAGAACTTCATCCTGGGATTAGCTGAATTACAAGTTCAACTTCCAGCCTTTCAGAGTATCTACTAGTAAAGTAAGGGTATTAATTGGGGAAGAATGGAATACTGTAAATTGGGATGGGAAGGTATGGAAGACCTTGATGAAGCTGGGGACAGTAAGCTTATAAATTCTGATGAGTCTTCTTTGTCAGGGAAAGAGGTCTCCCCAACCCAGTGAAAGCATCCTTTCCATCTCCAGTAGAAGCAGCCTCTCACTCCTATTGGTAACAACCTCCCAACCCACAGTGGCATTGGCCTTTCCAGCTCAGTCTGAGGGGATAAACTCTGAATTGCTCATGGAAACAAAAATGACTTCCCCTGAAGTCATGACTATGCAAGATAGTGCTCAATATCCTGAGGCTTCATCCCACTCCTGGTACCAAAATTTGTATTAGGGTTCTCCAGTAAAATGGCAGCAACAAGGTCTCTCTCTGTGTGTGTGTGTGTGTGTGTGTGTGTGTGTGTGTGTGTATGTGTGTGTTTCCAAGAGCAGGAGAAAACAGATGTCTCAACTCAAGCAGAAAGAGCTATTTGCCCTTCCTCTACCTTTCTGCTTCCTTCAGGATGATTCCCATTCATACTGATGAGGACAGTCTTCTTTAATTGGTCTAATGATTTAAATGCTAATCTCTTCCAGAGGTATTCTCCCAGACATACCCATAAATAATGTTTTACCAGCTACCTAGGCAACTTAGACCAGTCAAGTTGACACATAAAGTTAACAATTACAAACACCACGAAACTGGTAGGAGTGGTTACCTATTTGAGGAATGAAAACTAAGTATATGGGGAAGGATACGAGAGGGAGAATTTTTACTGTGTGTTTTTGGAACCAGTTGTATAATATATTATCTATTATAAAATTAAACACATAAATTTCACAAAAGGAAAAAATAACTACAAAGTTGGCCCTACCTTATGTTCTGAAAAGAAACCAGCTGTCAGATTGTACATTCTCATGAACCAGAAGAGGGCAATGGCTACAAGGCAACCAATGATCAACCAATTTTCTTTTTCCTCTTTTATTCTTTTCCAATATTTTTATTATTTGCTCAAATATAGTTCATGAGATCATCAAAATCATTCTGTGCAGAGTTCAGTCAATATACCAAAGTGCTGCTCAAAAATATATTACAAGATAACGTATTTATGCTTTTAGAAAAATTCCATTTATTTCTCTGCCCAAACCCTTTGTTCTTCTTTCAGTTATAATTTGTGAGCTACAGATATGAGCCAAGAGAAAAAACATCAAAACTTTCCATGATATTTGTTTTTGGATTTATGTAAGGAAGCATGATTTTTAGCTTTATTATAATCATATTTAACAGAATCTTTAATTGTATTTAATAAATAACTGGGCTAGACTAGAATAGCTCATATTGTCTCAATTTAAGCTTGAGTTAATACAAATTAGGACAACTGATAAGATACACGTATATACAAACACATGCAATTATTTTTATTGTTTTTTTAACCTGATATGACAATAAAAAAATTTATTTTAATTACAAAATGCAAATACATCTTAAGTTCAATTACATTAAGATAAAGATGTGAAAAGCAAAGTCTAAAATTACCCCTGAAAAGTTACCAACTATGAAATTAACCAGATATCACTGAATATATAGTAACAATGTAGAAAACAGAAATTTGTACAATTTAGTCCTTTCCTTCCAAAATTAAGCATATCACTCCAATGTTTTGTTTCTAGTACAGCTGTCTGGAGCCCAAAGCCATTATCATTTCACCCATTTTTACAGTTTTTTTTAGTATAGATTTTTTTAATGATCATTAAAGTAGTGCCTGTTCCCAGCAAAAACATTTTCATATACTTAAAAATGAAATCCCTATCATCCTACTATGCAAAAATAACAAATGTTAATATTTCATTTAACCATTTTTATAAATGTAAATCAAGAGTCCTTCTTCATACTAAATTTTGTATTCTGCTTTTTTCACTATTATTTCATCACCATTTTCCAATGTTATCAACATTTGAAAATCAATGATTTAATAGTGTATGCCACAATTTAATTATTCCCCTTTTGTTGGCCAAATAGTTTATTTCTACCATCACACTACTACAAATGTCTCTGATTAATTCCATGGAATTAATTCCTACAAGAGATATTACTGAAACAAAGAGTATTTTTAAGTATCTTGATACACCCTGTGGATGTCTGTTGTTTTTACCTATTGAGGAGACATTTTTCCCTTCTGCTATTTACAGTCCCTTGATCTTGGACTGGGCAGGAGACTATGGTCTTGGCTGGGCACAGTGGCTCACACCTGTAATCCCAACACTTTGGGGGGCCCAGGTGGGTAGGTCACTTGAGGTCAGGAGTTTGTCACTGGCCTGGCCAACATGGTGAAACCATCTCTACTAAAAAATAAAAAATTAGCCAGGTGTGGTGGCGGATGCCTATAATCCCAGCTACTAGGGAGGCTGAGGCAGGAGAATCGCTTGAACCTGGGAGGCAGAGGTTGCAGTGAGCTGAGAGTGTGCCATTGCACTCCAGCCTGGATGACAGAACAAGACTCCATCTCAATAAATAAATAAACAAACAAACAAACATAAAGAATGTGGTCTTGGTAGGACTGGTAATCAAAGTGCCCAATGATCCACTGACTAAGGCATGGTCATGAAACCAAAGCTAGTAAAGTCACACTTTCTATTCTAGGAATTTGAGCCTGAAGCACACAGAAACATGATCAGAAAAAGTACTGATGCTGATTTAGCCCATCAGTGATGGTACCCAGAAAGGACTTCATCATTTCCTCTCATATTCTCTGCAGCCATTCTGTTTTCTCTCATTTTCTTTTGATTCTATAAGCTTCAAAATACCTTCCTTTGTTGTGGATCTTATTCCTTAATTTAGTCATGACTGATTTCTATAGCATGCAACTGAAGAATTCTGTAAACATCAATGAAGAATCTTACCAGAAGTTTAGGAGTATCTGTAGTCCATCTTGTTTTTCATTGCCTTGATCAACCTTTAGATAGGATACTTATAATTTTTAGTAGCCAATGATAATGCTTACTGTGCCCAACTTATATTCAATGCGCTCAGAATAAAATGATGAATATGAGCCTCTTTCTTCAAGAAGCTTTCAGTCCACTAAAGGAGATGAACATAAACTAGGAATTTCTATATTGAGAGAAGTCTTCTAATAGAAGAAGACACTGATGTTGAATGTACTTCCTCTATTTTCCATTTACTTGTAATTGTGGTATTTTTAACTTAAAGTTGTTAACTTTTATAAGGTAAAATCTTTTCCCCATTATGTTTCTGTTTATAGAGTCTTTATTTGCTCTTAGCTTGTCTTAGAGTTTATGTTTACCCTCCCTTCATCTGATATTTTAGAATGCAGTGTGAGGTAGGGAGTTTACATTTTTCACAAATAATTATTCAGTTTTCCCAGAACCATATATTAATCATTTTGTACTTCCCCACATATTTGTGATTATTTCATACTGTGCTTTATTTTTGCATATTTTAGAGTTTGCATCTGAGGTCATTTATTCTCTTCTGCATGTTTGTCTGCATGTTAATCATCACTCGTAATACCTTTAAATACTTGAAAGTGCAACTTCCCTTAATGCGTTCTTTATGTTAAAATCCTTTGCTGTTATAACCTACTTGTTATTGTAGATGAACTTTAGAATATCTGTACATTTTACAACAATCTCTTTGGAATTTAACTGTGATTGTCTGTATGTATATATGTGAATATATATATACATTTAGTATTACTCTTTTTCTCTACTTATTTACATTTATTAAAAATGTCCCTTAGGAAGCTTTTGAATTTTAATAGCTTCTGATTCCTGGCTTACAATGACATAAAATCAGGAGAAATTTTCAGGCAGCATTGAAATAACTCTTTATAACATTTAAAATATAAAGTTCAGCTGGGCACAGTGGCTCATGCCTGTAATCCCAGCACTTTGGGAGGCCAAGGCAGGCAAATCACCTGAGGTCAGGAATTCAAGATGAGCCTGGCCAACATGGTGAAACCCCGTATCTACTAAAAATACAAAAGAAATAGCCAGGCGTGGTGGCGGGAATCTGTAATCCCAGCTACTCGGGAGGCTGAGGCAGGAGAATTGCTTGAACCCGGGAGGAAGAGGTTGCAGTGAGCCGAGATGGCACCACTGCACTCCAGCCTGGGCAATAAGAGCGAAACTCCATCTCAAAATAAATAAAGAAATAAATAAAATATATAAAGTTAAAAAAAGAATATATGTTATATAAATTCCACATATATATATGTTTATAAATAATACATATATATGGAGAGAGAGAGAGACCAAGAGAGAAAGAAGGAACCAACAGAGGGGAAAAAATGACTATTTTTAGCTGCCTTCAATAATTTCAGGATCTGCCTATTTTGTATTTTAGTCAGCTAAAGATTATCTTTTATTTCTTTGCATAAAGGAAATTAGGCCAAAATAATAACTAAAATAATTTTATCAATGCAATCTATTATTTGTTAATTGTTGCTTATTTTAAAATACAGCACCTTTCCTGTTTATCATTAGCTGTGTTCACTCAAGAGAAATCAACATGCATTACTCATATTTTTCATCTAATTCCTCAAAAATTGGAATTCAAGCAATCAGTGATGCTATCACTATTTTATAAAAATAAAAACTAAAGTAGTGATGAACTGTGACACATACTCACAAGCCCTATGACTGGCATAGACAGATACAGAATTGAGGAGGCCTAACTATTAGTTCATATGCCCTATTCACAAAGCCATGGTGCATTTGTGAACATTTAGTATAATTCTTCTTGTCTAGTAGTATCTAAATTTACAACTAATTGTTTGCAAACAACCTCTACCTCTGGCAGTTGTTTTTGCCTGGGTGCTAGGGTCCTAGAAAAGTTACCCACATGACTTACTGTTCAGTGAGGAATTGATTCAGCCCTGATGTCATCTATATGTGTCTAGGAAACATCTCATAGCCAAAGACTAAACAAAACACTAAGTACAATTAAAACTAAGTGCAGTATATCAGTTATAAACCATCTCTTCTGTTTCAAATTAGTACTTTAGGAGAATGATATGTCTCTTCAAACCCCTGTGGAAGGTGTTTTCTGAGAGAATCTAGCAATAGGTTTGTTTTTTTCTTTTCTTTGAGAACCAAGAAAGAGGTTTTTAATTGTTTAAAATTCTCTCATTATCCATGCAAGTTATCCCTCTCTACCTAGTTTTTTTGTTTTTCTGTTGTTGCTCTTTTTAAAAAAAAAATGCAGTAGCTTTTAAATTTTCTTAAGCATTTTTTTCTCATTCTAGAACATTCAAGAAAAACAGTAACAAAAAACTGCACACAGTTTTGGTATTTTCTGGAGTCCCTGAAGTTCATCTGTCAATCACATTGAAATCCAAAGTGATTGACCTTGGGAAATAAAAGGTCCTGTAAGAAGAGGGAAATAAGAAATCCTATTTTAGCAATTCTATTCTATCCATTATATTCTATAAACTAAATTCTATAGAGTCTATAAATATATGTATATAGAGTATATACATCTGTATGCTATAGACATAAAGAATGAAGTAAATACAAATATTTTACTTGCAAAGTTACGTCCAGCCTTATAAATCTTAGATGACATCTCTAAATGTATCCCAATTTCTCATTTTCTTGGTCCCAACATAATATTAACACAATGTAATAGTATGTCAGATATTAAAATAATAAAATGCACAAACTAGTAGATGCAGTCATTTCTATTATTTATTTTACAAAATGTAGAACTGTTTAATGAGCAACTGGCAAAGTGTTAACTTATATACTTCATCGTTAACAAATAGTGTTTCTAGATCTTCTACCTCAAATGAACTGGCAATAAATATCAACTTCCTGGAGTAAAGTTCTTCCTTACACATAGAGGAAGTTGCAGAATCACCTGGGTTCTTCCCAGCTCTAAATACCTGATTTCTGCTTAGCTCTCATTAACAGTTTCATAATCAGCTGGAGTGTGCTAGATATGGTAACCATTTGTTGGTTTACTTGTGGTTTAAAAACATTGTTTTCCTAAAGTTTTGCATTTAGGCAGAAAGAAGAAAAACTAGGGCAAAAAAGATAAAGGCTTAAATGAGTGCTGAATGCATTCTTGAATCTGGAGAAATAAAATACTGAGTTGACAATATCAGAAAGTCTTTCTCCATCTCCTAAAACTGGGGTGGGTAGCAGCAATCTTGAAGGCTTTTCTTGAATGATGTACCCTGCACTATTGTCCTGTAATCATACGACCTGTGAATAAGTTGGCACTAATTCATTATGTGCTATAACTTCTTCGGAGTATAATTTCAGCTTCTGTCTAATATGAAAATATTGTTCGCAAACTGGTTTTTGAAAGTCAAGCTAGGTTCCATTCTTCATATGAGGATAAGTAATAATTCTGAGATGTAAGCTAAAGACCCCAAAGAAAGTAATGAAACAGAAGCACAGAAAGTGAAACTGGAATCATAATTGTACAGCTTTTTTTGCATAAAAGAATAGAACCTGGGATCTAGGTAAAATTTAGCAAAGTTTGATCTGTAATTGGACTGACTGCATACGCAAATCTATTTTTAATTAAAGACAAGCTTACTTGAAAATTGTTGTTTCAGCATTTCTTACTAGATGATCAGATCATGAGTCTTTTTATTTTTTTGATGCATAAACTTTAAGGAAACTTTGACCTCAAAACCTAGTTTTTTTTTTTTAATCAGTTTTTACAGAGGTACATAAATGTGATACCTTCAATGTGGAAGAGAAAGAAGAATTCTCATTACAAACATGCTTTTGAATCTTTCCTAACTACTAAAATTCACTCATCCCTTTTGAATGAAGTTCTGTAGATTTGACTTTGCACAGTCATAAATACTGTTATTTTGTTTAAATGTTGTTAATTTGGAACCATTACATTAAAAGATAATGTTGTCCTCTAGTTCCTCTGAAAATATTATAATTTGATTTTAAAGATATTTTAAAGGACAGATATCATATCATGTTATTGCTGAATAATCATCTTTAGATCTCTCTTTTTTGCCTTTAACCCTCACATATTACGCAGTGTTATTGTTCTCATACATAGCTTCAGGATCAATATGTATTAGTTTTCCATTCTTACATTAATTTGTGTAGGTATATATGAGTGGGGACATATAAGTTCAAGAGAAAATGAGATGGAAAGAGATTGGTCCATGAGATCTAGATCTTAGAATAAACAGGTTGGTAGGAGATAAATATTCTATATAAGTTATCACTATATTTTTATGATCTATTGCACCCCAATAGAATATAAACTGCAAAAGGGTGGGGATCTTTGTGTGATTTACTCATACAAGTATTCATTGAATTCATACAATAGTGTATGTATTCATTCACACAGTCAAAGCAAACAGAACAGTATTTTGCACATAGTAGGAACACAGTACAATTTGTTAAATGTTATTTGAATAAACCAGTATCATAATAATAGATTAGTAAAGAGAACGAGAATATTCCTTTATGATGCACATTCATCATTCAGAATAGATTAGTCAATTTGTTTCAAATGCAGCATGGCGAAATTCCTTCTGAGAACCTTTCTAGTATGCATGTGTTTTTGTGTGGTGAGAGAGAGCGAAAGAAAGAGACAGACTGAAAGAGACAAAGAAAAAATGAGAATGAACTTCTGATTTACTAACCAGTTGAAGTTTTTAATTCCCCTAACATTGTTAGTTTTAGAAAAAGAATGATTTCACTATTAATTAAAACAAATCGCTATAAACCTCACTTTCTTACCTATTCACGTACAAACACTAATCGTGACTATCTGACAAATTAAATAAGTTTTATTTCATAAAATAATTGTATCTATTAGCATTGCTATTCATATTGATGTGATCTTCTTAGAAAAGTTATCCGATGAGTATTAAAATTAAAATTTTGTACAAGTCAAGAAGTGAATTTAGTGGCCTAGGGTCTTCACAAGTTGACATTACTTGTATTACTAAAATTCATCTAGAATATATGGCAGTCTAAGCTCATGGGCTGCCCTGAAGCAAAACAAGTTAAAGCTTAAGTACATTCGCAGAAATGGTACAATTTGAACTGCTTGTATAAATTAAGTGGCTGGCACTACCCATTAGCTCCCTAAAGCCTGTGCCCACCCCCAACCCCAACTCTGCATCATTTGTTTATGCTTAAACATATTTCCTATGGCCTTATCCTAATATTTATGACCATTGACACAATTCTCTGTACTTGATTATATTTGTCCTACTCGTTTTAAAATTATCTAAAAAAAGATTTCCTCCAAGTAAAAGTTCCATACACACACACACACACACACACACACACACACACGTACACACACAACCTTAAAATGAGCACAAAGGCTCTTAATTCCATTTTAAGACTTGTGGCTTACTCCAATACATAATGCAGTGGATATATAAAATGTTACTTGATGTCAAGGTGAAAAAGCACTTTCTTAGCCAAGTCGTTAAAATTTTCCTTAGAAGTTCCATTTTTAGTACTGGCTGTTACTGATAGCTTAGTTTTAATTGAAGTTTATTTTAAAATTGTTAATTAATAAGTATAACACACTTTAATCCTATTTCCCCCATATTAACCTATGAGGAAAACAAAAAGTTTTACCAGCACATAGTATTGCATAAAAGAAACACAAAACTAACATAAACTGCTTAGCCTGTTTTAGTAACCTTAACAAAGTCCTGAAGGTTTCAATAACTAAAATATTGCAATATTAATCACCTGGAAGCAGGTAAATTTTGTATAGAACAACCACCACAAACTATATACTTTCTTTAATCATATCAGAAAACCACACTTTTAAGCCAGACATGATGAATGCTAAGAAGAAAATACTTAGCACCAATTTTTTACTAGTCCAAATGCAGTATGTGTGACTAAAATCATAATAAAAAAATCCATTTACAGCACAACAATTAAGTGATGAAAACCATGAGACCATCCTTGGACCCAAAACTAACATCACTACTAGTTTATCGTAAGTTATTCATCTGCTTTAAAATAACTTAGTTGTTAAATTGGGAGAAAATAGAATCTTTACAATGAAAAATAACTATCGAAAAATGCCTGACATATTTGGACAGCTCCCTCCTGATTTTCTATAGCATTTCTATTACGTGCCTTACTTTCATTTTCTCTGGTTTACCAAATCAGAAATGAGCCCAATCAAAGTGGTTTCTGCGGTTTGGTTTTGGGTATTTTTGTTGTGTTGTGATTTGTTTTGTTTTGGGACAAAAGATCCCTCTAGTGAAAGAGATTACGGAGCTACATAACAAGAAAAATGCTGTCCCCAGTTCAAGATCCGCCTCCCTGTATTGAGCCAATTTTTGTTTTACCAAAGCTGGCAGGCAGGGAGCTGATGTTCCACCTCCATTCCCTGCTGCAACCCCAACGCCAGTCAAGTACCGGAGCCTCGCCCCATCTGAGACAGTGGGGAGAGCTCCTTAGTATTGAGGTATTTCAAGAACTTTCCTAAGCAGATACTCCCACGGAGACAAGGAGCCACATAGAAAACAATCGCCAAGAGTAAGTTTGTGCGTCCTGAGCAGGGATGGAGAACCCACTGCACTGAACTACGGAGATTCGGATCTGGCCCAGTAGCACCATCCATTTGCAGCAGCGCAAAGAATTCGCCTTCTGCGGAAGGCTTTGCAGCACGGGTGGAACTCTCAACAGCTTTATCAAATAAGATAATCTAATATGAAACAAAAACGCTCTGGAGGCAGCTGGGTACCCTAACCTGGTTACTCTGCGTGGTTAACGTGTCCTAGGTCTGATGGACCAGACCCCAGCGGGCCTGAACTTTGTCGGAAAGCGGAGCCGCCAGGCATTTGGCAGCTGCCAGAGGCGCACCAGGCCGGGTCTCAACCTGGGAGGTCAGCGGGCCAAAGCGGCCTGGGGAGGCAGTGGCCCCACCTGGACGCCGGGCCGTCGGGCGTCGGAGCCCCGCTCTGCCTCCACCAAGCTGTCCCGCTGCGCCCTACGCCGCCACCAGGCAGGAGGAGCCGCTACCAGTACCTCAGAGTGGGACTCTCCATCCTCAAGTCTGCGCTCCAGAAAAGTGTAGCAAGCCTCCCACGCGGGGCTTCAGACACCTAAAAGTCGCCACTCCCCCAAGAGTAACCTCCACCCCCACCCCCACCCCCAACTTCTCTTTCCTCCTTTTCTTCAGCAATGTGGACCAACAGTTACTTTTCCCTCTCTTCCCTTCCCCTCCGAAGTCCCCGGGGCAAAGTGGGACTTTGGGGAGCCTCGTGGAACGCGCCTCTCCCCTGGCGCGCCAGGTCCACAGCTCCTTTTAATCACCGCAATAAAGTTCAATTTGCTCGGCTCTTTACGAGCCACGGTGGACTTTCCCGTGCGCTCCGTGCGTTCTACCTCCCGCCGAGCCAACAGCATCCTACTCACTCCAGCCCAGCTTGGGTCCTTGAAGGACGTCGGGCCACGCAGAGGGGACCCACTGTTCTCGCTGCAAAGTGCCCCAAGCCGCGCGCGCGCACACACGCATCCACATCCACACTCACACAATGCCATCCCCGCGCTGTCAAAGTCTGTGAGCGCGGAAGGGAGAACGCACCAGCTGGAGCCGCACGGGCGCGGGCAGTAGCACAGCCCAGCGTCGGGACACGCAGTCCGGGTCCCAACACCTTCGTCGGGATGCCCCGGCCACCACGCGCCTCGTAACCCCCAAAGACCACGCCAGCCGTCCCGGGGGCGTCGCGGGCGCTGCCGGACAGAACCTTACCCGCGGGGCGCGTGGTCTCCGGCCGCTGGGCTGGCGCGCGGGCCACAGGGACGCTGCAGCCAGGGTCCCGAAGATGCTGCTGCTCCGCTGCCGCTGCCCCGATCCCCGGCGCCAGCATCACTTCTCTGCCGCCCCCGCCTCCTCGTGCTCCGCTCTCTCGGCCGCCCCTCCCCGGCGGCCGCCTGCAAGACCGGCAGCGCCGGCGGCGCGGCGGGGTGGGCAGCAGCAGAGGCGGCGGCGGCGCCCGCGCGAGCTCGCCCAGCTGCACTAGCCGAGCAGCCGCGGCGGCAGCCGAAGCACCCGAGCCCGGCTGCGCTTCCCCGGCGATGGCTCTGGCCTCGGCGACTGACAACGCCCGGCAGCCAATCGCTGCCTCGCCCCGCTCGGCGGGGGGAGACCAATCAGAGCGGAAGGCCCAAGGTTTTCCTCCGCCTTTGCTCAGCGGGCTTGTTTCCGGGAGAGGCAGCGACGCTGCTGGGGTTTGGGATGGGGGAGGCGCGGGAGGGGCGCAGGATGGGGGACTCGTGGCCCCGGAGCCTTAGGTGAGGAGGGAAAGCCGGGCCCGCAGGGGTGGGCCTGGGGCGCTTTCTGACCGCCAGGAGCCCGCGGCTTGGCAGGAAAGGGCGCCGCGGGGTGACTTTGTCCCCAGAGCCTCGTCCCTGCGGTTCAGCGTCTTGGCATCGCTGGGGCGAGGGGGGAGCGGGGAGGGGTCGCGGGACCCGAGTACGAACGGCGCGGCTGGAGAGCGAATCCCAGGAGGTGGTCGCCGCCTTGAAGGAATCACGCGAACAGTCACCAGACAGCGCCCCCGTCCTTCTCCCTTTGGCAGCTGAAAAGAGTACTACTTCTTAGGCTTCGAACCACTCCTCATAGTAATCAGCCACGAAGTGTCCCCAGCTAGCAAAGAGGCACACGGAGAAATGTCGGAGTTGTAGGCAGAGTGGACCTTCCCCGTCTTCCCTCCAAATAAACGCCCCTCACCTCCCCACCCCAAACGCAACAAACAAACAAACAAAAAACCTTGAGAATGGGGAAAGATAATTTAAGCAGCCACCCTAATTGGTTGGCTTCCTTTTTTTCCTTTTTCTTTGGATAATCAAGTCTGAATGTTCTAATAGTTTTTTTTAATGTGTGTTTGACTCAAACACTAGCGAAGTAATGTTATTTAGCAATAAAAGAAAAAGAAAACAAAAGCCACAAAATGTTTTTCTGCACCACTCTCCCCTAAATTGTAATGATCTTCCCTTATGGAACATTTTTAGTTTCTTTAGTACAAATATGTCTGAATGGCTCAGAGTTCTACCAATAAGTTTATATTACAATGTTCTAGTAAAAAAAAAAAAAAAAGTTGTACATGAAGGTTGTAATAAGCTTGGGACCTTCCCAAAGTGACCCTCTGATAAATAGTCATACCCACCTCACAACGTTGTTGTGAGGGTCAAAAATCAAGTGTGTATATCAGCTACATAGTTGACAAATTGCTGGAATTCAATGTGTCTTAGCTATGATGCTGAAGCTCTTCTTGCTAATTGTATTTTTAAGGGATCCTTTTTGTTTGCAATAATAATCACCCTTTTCTTCACTTACCTTACTCTTTAAAAACTCCATATATCCTGTGATCACCAAAACAAACCCTGTCTAAATTTTATTAGCATTATGAGGAAAATTTGATTGCAAAATAGATGTGTATTGCCATCTTTTAGTACTATAGAAATTATGTGCATATCATCACTGTTTTTTCCAATTCTCTTATGCCTTCCTCCCCTTCAGTAATTTGACCAATGTAGTTTGGGAGCCAGATGATCTCTTCTTAAAAGAACTGGCTGTGCTAATAGATAAGTTCATTTTTTTAAAGGCTAAAAACAGAGAATATGGACCACACCACACTAGATTTTTAATCTAGAGAGGGGTTTTTGTTGTTGTTTTGTTTTCAGAAATTGTATATGTAGTTCTTTATTATTGTGCAATGACATAAAATCAGCACCCTAATTGACTATATGAGGTAATAAAGGGGAAAAATGAATAATAAAGGAATAAAAGAGTGAAGCTGAAATCTGGGAGAGAAAGAAAAATATATTTATTCAAAAATATATTTTATTCATGGGGAGGAGCTGATATTTGCAAAATGTAGAAATCTTAAAACTTAAATCTCAAAATCAAAATTAAAATGCAATGACAGTTTAGAAATATGCCTGATAAAAGGTAAGTTTTGAATGATTTTCCATTAAAAGCTAATTTTGACTTTAGAATGTTGTAAGCTATGTGGAAACTTGCAGAAATGTGCTTGCACAAGTATCAATATGATTTTTCTAACCATTCTCCCATGCCCTGCCAATTATGCTATTTTCCAGTATTTTATATCATCTTTCCATGTTATTCAATATTTTGCAACAGTTATCCTTGAAAATACATGGGTCCTATGTACCGTGTTTTTAGAGATTAAGACAATTAAATGACTATCCTACAGAAGCAAAAAAGCTAAAGAAAATCAACAGTCTGCATACAGATATAACACTAATATCTCATATCACTATTGCTACCATATCACTAATGCTGTATAAGCAGCTCTGAGAAAAAACACTTCATAATTAACAACGTACTAATGGTGAAAACCATGAAATATTTAAAATCAGTAAAGATGAAAAACCAAGACAAAATTTTTAAAGTATCTGAAAAGATTGCATGTTAAGTAGGTTTTCATGCATTATTATGAATTTCATGGGATATATTGGACAGAAAGTCCAGTGTTACTTAATTATATGACTGTTTAATAAGAAAATTTAATAACTTTTTTTGGCCTACGGATATGTCTGTTTTTCTCCTTGTGCAATGAGAGAATTCATTCCACTTGTTAATAGTGACAGAAATTGGCTTGGTCAGTACCAGCAATAATGGTCAATAATGATTGACCTAATCCTGAAAGTATGTAAAATAACTTCATATTAATTGATGTGGAAAATCTATATTTATTAGGAATAGGAACTGAATACTTCATTGGGATCCATTATGACAAAAGTTACATCTAGCAGGCAGAAAATTAAATAGGAAGTGAGAGAAATTGGTCTAGTTCCAGCTCTGGTTATGTCTGGGTGAGTAATCATAGGTCGGTCACTTAAACTTTCCCAGTATTCCTTATATGTAAAGTAGAGATTAAAAACAAAATAAAACCTATAGCTGCCTTTCTTAGAGATGAGGATTAACTTATAATTGAAACTACAAGCCACAATGGACTCTTGCAGAAAAGCCCTTCTTAAAAGGTGAAGAATTGGAATTTAATGATAAATACTACCCTCTCTCAAATGTGAATTAGTTTAATTCTTACAATGGCACTGTTCATTATGGATATGTAATATCTATTTCTAAAGATGAACATATTAAGTTTCAAAGAGTTCCTTTACCAATTTTAGGATAAATTGACTATCAGTTACACTTTATTTGTTGATGTTGCCCAGCTTAGAATGTTTTTCCTTTAGTTCCTTCACTATGCCACTTCCAATATTATTAAAATATGCAAGTTTAATGGTTGGCATCTTAATTTAAATGAAGGGCAGACTTTTATGTTTTATTATTGGATGTAAATTACACCTGAAATAAAGCCTATTTCCCTAAATAATATAACTTGTTAGATAATTTCAAATACAGAACACCTCAATTATCATATTTAAAAACTATAAAACTTCTATAAAATAAATATTTGTGCTCATATTATAAGATTGCTACATTAGGTTTTCTTTGCATTGAAAGATTGAAGCAAAATCAAAACGAGAAGACAAGAATGAAAACTAACAGAATAGATTAGATTCTACTAAGTTAATCATAACTAGCATTTTTAAAAATATTCTTTATACCAGGACCTGTGTGTACACACACATCTCACACACACACACACACACACACACAAATATAAGTAAAAGAAGAAAATCATTCATCAAAATTTTGTAGGAAACAGGACTCCAAACAGGCAAGTGTTCAAATTCCTAGCCCTGTACTCTTACCACCACAACATACTCTTTGCTACTGAGATTTGAGAGTTATCAATAAAGAGGAAATCATTGAAACTAAGATAATGTAAAATATTTTGAAGGAAAGAGTATAGTAGGGCAACAAGCCTAGAAGATCATTTATAATTAAGAAAAAGTAAGGATAGTGTTTATTTTGGAGCGGGGGCGAAATTTGATCTGAAAATCAACTCTTGACTGTAAGTATTGACAAGAGATGGTGAGAATGGGTGAGAAGATCTTTGGTTTCCTTTAAAAAGAATTGTGGTAGGGCGATTAGGGTGACAACCATTTGATCCACGCAGAATGGGGAAAGGATAATTCAAGTGGGATATTTACATTAGAAAAGAGTTACGTTTCTTTACGTTCAATATTTTAAAATGGAGGTAGAGTCATGATTTATGCAGAAGGCTGTATAAAAAACTTGAATTGACATAGTTTCATAAAGTCTTAAATTATTGACAGTCTTTATTACTGTTATGTTTAAAACAAAAGCATGTTTAAAGATATGCAATCCTTCATTTGAGTGTTTGTTTATAATGTTATAGAAATCAAGTCATTACCAAAATTGCGGAAAAGATACCTCTTTACCTCATTAGATTCCATTTTCAATTTTTATAATTTAAAATTTGGTCATTTGCTTGAGTAAGAAAATCCAACGTCTATTAATAATGAATTTTTTTTTCTTTAAGCTGTGATTACTTAACAGCAGCTACATATGACATTGGTGCAGCATGACATGGAAAAGTAGAAGGAAGGCATATGCTTGTGTGTGTGTGTGTGTGTGTGTGTGTGTGTCGGGGAAGGGGGAGTAAGGAAGAAGTGAGAGGCAAGAAGGAGTAAGGAAGGAGAAAAGGAGCAGAGTTTTCAAGTTATTTGTAAAGCATTCTCTATGGCTTCATTAGTCAATACTAGGTTCTGAAGCCACTTAAAGCATAGGACACTATAAAATTAATTTTAAAAAATTAATGACTCCTGTATTACCATAACAGAATGCTATTTAAGTGTCTAGCATAGTGATAAGAGCTCAATAAATGTTTGGTCAAGGAAAAATGAATGTATAAATGTTACATGGGGTTTTGTGGGGAAGAGCAGGGAGAAATGATGCTAAAAGTTGAAACCAAACTATAATATTTAACATGAATTTTTGCAATTATGACTATTTTAACTTTACATAAGTTGAATTCTAACAGTAATTTTATTTTCTATGGTATCCCAGGATTGTTGTCCAGATTACACAGGCAAGAGCGTTCTTCCCTTAGACTGAATCTTCACTTTCTTTTAGCGTCCCAGACCCTCACTCAGTCTGGCTTTTAACAAATTCTCCAGGTGTTCTAGGGTGATTAGGAAGTGAGCCTAGAGAATAATCCTACTTGCCTCGGGAGAAAACTGCTAATAAAAGGTCAAAGCTGAGTTCCTAGGGACTGGAGCTATGGAAGCTAATAGCACGAATCATCATTAGCTTTTACTGATGCCAAGTCATGCAAGTCTGTGAAGTTCATACAGAAAGAGAAATTTGGATCAATAGGACTTTATGCTACCATGCAGCTTGATAATTACTTTCTAGAAATTAAGTTTGCCAAGCTTTTTTTTCTTAAAAAAATCTTATCTGCTCCGAAAGTCTGCCTTAGTCTTTGTACCGTATGGAAGATAAACCTATAGTGTTTTCCTTTAGCAATTTCTTTTTTTGTTGTTTGTCATATTATTATGGAGGTTAGCTGCATGCATATTTTATATTCAGTAACCTTTGGTGTCTATTTAACAGTGGATCATATTTCATTACAGGATTGATATTTTAAATCCACTTCTCTAAATGTTATAACATCAAGTCGCCAAGAATATTTCAATACCTGTGATGTAGTCGGTTAGTACTGGCTGTTGACCTGGTGATGCTAGGGGGGCATAGGCTATGTTATTTAGTTGGTAAGTGAATCATGCAAGCCATTGTTGCTTCTGTTTTATTGCCTGCTGGCTACGCAGAGACCCAGTGAGCACCATAGAACACTTTCACATTCACAAGGAAAAATATAACAGACTTGCACATCTCCCTGTTGAAGTCCTTAAAGTAAAATGCTCAAAAAATATTTTATATACTTGCTATGTGAAGAATTTTTGACCCCTTAAATCAGAAAGTTGACAGCATGTTTATGAGCTTAATACCGTATAATGTACCAGTTATATTGCATGTAGACTCAAACGTGCCTAATTGCCTTTATCTGTTAACAGAAAGGATTTTTAGCAATTATTAGAAAAAGTGGATATGTTTTTTTAATGGTAGAAAAAAATTAATCTCCTTAATATTCATTTAATTATAAAATGAAAATACAGTTTCACACTTCACAATTTTTAAAAAATCTAGATTATGTGAACATTAAAGATCTTACAGTCCACATCTTTATGTCCAAGTTTTGCAATCCTTTCTGAAATTACTTACAATTCTGTTCCTTTATAGATTATTTTTATCTCCCAAGAGATGTGAATTCTTAATAATTTTATGTGAGTATCCGAATACAAAAACCGTTATTGTCTTTAATTTTTAAAAATTTAGTAATAATGGCTTCTATTTTTGTATTATTCAATGTTTTAGTTGAGATTTTTTATTTGTATATATCATATTCAGTTTTTTAAAATTATACTCAGCAGCTAAACCTATATAGTACTTGACTTGAGTACTTCATTCTTAGAAAAGCAGTTCTGATTATTATCAGGCACTGTTCGATTAAGACATTAATTATAAATATTTATAACAAGGGCATTACAAAACATGACTGCAGAGGGTAAGATAAGTCAGATTCCCAGCATGATATATTTTTAACATCTCTATTAGGCTTTAGGTACTAGAAATATGTTATATCGAATTAATGTTATTTTATATAAGAAAGATGACAATGTATTTTACTTTGCTTGTATTTATCTCCTTCAGCCTGCTTGGTCAGCTCTCAAGAGAGCCACTATCCTGTGATTTTTAAGTCTTTTATGTAATTATCCTTGAATAAATCCAGTACTAAGCCAACAGCACCCCCAGGTTTACATCCCACAGTCAAGTTTACCAAAGATGTTCTAACAGGGCTATCCATTAGATGTTACAGAAAATCTCAAGTGGTTGCAGCAAATTGGAAATCTCTTAATAGTACATTGAATCAGGTATTTTAATGTAACTAATTAATGTCTTTTTGGCCTTAAAAATTTTTATTTCTGGGAAGTGAATAGGAATCTTTGAAATCTAGAAGAAATGATTGCATTAGAGCTAGAAGATAACTTCCAACAGCTGATACTGGTACTGGACCATAGATCCTCTTTGTTGGGCTTTAGCTTTTGAAGGCAAGAACATCACAATTTTCTAGATTGTAACAGAGTAACTGAATTAGGCACAATTTCAGATTAGTCAAAAGAAGGAAATAAAATAACTAAAATATATGAAAGTACAGTTTTGTGCTTGACTTTTAATGAGAAATTAATGAAAATTAACCATTGGGTCATTAATGTGTTATGTCTATAGTCACTTAAGTGGAGTGATTAGTACAAATTGATACAAACACAGGTGAGCTATATATTTTTCGGGTTATCTAAACAATAAACATGTGATAGAGCTACAATAAGATGGATCCTGGTTTTGGTGATCAACTGAAAATACGTTTAACAGAAGCATGATTTAGATCATTTTGGAATACTCAACCTCAAAACCTCAACCATTCCATGCAAATTTTTATTTATATCAAATGAGTATTTACAGAGAAGTTTTAAAGTGTTTTGCTTTCTAGGCAATAGAATGAATTAAAAATGTAGGTTCTGGGGACAGATCAACCTGAGTTAAAATTCTAGGTCTACCTCTTATGAAATGTGAAATCTAGGCAAGTTTCTTATATCTTCATGTCTCTATTTCCTCACTTATGTAAATAAAGATAATAATAATATCTAGTTCTTAGAAGTACTTTCAAATTTAAATGAGATAATATGTACAAAGTACTTAGTTCAGTATCTGGAAGATTATTGTTCAGTATACATTAGGTTTGTAGATAAACACTATTATTATTATAGTAGCAGTAATTATAAAGTTGAGGTGGTTAACTTGCCTCAACTTCCATATAACCTTTCAAAGCTCAATGGAGTCTCAGACTTTTGTTCATATGTTTCCCGCTAAAGCAGATATGTTTCGTCATTGCAAGTAAATTTCATGGCTCATTTCTCCACCTTCTTTTTTCAAAAACTCTTTTCTAAAGTATTCATTAGTGTAGCTATCTTGCAACACATAAACTATAATATATCAAGGGTGTAACACAAGGGGATTTTTTAAAACTCATTCTTTTTCCATTAATATGAGGAGAAAGGACAAAGGGGTTTGCTCCACACAGTCATGTAGGCACTTTCATCTTCAACATATAATTTTCAAACTCATTCTGGAACTCAATATACTGATGAAAAAGGCATGCAAGAGCAAGAAGGATCATTTAGGTGTGACATGTGTCATTTACACGGACATTTTATTGGCCAGAATTCATAGACATGGCCACATCAACTGCAAGAGAATTTGGGGGTGACAGACTAGCTATGTACCCAGGAGGAAAGAGAAATGCTTTCAGTGAACAATTCCTCAGTTTCTGCTGTCCTTTTTCATTTCACTCAAGCCCTCTATGGTCAGAAACAAACCAGTTCCCAACAAGATACTGCATCTGGCTCAAAATCAAGATGTGCACATTATTATCTACCAGAATCTAATGTGCCTCTTCATTAACTATAAACTAAAAGACAAGTTATCTGACATGAATACTCAATGAACAATGGCATATAAAGTAGCAATTGAAAACTATCTTTTTAGAAAGGGTTATAATGGGATATACTAAGGAGATACTGGTGCATAGCAGTCAAGAAAACTTTACTGTGGACCTTGCGAAATTCCTGATCCTGGGTGAGGGGAAGTTCCTTAATGAGGCCCTGATTCTACTTTCTGGGAGGAACTCTTTTGTGCATATTTCTGTATGGCCCTGCTTCCACCTGCAGGAAGTTCTTCCTTGTAAATTATTCTCTATGATCCCATTTGAAGCTGGTGATGCTGCATATGTCTGTCCTGTTTTTGCAGACTTCTTCTTGCTGGTGCAGGTTTGGGAGCTTGATGGTTGTTTAAAACCTAAAGTGTCAAAGTTTTGTTGTTGTAGTTGTTTCAGAAGTGTGAGCTTCTAATTTCTTTGACGATACAACTTATCAAAAATGTAATAGGCTTTTATGCTGTTGTTTCCAGACAGTTGTGTTTGTTAGTATCCACTCTTGAAGTTTTCTTCTTAGACATAATCCTCAAGCCTTATTTATATGTTTTTATCCTTACCCTTCTGCCCTTAGCTTTCAACCCAATGGAAGGTTCCTTGAGGTCAACATAAATGAGTGGGGTAAACACATGTTTAAACTAATTTAGTGGACCAAGTTGCTCATTCTGTTTTTAAATTGTAATCCCTGATATGTGAAGACTAGAACCAGTATGACTTTTTTAACACTTTAACCTCCAATTTTTTGGACTTTCACTATTCTCTTTCATTACTGCTTGTAAACTGACCAATTCTTAACAGACTTCCTCTCTCTCTTTACAAATACCTTCCTAAATTTAGCTATTAACAAATAATGTACAGTATTATGATTGTGTTTTTCAACTTTTTCTCCTAATTCTAAATGCTCAGTGGGCACCTAAATTTTATTGCAGACAATTTTTCCAATTATTTTGCCTGTGCATCGTATTATTATTCTACATCTTTCCAACTCATAAGATTAATTTGCTTGCAGCCTGCTGCCCATTTTCTAAGCAGTGCTACCTATGTTAGGTTTTTGTTTTGTAGCCCCCCACTTCTGGTACTAATTTATGTGTTAGTCAGAAGAATACTAGCTGATCGTGATAGGTAAACTTAGAAATAGCATTAGTTCAATATAGTGGAAGTTTATTTCTTGAACTCATAAAATCTAATTGAGGGTAGGTAGTTGTTACCGTACTCAATCATTCAAGGATACAGGCTGATAGAAGCACATCTATCAGCTTGTATTATAAGATTTTAAAGATTATATAGGTGATTCTTATGGGCCAGGCCTGGAAATGATATATAGTAATGACCAGAATAACTAGAAAGTATGCTGAAAAATGAACTCCGGCTGTCCAGAAGGAAAGGAAAGTTGACTTGTTGATCAGCTTACTAGTTCTGTCTCACCAATTTATTTCAGTTCTTACTGATCTCTCATTATACTCATTATCATATCATATGAGGTTATTTTTTGTCACATACCAGGCACTATATTTATGTCTATTCTGCCTTATCTCCCACCCAAATGAGAAGTGTTTGTGTCAAATATATGACACACTTGGTTTGCATGATAATTATTTGTGTATGAGTAGCTGAGAAAGCTTCAGCTCTTCAATCAGTCAGTCCTTGGTTAAAAACCCAGCTCCATCACCTATTAGCTGTGTGATGTTGGATTACTTAACTTCTCAGAGCATTAGTCTTCTCATTTGTAAAATTAGGTTAATAATAGTTCCTTTGAAGGGAAACTGAGAAGATTAAACAGATAATGGCATAAGGCAAGGTATCTTTTTTGTTGGGTGCATATTACATACTAATTTACTTGATTAACATTACTGCAAATGAAAGACAGCTTGTGTACAAATTCTAGAACAGAACACTAAATGCAACCTTTTTATTAGTAATAAGCCTCCATGTCTTGATTATTACCAAGATACAAAGGACTCAAACAACCCAGAGTCTTGAACTTTCTTTTACATTTTATCTTTAAATTCAGGGATTCTATGATTCAAATTCACTTCCACACTACGCATTTTCTCTCTGGAGTCCATTCTTAGGTTTTAAAGCTTTTTATTTTATATTACAAAGAACTAGGCTATACTTTTAGTAGCATAACCAAAGACATGTTAACATTCTGATCAGTTTTCAACATTCACCTTGACATTGCAACAGTGATAGCAGAACAGAAATTAAATTAAAAAGAGATCATCAAAAATATAGAGAGAATATAATATAGGTTGAATTTTAAATAACATATTTATTCACTCATAAAAGAAATGTTTTTTGTACTTTCATGCCTAATAAACTTAGAAAACATTTCTTTCTCCCTTGTTTTTCTCTGTGTCTGAAAGTATTTTTTCTGCTTTTTGATACTATAAATGTATATTTATTAGCAAGAAATATGTTTAAAACATATTGTTAAGTGGAAACAGCAGGTTAAAAACAAACAAACTTGTTCCATGACAGTGAAAAATTGATAAGTTGAGCTTTATTGAAATTAAAAACCCTGCTTTGTGAAACACCCAGTAAAAAAGAATTAAAAAACAAGTCATAAACTGGGAGAAAATACATTCCAAACACATATCTGATAAATGCCTTGTATCCCAACTATGCAAAGAGCTCTTAAAACTCAACAATTAAAAAAAATTTAAAATGAACAGAAGAGCTGAAGAAACAAAAGATCTCACCAAAGAAGATAACTAGATAGCAAACAAGCACATGAAAATATGTTCAACATCGTATGTCATTAGGGAATTCAAATTAACACAACAACGAGATGCCACGACATACATATTAAATCCAAAATACTGACAATAGTTACTGCTGGTGAAGGTGCAGGGCAACAGGAACTCTCATTCATTACTGTTGGGAATGCAAAAGTAGTACAGTCACATTGGAAGGCAGCTGGGCAGTTTCTTACAAAGTTAAACGTAGTCTCACCGTATGATTTAACTGTTAGGCTCCTCAGTATCACCCCAACTGATTTGAAAGGTTATGTTTGCCCAAAATGTTTATGCCTTCATGCAAATGTTTATAGTAACTTTATTCATAATCAGAAAAACTGAAAGTGACCAAGATGTCTTTCAATAGGCAAATCAATAAACAAACTATAGTATATTCATACAATGGGATATCATTCAACAATGAAAAGTGAAAGTCATAAGCTAACAAGCTACACAAAGACATAGATGAATCTTAAAATACATACTGCTAAATGAAAGAAGCCAGTCTGCAAAGGTTATATACTGTGCTATTCCATTTGTATGACATTCAAGACAACACAAAACTACAGAGATAATAAACCAACAGTGATTTCCAGGAGTTCAAGTTGGAGTTAGTGTATGGCTGAAGCAGAATGGATTTCTTAAGACAGTGAAAATATTCTGCATGATACTACAATGGTGGTTACATGACATAGTGCATTTCTCAAATCTATAAATTTACAGCAGAAAGAGTGAAACAATATGTGCAAACCAAAAAGAAGTCATTTAAGATGTCAGCAGATCTCAGAATGCTTTCACTTATTTATATATTATATATGTATACAATATATAATAGGTAATATATAAGATATATATGAAAAATATATGAAAGTTATATTTATATATACTTATAGAAGATGTTTTATATAAATAAAACTACATATATATTACACATTTCAAATAAAACTACATAGTATATTAATATGATTTACAGTATGTATGTATACAATATATATTTTATATATATATTCTGTAAATAGCGGTGATTATCTCTTGATGATGGGATTACATTGATTTTCTATGAAAGTTATTTAAATTATATCAAAATAGGAGGAATGGGCACTATTATACAAATTCCAAACCATGGTGGAAGCACTTCTTGGCCGACACAACTTCTACCACTGAAAATTCTGGCTTGTGGAGACTACCCCAGCCCCACGAACATCCAAGCCTTTGACCACTCAGTGTGGCCTTCCTCACCAAGAAGACCAACACACTCAAAGTGAGTTTCCACCATTACAGCCACTGCACTCTTCACTCATTTCTGTCTACACTGTCAGAAGTTACAAAACAGGAAATGATTGATATGGTTTGGCAGTGTCACCACCCAAATCTCATCTTGTAGTTCCCATAATCCCCGTGTGTCATGAGAGGGACCCGGTGGGGTGGTTACCTCCATGCTGTTCTCGTGATAGTGAATGAGTTCTCAGGAGATCTGATAGTTTTATAGGGAATTTTCCCCCTTTTGCTTGGCACTTCTTTCTGCCGTCATGTGAAGAAGGCTGTGTTTGCTTCCCCTTCCACCATGACTGTATGTTTCCTGAGGCCTACCCAGCCATGCTGAACTGTGAGTCAATTAAACCTCTTTTCTTTGCAAATACCCAGTCTTGAGCAGTTCTTTGTAGCAGCGTGAGAATGGACTACTACAATGGTCTTCCTCCATCTGTTGCCAACTAGCCCTCACTGGAACCATTGTCCCTCCGTCCAGCCTAGTAAGTAAATTCTTATCAGGATCCCAGCTTCCTCTGCTGCACAGTAGCAACTTGCCGTTGCCAAGGCCATCCAAGCTTTCACTGGCGCCAGAGCTGCTGGACCTCTCTCCGCCCTGATCTGCCCTGACTGCCCAGCAGCTTTTGGCAGAGAGGATCCTCACTTAATCCTACATATCCTCTTAGCTTGGCTTACAGGACACAGGATTCATTTGATTTTTCTTCTATTTTGCTGTCATCTCTTAAAAATGATGTAGCTCTTGTGTTGGAATGTTAGAATATCCTCCCACTATACTGAAGGATAGATTGTCCAGATTCTCCCATCACATCTTGAAGAGTAAAACGTGTTGTTTGTTTGTTTTTGGTGATTTTGACTTTTTTGTGTGAGTGTAGTTTTTAGAAAAAAAAATCAAAGAAGAATATTTGTCTTATTACTGCATCTATTCCTCACTCTGTTTTCTTTCCATTTGTTTGCTTTCTTTTGAAATAATAATAATTATTGATGGCATCAAAATTGCCACCAATAAATTTTAAAAAGGATATTGAAGGAGCAGATGTCATATTTTGGAATGTTGAAAGGACAGTGTAAACAATAAATCATTCTCAACCTCTCATTGGCTACCTGTCAATGCCTCCTCATTCTTTTATTTCAATGCTTTTTTGGATGAATAAGTCTAGTACAATCAATATTCTTATGCTAGAAATTATAAATTTGCAACACTGTGGACTCTGGTCTTCATATATGTTTTCTCTGGCCGTTTAGTGTCTTGAAACGATTTAAAATACTAACCATTAAAATCTGGGTGGTTCAATATAAAAATTTTAATTTCTGGCTTATCCCTTTTAAAAAAGATGATTATCTGCCAACACTGTGTCCACATTCTACAAAAAACAATATTGCACCTAGTGCTGAGAAAAAGCCATCCCCTTGTGATCAGCTAAGCACACTCAAGTTTGCCACAGGCTTGCCACCCCACTTTGTTCTCTGTTCTGGAAGATGAATATTAGCTACTATTTATGATTGAGCTTGCGTTCTAATATCCAATCTGCTTATCTCATTTAGAGACCCTGCTTGACCCTCTGGGCATTTGTGCTTGCTACCTTGTAATGTGTATTTTCAAACCTGAAGGGGAGAGACAAGCAGTAAACCAAGACTGTAGCGGTTTCTACGTCCTCTGCTTCCTAGACCACTCTGAGCATCTGCCTTAAATACAAGATTTGAAACAAATGGAAACGTGTTCAACTTTTTCACTTTCATTCAACATGAAGAATGTATTTAGGAAAGATATAATGATGGATTAATATCAAAATTACCTTTTCATTTCTTTCTGCTGTCAAACTTCTGGTGAATCCAATCTTTTTTTTTTATGTCTTTTATAATCACAAGGAAATGTTTTATAGTTATAGAAAGAACACTTGATTTGTAGTTAGAACACATGGCTTTGTTTTAGATCTGGTATTCACTAGCCGTGCAACTTTGGGTAAGTCACTAAATTCTTATACACATGTGTGAACATCTATAAAATGGATATATCTTTTCTCTCTTTCACAGGGTTAAGACTCAAGTATGATTATGAGTGTGAAAATCTTAGCATGAACCTCTTCTTATAAAGGATGGGTTTTAAATGTACAAGAGTCTCTCCAATGCTAAATGAATGAATTAATGAAATGTAGATATTTGTCTAATTTTTATTACCTTTTGACTCTCTGTGGTAGACAGAATCATACCCTTCCCAAAGATATATACATTATCATCCCCAGAACCTGTGAATATACAATTAATACTTGCATGGCTGAAGGAACTTTGCAGATGTGATTAAGATAAATATGGTGAAATAGTGTGATTGCTACTTTGCTAGCAAACATAAGCCAAGGATTGCAGGAGGCATCAAGAAGCTGGAAAAGGCAAGGAAACTGATTATCTCCTAGGGGCACCACAAGGATCACAGTCCTGTGGAGATCTGGATTTAAGGAGTTTTTTCTCTCAGAAATGTAAGATTATAAATTTGTGTTGTTTTAAGCCACTAAGTTTGTGGTAAGTTGTTACAGCAGCAATAGGATACTGATACATCCTCATAACTCATTCCGAGTCTAAACATTAAAGATAAAAGGGAAATATGCCACTGGCAATATCTTTTCTTTCTTATTCAGACATTTGATTCTTCCAGTCTTAATCCTCGTCCCAC
The DNA here is from genome assembly GCF_000001405.40 of Homo sapiens. Lineage (NCBI taxonomy): Eukaryota > Metazoa > Chordata > Mammalia > Primates > Hominidae > Homo > Homo sapiens. The sequence continues at coordinate 167,277,904 of NC_000002.12, read as the reverse complement.
ATGCCTCTGGCACATCTACTTGAGCACATTTATTCTTTATCTGATTATCCTACTCCAATTTCCATAAGCACCATCCTATTCTTGGCATTACACCTCCTCTCCAATATTTTACCCAGTTCTTTTTTGTTGTTGATGTTTAAATACTTCCTCAAATTCTCCTGCTTATTTTGTCAGTGTGAAACCAGAGTAGTAATCTCTAAAAGCCTCTTGGGCTGCTCTTACTTTTTTGACTTATGTTACTCATTGAGCAAGTATTTTCCTGCTTCTCTTTTATCTGTTGTTTTGTTTACTAGTTTGTCAGCATCAAATGTTTTCTGTCTTAAATCCAAAGCTCACTGGTACCACATACAAAGTTCAATAATGTATTCTGCAAACCTAACATATTATCATGCTCATGTACAATTCTGTTGCTTTCAATTCATCAGTCCTTATATATTCTGTCTAGAAAACTTCATTCACATCCACTTCCATTTGTATGACTGAATCCCAAGTCCGCACCTCTCGCTTTCTATCCTTGTCTTTCTTTATTCTTGTAAATGAGGATACAGACATGATAAAGACACATTTGCAACCTCAAGATGTTTTACAATTTGTTAGGAAATGTAGAGGATAGGAACCTAAGTCAGTCTAGGGTGGTGAGAAAATATGCTTAAATTGATGTTGAGAGACACATATGAGATATGAGTTAACCTTGTCAAAGGAAAAGACAAAGCTTCTAGGGAGAAAGGACAGAGACAGAGAGAGAGAGAGATTAACACACTATAACATGCAGATACACATACAAAAGAGGAATGTTTGTGGAGAACACTTCAACATACTGTGATTTGTGTGTGTGTGTGTGTGTGTTTGGAAGAGTTAAACAATTGGAAAACAGAGCCAGAGTTCAAGAGTCCGGCCTTGAGAGTTAGTTATATGATAGTAGGATTTCTTTATACAAAGTGAGTATGCATGTGGATGAAATTGCCCAGGTAGAATGTGTAATGACTGAATGAGAGAGGGTTGAAAAGAAACGTCTGGGGAATAGACATTTCAGGGAGGGACAGAGGAGAAGCAACACACGGGAAAGGCAAAGAATGAGCAACTAGAAAATCAGAAGAGAACCAGGAGAGGTGTGTATCATAGAAACTAAGGCAGAAGATGGTTTCATGGTGGTAGTAGTCAATGATGTCAGACATGGCAGAAAATAGAATTGAAATGAACCAGTCCTCCCATTTCTGGGGCTATTTCCGGGTGACCAAATTTAAGAAGAGTCTCCACAGCTTGAGGGATTCCAGCATGCAGGAAGATGCCCAAGATCCTCAAGACAAAAGGGGAGATACTGTTAAGGACGACAGAAAACACAGAAGTTCCAAATGCCAAGAGGAGAATGAGAAAGATCATCAAGTCTGGGCAGGTCAGTAGAGTATATGAAAATTCAATTTAGAGTCATGAGAACAAGGGAAAATACTCATGGGACCTGGAAACAGAGTGTTATTGAAGCAAGCTTAAAGGGCCAGAGACAAATAGATTGAAAAGTGATTGCTAGGTTCAATAATTAGGATGCCACTTGTAAAGGTTGGGCTATTCCAGTTTATAGTTGGTGGAGCTGTGTATGAAAAATGAGGAGGAATCAGTTGCAACAAAAAATATGATTTCAGGCTGCTTCCTTGGGAAGGAGAGGAGACACAGTGTAGCTAAAGGAGGATACTTTATCTAGAGATTATTGTTTTCCTTTAAAATAAAAGTGATGGGAAGAAGAAAGACAAAAGGAATGGGTGGAAGTTCCAGGAGACAAGAAGCGTGATTGATGAACAAGGTCCCTAAAAAGGCAGGAGGATGGAAATCAGAAAAGATGAGGCAAATTTAACCACAACTTAGCTTCTGAGACCCCTGTATTTTACCCAGAATAATGATAAAATGAAGTAAAATTTAAAGGCATAGGAGATCCTTGTCACACTATTTAGAGGGGTTTATGCACAACACATTTATACCTCTAAATATAGTCTAACAAAGTGTTCAAAAGTATAAGCTCATTTTGTATAACAGACCAACAGTGTATTTTTTAAATTAATACTGAAAAAGTCAACTCTTAGAATAATAAGGTGACACCAGAATCTATTAATTATATTCCTGGTTAGTGCATAATAAATCACGTACTTGATAGGGAAAATAAACAAACCTCCAGTTTCTCTTCCACAGCCAGAAACCATTCCTGTTTTCCCTAATCATTCAACATACTATTCATTGTAGGTACTAGTAATTTTATATCTAATAGAATAGAATTAACTTGTTAATTAATATGTTTGAAGTGTATTTCAACAATTAGAATTCAAACAGACTTTAGAAAACATCTGTGTCTGATTAGACATCAAAGCTAGGTATCTCTATAAATAGCATTTTAATATGAAAGAAAAAACATATACCCATTTGTATAGTAACAATATCTATATTCTATTCCATGAATCCAAGCCCTAAAGACCACTTTTCTGTTCTCTTAACAAGAACACAATATGCATCTTTTGATAACACAAAGACATGGATTGAAAGTAAAGAGCACAACTGCCAAAGTATTCCCAAATTTTTGCATCTCTAAAGCTTAAATAGGCACTCAATTTGAATAATTGCCAGGAAGAACATAAGAGAATATGCAAAATACGGAGAAAACGGCAGGGCTAAATTGTTTTAGATGGCCACACACCAAGAGTTGTCCCTGCAGAGGGAGAAGAGGCAGCATAGTAGCAGTGGTGGTAGCAATGGCAGCTATAACGTTAAGTAATCCATGGGTCTGTCACATGCCATTGTCTGGCTCCAAAAATGTGAAATTTCCCATCTTCTGCTCCAGCAAAGAGACAGAGTTCACAGATAATGCAAAGCAGTAGAAAATGCCAATGCTAAACCCATTTGCGTTTGAATTTAGAATGCTTTTTCCCCAGCACATTTATCTGAAAACACTAATTATCGACTTTGCAACTTATCCCTTCCCCCCTTAGAATTTGAGGCTGGAGCCATATTTTTGCCAACCCATTAGTAATTTCTATTCTCATCATTTTTCCGCTTTCCCCATTCTTGTAGGTTTAGCAGGAATTCTCTAGTCTCTGGCAGGGTGTTTTGAAAAACTCCTGAATATAAGGCTGAGAAGAGTAACTAAGTCAGTCATCTCCTCGGGTCTCACACCTGGGATCCTCACTTGTTCCAAAGGAGCAATTCTGTGCTTTGGATCTTTGCTCGCATAACTGCGTAACTGAGTCCTTATTGGAGCCTCTCTCTTGCCGTGTGTATCCTTTTGAGCAGCTCCCAACCCTTCTACAGCTGGGGGCTGCTTTGAACTCCTAGGTCTTCTACAGATTTAGGTTTGATTGAAACTCCCCTGCCTGATCTCCTACTTTCAGTTCTGTAATATAAAACACCTGCCTGCCTGGTTTTGACTTCACTTGTTGCTAACTCCCGAAACTCCTGAAGCTATGTACGGCTGCTCTTCTAGAATATCCTTCTGGTGCATATTGCTCAACCTTGCAGTTGTTATCCCCATGTTTGCTTTCACTCAGATTCATTCATACATATAAAAGTATCTATGAGGGCTTACTAAATGAAAGACTATAAGCCAGACAATTACAAATTTTAAAGAATAATAAGTATTTAGTTAAAAGATACCAAACCTCAGCCGGGCGCGGTGGCTCAAGCCTGTAATCCCAGCACTTTGGGAGGCCGAGGCTGGCGGATCACGAGGTCAGGAGATTGAGACCATCCTGGCTAACACGATGAAACCCCGTCTCTACTAAAAATACACACACACACACACAAAAATTAGCGGGGCATGGTGGCGGGCGCCTGTAGTCCCAGCTACTCTGGAGGCTGAGGCAGGAGAATGGCATGAACCCGGGAGGCAGAGCTTGCAGTGAGCCGATATCCCGCCTCTGCACTCCAGCCTGGGCGACAGAGCAAGACCCCATCTCCAAAAAAAAAAAAAAAAAAGATACCAAACCTCGCCTTCCTTTTGTCTCTTTGTGGCAGAAGTTCTCTTATGTGGATGTTTCTGTTTTCTTCCTGGGCCTGAGATTGACTGCCTTGTCCAGGCTCCCTTACAGGTAGGTGTGGTCTTGTCACTGAGTTCTGGCCAATGAAATGCAGGTAAAAGTGATGCACACTTCTTCCAGGCCTGGCCCACAGAAGCCTCCCACAGGTGAGCCTCATTCATTTTACCCTCTGCCTATCAATTGAGAAGACTCCAGGGCCCAGAGGAGGACAGGATTTCCACTATTTGGAAGGACTGAGTTCCTGAAGGAGTTTATGAAGCAGAGCCTCTTCCTCACCAACCCTTGTTAAATTGGGATATGAGCAATAATTAAAATAGTCTTGTCTTAAGTTATTGAGTTTTCAGGGTTTATCTGTTACAACTGAGGTTACTGAATCTAACCTGTATGTTCTTTACCATCTTTGTTTCTGGGGTTTCAGTCCCAGAATCTGAACCCATCTATTTTCACCTGTTATCACTAATGGAGCCCCCTATTTATGTTGCTACTCAATTTACTTTTCCTCCATCTATTCATTACCACCCTCATTTAAATGAAAACAAAAAACAACCTACTTTTACGCTGGATGATTTTCTCTTTTACCATTTTCCACACATCTTTACTTCCCAGATCCCCCAGATTTGGTTAAGGCATACTAATTTTTAGCTAGTTTCCCAGTGGTCTTATAGCTTACTGTGCTCATCACTTCCTAGATGGGTGACCTTGGTAAAGTAGTTTAACCTCTTCAAGACAAGTTTTTTTTGCATAGAGATAAAAACACCTTATCTCAGAAGTATCTTGTCAAAAGTAAATGAACATCAGTTACCTCAATTACAAAATGATAATACTAAAATAGATCCCACATGTTTTAACATAATTACATATCAAGTGGCTATTGATACATTATTGTTTTCAAAAACATGAACTTTGGCAAAATGTAAGCATTCCATAAATATTTCTTTCCTCCCCCATCTTCCTTATCCCATTGCCCTCTATTAGTAGCTCCATTTGGGCACAAGGATTGAAGAATCTTTTGCATAGTGCTGCTATTTGCTGCCCATGGAAACCTATGACATTCATTCATTCAGTACTTGTCACATGCTAGTGTTAAGGTAGACAGAGGCAAGATGATGTAACTAATGAAACAAGTGGAAAAGCTGGCATGGGAGTAGGTGGTTGCAGGCCCTGAGGGCGGGAGAAAGCTGAAAAGGAGGACTACAGAGGAAACCTTTAGCTGGATCTCGGAAAAAAACTGCAATTGACCGCAGGAGCAGCAGAAATCCACAGTGTGCCAGATATACTTGCTGGCACAAGTGTACTCTTTTCCTTCTGCCTTGGAATAAAAATATCAGTGGAAATTATTCTGTAAATGTGGCCATTATGTTTTACTTCTGCTGATATTGAAGTTCCTTATTCCCTGAGGACACAGGTGAAGGTGGAAGGGAGGCAGTGGTCTGGGTAGGTTGGAGACGCCAGCCTGGAATTGAACATTTTCTGTAGGCAATCTCTCTCTGGGTAATTGAAAATGGGTTCTTTGAAATGCTAGTGATTTAATAATTTTCTTATGAATTAAAAAATAGGCACACACTCTTCTTTTTTTCTTTATAAAGTAACCATTTAAACATCATCCAGTGTTGGAAGTATTTCTAGCTTAAATATTTCAAAACTTTTAAAATTAAAAGGTTTAGTATTTAGGGCAAATAGTTCCTGCCCTGTTTCACATAACCAGGGCTGAAGCTTTGAAGTCCTGGCATTTCCTGTCACAGGGACAACCGCTGCCATGTTTTATAGCTTCATGGAGAGTGAGGTCATCACTAGCAGCAGAGACATTGATGTCTTTCTCTAAGTTATTCAGTCTTCTGTTCTCACATATGCTGATTCTTACCTGACATCTTCTCTTTGCCACGTTCAATTGCTTTTGTTAATTTCATCGATTTGAAAAGAGCAGCTCTACTTTCTGCTTGCCTTTAAGGTTAGGAGGATTGATGTATTTCTTTCATTCCATTCCAGGCAGTTGATGACATTTTCAATAAGTGATCTTATTTTTTTTGTCTCTACTTTTCATTATAAATACATCTTTGGAATGTATAGGCATAGATACCCGGTTATACTCATGGTGCAATATATGTGTGTGTGTGTATACAAAAACACATATGCACATAGATACCCTTTCACACACATGCAAACACACAAAATGCAATGTGTATATATAGCATATATATATGGGTCTTTAGTATAATATATAAATGTATATGCTCATAGGCATGCTACTGCTGCAAACTTATATTTTAATATATGTGAACATTTTGTATATATAATCCATTTTCACACATGATGAAGTATTGAGAAGACAGATGTATGTTGAAAATCCCATATATAATGGAATTTATTGGTCGGCTATGACTAATTTCAGTCTGTGTCTCAGCACTTACAACCTAGGTAAACTTAGTCAAGTAACTCAATCTCTCTAATCCATAGACTCTTCACCAGAAAAAATAAAATCTTATACCATACTCATGCGATATTTGTGAGGACTAAGTGAGATCAAGGCCTATATTGTTTGTCCTTGCTGTGAGCTTGGAACACAGCGAAGCTGAATACATACTACTCATTTATGGACATGTATCCAGACCTGTTTTTCCCCATTTTTAATTGTTGTTAAGGGTATTATCAAACTTATGGGCTTTGTGGGTTTTCTAAATTCATTAAAATTATCAATATGCTACATTTCTAAATATATTGCCTTTACATGTGTCCAAAAACATATAAATTATGACATTTTTCAGCCAAATTATGAATAAGACTTTGATTAAGCATTGGATGTTTCATACAGTTCTAGGACATTCATGTAAATACATTTACATGTATACAAACACACATATATATACATATATCCATAAGTGAAATATATGCATATGTATATAGCACAACTATATGCAATTACAAATGCAAGAGCATACAAATAAAGCCTGTGAATAAAAATTAAATGCATGACAGAAAATTACACTGTTTTCCACAGAGGTTGCTTAATTGGAGGAAAGACTATGGAACTTCAAACAATAGCTGTTTTTCAGGTCTTTGTTGTGTCTCAGTACTTATTATACATTTGATCTCAGACAACTCAATATCTCTGAATCTTGTTTTTCTTGAATATAAACTAGAGATAGTAACATCTCTTCTATGTATAATTTACTGGGTTACCTTGGGTTAAATACTTAAACCATCTAAGCCTCAGTCTCCTCATATTTTGACTGACGTAAAGGTTTACCTACAATGTAGTGTTGTTGTGAAGATTCAGTGACATAAGTCATGTTACCATGTGATATAAACTATAATTATATAAACTTCTATAGCCACTAAAAATACAGTTGTTACCATATAGGCTCTTATATTTTAAAAAATTGAAAGAAGTTCTTATACTTTAAAATTCTATCTATAACACCATTTTATTTATATACAGGTACATCTTTTGAAATGTGATCTCTAAATAAAAACTTACCATCATTGCAACCTTTGACTATCCATCTTAAATGTGCTGTATATACAACTTAATGTGCAGAAAGTCTTAACTTCCAATATGTGGGAAATGTATACTTTAAAGGATATTGTAATGAATATTAATACAAATTTCATAGATGTGTGTATATATGTGTATATAATACATATATGAATTTGTCTATTCTAAATTAATGAATTTATTTGGGGATTAATACAAATTTCATAGATGTGTATATTATATATATATAAATTTGTCTATTCTTAATTAATGAATTTGTTTTGGCAATTTTATGATAATAAACATATTTTTCTGTAAAATCTGCCTATCCTTATTTGTAATAATGAAATCTACACATTCAGCCTTTCTTCTAGAAATCAGCCCAAGGATGCCATTAGCATCTAGATATGCAATCTGGGAGTAGAACTGCAGTTAGTTCTCTTGGAGTTATTGCTTAGACATATCAGCATGGTCTGTGTGCCACTTTGCATATACAGTAATCTAAAAAAAATCCAGAAGATATTCTTACCCATTTCCATATGTTACTCTAAGACAGTGTGTATTGTGTTTCAAGTTTTAGATTTATAGGTTGATTGACTCTTCCAACAAAATTTATCAAATGCCTACCACATGCCAAACTTTTTGCTAATAATTGGGGAAATTTGGAGAGTAAAATTAGACCCAGTCACTGTCTTTGTAAAGCTTCTATTTAGTATGGGAGTTTATTATTCTGTTTTCATGTTGCTGATAAAGACATACCTGAGACTGGGCAATGTACAAAAGAAAGGTATATTGGACTTGCAGTTCCATGTTGCTGGGGAGGCTTCACGATCATGGCAAAAGGTGAAAGGCACATCTCACATGGTGGCAGACAAGAGAAGAGTGCATGGTCAGGGAAACTCCCCTTTTAAAAACCATCGGATCTCCTGAGACTTATTCACGATCATGAGAACAGCACATGAAAGACCCAACCACATGATTCAGTCATCTCCCAGCAGGTCTCATCCACAAGAAATGAGAATTATGGGAGCTGCAAGATGAGATTTCAGTGAAGACACAGAGCCAAACAGTATCATTCCACTCCCCACCCCTCCCAAATCTCATGTCTTCACATTTCAAAACCTTCCCAACAGTCCCCCAAAGTCTTAACTCATTTCAGCATTAACTCAAAAGTCCACATTCCAATGTCTCATCTGAGACAAGGCAAATCCCTTCCACCTATGATCCTGTAAATTCAAAAGCAAGTCAGTTACTTCCTAGATAACAAAGGGGGAACAGGAATTGGGTAAATACAGCCATTCTAAATGGGAGAAATCGGCCAAAACAAAGGGGCTGCAAGCCCCATGCAAGTCCGAGATCCAGCAGAGCAGTCAAATCATAAAGCTCCAGAATGATCTCCTTTGACTCCATGTCTTGCATCCGGGTCACACTGATGCAAGAGGTGGGTTCCCTTGGTCTTGGACAGCTCTACCCTTGTGGCTCAGCAGAGAACAGCCTCCCTCCTGGCTGTATTCATGGGCTGATATAGAGTGTCTGTGGCTTTTCCAGGAACACAGTGCAAGCTGTCAGTAGATCTACCCTTCTACAGTCTGGAGGATGGTGGCCCTTTTCTCACAGCTCCACTAGGTGGTGCTCCAGTAGGGACTCTGTGAGGGGGCTCCCACCTCACATTTCCCTTCTACATTGCTCTAGCAGAGGTTCTCCATGAGACCCCTGCCCCTTCAACAAACTTCTGCCTGGACATCCAGGCATTTCCATACATCCTCTGAAATCTAGGTGGAGGTTCCCAAACCCAAATTCATGACTTCTGTGCACTCTCAGGCTCAACACCACGTGGAAGCTGCCAAGGCTTGGGGCTTGCACCCTCTGGAGACACAGCCTGAGCTGTACTTTGGCCCCTTCCAGTCAGGGCTGGAGCAGCTGGGATGCAGGACACCAAGTCCCTTGGCTGCATTCAGCAGGGGGATGCTGGCCCCTGCCCATGAAACCATTTTTTCCTCCTAGGCCTCTGGGCCTGTGATAGGAGGGGCTGCTTGAAAGGCCTCTGACATACCTGGAGACATTATCTCCATTGTCTTGGGGATTAACATTTGGCTCCTCATTACTTATGCAAATTTCTGCAGCCGGCTTGAATTTCTCCTCAGAAAATGGGGTTTTCTTTTCTATCACATTGTCAGGCTGCAAATTTTCTGAACTTTTATGCTCTGCTTCCCTTTTAAACATAAGTTTCAATTCTAAACCATATCTTGGTAAATGAATAAAACTGAAGGCTTTTAAGAGCACCCAAGTCAAATCTCAAACACTTTGCTGCTTAGAAATTTCTTCCACCAGATACCCTAAATCATCTCTCTCAAAATTCAAGGTTCCACAAATCTCTAGGGCAGGGGTAAAATGCCGTCAGTCTCTTTGCCAAAAAGGTGACTCATAGCAAGAGTCACCTTTGCTGTAGTTCCCAACAAGTTCCTCATCTCCATCTGAGACCACCTCAGCCTGGATTTCATTGCCCATATCATTATCAGCATTTTGGTCAAAGTCATTCGATAAGTCTCTAGGAAGTTGCAAACTTTCCCACATTTTCCTGTCTTCTTCTGAGCCCTCCAAACTGTTCCAACCTCTGCCTGGTACCCAGTTCCAAAGTTGCTTCCACCTTTTCGGGTATCTTTTCTGCAGTGCCCCACTCTACTGGTACCAATTTACTGTATTAGTCCATTTTCACCCTGCCGATAAAGACATACACGAGACTGGACAATTTACAAAATAAAGAGGTTTATTGGACTTACAGTTCCACGTGGCTGGGGAGGCCTCACAATCATGGCAAGAGGTGAAAGGCACCTCTCACATGGATGGCAGACAAGAGAAGAGTGCTTGTGCAGGGAAACTCCCCTTTTTAAAACCATCAGATCTCGTGAGACTTATTCACTGTCATGAGAACAGCACAGGAAAGACCCGACCCCATGATTCAATTTTCTCCCACTGCATCCCTCCCACAACCCGTGGGAATTATGGGAGCTACAAGATGAGATTTTGGTGGGGACACAGAGCCAAACCGTATCGGGGGTAAGGGGATGTCACTGGTATTAATCAAATAATTTGCAAGACCATGTGTAATTACAAATGTACTATGTGCTAGGAAGGAAAAGTGAGAGTCAGAGATGTTTAGTAAAAATCAACTGGGTTTGGTACAAGATTTAAGTTGTAAATAAATGAAAGAAATTAGGGTATAAAATATGACTTTTGGTTTTCTGGTTTTAGCAACTAGATTGTCTAAGAAAATGCTCACAGAGACCCAAATTTGAGGTTAGAGGTGGGTGACACTCTGATCAGGACTTGTTGGACTTAAGGTTCGTTTGAAATAGCCATAAGAAACTATCAAGTAGGCAGTTGTCTATATGATTCTAGAGTTCAGAACAGAGCTCCCAGAAGGTAATATACATGTAGGAGCTACTGGTATTAAAGAGATAATTGAAGCCTTGGATGTGAATAAAATTGCTAGGAATAGTATAGTTGATAACAGAGGTTAGTAAAATGTTTTGAACAACTATAGTGTGGTTATAGGAAATTATGTTAACGGATGTACATTTGCTTATAAGCACAATGACTACATTAACAACAACAAATCAATGCAGGTATTAACATAGTTGAGAGGAGTAAACTGAATAATCTGAACGGCAACTGGTAACATAAACATTACTCACTTGATGATATATATTTATCCAACTAAGGTTTTTAATTTATAACAAATGTGTATTCAGAATTGGTGATTTTGATAGCATGAAGATTGAACATGTTGGCTTGCTAAAAACAGGCTGGACAGCATTGAAAATTGTTAATATCGATGGTTTTATAATTTGGACATTATTGAACACATACATGCTCACATTCACACATACAAACACACACACACACAATATTAAATTCAGGGATTAAGATTGAAAAGAAATCAGCTAATGAGCTAGGGAATGGCATTTACTAATTTTTTTCATTATTTGTTCTTAGATATTTCTAGTGTTAATTATGTTTTATATATCATCTCAATTAAAAGCCATTGAAGCTTTTATTGAGCAATAAATATTTTAGGTTAGATAGAGTTCAGAAAATAATGAATTATTTTGGAATTGTCTTTTAGGTTAATTTTTGTTTAAGGAAACTTCTATATGGACAAATAACAACGTAGAAAGGTGTTTTCACCAGAAGTATTCTTTAACCAGTCTGCCCTCCTCCTGAAGGAAATGATTTAACAGGGGTTATTGGACTACCTTGAAGACTAGTAAATAAAAATCTGTCACCATTTTACAAAACATGCAGCAAAAAAGATGGTGAATACAGTAGTGGTCATTACCAATTATTGCGTCTTTGAGCCTTTTAAGTTTTCATTTATTAGAAGTGATATTAAGTTGATATGATAATGTGAGGGAAGTGTCCAAGTATAGCCCAACAGCTCTACTGTGTTTCCAAAGAGTCTTAGGTACAGGATGTGCTGGCTAACTCGTGCTTTTAATTGCATGCAAACAGCTCAGCCAGTACATCCCCGTTCCCTCTATATCTGACACATGAAAACCTTTCTCAGAACTGCTTAGTTATGTGTTTATCTGTGTCCCTTCAGCACATTCCTCCTCTTCCCCCAAATCCTGTATTTCGGACACTGCAGGAAAAGGGTTTGGATCCATCTACTGCAGCAAGAAGTGGGGTGCACGCAGCCAAAGGGCCACTGTCATCTTCAAAATGGACCTACTAGCCTTAACATTGCAAGGGCCTGAATCTTGTGTACTCTCTCTGTCTTGCTGTAAGTAAATACTCTAGCACCTGAACTTGGTGTGCATGTTATCTGTTTTCAGCAACTTTGAATCATTTACTGGTCTCTTCCTAGGTGGGATTTATCTGCCTTTTAACATGGGCCGCACCTATGTGAAATTCTATCCTACAGCACAACCCAGCCACATCGTGAAACAGACAAAAAGTTAACTGTATATTGAACTAGTATTGTAATAAAACACATTGATTTTAAATAATTATGATGTATACTGCCCTGATGGCCTCAATTCTTTACGACTCCCTGCATTCACACACATTGGCAGTGCTGTCTCACTTTGTTTCTTCGAGTATAAGGCTTGCTTTGGCTATTAGAATGAGACAGCAGTAAACTGTGTGCCAGTTCTGAGCCTAGTGTGTCACTGCTCTTCTCCTTTACTTCTTCCATTGCCATGAAAAGAGCATGCTCAGAGTAACTTGCAGGTCACAGGAGGATGATGAAATTACCTAGGGTAGAGCTGTCCCAGGTAATGTGCCCCAACCAAGCAGAGCCTAGAACACAGTTCCCAGCAGATGTGCTGATGCTTGTGTGAGGCCCACAAAGACCAGCAGAACTACCCAGTTGATTTGGGGGGGATGCATCTTTAGCATCTTTAAGTAAAAGTGTAGGTGATAATGCTGCAGTACAACAACAACAACAACGATAATAATAATAAAGAGAGGAATAGGCCACTTCTGTAGGTTCAGAGGAATCTGCTATTTTAATATTTTTGGTTGTATCAACCAACATACAACCATCCATGTTCAAAATCCCATTTTTTCCCAAAAAAGTCCCTGACTGTGTTAGGGAGTTTAACTTTCCATGGAGCTCAGCCACTCTTACTTTTAATTGTTGATTTAATTATTCATCTTTTTGTTAACTTTTTTCTCAGCATTTAGCAACGACTTCCGAGTTCCACTTTCTTCGTAATCGCTATTTTCCCTGCATGTCTCAGATATTTGATACATGGTACCAGCTAGGCATTTGCTTCACCCAGTAAAGTCATGCTAGTGTACCACTGCTGAGAATTTTAACAATCGCACTGCCACCTTGTGCCCATTGCCAGCCAGGCAGAAAAGAATTCAGCTCCAAGATACCATTCAAGTCTTTGCTTTTTGGGCCACTCCTAATACCAGTTAGTCCAGGTTGGGTTCTCCAAGAAGTAGATTCTGAGCCAGAGATTAATGTGTAGGAGGTTTATTAGAGCATGCTCTTGGTATCAAGGGAAAGAAAGGGAAGGGAAAGAAGCATGATTTGGCAGAAGCTGACCTGAGATGCACCCTCAGCCAATTCTATAGGGAGTTCTGAGCTGGAGTGACAGTGAGCCTTAAGAGTTGTGCTGAGTTGTCCTTCCATTGACAAAAAACGAAAATAGTCCACCTTGGAAAGTCAGTTATTTTAGCTAAAGCAATCCTGGCAGGGAGCTGATAATTAATACCCTTCTGGGGCCAGCGCTTTGATCATATGTGGCAGTAAATCATTCCTGAAGAGGAATCTTGATTGTGTATCATAGAATCCACAATCACATAATTACAACTAAGTAAATTATGACAAAGTGAAGACTGATTATTTAAACCCAAAACACTTTTCCACCTGTTTACTATTATTCTGCTGTCTTCCAATTTAACAGGACTCGGTGGCTATCCATTTTCTTGGATTTCCTACATTCATAAGCATTAACTGTACTGAGTTATTTCACTTTATGTTTTGAATGTCTCTTCCTTGTCTGAGAGCTTTACACAAAAGATACCATAATTTATCTATTGTTTTCTTAATCACTCTTCCAGTGCATTCAAATGGTCCCATAAATGCTTGTGGAATGGCTGTTGACTGGGTGATGCCATAGTATTTATTTGTCAGCCTTTCTATCCATTTTCCATCCATTTTATTTTCTATAAATCGGTACTACGTCGAGGAAAATGACCACACTGTAGATATTCTACGTTATCTTCCCTCTGCCACTTCATTTGCATACAAATATATAAAGTTTTAAAATTTCTCATAATATCTTTTGGGAAAAACATCCACAGTAAATGTCAGGTAGCTTAAATTAGACTTTTAAAGGACTCCATCATTATTGAGGTTAAATCATTTTTAGACAATATTTACCAAAAAATGTTTCATGTCTTCTATTAAAGTTGATTTCTAGAGGGTTGAGGCTTAGTACTCTTCAGCACTTCTCACATGTTCTCATGGCTCTTATTTTGAATATAAATATTGTATCTGCTGCCTATTTCTGATCTCCATTACATTTGATTTTTTTACCGTAAGATTTCGTATTATCATTAATACCTTCAGAATTCAAAACTTTTACATTAGATTTAGAAGTCACTCTCAGTTCTCAGTAACATTTCCAGGAAGAAAAAAATGTATTGCACTTCTCTTTTACTTTAACATCTGTGATTATCTTTCTGTAAGTTCTTTTTCTTGGCAATGAAAAAATTTTCCATTTCCCAATTGGATAGTAACCAGTAGTCAGTAACTATCAAAACACAGCAGAGAAAGTATTGTTTTTCTATTTTTCAGTTTCTTGAAAAATTAATATGTCTTTAGAAATTATTCTAGAGATGTTTATAGAAAATTGTTAGCTTGGGAGAAAATATTCCCGATGCGTAAAATGGTTGTGCATTAGGGAGTGGGTGGTAAGTTTGCATTTGTCAGTTTTATTGTAATTTGAGAAAACCATTGTCCCAATCCAAAGAATGTGTTGCTGTGAGAAAACTATTGTCCCAATCCAAAGAATGTGTTGCCCAGAGCCCCAAATCTGTTGCAAGGATTGATTGTGTGGAAGCTGCAAAAAAGACAATTCAGCACAATTTTATGGGAAATAGAACATTTTTACAAGATTCATTGGAAGGTCTAGTCTTGAATAAATAATGCAAAACCCCTTATATGCTATGCTCTGCCATCACACAGCCTCCTGTGGAACAGCTTTTGGTCAATCATGGATCCATCTTCATTCCTTTATAACATAATTTTGTTTATGGAAATATTAATTTTTACAACACAAATCATATATTACATAGTTCTGTGACGTAAATCCCAAGAAAAGATTATGGGAAGTTGTTACATAACATTAATAGCCATGTATTTTTTAAAAAACCCTAAAGATTAAACATGGTTACTACCAGTTATGGGCTGAATTGTGTTCCCCGCAAATTCATATGGTGAAATCCTAAGCCACAGCATCTCAGAATTCAGCTCTTTAAGGAGATAGGGTCTTTCAAGAAGTAATTAAAGTAAAATGAGGTCATGAGGCTGGGCCCTACTCCAATATGAGTTGGAACATTATAAGAAATTGGAACATAGACACATATAGAGGAAGGCCATGGAAGACACAGAAAGAAGATGACTATCTACAAGCCAAGTAGAGAGGCCTCAGAAGAAACCAAGCTGGCCAACACCTTGATATCAGATTTTTCCGACTTGCAGAATTGTGAGAAAATAAATTTCTGTTTGGTCACTCAGTCTGTGGTACTTACTTATGACAGCTTTAGAAAAATAATACACTGACTGCAACAATAAGAAAACTTCACTGAATTTTTGATTTGTGTGTTTAGCTACATTTTAGATCCTAAAGCTTGCTATTTAGCTGGAAGATTTTGTTATAATTAGAGCGAAACCATTACTAAATAAAATTGTATTTGCATATTTGAATTTGTAAACTCCTACATGTCATTCAAGAAAGGTGATGCAGCCAATAATCATAATACAATGCCTCTTTCTGATTAAAAATTTTTTAAAAATGTTTTCTTGAAAGAAAATATGTTACATATACACAATGGAGTACTATTTAGCCATATAAAAGCATGATATCCAGTCATTTGCAACAACATGGATGGAACTGGAGGTCATTATGTTAAGTAAAATAAGCCAGGCACAGAAAGAAAAACATCACATGTTCTCACTTATTTGTGGGATCTAAAAATCAAACAATTGAACTCATTGACATAGAGAGTAGAAGATAGTTACCAGAGGCTGGGAAGGGTAGTAGCAGGAAGGGGGGATGGTTAATGGGTATGAAAAATTAGAAAAAATGAATAAGACCTACTATTTGATAGTACAACAGGGTGACTATAGTCAATAATAACTTAACTGTACATTTTAAAATAATTTAAGGAGTATAATTGGATTATTTGAAACTCAATGGATAAATACTTGAGGGGATGGATACGCCATTTTTTGTGATGTATTTATTTCGCATTGCATGCCTGTATCAAAACATTTCATGTACTGCATACATATATACATACCTACTATGTACCTAAAAATTTTTTTTAAAAAAAGATGAGGGCACAAAATTGCTTGTTGATTAAATGAAAAATCAGAACAATCATTATTTTCATTGTTCTCCCTGGTGTGCACAGCAGCTACTTTTAATCTTAAATTTTACCATAATTGAAGAGGGGACTAGGCTACCAAGATTCAGTAGGAAGAGTCCAACAAGAGGACCTTTGTAAAGCAAGAGTCACATTCTTTAAAAGGATCACTGACACTAAGAAACTATACAGTAATACTATGTCATGAGTTTTCACGAATTATTTCTTTCTGCATGAAAACTATTGTGTTATCTTACTATAAATGATTATAGAAATAATGCTGTGTCATTCAGAATATTTGAAGGGTAAAGTGCAGTAATTCAGTTTAAACAAAAAATTTACTTCTGTAGCTCTGGCCATTTTCTTGCTAGACTTTCATAGTATTTCATTTAATCGGGTAAAAGTATGTGTTTGTTATGAACTGAACTGTGTTCCCACAAAGCTCATATGTTGAAGCCCTAAACCCCAATATGACTATATTTGGAAATACATCCATTAAAAAGGCAAGTAAGGTTAAATGAAGTCCAATGAGTGGTTCCTAGTCCAAAAGGACTGGTACTCTTATAAGAAGAGAAAGAGACACTAGGAGTGTGAGTGCTCAGAGGGAAGACTATGTGTGGACCTCAACAAGGTGACTATTGGCAAGCCAAGGAGAGAGGCCTCAGGAGAAACCAAGCCTATCTTCAACTTGACCCTGTACTTCCACCTTTCTGAACTGTGAGAAAATATATTTTTTGTTGTTTAAGCTACCCAGTCTGTGATATTTAATTATGTAAGCCCTAGGGAACTAATGCAATGTAGGTCTTAGATATCTATTAAGAACATACTAGCAAGAGGGAATTTGTTAGTCTTTCTGAAAAGAAATAGTTTCCAAGATTGCATTTTGGTTTTATATTTATAGAATGTCAATAGTTTGTGTTTACGTAGGAGAATATGGGATAAGTCCTGTTTCATATATGTACACTACAAATTTATGCAAAGCCACTTATTTATGTTCATTTTTTTTCAGAATCATAAAATTTATTTGAGGAAGAACAAAGGCAGTAGAAAATTTAGAAGCCAAATTTTAGAGGAATATGTTTTCATAACAGAAAAACTTAATATTCATCAAATATGATAAGAAGAAAACCTGACAAACTGTAGTGATATGATTGTTATACTTATCCATTACACAGAGCAAGCAATACAAATGCAATGTGAATAATTTATTTAAGTAATGTCTAAAACCTTTCTAGTTAATTTCTGAGTATGGACTTCACATTATTCTGGAGGAAAATCAACATTTTTCGTCAAATGTTTATAGACACATTCTATGATAATTTAATATAGGTAATTATTTCAAGAACAATAACCCTCGTATCTTTAAAATGTAGAGTAAAAGAGAAAATGAAAATGTTACACTTTCTAATAATACTGTGCCTTCAGTTTAGTATTTTATTTTTTCCAGCATTATTTTAGTGTGGGTGGTAAATACTTGCCTCAAGACAAATACTTCCCAAGTCACAAGGAGTATATGTACTTAGAATGACAGTATATATCAAAAAAAGTTACAGAAGTATTTTGGTTTGCACCTCAGGTGATTCAATTTTATTTCAGAGGAAATTACAGAGAAGTTATAATAATTGTGACAAGCAGCAGCAGTATAAAAATCACACCCATGATGTTTTACAGGAAAACAGAACAATATGCTAAAGTGCCATTTGAATGGAAAACATATCCATAGTGTTTCATCTCTTCATTCCAGTTCAAACAAAAGTAGATGTAAATAAATTGTGAAAAAAATGACAAGGTGTAATACAAGAAATATCCCATTGAGATAGACACGAGATTTCTGAACACCATGTTTACATCAAGTTCCTCAAAAGGGTATCCAAATTCATAAAATCTTATTTCAGAACATCAATATCTCTCAGTGCCTAAGTGTGGACTGTCAGTGGCCATAGATATTTTACTCAGTGTCACTGTAGCACCTGTTTCTTTTAATCTGCTCTTCCACCGTGAGTTGTTCTGACTGCACCTCCACTCTGGGAAACAAAGGCTTAGCTGTACATTCATGGCTCAGAGCATCAAAACCTGTGTTTTCATTATTGCGGGCAGCTTCTGTTGTTTCAACATGCCAAGGTTTAACATCCTTTCCAAATTCCCTTAAATCCAAGCATGGCATATTTTTAATTTGATCTACAGAATCTATTAAATCACAATTGAAAATGTTCTCATTTTTCTTGGAAAATGCAGTGATTTTCACGGTGTTAGAAAAGAAAAAGTGTAAATTTTTGCTCTTTGAATGGCTTCCTTTAATGTTTAAGAGATTTGTATCAGGAGAGATGATTGAACTTCCCCCCTTTACCATAAGGCCTCTGCTGAGGCTTGGTTTTGGAGCAGGCTGCACAGGACTGCCAGCAGCTGCTCTGTCAGTCTGTTTCTTCAGAGCCATTGCTAGTACATTCCTCGAATAAGTCTTTTCAGATTCAAATATACCAAGTAACTCTGAGATTCTAGATGTATTTTCTAACTTCTCAATTTCATATTCATTTGCAGTGTCATTTGCTTCACTCGACAAGGGTAATAGATCAAGAAATTCTAAAATAGATGTCTTCTGCCTGCAATTATTCAGATATGAGACTGCTACATAATTGTTATTATTATTCTTATTCAAATTTTCTTTATGATTTTCTGGCATCATCTCATCATCAGTGTTAGTAACCTGTAAAACTTCTGCACCATTAGTTTGGTTAGTTTTTTCATTTTTCTCCTTTTCAGCACTCTGCACAATCACATTATTGTTGTCATTAAGATCCATAGCACTTTTCCTGTTACTCTTTGTGTCTTCAGCTTCACTCGGCCTATCTTGCACATTCTTCCTTCCTTCCTTCTTTTCATCTTTTCTTCCTTCAGGCATTTTCATTTCTTTGATTCCTATAACATCCTCTTTCTGACAAACATGGGTGGACTGTAGATAAGGCTGCAAAAATGGAAAGTGATCTTGTCTTTGTCCTTTATTTTCTGGAGTTCTAACATCTTCTAGCAGAGATTCACTTTTAAATTCAGGGGATAGCAGGGTTGTCATTTCAGGTGGCCACTTAGGTTTACTCATTTTGAGCTCTTCCTCAAAGGGTAAGGTTTTCTTAGGGATCTCCTTGGAAGGAGGCCAAATGACTTTTAATTTTCCCCTTTCCCCTAATTTTCTCAAATCATTCCTTTGCCCTTCACTGTTACCAGCATCTAAATGTTCATTACGATCTCCAGGTACAAGGGTGTTTTCTGCAATATTTTTACACATATTTGGTTCTTCATTAGGAATAAAGTCCACTGATCTGCTTTGGTTTTTGCAGTTCCATCTATCTTTATGCTGCTTATGTCCAAAACCTTCATCATAATTTCCTTTGGATTTGAAAAGTTGTTTAAAGTGAGGTTTACAGTATATTTGTCCATGAAGTGATGCATAATTTCCCAAACTGCCAAAAAGAAAAAGAACACTTAGCAGTTCGTATTTACTGTAAGTTCATAGGGAATTGGGGATTAATTATTTCAATGAGTTACAGACTAGTAAACTTAAGTTACTAGCAATGGGAATGGCCCTATTAGTTGAACATTTCTGTTAGATAATATTACCACCAATACTTTATATGATGTATGTCTTGCAGTGTTTAGAATTTTATGATGTGTGTCAGGTATTGGCATAATAGGTATTATAGGGTAATGCACATATGGTTATACATGGTGCAGAGTGATAGGACTGAACTTGTGCTAATTCAATGATTTATGTGAGGCGTTGTAATTTCCAATAAATCCTGAGTAGCAAACACATACAAATCAACAATATGAGCTTCTTTGTTAACTGGATTTTGAACGAGCTGGAAGGTGTGCCTAACAATTGCTTATGTGGCCTCTTTAAGGAGATTAACAAATTGAGTGATTTAAAATTAAAATGAACTCTAGTCAGAGGCAGGAGCATAGTTTTCGAAATATCTATGAATCTACACATAAAAACAGATACATCAACAAGATAGCAAAACTTAAAACCCATGGGGAACATTTACAACTAAATGAAGTGACAAGATAGCCCCCTCAACATCAAAATACAAAGAACTAAGGAGAAACCACCAACAGTCACAAGGCCAGCATGATGGTCTCATCTGTATTGGTGATAGCAGAGGGAGCAAGGAAGATGTCTGATGGACCTGAAAATATGAGACCACAAAATAACCAACTAATAT
This sequence comes from Homo sapiens, assembly GCF_000001405.40. NCBI lineage: Eukaryota > Metazoa > Chordata > Mammalia > Primates > Hominidae > Homo > Homo sapiens. Next base: position 167,257,094 of record NC_000002.12, on the reverse strand, counting down.
TTCCTGGAAAGTATCACATGCCAATCAGAGAACAGCAGCTGAAACTTTGAGGAGATTTGTGATCTCCAATAGACAATGAGTGCAAGGTCCCTGTGGTAAGGAAGACTTGAAGAGGCTAGTGAGGTTGAACTCCTAAAACTGGGCTCCCCTTTTAAACAGAATCCCAAAGTGAGAAAAAATAGGAGAGTAGAATCAAGATTGAGCAGGATAATGATTACAGAAATGAAAGAGAAGGTTCTGAAAAATATGGAGAAGAGGAGCCAAGCCAGGGAATTCTGGAAATCAAGCTGCCTTATTTTCTTGATCAGCATATGAAAACTAAAAGAGGTAGCTCTGTGAAGTTAGAAAAACCATCCTGATTTTTATCCTTCTAAGGTTTGGGAAAACTAATTTTACATAAAAATGAGAAACAGAAATGTACCAAGGTAAATAATATATGAAGTTATTAAAAGAAAATAAAAGTGCAAAGGGCATTATAATATCCCTGTAGATAATGAAAACATGCCAGAAAAACATGCCCTAAAAATATATCAAAAATTTAACCTATGACTTCAAAATGAATTAAAAGACATTAAGAACATGATAAAAGACCTGAAAGAACATCATGAATCAGAATTTAAAATCTCATAAGTGAGGTGCCAGAAATCAGAAAAAATAGAAATAAAAGATAAAAATATCAGCAACAAAACTAAACTAAAAGAAATACAAGAGCAAATAAACACAATAAAAAGTGGCTTAAGAGAAACAGAAGAATGAAAACAACTTTTTCAATAATCAGAAAGAAATAAATATGAAAAGAATTTGAGAGAAAGAGACAGATAATAAAAATAGGCAAAAAACATTCAAGGTATAGATAATAGGAATTCTTGAAGAAAAAACTATATAATAAAACAGATTAAATATTAAATAGTTATAATTAAAACAAACTTTCTTGATACAAAAAAGCATGCAACAACATACAGAAAGAGCACACTGGGTAACTGACACTAGTGAAGAATGACCAATGCCAAGAACTAATCTAGTAAAATTGCTAGATTTTAAATAATAAAAAGAAAAAAATCTGTGGGTATATTTAAGAAAAAATATACATCTTATAAGGAAAATAAAATTAGATCGTTATCAAGCTATTCCAACACTTTATGCCAGAAGAAAATAAAATAATGTATCAAAGAATACAATGAAAGTATAAGCCAAAGATTTTAATTTCAGCAAAACTGACTTTTTGTTATAAAGGTCACAGACAAATTGTTATCAGCATGTAAGAATTCAACGAATATTGTTTCCATGAAGAGTTTAGAAGAGTCTACTAGAAACCAAGCTTTAATATCAGAACAACTGCAGAAACATCAAGGTAAGCATTGGTGGTGGGCATTAATATCTTGCAACCTGAAAACTAAGATGAAATAAGGGCAAAGAGGGAGATAACACGGTATGTAGTGGCTATATGATCTGAAACTGAAGATGTGGTACAATAATTTATAAAATGGGGAGGGCAGATGTAATTTTTAAATGTTTTGATAATGAAATTAGTGGTGCTAATAGATGATACTTGCTATGGGAATGGAGAAAAGTATATAGCTTAAGAGGTATTTATGGGGCAGAAATTGCAGGACTTGGTGACGGCTTGAATGTAGGGAATGAAGGAAAGGAAGGAGCCAAAGATAACTCCATGCTTTGGTCACTGAGTTAATGTTAATGTCATTTACTGATACAGTAGCATAAAGACTGTAAGTTAAAGAAGGAATTTAGATAGAAGAAAATGGGGCATATTGAGTTTGCTGTACTTATGAGAAATCTAATTGGAGAAGTATATCAGTCATTGAGATATAAGCATCTGATGCACAGAGAGATTTGGCCTAGCAGTACAGACTTCAGAGTCATTACCACATAGATTATTTAAATCATGGGAGTGGATGTGATTCACTAGAAAGAAGAGAAACGTTGAGAAGAATAAATTCCCATAACATAATTGTGAGGACCTCTTACATCTTGGTAATGGACAGAGAGTCCCCCACACAGGTGCCTGAGAAGGAGCACACAAAGAGTAGGGGAAAAGCCATTATACTCTGTTGTTATGGAAACCAAGGGAAAAAAATGTTGCCATGAGGGTGTTCGACATTGTCAATTAAAGTCAGAAAAAATATAGTGTGAGAGATGCACATTAGATTTAGCCAAAAAAAAAAAAAATCAATTTTAGCATCTCAGACTACAGTCACACCAAATGTCACATTCAGTTAAATGCATTTACTTCAAGAGTTTTGGAAAATGAATGCATTTTAACTGTGTGGATAGGGTGTTTCTGTTTGCTCCAGAGAAAAAACAGAGTTTTTCTCTTACCTGTCACTGATATTTTTCTAAATTTCAATTTCATTTTTAAAAACTTAGTCTAGCTCAAAGACAGGTAAATTCTAACCTACCCACCACTTGTTTTGGTATATGAAGTTTTATTGGAACACAGCCAAGCCCATTTATTTACAACCACACCCATTTGTTTAGTTATCTGTGGCTGCTCTTGCTCTCTAATAGAAATTGAGTAGTGACAGAAGCAGTACGGCCTGCAAAGCCAAAATTACTTATGATCTAGACCTTAACAGAAAATGTGTGCTACCTCCTGATCTGGAGTCTAGACTTTAGACTAACACACTAACTTAAAAATCTTGATTTGCAGAGTAACTCTTAATTTTACTCATCTGTGTGATTTTTGTGTTCAGACAAAAGGGATGCTTTTGGATTTGATTAGAAAAGTAAAATTCCTAAAGGAAAAAGGTCGCAGAAATACATCACAGAACATGAGCAAATCTCCCTGTGTGGTTGTGTTAACTGACGCAGCAACAAGATCTGGAAAAATGTGCATCCTCCTAGAGATATGAGGCTATACATAGAGTGCAGCTCCTGGAATATTTGTGGCAAAGACAATTAAACATTTTACCTTAGTTTACTGTTGCAATGGTGGCATCGGAAGCAGGACTTATGAAAATTCTGCTTGTCTGCCACTAGGCACTCCATTGGATAAACTGTCTTTTGACAAAGTATACATATTTCCTTGTCTTGGAGCAGCAGCTTCTAAAAATAAAAATTTACAAAGCCTTCTGTAGTGTTATCTTCAATCATATTGTAAAAACATAACAAAACAAAAACACATATTAACTGGCCATGCGGTTAAAGTAGAAAAGCTCTAAGACTACTGTCCTTATGATGTTTCTCTGGACAGAGACTAACCTATCATCAGGTTTAACGGTCTGCTAGGATGGTCTACATTACTCTAGTGCTTCTACCATTTATAGATTGTACGAGTAGACATTTATGATTTAAAAAAACATACATGAGTAAAATATGTTCATTAGACATATAAGTACATTACAAACATATATATGTGCATATATGTGAGTATATTTTTTATATATATATACATATAAAATACTCAGCAATGGGGAGCTCTGAGATAACTTATCATTGTAGGTAATTGAGTTTTCCCTATATATAAAGGCTTGTACCTAAGCTGGTCAAAAGTTTTTACTTCTTAAAGCATTTTAGATAGATCTTTCTAAAATACATATGTTTTTTAAGCCAAGGACACTGTATTTGCTTCAATATTTTCTTGATGACTTAGAGTTGACTGTAAGATACCAACTCTTAATTGTAATGCAATGAGACTCCTGAACACAGTAAAATGCTCAGGGTCATTTGTCCTCAATCTAACTGGCTTTAGATTGTGGAGCTTTTTGGATTCTCGCATCTGCTTATGTAGTTTTCCTACATCTTTTCTTGCTCCTCTAAAGCACCTATGCTCACTTCCTGTGGCTTTCCTGTAAATGTTAGCCTCTATGAATAATAGTGGTTCTATTACTAACCAGTGTTTGTATAGTGGTTTAAAACTAACACAGAACTTTCACTTCAGAATTGCTTTTTGTCCTCACAGCGATCCTGTGAGAATGACTAAGCTTTGGTATTAGTTATTTATAAAAGAAAATATGCTCAGGTTCCATTATACAAATAATTATATCTACTTTAGTGCCTAGATGGTCAATCTGGGCCACTGAGTGAACTCCTTTGCTTATTTGGTTCTAGTAGAGGACACATTTTTATGTTTATCACAAGTTTCTTTGTATGTTCTATGTGTTTTTGAGCTATCTTAACAGAAGCTGAGTATTTGAAATTAATTAGACAGCTTTGCTTAATTATGCCAGAAGCAAGCACATTAAGAACCATATTAACCTGATAAACTAGACACATATGTTGCAAATATGATGGAGGCATAATTATTAGTTTCAGCAGTTTTTATTTTTAAGCTTGCTATTTCTTTCAATCTGTCTAAAAGAATGGACTAAACTAATGATGCACATTAATTATATAAAATTCTTTTATCATGAAGCCTCATTAATTGCAAGAAGTAGGGAAATGAGCTGTTCTTTGATGTTAAAAATCATGTACTAAGTCCATATGATTTAAACCTCCCTCCTTCCAAATAAAATCAAAATTTTTAAATGCATTGTTTACGCTCATTTGTGAATGAGGTTGATTGAGCAGTGATTTAGTTTATTTTTTAGAAAAGCGAAAAAAATCAGTTAGAAAAAAATGTGGCATCAGAGAAAACTAACTCTATCCAACTCAGTAGCAATAGTTGAATATATAAAAGGTCTAATTCCACACCCACACTTTTGTCAGAGATACAGATCAATAAAAATACTAAAGCACACATGAAGAATGTAAATTGTGTCTCAGACTTCTATCAGTCTGTATTGAACTCAATGCAAATATCATTTAAACCTGGCAGTTAAAAATATGTCAATATTAGGCCAAAGGATATTATTTATTATTGTCTAGAATAATTGCATGAAATAAAATTATTGCTATACCTGTTGCTTTATCCAAAGCCTTATTTACCTTGACAAATATGTCCCAGTAATCTGTATAATAGTATTTGTTATTCTCACACAGTGCAAGTAAATCATACTCTATGCTTTTGTGAAAAGAATGTTGTAAAAGCAAGCATATAAAGAGTCTATAAGCATACATGGGAAGCTGTTAGTTTTAGGTTATATTGTTTGGTTGTTTCCACGCACTCTTTTTAACTGTACATCATTTTGGCTATGGAACACATGCCTTTAAATGGTTAATCTTCTTTAACACATTGCAAGCTCATTTACCACTTATAAATGCAGATTCCTCTTGGAAGGTGGTTCTCATCTCAGTTGCAGAAGCATCTGCGGTTGCATATCCCAGGCCTTTAAAAACTCTTCCACTCTCTTGCCACGTCTTTTGAAAATTTTTTCTTACTTCTTTAGGTGAATCAGAGATATCTAAAATATGTCCAGCAATGACATCCTCATAGGTTGGTGGGGCATGCTTGAAGTCACAGCCAGATTTGCCAGCTTCTGAGCTATGTGATGAAGAGGTTTTCATCTTCGACTCAACAATTTGACTCTCAAATGCATCCATGCCTGAGAAATGTTCACTTAGAGACCTGGTTTCAGAGCAGATCCTGGGCTGCTTAACAGGAATCTTTTCTCGCAGTTCTCTAGGATGTTTGCAAGAAAAGTCTGTAAAACTCGTGTTTCCTAAAGATGTTAATCCAAATTCCTCCTTACAAAATGTACGACTTTCTTGTTGTATGTTATGGTTTGTTTCTCCCTTTGCATAAACTCTTCTATTTGACTTTGCTTCAGAAACTGGGCCATGCTCAAATTCCCTGAACCATCTGTTTATTTCATTTTCAGGGTCATTCACGAAATTTTCAGCCATTTGAACAGTTCGGTTGGCCGCTTCATATCTCTGTGTGTGCTCTGACAGGCGAGGAGGCACTGCAACCTTGCGGATGATTTCAACTGCATCATAACTTTCAGTGTCGGGCACCATGTGATCAGTGGAATTTAGTCCATCTTTATGAACATAAGTAGCTCTCTTCTCCACTTTCCTGATTTCCTCTTGAGCGTCCACAGATTCTCTGAAGGAACCACTAGCAGCATGATTTATATTTACTGGTATTGTGATTGTAGGTGGAGAGTCCCTACCACGAGTTTCTATCTTAATTTGACGACGAAGTGTTGCAGGAGACATGATGATTTCAGACCTCTTCTCTACAATTGGAACCGGGGTTGCTGCTGGACATGGGATGGCCCCTTTGGATAACTTTGCAGTGGTGTCTTTGAGTCTGACAAGTTGTTCAGAGCGACTCCTGGGTGGAGAAGGGGAAGTGTTTGCTCTGTGAATTTCAGATTTTTGCGACATGGGCCTTCTTGGTGGGGGTTCAACATAACTGTCCTTTTTAGGGGACTGAGAAAGCTCGTTCTTAGTAGGGTTTTCTGTTCGTCGGGCAGTAGATTCTATTGTGATAAAAGTTGGTGACGGTGGGCGTGTTTTTAAAGAGGGAGGAGGAATGTTGCTATCATCAAGTTTAATTTCCTGATGGGTTTTCACGTGACTACGAACAGTTGCTTCATGATGAGCTGCTACTTGGTGCTGTACTGTTTTCTCTTTGGCAATTTTATTTTCTTTCTGTTCACTATTTTTATTATTGCTGACATGAACATTAGATACTTTGGATGATGTTTCATCAAGACTAGTGGGTTTATTTCCCGGTTTTCCTGTTTTGGAGGACATCATGGCTGTCTGAATTATATTTTCATAGGACACAAGCATATCTTCCGCTTGAGTTTTAATATGTGTTATTTCTTCTTTTACTTTTTCTAAATTATTCTCCATGGCAATGTGAACTGCATATTCTCTCTTATCTTCACTTATCAGCCATCCTGGGATAGTATTTAATAGTGTCTGAAATGTTTTAAGGCCACTTTTATTTGGCTCTGCTTCAAACTGTTTCACTCTCGACAAAATCTGTTGCAGTTCTTCACGTTTTCTCAAGAATTCCACTATATTTAAGGCACCTTTTCCATCATCCCGCTGGGATTCTTTCACAGAGGAAAAGAAAGATTTGTTCTGTGTAATCTCTTGCTTTGAATCTTTAGTATTAGAGAAGACTTGTTTCTCTTGTATGCCCTTGACTTCGAGACATTTTTCTTCCTGCAGACTATTATATGGCTGGGGCAATTTTTTATGTTCAGCTTTACTTTCAGCGGTCTGTATTTGTGTTTGCTGAAAATTCTGAGTCTGTGAATCAAGATGTGCATCGATAACCTTTTGCTTGACGACCTTTGGTGCTGATTTATTCTTCAGATGTTCGTGTTTTCTTTCAGTTATTAATCTCTCTTCTTTTCGACCAATCATTGATGGTCCCTGATTTTTTTCTTCACTTCCTGGAAGTTTCCCTCTGTCAGATCCGCTAAATTCTCTTTGCTTCCTGGGAACCATCTTGAGCTTATCTTCCTGGTTCTTCTGTATGGATTCTGTAGGCAATTGTACTGTCACTCTTTTCTCCTTCTTAGGTAACTGATAATGTCTTTCAGCCAGAGATTGCTTATGACTACATTCAGTGCTTGCTTCAGTTTTCTTGGTTTTCAGATATTGTTTTTTGGTAAAGGTTTGAACATCAATCTCAGATTGCTGTTTATGACTTTCATAGCTGTGGTCTGTTTCATTTAATGTATGATCTAGAGTTGGAAGTTTGATGGTTTTAACTTTGAAATTTGGGGAAATTGGTTTGCTTTGGGGCAAGTGCAACTGCTCCAAATACTTCTTCTGTTGTGTTTGTTGGGTACTACATTCTTGGTGACTTTGTTTAATTTCGCAAGCTGATTTGGATTGCATAATGTCCCTTGAGCTTTGTAAAACTTCCTTTTTCATCTTATCTTTGTCTTCTGAAGCTGCTAAAACATGGTGGAGCCTCTTGGCAGCGACTGTTTCTGGCGATGTTGTGGAGAGTTGGTTATCAGAACACACTCCTAGTATCCGAGCATTACTTTGAGAGCCTGGGCTGGGTTGAACCACAGTGCATTCTGAATCAATTCCAGATAGGGAAACCTCCTCATTGGTTTTTTGTAATGGCATTTCCTTTTCCACCTCTGTTATGTGTTGATTTTGGCTTTGAGTTTTAACAATGTTGTAGTAAGAACTCTCCTGTTTCTGTTTTTCAATTTCTTCTTTTTGTTGTCTATATTTTTCTTCAGCAATCATTAAAGGTGTCTTAAATTTTCTCATATAAGGTTTTGGATTTTGTTGTCCTGAACTCTCTGGAAATGAATGAGATTTTATAAGAGGCGCAATCTGTTTTTTCCTGGGTGCTGAAGTTCCTGGAACTGTGTGTGAGAGACAGTTTGCAGAGTCAATAGATAATTGTTTTCTTTCATCAAGACTCTTACTAATAACGTTCTGCTTTGTCTCCGTGTGTTCACTGCTGGTCATCACCATTACTTTTTTCTGATCCTTTGAGGTAGTAATTTTACATTCCATATCTGACAGGGAGGTTGCCAGTTCAACTTTGGGGGAAAAATCGTTCTTATTATCTTTTATATGCTTGGGAAGTTTGGGTTTGGGCAATGTGGGAGGTGGCAACACACCGGTTTTTCCTGTTATGATTTTAGCCTGAGAATTCTGAGAGTTCGAGGCTTCTTTTTGGGAATATTGTTGCATGAAGTCTCCACTGTGCTTTTCCGGAGCAGAGGAGGAAAGGAGATGTGCTGGCTTTTGAGATGGAGTTGGAGGAGGAGGAGGCGGCAGAAACATCGATGAACTTTCTCTTTCAGATTTCTCATCTACTGGAGGTGGAGGAAGAGGGAGGCCTGGAAAACTTTCAAATTCAGCCTTTATCTTCTCTGTGGACAGTGAGGGAAGAAACCCATTTTTTTCAGGAAACATCATCAAAGGAGGTGGAGGAGGAAGAGGAAATTCAATTTCAGATGATGCATTAGAAGGTGGTGGAGGAGGTGGAGATGGAGGTGGAAGGGGGCACTCACTTTCTTTTACATTATTCTCAGGGTTAAAGTTGATTGGATTCAAGGACCTTTCCATTGCCATTTTTAAGCCTGTGGAAGTATTTGTTTTCATTAGAAAGTCCTGGCTTTTCAAGTGAACATCAGTCTCCCGCTTTTTGTTGGTTGCCTTAAATGTATTGTGACTTTTTTCAGAGACTTTCATTTCTGTTACATTGGATGTGTCTTGCTCTACAGGCAAAAGCTGCCACATTGGTTGAAGGTTTATATTCTTTTTCTTTATATCCTTATTAGAATATTTTGTTTCTTGCTTTAACAAAGTTTGCTTCTGAAAGTCCCCTGAAAGGTCGTAAGTTCCTCCAACTGGCATGCTGACTGGATGCTGGGTGGGACTGGGCTTGGAGCTTTGTGTATCAGTTAATATTTTAATATTTTTGGTCTTTTTAGGACTCTTTATATGAAAACCCTCCATTTTCTGGTGGTCATTTCTCAGTTCATATGTCTGTTGCTTTCCAACGGTTTTACCAGCAGATTGGATGGAATTAAAGACATCATCCTTCTTCAGCTCTCTCACTGCCCTGTCTGATTCTTTAGTTGTTAGATTATTCTTAACTGACACAGTTGAAGTTAATTGTCTGCTCATATATTCATCTCTAAGATGCTGTTCTCCTGTAGTATCAGTCCAGACACCCGTTTTGTCTCCTGATTCCAAAACATTAGATTTATGGTGTGAATTAGATAGTCTTCTAAGGCTTTTCTCCAGAGCATCATTGTTTTGTTCACGATCTATGACAATCTTTACAGTGCCTTTGGGGGCTTTTGGAAGATTAACCTCAGTTCTTTCTTCTACTAAATTGCCATGGCAAGATTTCCCCATAGTTTGACTGAGAGTATCTGCTCCCCCTTGCCACTTGGCCGCTGGCTCAAATGGACCTGGCTTTGGCTGAAGAAGACTATTTTTGTTCCTCTGGACAGCAACCTGATGAATATCTGTTTTCTGCTCTCCCGAGGATCCTGCCATCACAGCTTTAGCATCTTTTTTTATTACACCTTCTTTATGTACCTCTTTGAAACTTCTTTGTGCTTCTTTCAAAGACCTTAGTGATGTTTCCAGGTCATCTTTGAGAAGCTCCTTTTTCAGAATTTCTGTCTTTGTATTTGTAGCTTTTTCAAGGCATTCAATAGCTTTTTCAATATCACCAGGGATGGCATCAGGCTGTTTAGATTCTTTCCATCGATGGCTTGATTCTTTAAGTGACTTGAGTGTGGCTAGCATGTTACCTTTTATAATTTCTTCTGTTTTCGTCACTGTTTTCTGATTTACAGCCTGGCTGAGGGAATTTAGGGTTGATGTCAAATCACCTTTTATAATCTCTTCTTTGGGTATCTTACCAAATGTACTCTGAGGCTCGGTCATAAAAACCTTAACTGTGTTATGCACATCTCCAGGGATGATGTCAGTTTCACTAACAGTACGTTCAACCAGAGACTGCCTTTTCTTCAGTAACAGTTTTGTACCTTCAACATCACCACCAATGATTTCTTTCTCTCCTTCTTGTTTCTTAGCTGTCAGTGTTTCATTTGACTCTGTGTGGAGTTGTTTCAGATAATCCAAAGCTCCAGCTTCTATGCAGGTTGTGAAAAACTGAACATTTCCTCTCTCAGAGGCATCAATTTTAGCCCTTTCAGATATTTTATTGTTTGATGTGGAAGACAATAAATTATGAATGGTACGTTTGACATCACCACCTATTACTTCTTCACGCTCAATTGTGTCACCATCATTTTCATGAAGAAGACAATAGATAGTCATGTTAATATCTCCTTTTTCATCTTCCTGAATTAAGATGCCTTTCTTTACAGATCTTTCCTCAGAGAACAGGTTTTTTATTGCTTGTTGTACATCACCTTTCACTATCTCTTCTTTTTCAGCATGAAATTCAGTTGATCTGTTTAATAATTGAGTTTTAGTCAAATTAACATTTCCCTTCTCTTCTTCACTAATCAAAATCTCTCTTTCAGTACAGTCCCTTTTGGAAAGTAGGTTCACCATTATATTTCTGAGATCAGCCCTGATAATTTCTTCTTTCTGTATCTCAGGAGATGCTTGGTTCATTAGCTTGTATTTTGCCATTCGAACATCCCCTATTTCATCAGCTTCAATGATGATTCCAGGAGCCTGGATAACTTTTTGAGAGTAGAGATCTTCTAAGGTTTCTTTAATGCTCTTGCCAATAATTTCTATCTTTTCTACTCTAGTTTCATTAAATTCATGAAGTGGTGTTGTTTCAAAGAGCCATGTGGTTGTTTTGACATCAGAAGGAGGGATTTCTTCCTTGGTCATTTTTGTGATACCTTTATGTGCTTCCATAATAGAATCGAAAGTTCGATTTTCAAAAAGCCACACAGCCTGCTTAACATCACCTTTCTGCACATCTTCCTGAGTGACTGTCTTGATATTTTCATATTCTAACCCTTCTCCTCTCAGTTCATCCATAGTGTGGGTTTCAAATAGCCAAGTAGATGTTTTAACATTGCCCTTTTGTATTTCATTGACACTTACTGTTCGTATATAGTTATTCTTATCAAAATTTTCAGACTCAAAGAATTGTCTACTTGTCTTTACATTGCCACCTTGTATATGGTCAATACTGGGCATAATATTATGTGATTCTTCAGAAATCTGATCCAGTGGCTGAGTTTCAAATCTGTATCTGACAGAACTAACATCTCCCTTCTGAATGTCTTCTTGTGTGACAGATTTAATAACATACACAGTTTCTGATTTATTAATAGAGTCTAATGGCTTTGTTTCAAAAAGCCACCTTGTTCCTCGCACATCTCCATGAATTACCTCTTCTTTTTTAACTGTGGTCACTTCATGATAGGACCCTTCTCGGTCTTGAATTGCATAGAGTGGCTGGGTTTCAAAGAGCATTCTGTAGCTTTTTACATCACCCTGTATTACTTCTTCAGTAATTGTTTTCTTGGTGCTGATATAGTCAGATTCTTCTTTAATCTCATCTAAAGAAAAAGTCTCAAAAATAAAGCACCCCTTTCTTACATCCCCACCTTGTATGTCTGTCACCGTCTTAACACATTCATCACCTTCTTGGCTTTCTTTTATCTTATCAATTGGTTGGTTTTCAAAAAGCCACCTACAATTTAAAACATTGCCTTTCTGAATATCTTCAGTTTTTAAGGTTTTGATCTTTTTCAAAACTTCCTCTGAACTAGAACTTATAGAATCTAAGGACTGATTTTCAAATTTATACCTCATGCTGGAAACATCTCCAGCTTGTATATCCATTTCAACAGGCTTGATTTCCTTCACTTCTTCTCCTTGTATGCTGTCCAAATTTTCTGTCTCAAAAAGAAAACATGCTGTACGAACATCCCCACCTTGGATCTCCTCCTGTTTTACAGTTTGCAATTTGACTGCTGTTTCAGAGTCATCTTTTATGGTATCAAGTGGCTGAGTTTCAAAGAGCCAAGTACAAGTTTTGACATCTCCCTTATGAATTTCTTCACTGCTGGTCATTAACGAAACTTTTTCATAAAGAGACTCCATTGGCTGGGTCTCAAAAAGCCATTTACAGGTTTTGACATCCCCTTTAACAATATCTCTAGTTTGTTCAGTTTTACTTTCTGTTTCTTCCACATCACTAAAATATTTAATTGAATCAAGAGGTTGGGTTTCAAACAACCATTTGGCAGATTTCACATTTCCAGTCTGTATTTCTTGAGCAGATATTCCTCTAATTATTTGAAATTTATGAATGCTTTCATCAAACTGGTCAATGGGCCTTGTTTCAAAAAGCCACCTACAGCTTCTTACATCACCTCTTACGATTTCTTCTTGCTGGACTGTCTTTACTTGATGATATTTTCCAAGGGGATCTTGAATGGCATACAGTGGTGTTGTCTCGAAGAGAGATTTATTTAACTCTACAGCACCTCTTGTAACTCCTTCCACCTCTATTTTATGTGATGCATCAAATTTAATTAAATTGTTTGATTCAAAGATATGTGTGTAATTCTTCACATCTCCTCTGTCAACTTCTTCAAGTTTCACTGTTCGTGTGTACTCCTTTTTATCTTTTCTAATGTCTTCCAGAGGTTGGGTTTCAAAAATCCATTTTTGATGCCTAACATCCCCTTTTTCTTCTTCAGAGGCAGTGATTTTTTGAAGCTTTCCTATATCAGGACTGTCTTTTAATGCTTCAATTGGAAGTGTTTCAAATAGATGCTTAGTAGTTTGTACATCACCACCTATTATCTCCTCACGTTGTAGAGAATCTGCATCAGGAACTTCTTTTAGAATGTCTAATGGCTGGGTTTCAAACATCCAACACTTTCTGGAGACATCTGTACCTATTATTTTTTCCTTTTCAATGATGACCTCTTCTGACTCTTTGATTTTCTCCAAAGGTTGGGTTTCAAATAACCACTTTGCCTTACTCACCCCACCTTTGACATTTTCTTCCATGGATATTCCTCGGACAACTTTAATTTCTGTGATATCTTTGTTAATTGTGTCCAACGGCTGTGTTTCAAACATCCACCGTGCTGTTCTTACATCTCCCTTTTCAACGTCTTCTCTGTGAACAGTTTTAATTTCCAGCATTTGGCCCGAACCATCTCTAATAACATATAATGGTTGAGTTTCGAAACATTTTATACTTCTTTTAACATTTCCCTTAATTTCTTTGAGCTCAGACCTAAGCTGCAGTAAATGAACCTCATCCACTGAATGAAGCTGTCCAAGTTGATCTAGATGTTGAGTTTCAAACATGTATCTCACAGTCTTGACATCCCCCCCAGTTATGTCCTTACTGATAGTTACCGCTGATTCTTCTTGACTTTGATGCATTTTATTCATTGAGTCCAATGGCCTTGTTTCAAACATCCACCGAGCTGTGCAGACATCTCCTCTGGCTAGCTCAGGAATTTTCTCTGCATTTTCTACAGTGTCAGAAGAATAAGCCCCAAGTGTGTCGATGGGTTGGGTTTCAAACATCCATGTGGTATATTTCACATCACCACCAGCAATGATTTCTTGATCAGCAATGCCCCTGGAAATATCACCTTCATCAGGAGAGCCATTGTTGATGGAATCCAATGGTTGATTCTCAAAGATCCATCTAATGGACTGCACCTCTCCCTTCAGAATTTCATCCCATTCCAAGTATTCTCTTTCTGAGTTCAGATCTTTTTGAGAACTGTCATTTGTGTTTTCAAAAACATACCGGGCTTGTTGCACATCTGCTGAGACTGAACTCCCTGAGTTCATTTGACTAGAAACAATCTCAGAAACTTCACTGATATAATCTTTTTCTAAGTTTTTTCTTAACTCAGGATGGATGTGTTTATATAAACGGTTTAATTCATACAAATTTCTTTGCTTGGAATATACATCTTTGGGGACTGGTAGTCTTCTAGGAGGACTGGGCAGTTCAGGGGACTGGGAAAATGCTGTCACATCTACTGAAGTTTGAAGTACGTCAGGTGGGGGAGGAGGAAATTCTTCTGTCATTCCTGAAGAAGTAGCATTAATTTGTGCCAGAGTTGAGGAAGTGACACTGTGATCACTATATCTTGTAGTTGATGTTTCCTTCCTCTGGCTGGTTGAAACGCAAGAAGTGGAAGAGGTACTCACAACTGATGATGGCTTGAAAGTCTCTTCATATTCACTTTCAGTCTTTAGGGGAGAGAAAATCAAATCTTATAAAGGTGAGTGTAGTGGCAGAGGCTTCCTAGGCACTGCCCTTCATTGGTCTGTAACCTGGACCCTCCTATGATATCTCCATTGGGAACAATATGTGATATACTCATTTAAAGACCAACTTAGGAATAATAGTCAATATTTGTCACTATCTCTCCTATAATCCATTTTTACTTGTAAAGTTATATTTGCTATTCAATGCAACAAGGACTCAATATTTTAAAATTTACACATAATCGTGATTCTTTTTCCCTTAATGTGGTATGCAGAGTAATCTAGAGGGAAACAGTAAAAGTCTTAAAGTACTTTTGAGGGTTGTTTCATTTTCCTTGGAATTTAAAACAGAACAGAGTAAGCATCTGGCATTTAAAATTGATTTAATTACTTTAATGTTAATTATTAGACTTTAGAACATATATAATTTTTTCATCCCTTATTTTCTGCTAGTGAGAAAAGTTTTTACTCTACCTCCTTTTGCATGCAGGTCAATATTCTCCTTACAGAACTGAATAAATGCCAGTTCAGAATTTTTTTTTGTTGAAAAGCCACCTCAAGTATTCAATAATTTGAAAATGTTACACATTTAAGCTTGGTCTTACACTTAGTATGTTTCTGTGTAAAGAAATGACTTTACCTTAATCTGCTTGGCTGGGGTTGTCATCTCTTTGTCAGAATAAAGGATCTTTTCCTGGGCAGACTTTTCAAACTGCTCTTTTAACAACTTAGTCGAAACCTTTGGAATCTCTTCATCCTCAGGTGTATCAATGACTACAAACAGAAAAACACACCAGGGTTACTATGTAATTACTAAAAATTATGTTTAAGAAGAAATTATGGCTGGGCATGGTGGCTCATTCCTGTAATCCCAATACTTTGGGAGACTGAGGTGCGAAGATTACTTGAGCCCAAGGGTGTGAGACCAGCCTGGGCAACATAGCCAGACCCTGTCTCTACAGAAATTATTAAAAAAGATAAAATTATAATGCTATGGGAAACTTCTCACAGTGTACATTAAGTAAAAAGATTCAAGGTACAAGCATGCATATGGCATTATTTCATTATGTAATTTAGGAATATAGGAAGAACTATAGTAAGACAATACAGGAAGAAAAATGTTGGTTATCTCTGGATTTTCCAAATTTTCTACAAGTATGTTCTACTTTTATGCTCAGGAAAAAATAATAAAATGTATAAAACAAGAAAAGGAATTTCAGAAGACCTACTTCCTTAAGCAACAAAATCAAAATAAAGATATAGTCATGTAATCAAGTAAAGTTTCGGTCACAGTTGGCTTAAATGTTTTTTTTTTAGCTCTTCAGGGTAGCAAAACCCATTCCATTTTTATAGACAAGACAAACTATGTCCAGTCTTGTGCAAACTTGCAGAAATTTGGCTGTAGTCTAATCTCATATCTACAGGTTGGAGAGCCAGACTTAATAGTACTTAAATCTGTTATTAAAATTAATTCAGTCTAGATAACAACTCTATTCTCAGGGAGCTTGATAAACATTAAGTTTTACTGTAGGTCCCTGAGGCAAAAAGGAATTCAGAGGTGGTTAGCTTTAGGGTTTAGAATGGATATATCATAGGACTGATGGCCAATAAACTATTTTAGAAACTTATTGCACCTATGACCACAGGCAAAATCTAATTATTTGTAGAAATACTACTCAGCTCTCCCTGGAACCATGAGTCATAGTTACTAAAGTTACTCAGAGGGGAGGACTGTGCTTTGGAAGTCATCCATTCAAAATCAAACACATCAATAGGAGAAAGGAGTATTGGAACCAATAATACCAGACTCTTACCAGTTTCTTGAACATATTGATGAAACTGAGATGCTTGGTTTACTTCCTCGGTGTGCTTTTCAAGATGAGAGACCTGTATTTAAAGAGAATTTGAAAATAAATTGTTTTTAAGAAGTCAATTATTTTAGTACTACAAATAATACTCTTCATTTTACAGTGATTTTCACCCAAGACTTTAGTGTACATTGAGAGATGCTAATTAAGCTGCTATCATTTATTTTAATACATAGATTCGCTTATAAAAGAATATATTTGAATTGACATCCGAAGAGGAATCATACTTTTATAGGGTGCCTATTTTACATTCATTTATTTATTTATTGAGAAGGAGTCTTGCACTGTCACCCGGGCTGGAGTGCAATGGCGCGAACTCGGCTCACTGCAACCTCCGCCTCCCGGGTTCACGTGATTCTCCTGCCTCAGCCCCCCGAGTAGCTGGGATTACAGGCACATACCAGCACACCTGGCTAACTTTTTTTGTATTTTTAGTAGAGACAGGGTTTCACTATGTTGGCCACACTGCTCTTGAACACCTGACCTCATGATCTGCCTGCCTCGGCCTCCCAAAGTGTTGGGATTACAGGTGCAAGCCACCGCGCCTGGCCCTATTTTACTTTTAAAAGAATTCCAACTTGAAAGTGGAGAAAGAAACACTGATAGGTATTGATACTAGATACATGAGTGACAATAAATGCAAATGCTTACAACAAAGTCATAATTTCCATACAGTCCTGGAAACTGTTTGAAAGTACTGCCTTTCTAAATAGTTACCATTTCTGTTCCATGAACATCAATTTTCTGTACTTTGGACCCTTCTTGTTCATTTCTTGCCATTTCCTGGCTGCTTCTTGAAGTGCCAACCTGGCTGCTATGAATTGCCTCCTGAAAGCACACAGACAGACAGACAATGCCTTAAGAAAAGTAAAAATTTTAACTTTTTTTATTTGTGCAATTTCAGTGACAATTTCTGAAAAAAAATGAGATTCTTTAGTATATTAGTTTTCTTGGCTGCTATAACAAATTACCACAAGTTTAGTGGCTTAAAATGGCATAATCTTAGGATCTTATACTTCTATAGGTCAGAAGCCCTGAATGAGTCTTCCTGGGTGTTGGCAGGTATCAGATAGCATGCATTCTGTTCTGCAGGCTGGAGGGGACAATCCATTCCCTTGCCTTTTGCAGCTTCTAGAGGCTGCCCACTTCCCTGGGCTAACAGCCCTTGCCTCTATCAGACTGAGAACTTCTCACACTGCCATCTAACTGACACTGTCTTCCACTTTTAAGGACCCTTATGATTACATTGGACCAACCCAGATAAGCAAATATTATCTCATTGTCATAAAATCATCTAATTAGCAGCCTTAATTCCATCTGCAACTTAATTCTCCTTTGCCATGTAATTTAATGTATTCACAAATTCTGGGGATTGGGACATAGTTATATCTGGAGACCATTATTCTGCCTGCTACACTTAGCAAGCAAAAATGTTAATGATGTATTACCCAGTATGAGAAAGATGAGCCTGAAAAAATATATATGTATTTTTTTTGTTGTTTACAAGCCACATTTTTATGTTACAAAAAGACATACTAGTCTTCAAATTGGCCATCCAGTACAATGACATATCCAGAGTTCAGTTGAAGAATATAACCATTAAATGTAACCAATATAAATTATTATGCTAGTTTATGTCTCCCTATCTTCACATGTGGAACTACTCTTAATTTTGGTTAAGTTAGAACAGTTGAACCTGAATGAATTGCAAACTTGGAGCTCCTATTAATTTTGGTGATCCAGTCCTGCTTTTACTACAGAATATGATTCTGACACAAGTATATGATTGATTGATTGATTGATTGATTGATATGATGAAGCAGTTAGCATACTGCTAAAAATCTTAACATTCAAAAATAAGGATACAGACAGATGACTCTTTACAATAACATGTTTTTGAATGTGCCTGAAGGTGGGACTTCACTTTTATCTTGATATCCAAATGAATAATAAATATTATTTTTGAGATTTGACTTTTAAAAATTTGTCTTAGTATAGAATAGTCAAGTGAGCATGGGTATATTATCATTATTAATTAAAATAGTATACTAAAACGTTTTTTGCAGTAAGTTAAAACACTTTACACTATCAAATCCCAATATCTTAAACTAATAATTGGTATAAAATTAATGCCAGTAGATGTATGAGACTTTTTCCCTCAAGGGTATTTGGTGTACAGGGTTTAAAATCTCATCAACCAAGGAGCAGTTAGTCATGTAGTTAGAGATGTTATAGTAAAATCTGATCTTATGCTTTTCTAGGAAGGAGAATTAAGAAAAAAATGTTGAGGCCTTCCTAGAAGTCCTACAAAAAGCCAAAGACAAAATATGGACTTACACGTTTAAATGTAGATTGTATCTCATTAAATTGAAGACCACTGTAATTTTTTTTCCAAGCAGAATGCTTCCTAGGCATAGTTAATAATCCACATATTTCAAGTGATATTTGATAATATGTTTAACACACAGTTTGTGCTAAGGAAAAGTTCACATAATGAATAAGTGAGGAATGCATACATGAATAAGATAGCAAACTTTCACTGATACATTAATTCTATTCAAACACCTACTTGCGAGGAATGTTCTCAAAACTGAGGATAGAACAATGAACAAAGTGCTTTAGTTTCTTGAGAAGGATCCATATTCATTCCTTCAAGTTCAAAGAATCAGAATTCCATATAACAAGGTGCCTTGCATAATCAAGTTTTATTTGAGGCTACCAATAGCATTATGCTAGAGACAGCAATAACAATCATTGACAACTGCAGATATAAAAAAAATGCATGGGCACTAATGACAGCTCTTTACCTCTGTGACAAGTCTTTCCATCTATTAGGCATATAGTGGGAATATTCTATGGCTTTCTTATGCACACACTGAGAAATAGGAAGTACCAATTAAACAGTGAAGTAGCAAAGGAGAATGTGCACCTGATCAGAACCAAGGTCCCTATGAGGGGCACCGTGATCATTTCTATAGAATCATGTCTCCGCCTAGAGGCCTACATGCCCGCTGAGGCCTGGGGATGTGCTTTATTTGGCCCACACAGTGATTTTAAAGTTTCGAATTAGGTAACATCTACAAAAATAAAAAATTTTTTCTGCTTTTAAAAACTCTGAAGACATGGTAACACTGTGTTCATATTTTAACATGGCAGAGTCTGGCTTTTAGTTGGGCATATACCTTGTAGTTGGCCACCATCACTATCACTTGCTAATATTTAAGAGCAAGATGACATTTAAAAAAAAAAGCAACAAAACTTGTCTGGTACCCATGGAAATTTGAGTTTCAGATACCTGCCACCAATCTGAAAGAGTAGAGTTAGTGACATAAATCTCTGTGTTGAGAAAAATGCAAAATATTTGGAATAGAAAAACTGTAAATAAATGTAATTTTGACACATATTTTAAAAGTTATTTTCTGGGACAAACACTTTGTAGTTAATATGTATCTACTTGAGTAAAAACAATCTATGCCTATCATCTGTAAATATGTTTTCTTGTAGGAGATGACACAAAATAAACAGTACAAATGTACATAAATTTTGTTTAAAGTCGTAAGTTTCTACTTCAGCATTTATGTGCTATTTCCAAATAGAACTGTAATTGCCATACTAGTTTGGTATGTTAGCATCAATGCATCAATTTTACTGCCCTCTAGTTACTGTAACTTACATAAAATATTCCTTAAAATATCCCAAGCTTTTGTTTCTACCATTTACTGTTGCATATTTTGCAACTAGTTTAGTTTGGATTTAAAATCTGACTTTCTAATTGTTGGTGTCTATAGAGTATAGGGTTAGGTAGAAAGCTGGATCATCGTAATGCTCAGGCAGAAATCAAATTAAATAAAATGTTATAAACAACTCTGTTCGGGTCACCATTCATAAATTCACACCAATAATTCATAAAATTGGTTGCTGAAAATTAAATTTAAATATAGACCAGTCTGCAAGAGACAAATGTTATTTTGTTCACAGGTCAATTAACCAGTATTCAGGAATGGGAGATTAGTCCTAACTCTTTCCTTTACTAGGTATGTTATAATCTTGGGAAAAATCATGAAGTCACACTTAAACTCATGTCTTTCATCTCATGAGGCATTAAAGGAAAGAAAAAGAGATGATGTATATGCTCTAACTTTGAAATCTAAAAAAGAAAATGCAGTACAACAGCAAGACAATATTATGGTGTTTGCATAGCTCACATCAGTCTGATGTCAGCTTATATATTAACCAACTATATCACAAAAATCTATTGTTGATATGCACATCTTCTAAGGAGATTTCTCCTGCACAGGAAGCAGTTCGTATCCTGCCTATTCAACTTTTCATTCTTATATCATTATAGGGAAAGACATTGTAAATTTCCCAATAAAATTGCAAACTCATTCTAGTGCAATGAGTAAGGAAAAAGGACAGGCTTTAAAAAAACTTTTTTTTTTATGGCGACTCACTATTATTGTGACTCTTGGAAGTATATCCAATAGAAAAACCTATGGGGAAAGACTGGCAGAATAGTAGAGGGTAACTGTCTCACTAGAGTGGAAAAAACGGAAGTTCATGTTCAATGCCAGTAATACAGCATTTTTACTAATCTCATTTTTAATAAAACTAGAAACAGTTATGATATATTAATGTTATTTACATCTTTGTCAAACAGACATAAACAATACCAAAAACAGGCTGTTCATGTGAGCAAAAATGTCAGTGGATTCAAGCTTTGAAAGAATAATCAGTTCATTTTTTCTTTTAAGTGATGAGCATAGCAATTTGTGGGTGACCATTGTGATTGTCTGGATTTAGATACATTAAAATTCAAACATTGAATTTTTTCCTTTTGCCCTGAGGTTTCTCTTTTTATTTTTATTAATTTTCTCTTAAAAATTACAATATGCAACTTGACATCTCTAAGGTGTGAGCTTTATGTAAAGGCTTTTCCACATTCATTATACCCTCTTAAAGACTTAGCTCAAAAATTACTTTCTTTTTGAAACCTTTCCTGACTTCTATACAGGGTGCACTATTCTTGCTTTTTCTATTCCTGTGATATTAGCACACATCTGTATTATCTACCTATCACATTTCATAGTCATCATTTGCTAATATGATTCTCTCCTTTAACAGAACTCTGTCTATCACATGCATCCTCAAATCCCAATGATTAGCTTCCAGGTACACAGTAGATAGCCAATAAAATGTCAAGGAGTAAATACATGGGTAAATACAGTAGTCACTTTTTTTTAGTAGTGTGAAAATTTTATAATTTTTAATCTGCTTTCAAAATTGAGATTCCAAATTCTTCCATATAAACCTATGATTTTTTTTGTTGTTGTCATTTTGGTTGGTCATCCCTTTCACACTAGCAATAATATATCAATCACTTTACAAAGTGCACTCAGAAAGAGGAGTCTCTTCACAGATGTTCATAGATCAGAACATCTATGGAAAAATATGTGCAGTTCTGTGATGCTGTAAAGGGTAGCTGACACCATCAGAGCAAGAAGAAGTCTGTACCAAGAAAGCAATAAATACACTAGAAGCCCAGATCCCACCATTATGCAATATATCCATGTAACAAACATGCACATGTACCCTCCTGAATCTAAAATAAAAAATCTGTGTACAAAGAGAGCAAACACATACACAGAGGTAAGGATTCTTTCAACATAGGAAAAGAAAAAGATATTCATGATGCTAAACAAACTCGTTTCTATGTTGTTTTGTGAATTGTTATTCACTGAGTTAATGGATTTGACATGTTGTCAAGGATCATATAGAAACTGTAGTGGGATGCATTGGGCAGAATTACTATGACATTGAATAACTATGTTGAGATATTTATGATGACACTGAAAGACAATTATTTATCTTCATTTTTTATTTATAAAAATAGGAAAATAACATTAAGGGAAAAGAAGAGTTAAGGCAATTCCAAGTCCTAATTCTTTGTGTGACTCAATATGCTCAGAAGTAAAGGCTCCAGTTTTACTTAATTCAATAGTAACTCTGCCTAAAGTTATGAGAGTATGCTAGTTGGATTATTAGCTCTTAAACTGATAATGTTAAAACATTCAAAACATTTTAATGTAGTGACTTTTTTCTTTGAAAGCACTAAATTTTTAAACAAGAGTGACCTTGTAGAGCTTCACTCATGCATTTATTTATTCAAACAATAGTTATTGAACATTGGTTATCTCAACGGCATTGGGCTAGGCATTGTCAGTATTGTTTAATACATTCCTGTGATCATATCTCTATCTATGCAATATATGTAAATATATATATATATAATTAATGATATAAAAAGGCTCAGTTAGCTTGAAATTCCCTTGAAACAAGAATGCCAAATATATACCAAAGCATGAATTATGCAGATATATTGCATAAATTTCTGAGAGAAGTGTTATCATTCCATTAATTTTAACTCTTCTTTGACTCAAAACGATTATGCTTTGGTAATATTTAGCTAGAAAGAGCAAAGAATCATTTTTAATAAAGAAAATAATTGGCTTAAAAGTACAAAATTTTGCTGTCAAAAAAGGGAGGATTCTGAATAAGCAATGCTAGTTTTAGCTGCTAGAACTCTGTCTCCTCCTGCTCTAAAAGTATTATTTATAGAGCTATATTCCAGAGGCCCAAAATTCTGAAGATTCATAAAAAGAACATATAAAAGATGCACTCTCAACTGAGTCGTCAAACATATTAGTCATATAAATAACAATATTTATTTGACAAACTAAAAATGCAGCTTACATAAAGACATTCAATTCACAATAAAGAATGCATTTCAGAAGTTTTACGTAGATGTATATTAAAGATATATATGTATATAATATTTCAATCCAACATAGACACAAATAATCTTAAAACCAGAGACACTAGGATATAAATAAACATAAATGTCCAACAAAAGGCTGAAACTTAGAGTCTTACAGGGAAATGAAATTACAGATAAAAAGTTTACAAAAAAAATAAAATATTCTAAAGAAAAAGAAAAACAGAGGTAACATGTGTCCTATGCTAACTAATACCAACCAAAATCGAGAAACAGAACTCTACCTCTTGATTACCATCCCTTCCTCACCAATATCCAACTGATTTCTATGTCCTACCAATGCTATCTATTGTTATTTAAATGACCCTTGAGTCTGTGCCCTCTTTACCCTAGAACTTCAGGCCCATTTAAGTCCTCATATATTTAATCTGGACTATTTCAGTAGTCTCCTAATTTATCTTCTTCCATCTCACCTTAACCTGCTTTGTATCAATCTTATACAGCCAGAATAATCTGTGTTAAAGACATACCTATTCATCTTACTCTCCTGTTTAAGTTGCTTCAATGGCTCTTGATTGCCTTAGAAGAAAGTAAAAATTCTTTAACATGACATAAAATTTTATTTATTATCTGGCCTTTGCCAAAATCTCCAGCTTTATGCCTCAATTATTCCTCACTACACTCACAAATATATCATGCTGTTTTACCTTTTACACAAATTGTCCCTTTGCATAGAATGCATTCTATAGGCATGAAAAATTATTTCAAGTTTCAGCTGAAACATTCTCCCTCATCAGATGTCTTTCTTAATCATCTTTCACCTGAACTAAATTTTATCACAACTTCCTGGGGTTCCAATGAGCCTCATTTATATTTTCTATCATAGAATTGGACACATTGCACTTGTAATATTTGTTCTCGATCTGTCTCTCTAATAGAGTGAGCTCCTTGAGTGCAAAATAATGTCATACACATAATTGAATCTTTCGTGCCTGACATATGGTGGGTGCCTAATGATTATCAGCTCCTTAGAAAAGTAAATAAATCTAAGGCCCAGCCTCTAGAGTCAGCCTTCCTGGGTTAGTATCACATTTGCTCACTTTTCTTGGAAAAGTTACTTAGACCTCTCATGCATCCATTTCTTGTTCAAAAAACCAAATAATAATACTGCCTATCTCAGAAGGTTGTTGTGAAGAAGAAATAAGTTAGTATATTTTTAAAAACCTGGCTCACCAGTGCTACAAATACCAAAGTGTTTGGTATCTTTACTTAACAAATATTTATTGCACACTTGTGTCAGACATTTTCCTAGTAATTCAGGATTTGGTAGTAAGCAAGGCCCTCCAAAAGACTGAGTAAAACTAGAGTTCAGCTACATCAATGAATTTTACCAGAGAATTTCATTGTAGAATTAAGTCCAGAAACTAAAGAAGAAGCAAATCTCCCAATATGTACATTTTTTTTTCTCCACCAGAGAAGGTGTAGATTTAGGGGGTTACTCAAAGAGAGAAGGAAAAAGGAGCCTGTATGTATTGTGACACTTCCAAACCATTCTGGCTCCTGACATGTGGAAATATTCTGTAGAGATATAGCCAGAGAGCGGGTTTGTGATCACCTATCCAATTTATTTACACTTCGTCTTTCATGAACTCATACCTAGTGAACAGTCAGTTTATAATGATTTAATCTATTACACAATTCTTTCCACGATTCTTCTTTGCCTAAAAGATACTGTTGTATGATTCCCATTTTGACAGTAAAAAACATTAAGATTTGTAGATAATTTATCTTTATATCAGTCACAGCTCCCAGTTTCAAGCATTGGAGTCTGACTGATTTAAACAGAAAAGGGAATTTATTGAAGAGGCAATGGGTGGCAGGGGTGGAGAGTGTATCTCAAGAAATCTCCAGGAAACTGGAGAATAAGACTAGGAGGATTTGTATCCAGTAACAGTACAGAATATAGTTGCAGAGACATCTGGTAAACTTACTCTGGTTGCTGCCACCGGCCCCAGACACATTCACTGACAATGCTATCAATAGTGTGTACTGGATGTTGCTTCTGAAATACTTATAAATTTCTTGAAATTGGAGTAATCTCCTGCCACCAGCCATTATCAAAATTGATTGTCTATGGTCCCTGCTTCTCATGTCACTAACCTCTTATGCAAAGCCCAAGATGGAGATGATCAGTATAGTCTTTTCTGCACACCTGGATCCTAGACATTAGGAAAGCTAGGAGAGTGAGTGTATGGTATTTGCAGTTTCTGTTAGTGGTGGCTGGTTCGACCTCATTGGGTGGTAGAATAGAAAATGGTTTTGATGTAAAAAAAAAAAGAAAACTGTCCATTAGCCTTCCTAAGAAATATTATTTATGAACACTGAGATCTTCTTAACCAAATGGAAACCAGTTAAAAGCACAAGAAAAGGGGTGCCACTCATTTTTGACAATACATAACATAGTAGAAAGCACTATCCAAATCTTACTAAAAAAAACTGATTTGGGCTTATTTTTTGGTAACGTATGTTCCATGAGACGTTACAAGGACATGTAGGAAGACTTTGAGACAGTGCAGTTTTCCTGTTAAGGGTATCATAAAGAGTTGCTGTTATACTGAATTATACAGACCTCCCTCCCTCTTTCAGTGTCCCTCTGAGTTTTTATGGCCATCAGTCCTTTTCACTGGGAGAGATGACATTTTAAATCCTTATATAAAATCCAAATAAGAAGGAAGAAAATTAATAAAACAGATCTGGCTTGGATCTAAGCATTGCAAGGTTATCTGCACAAACATGGCATCACAGGGCAGTTATTAATTATGACAAAAAATGATAACTTGTGTTTTCTTTAAAATAAGGAAAATGAGGAAAACTGAAAAGGTAATAATTTGTAATTGCACTAATGAATGTATCTACGAGCAACTAGGGGAGTTGGTTGTAAGAGATTGGCGTGGTAGGACTGTTGCGTTATGGCCAAAATTCATTACTGGTTCAAGTAAGAAATCACGTAAATAAGTCTTAACTAATTTCAGTCTCAGTATCTTCGCTGGTAAACTGCTGGGACAGAGGCTGAGGGAGCACTGAAGGAGACAGGAAGGGCTACCTTTGATCAAGTGTTGTTAAGTCTCAGGAAAAGTAAAGTACAAGGCCCTTTACAGTTGAATAATGTCAAATTTCTTCACGGCTCTTCCGTGCTAGCATTCTACATGTTGATTTCAAATGAATTTAACCAGTAAAAGTGGTTTAGGGAAGAATGCTATGCAAGTTTTTAAAATATCAAAGATATATCATGAATATAGTATACTAGCTAGAATCCCATCAACAAGATATTTTGAATTAATATTTTTAACACCTAAAGTCAATAAGTGATGCATTCAACATGCATTTGTGAGGTACTTAGCATATAGACTTGATGATACTATTTCTTATTATCATAATCCCTTATGTAGAAATGAAAGGCCCACATTTTGAGGAAGGGAAGGAAAAGGAATTCAGGGAAGAAATGAAAACTTCTTTCTTGATCTCAAAAACAACAACAAAAAAGAAACTATGACGGTGGGGGTTATTTGTTTACAGTGTTAGAATGATGATACAAAGTGTTTATGGTAAAAGATTCACAAAATGAACCCCAACCTAAAGTACTGACTTCATTGAAGTTCCAACAATCTCTCCCAATGTTTTTAAACACTGCTATACGTTGAATTGCTATTAGATTATTGTAATTTGTACTCTGAGGAAAAAGAATAAATTTCAAATGCTACAGAATGTTGTACCAATATCCCTAGAGGGCACTGATATTCACCCAAGGGTAAGCAAGTTTGACTGAGCTCTTGGCTCCCCATCTGGTATCCATCTAGTGGTAGGTACATAAGGTGTACTGTCCTTCTCAAAGAGTGAGAAACTAAGTGGCCTCCACTCATTCCTGAAGAGGTGAACAGTTTCCTCCTTTCCATGCCTAAGTAGATACCCAGGAGCAAAGGAAAAAGAACAAGTCCAAGAAAAAGCTCCTAGCAGAAGATGTAACCTTATTCCTTATTCTGTGTTGTTAAGATCTGTGAAGAAGCTAGGCAAAAATGAAGTTACCCTAACATACGTCTACAACAGCATGGCTCTAGGAACAGAACTTCTTAATGTCTCTTACTTTTTTCAAGCCTTGTGTTCTTCCAGTTTTTTTAGCATGATAATTTGTTTGTAATTATGCAAATTAATAACTAAATGAACATCAAAAAGAATAGAGAAGCTTGACTCAATCCAATCATTTTCAAAGACCCATGAAGATGGGTTTATTTTGAGAAATACAGACCCAGAAGAAGCAGAAAGAGCTAATTATACCTTCTGTCAAGTCTAACAAAAAGCACCCATTTTCATAAAAGTAACTACGTGGAAAAAGCATTTTGCAGATTTCACTAAGTTCTACAAGCATAATGAGTCTATAACATTAATGATTTCTTTTGTTGTTATATCTTTCCTTGATACTGACAAACTAGCAAAATCTAAGAAGTTAAAATTTTGGGGCTTGCCATTTCATTATAGCAATTTGAAAATAGAGTAAATTTAATTAGCATATTAGAATATATTGTCTAAACACTTGAGAATTCTATTTTATATAATTATACAAAAAGATCTGTTTTTATATTGTTAAGCTAATATGAGCCTTCAGATAGAAAGGGCAATAGCAAAATGTCTCCTCTATTTCAACTTTCCCTAGATGTACACTCCCTGTGATCAAAGAAAATATAAAATTCCATTATGTCAAAAGATCTGTATTTTACATCTTTATTAACATCAAATACTTTTTGAGATCACCTAATTAAGTATGGAGGAAACTCTTGCTGTGACCTTTTGTCTTTGGGGGAAAGGGTCTAGGTGCTACTTCCTCAACAACTCAGGGCCTTGTGATGAGAACAGCAGCACTTCTTTTTCCCCAAAGCAACCCCAATTTATTTTACTTTAAAGGAGTGAAGGATGTATCTGTAAGCATACATTTCTTTTCTAAATGAAATTGAAAATAGGTTCTATAGGAACAAATAGGTTTATAGAGACAGAAGGCCCATGATGCTATTAAGAAGAAAAGTTGTGGTATTGGTACTTGAATAATTGGGGTAAATGCTGTTCCTACAAATCCTATTTTGGAAAATAAGTAAAATGAATCGTAGAAAGAAAAGAAACCAATGATGATTTTTTCAAAGCAATTGGATCTGTGCTTGCAACTCAGTCTTACTAATGGATATTTGCGCTATCCACTGAGGCTCTGACTTCCTGAGAAAAACGGCCAGGGCACCCTCTACACGTTAATGTTTCTAACCACCTGCCAAGTCACCAGGAAGATTAGTGTACTTAGTTTTTTTTCAGCAAAGTAAAAGAACCCAGCTGAATGGACACACTGTACAGACTGCACCATTTCCCCAAGAAGGTGTTCTGCAAAAGACACAGGTAGAATGTCTGCCTGTGTCTTCACATTGTGGATTGGGAATGAGTTTCCTTTTATGATGTTGTACTGGAATGGCCTACCATGTTCCCATAGGGGAAGGAGGAGTCAATCCCTCTACGCATTAGCAGTGTAACTCATATACCAATAGGTTCTGCAGGAAGAAGGTGAAATGGCTTCTTACAAGTTGCAAAGGGACTGTGACTGAAACTTTATGATCATGCCTCAGCAGACAGTTAGCAACTACCAGCGGCTTCATTTGGGACTAGCAGAGGTTGAGAGTTATAGTGTGTGGCTATAATGTAATGTGATTCATGTTAGTAGAACACAGAAGACAGTCTGATTATATTTTATGGGCACATCTTCAATCCCAGGAAAAGTCCACACAGTGGTTTAGTTATGTTAAGATCTAAAAGACTATAGGCAGTTTCACTACATTATTTGATAAGGTTTTTTACTTTATAATTAAGTAAAGCTCTGTCTTTCATGAAACAGTATTATTGGTACAGAAATATCAAAGATACAAACCCAAGACACGTTAGATGTATAGGTTGCATCACCCTATGAAAATAAATTTTTAATGAAAGATTGCAAAAAAAATTGTAATGAAGTAAAGTTTCAGTCTTAATTAATTATTGGTGTATCAATCTAATAAATTAAAAAAATTCCTTTATTTTTGTTCTGATTGTTTTGTTTACTTTTAATGTTTTAACATATTTTCCTTCAGTTAATTTATATCATTCTATCATTTATTTTATTAGAAAATTTTTTTTGAGACAGGGTCTCACTTTGTCTCCCAGGCTGGAGTGCAGTGGTGTGATCATGGCTTACTGTGGCTTTGAACACCTGGGCTCAAGTCATCCTTCCACCTCAGCCTCCTGAGTAGCTGGGACTACAAGCACAGCCACCATGCTTGGCTAATTAAAAAACATTTTTTCTTTTGTAGAGATGGGGTTTTGCTATGTTGCCCAGGCTGGTCTCTAACTCCTGGCCTCAAACGATCCTCCCACCTTGGCCTCCCACTTTGGCCTCCCAAAGTGCTGGGATTATAGGCTAGTTTATTTTTAATATTCTAATATGTCATATATATGCAGAAACTACTATTTCAATATAGTCTACCACCAGCAAAGGAATTACCTGGGATTAGAGTATCAGTAAATTGGTTGTTTGCTTGGCTAATATTTATTATTTTTACCATGATTTCTTTAAGCCTTTGCTTTCTCTGGATTCTTCACAGTCTCCTATTCTATTTTTTGACTGCAGTAGTTATCTCAAGAGAAATGTCAACATAAGAAGAAGGTCCCTGCTATCAGAGTGTGAACAGAATGACGTGTGCACGCAATAAGCCTCAGATCAGAAATCAAGAAGGGAGAGGTCAACCCTGGGATAGCAAATCCTGCCTTATGTTTGTACTGTCATAGTCATTGCTGTACATTAGAATCACCTAGAGAGCTATCAAATCCCCCTGCTCCTTGATCATGCTCCAGAACAATTAAATCAATTACCTGGGCCGCCTGGGGATTTCCAGTGTACAACCCGGCATAAAGAGGGCTTAAATGCTCAGAGTTCCCACTGGGATTCCATGCCCCAGCTGAACAAGGAGGATGATTTGATTCCAAATCTTTGTAGAGTCATGATAAGGGTAGGAGGTGATGTTTCGGAAGCTTGGAAAAGATGCCCTGTTTCAGGCCCAGAGAGATGTGGGAACCTACAGACAGAGAACTCTTCGAAACTTGCTACCACTACATCCCTGTAGCATAACCCAAAGAAGCCTGGGTAGAGTGGGAGTAGGGCTTTGTGAAGAGTGTGGGGTGCATTTTAGAGAGATCAGTCTCATGCAGGCTTTTATGAGGGCAAGGGAAAAATGAATGGTTTGTTGGGGCTTGAAGAAAAGGCTTTTCTATCTTTCATCTTGAGAAGTGCAAGTCCTCGTGTGGTTGCTTTGTGTTTTTGCTTTTGTTTTCCACACAGTTGGTCTAGGCAGTTCTAAATGCAGTTAATTTACTTCATAACTTGAGCAAGAATCTTCTTCATAGAATATAATTCTGTTGATTCAATTTCTACAAAAAAGAGCATGGGATCCTGCCACAATCTACAGAGCTATAGGGAAGGTGGATGTGGGTAGGAAGAGAAGAGACACAGATTGAGTAGTAGGAGAAAACCAGCTGCAAAATGGCAAGGAAGCAGCGCCATGGACACAGTTTTGAAAAGTGGTAATAAAATGGGCAATTATGAGCATGGCAAAGATAATTTTGAATGCAAGAGTAGTGAAAAAAAGTCAATTCCTGAAATATGTATCTCCAAACCCCCAGTGGGATCTGCGTTTGCATTTCCACTTCTTGCAGAATTGAAAGGAAAACCGAATTACTAGTATAGAGCAAAGCTGATTTGCTGTATGGCATAGTCAGGAACTGAGACGTCCCATTAATAGATAATTTCAGTCATCTGAATTCTGCATCAACCAGCTCGTGCAGATCTGGCTGTATGAATATTACTGATGATAAATGGTTGAGGCTATTTTGCTCTATTTAGCAAACTCTTGGTCTTCCAATTCCGCTTCAGCATTAAAAAGTTAATCTTATTGTGTTCTTTTCATCATCAAAGCCCACTCAGCCACAGGCACCAAGAAAGAGCTGTAGAGGATAAACAGATTAAAGGGCCTAGATTTGGAAGGAAAAATTCAGTGAAAGATTTGTTATGAGAATTTTAATTTTTACCAGAGTAAGACTGCTGAATCTAATCTGTCTATGAGCCTTATTTATATGCCTCTTGAGAACAATGTTTGTGCTGTTTTTGTTCTTTGTTTTCTTGAGATCAAGCTGAGACCCTGCTATGATCACTCAGCCTGTGGAAGGTTCATGAGTATTTGCTGGCCTATCTGCAGAAAGGTCTATGTGATTCCATCACCTGTGTCGAAAAAAAAGCAACAGTTCTCTGGCAAATAAGGGTCCTTATTTCTGAGCATGTTGATCAGACACTGGCTTTATTCTATTAAGACCGTTATAGAAATATACTGACCTTCATTGTTCCAACTGCACAAACCAGAAAATGTTACAAGGTAGATTTTTCCTCTACCTTTTCTTTCCCTTCCATACATCAACTAAAATGTGCTGAGAAACCACATATGCAACACTCACACTTGTAAGCATTGAAAAAAATCAACATCCCTTCAACTCTTCCTCTTTTTCTCTTCTTTTCAAACAGCATAGCTTTTCCTCTCCTACCTAATTCAATTTGTATATTAATTATATTGTTTTCCTTTCAGTAGTATCTTGCCACTATACTATAAATAAAGCAGTCTTCAAAAGCAATGCTATGCTATTTATTTGTTCCCACTTAAGAAAACAAATTTTTATTTATTGTGAGGCTCCAACATACCTATATAGAGTGTTTGAAGCATATTTCTTTCTTGGTCCACCTTATCTTGTCATTTATTATAGTTGGGGTTAAACAATTTTCTTCAAAAGAAGACTTGCTATTATAATTTTTAAAACACACACTAGAGTTACTGATTACTCCACAATGACATATGCTCAAAACACGTACAGGTATGCTCATTTCAAGCTAATCTTTGGATAATGGAGCTCCTAAAAAACTATTATCTCCCAGGGCTAAAGAACAGAAAAGAAAGCCAAGGTGTGAGGCACAGAACATGATAATCCTTCTTTGTCTTTTTACATACACATTTGTGAATCATACGCTATTTTGAGAATAATTGCCACTTGATTATGTCCCCTCTTGGCTTAAGGGTCAATATTTTTAATGATAATAGCTGGGGTTTATTAATCAATTAATATATGCTAGGCAATATACTAAAAGATTTATATGGACATTTTATTCTTAAAATGACCTGTTATTATTTTAGAAGAAATTAAATGGTGCTATGGTTTGAAGGTTTATCCCCTTCAAAATTCATGTTGAAATGCAATTGCCAGCCTGGGCACAGTGGCTCATGACTGTAATTCCAGCACTTTGGGAGGCCAAGTCGGTAGATCACTTGAGCTCAGGAGTTTGAGACCAGTCTGAGAAAAATGGTGAAACCCCATCTCTTAAAAAAAAAACAAAAACAAAAACAAAAATTAGCTGGGCGTGGTGGCATATGCCTGTGGTCCCAACTACTCAGGAGGCTGAGATGCAAGTATTGCTTGAGCCTGGGAGGTAGGGGTTACAGTGAGCTGAGATCACACCACTGCACTACCACCTGGGCAACAGAGCAAGACCCTGTCTCAAAATATCAAAAAATGTATTTGCCTTTGTGATAGTATTGGGAGGTGAGAACTCTAAGAGGTAGTTAGTCATGAGGGCACCACCTCATGAGTGAACTAGTGTCATTATGATAGGAGTGAGAGTGAGTTCCCCCTTCTTGTTCTTGCTCCTTCAGACCCTCTCACTTTCTGCCACATTATGACATAGCAAGAAGGTCCTTAACAAGATGCCAGCACCTTGACATTGGACTGTTCATCCTCCGGGAATGAAAGCCGACAAATTTCTTTTTTATAACAAATTAACCAGTCTCTGGTATTCTGTCATAGCAGCACAAAGTGGATTAAAATAGATGGGTAACTCAGGGGATTATAACACAGTCTCTCTGACTCTAGAGCCAGCAGCCCCAATTACTACTCCAGATTGCCTCATTTTGAGTGCTGGTACTTTAAGTTATAAGAATCACTTTAAAATAGTGCTCATAATTAAAAGACAATACAAGATACATTCTTGGTCACAACCTTGTATGTTGATAGAGATCTAGGTTAGGTTGGGGCTGATAATAGCAATCTACGACCTTGAAGAATTATGTACGTGGCAGGGAGCTATAGGCAGGTTTAAAGGACTTAGATGAGAAATGTTTTGCAATGTGGACATTTAGCTGATAAAAATATATTTAGTTTGCTGGAAAATAATTATAGGTCACCTTTAAAGAGTCTAAAACACACAGTAGTCAGATTATATCTGTCACAAGCTGTCAAAAATGTTTTTTATTGACCTAGCATTGTCTAGAGATTGTTCCAAATCTGCATAATCTTACAGAATCCTAGCATTTACATTTTAATTTTTGCAATAGCAGATATATGAGGAAAGATATATACTGTCACTCAGCGCATCAGAGTTAGTGGCAGGGCAAAGGTCAGGAATGCTTTTTCTTCTTGATATAGATTCAGTGCAGCAATTTCATATGAAAGCAAATACCTCAGCACTGGATTGCACTTATTACTTCCAAAATTTTTGGAGCTCCATCTGCTCTTTCCTACTTATGCTACTTAGGAAAAAAAAAGCAACTTGAGGAAAGAAGAAGCTTCTGGGGCTTCACAAAATAATACACAAAGAGCTCCTCAGTACTGCATAAATATGGAGGAAAGAAAAGGAAAAAGAAATTCACTTAAGAAGATGAAAGTCAAATCCTAAGTGTGAGAATGTGGCCACAAAGAAAGTCCTAGACTGCTAATAGGTACAATGTTTCTTTCTGCAAGGATGAGAATATTTTAAAATTAGATTGTGGTGACCCTGCACAACTCTGTAAATATTCTAAACAATCATTGAACTGTATTCATAAAATGGGTGAAAGTTATGGTATGCAAATTATATCTTAACACAGCTGATAAATAAGGAAAAAGAAAAAAAAAGAGGAAGAAAGTCCTAAAAATAACCACACAGAAACCATAGAGTGGGCAAGTGAAAAGTAACTCAGGAGAGAGGCAATGGCAATTTTACATCAATAGCAAATTTATTCTAATATCTGTTCCAGCATATCTAGAGATACCCTTTTAAAGTTGAGTAGATGGATTATTTAGAATGTTTTTCCCAAATGGAGACTGTTACAGTGAGTGGATAAAAAGACACCCCTCTCAAGTTGTCCTTTTCATTCTAGCATTGAGGGCCTACTGATTTTCACTAGCATAAAACACTGAGAATTCAATCCTAAAACAAAAACAGGAGATATGCTGAGTGACTTATAATCCCTTAAAGAGGGTTGGGTTTAATTTATATCTACTGGAAGCATTAATGGTTGTTATGAAAAACAAAATCGAAATGGGTAATGTTAAAAATGGCTAGTATTAACTGCAAAGGCAACCTAATAAAGGTTCCCCAACCTATTCTTTGAAGAAGCTCAACCCTTCCCACCACCTAACTCTCTCCTTCAGAGACCCAGAGTGGCTCCTTTTCCTAATTTTCATAGGCATACTCTGCCGGCTAGCAGGAATATGGCTAACTGTTTAACAGGCAGAACTATAAAAGCATGGCAAGTCTAGAATACATACATGGGACATCATCCTAAGTTTAAAATGTCTGGCATAAATAAATGTTCTTATATTGTGCACCCCTTTTTTCTATTTCAGAACTGCCCTTCCATTAGATGTAAAACAGTCTAATCCATTAGCAAAAGAAGGGATCTTTAATCTCAGAGATAGATTAATTATCAAAATTTGTTTAGGCCAATTGCTGATCTCCCAGACAAACTGTTACCAAATAGTCAGCTAATTACCCTGAAACATCTGACTTCAGTACATTAGGAAGCAAACAGACAGATTGGACTTTATTATTATACCTTATTAAGTTATTACTAATTGTGGCATTAAATATTGTCAGAAATCCAGAACAAATGTTCTTTCTTTTAACTCTAATTAAACTTGATTTCCAAATTAATATTAATTACTATATGTCAAAAAAATAAATATTTTTTGGCCAGGGGCAAATAGCAGGGAAATAAATCTCAAGGACTTTCAACAGCAAAGAGATTGAAAACACTATCAGAATTGACAACATCTTAGGTAAAGACAGAATAAACTACCTGTGTTTACCAGCAAACATCTTGTCCAAAATCCCTGCTGATAAAAGAAGTGATTTTTAGAATGCACTTAGATAGCATTAAAAGTTGGACTATCTAAGACATAGTTTTTCTACATTTTCCCTGCTATAGCCAAATTTGACATTTATCTCAATTTTCCAATAAGGATTACAAATTAAGGCCATTTAAAATAAGACACAAATGACTTTTTCCTTTTTTTTTTTTTTTTTTTTTTTTTGAGATGGAGTTTCGCTCTTGTTGCCCAGGCTGGAGTGCAATGGCACCATCTCGGCTCACCGCAATCTTCACCTCCCGGGCTCAAGCTATTCTGCCTCAGCCTCCCAGTAGCTGGGATTACAGGCATACGCCACCACACCTGGCTAATTTTATATTTTTAGTAGAGATGGGGTTTCTCCATGTTGGTCAAGCTGGTCTTGAATTCAGGTGATCTGCCCACCTCGGCCTCCCAAACTGCTGGGATTACAGGCATGAGACACCGCACCTGGCCACAAATGACTTTTTCTTTTACTTTCCTACAGACTTCTGCATACGGTCTTCATTCAACAAATGGTGTTTACTAGTTTATTCTTACCTGTGTTTCTTTTATATTGTATTTATATTGCCTTGCATTATGGCTTAACTTTATTCAATCCTCATGGAATTATCGGATATTATTAACATTATCTAAAAGTAGATAATGAAACTGAAGTTTAGAGAAGTCACTACAGCTCCAGATTCATGCAAATATTCAGAATTCTAGGGCATGATTTTTATTACTTTCATACACATTCGCAGAGCAGGGACTACATATATTATAATAATAAACTACATTTGCAAGGACCGTAGAGTAGATATATATTTTTGTTTGATTTTGTTTTTACCCAGCATATATTCTTCATTGAAAACCATATGCTGAGAACTTCCATTTAGGGAAACAAGGTACAGAGGTCTAAGCCAATCAGCATCCTCTTGCTACAGCAATTAGATATGTAAGGAGCATGTATATTCCATTCGGAGCCAACAAGATGCTATAAGCCTTTTTCTTGGGACTTCTGGGAAAATGATTCTTACTTTCTCTGCACTCCTTTTGCTACAACCTGGGGGAAACTTGGATGAGAATGGGGCCAACGCAGTGGAAGTGATTCTGAGAGGTTAAGAAGAAGAAATCTGATAAAGGTGATACTTTGTTTACTGTTTGAACAAATATTTGTGTGGAGCTTACAATGGACCAGGCAATGTGTTAAGCACTTCACAAATACTAAATCATTTATTCTTCTAAACAAATCCATGGGGTGGATACTGTCATACTATTGACTTTATACTTAGGGAAACTGAGAGACAAAGATGTTAAGAGACTTGTCTAATGTCAAACAGTTAATAAATAAAGGAGCAGGAATTTGAACCCAAATGACCTAGCTCCAATATCTGTGATCTTAGCCACTTTGCTAGGACCATACTTTAAGCCCCTACATCAATGATAAGGTGATACATATTTGACAGTGTTATTGAAAGAAGGAAAAAAAAAGAAAGGAAGGAAGGAAGGATTTGTTGCATTTGCCAATTTTCCTGGTGTAAATATTCTCACTATGGCTGATTTCAAGCTGTTAGCAAGATAGTGTCTGGTTTCCAAAACTCCCCAAAATTTAATAATTGGAGAGTTGATACAAGCCAGCTCTGGTACTCCACTGGAGCTTACATCAAATCTCCTTTCCCCAAGACTATTTTTTGTAAACCTGTAATATTTCTTTTGGTTTAGGCCATTTTTGGGGGGTTTTCTGTCTTTTGCAGTATTAAAGAGTCTTAACCAATATCAAGTTTCACAGATATGGAAATATTTTCACATAAATTGCTCTTTGTCACATTAAACCTCCATAGTAACCTAATGAGATAGGCAAATCACTCAACAGTTTTTCCATCCTACTCATCAGAAACTGAAGACTGAGGGGGTTATGAATTTGGTCTGTGCAGTACTGTTTACATAGTATGCCAGACCCAGCGTAAAATGAAAACGTAGAGTCCCTTGTTCAAAAGTTGTTGAGAATTTTAAAATGGAGACAGAAGAGTGTTAAACAAAGTGCCTGGAGTACAGGACCCTGTGCAACTGCACAGGTCACACATCCATGAAGGTGGCCCTGGGTCTGTGTAACCCTGAAAAGTAGCAGAGGTGGTGTGTAAACCCAGATCCACAAGCCCCATAGTCCATAGTCCCCACTGCTTCCCTTCAAAGTGAAGGATCTATAAATTCATTACTGATATTTCTATGTAGAATTTGTTATTTAAACTATTAATGATAGTAATATTTTGTATTGTTGACCAGTTTAAACACACACATCTACACTCAAAGACTCCTACATTGCAACAGTTATGTATTAGATCACAAGTATCTTAATCTTAATTTCTTATTTATATTAAGTTTCCTTTAGGTAATATTAAAAAGAAATCTTGCCATAAATTTATTGAGCTACCTATATTGTACATTTTTAACTTTGCAGCCAGAGCCAGAAAAAGGAAACAAATAATCTTTCACATATGAGATTTTTAATCATTCTACCTGATATGCCGCCTCATCCCCTGCCACACATAGCACGCAATTGCTTCATTTAAAAAAATTTAGGCAACTCTATATGTCCCGGGGATTAAAAAAAAATACATCCACTTCATTTCTCACTACAAAATTTAAGAAATACCTCAGTTGCCTCCTTCCT
The DNA here is from genome assembly GCF_000001405.40 of Homo sapiens. Classification (NCBI taxonomy): domain Eukaryota; kingdom Metazoa; phylum Chordata; class Mammalia; order Primates; family Hominidae; genus Homo; species Homo sapiens. The sequence goes on along the minus strand of NC_000002.12, from coordinate 167,218,993 downwards.
CATGGAAAACATGGGCCTAAGTACACCTGTTTACAGTGTAATTACTATTAACATTTTTCAAAGTCTGATGAGTTTTATTACTAAGATTCTCACATTCAAAAATCACTAAATCTCATGACAGTATTTTGTGATATATAATAATGAAATAATGAAATCAATGAAATGGGAAAAAAATTTATATAAGATAACATTTGGAGGTCATATTATGTGGTTTTATGTAACATCTGGGCTCTACTATTCAATGTTTGAGGATTTTAAAGAAAACAGAAAACTCCCCACCACAATAAACAGCTGAATAATGCTTCCAACTTAATCTATGCAAATAACCAGCAGCTAGTTTATTATGAATTATAACCTAGAAGCAGAGGCTCAGTATAAACATTGCTCTCAACAGTTCAATTTACCTGTTGTCTAACCTAGACTATTTAATTTTCATTTATGTCTGAAACATTAGAAGATGAGAGGTAGAATGTCCAGCACAGTCTCTAGAAATTTGGCAAAAATGCTTCAAGTAAGTAAATAAATACATATATATGCTTTAAAGATGATTTTCTAGAACATTTCAAAGCTACAGTGTTTGTTAATGAGTAATGAAAATAAATGTATCACTAAAGAAAGGAGATTTCTACATTGGCACCAAAATGAGAGCATTTCAACCATGCCTGATTTACCCATCACCTGTAGTAGTATTACCTGCTCAGATCTGTTCTGATGTTGATATTGGTATTGAGCAAAGGTATTACGGGAAGAAGTAATTTCGTCCTCAAATTGTTTCTTCACCTTGGCCAAACCACCAGGCACTGCGCACATTTCTGATTCTTCCATCATCTAGGATGATTTAAGAAAAAGGAAAATTCAGCTTTACAGCTGTGCAGGATGGGATTCTGAAGCTATTTTAAAAATAGTTGACATTTATTGATAGACAGTATCTTAAAAAGATATTCACATACACCATTATTTCAGTATGTCTTTAACAAAAACCTTAATAAATATATTCTCTCTGGGTTGTTTTCTCATTTATCAGTCTTTTGATATAAAGTCAGAAGAATTTTCAAAGTATTGAGTTAATTCTTCTAATCTCAGATAAATTTTGATGTCTGCAGATAAGACCTATTAGATTGCACGGTATTTCTCCTGTAATATACAGACTAGTGGGTATAAGAATAATGGACTCAATTTTAACCCTCAATAAAGTTGTCATTAAAATCCCAAACATCTATATAGGGAACACATTATTAAGAATAATTTTAAAATCATTTTTACTCCAAAAACTTAAAATTATTAAGGATGAACAAAATAGCCTCAGAATATTCCTTATGTAAAAATATTAATATGAATAATGAGACTACTTATGTGATTTTGTATGTATTAAATGACAGAATATGTCATTCTGTGAGATATGGACACCTATTACCCACATTTTAAAATAAGGAAATTGAGACTTAGAGAAGTAAGACAGTTATTACGTTCTCACAGCTAGAACAGAAGTGCTGGCCCTGGAATTTCAATCCACATCTGTCTGTCTTCATTACTGTCCTCAAAGAACAGGCAGAAAACCAGCAGCTACACTACTCCAGGATTAGCACACCCCAGGCATCAGCTCTGAGCACAGGCATGTCAGAATCAGGGGGCTTTAACATTAGAAGGGTTCTAATCTATCACTGTCATTTCACCAATGAGAAAACTAATTTTTTTTTCTTTTTTTTTTTTATTATACTTTAAGTTTTAGGGTACATGTGCACATTGCGCAGGTTAGTTACATATGTATACATGTGCCATGCTGGTGTGCTGCACCCACTAACTCGTCATCTAGCATTAGGTATATCTCCCAATGCTACCCCTTCCCCCTCCCCCCACCCCACCACAGTCCCCAGAGTGTGATATTCCCCTTCCTGTGACCATGTGATCTCATTGTTCAATTCCCACCTATGAGTGAGAATATGCGGTGTTCGGTTTTTTCTTCTTGTGATAGTTTACTGAGAATGATGGTTTCCAATTTCATCCATGTCCCTACAAAGGACATGAACTCATCATTTTTTATGGCTGCATAGTATTCCATGGTGTATGTGTGCCACATTTTCTTAATCCAGTCTATCATTGTTGGACATTTGGGTTGGTTCCAAGTCTTTGCTATTATGAATAATGCCGCAATAAACATACGTGTGCATGTGTCTTTATAGCAGCATGATTTATAGTCATTTGGGTATATACCCAGTAATGGGATGGCTGGGTCAAATGGTATTTCTAGTTCTAGATCCCTGAGGAATCGCCACACTGACTTCCACAATGGTTGAACTAGTTTCCAGTCCCACCAACAGTGTAAAAGTGTTCCTATTTCTCCACATCCTCTCCAGCACCTGTTGTTTCCTGACTTTTTAATGATTGCCATTCTAACTGGTGTGAGATGGTATCTCATAGTGGTTTTGATTTGCATTTCTCTGATGGCCAGTGATGATGAGCATTTTTTCATGTATTTTTTGGCTGCATAAATGTCTTCTTTTGAGAAGTGTCTGTTCATGTCCTTCGCCCACTTTTTGATGGGGTTGTTTGTTTTTTTCTTGTAAATTTGTTTGAGTTCATTGTAGATTCTGGATATTAGCCCTTTGTCAGATGAGTAGGTTGCGAAAATTTTCTCCCATGTTGTAGGTTGCCTGTTCACTCTGATGGTAGTTTCTTTTGCTGTGCAGAAGCTCTTTAGTTTAATTAGATCCCATTTGTCAATTTTGGCTTTTGTTGCCATTGCTTTTGGTGTTTTGGACATGAAGTCCTTGCCCACGCCTATGTCCTGAATGGTAATGCCTAGGTTTTCTTCTAGGGTTTTTATGGTTTTAGGTCTAACGTTTAAATCTTTAATCCATCTTGAATTGATTTTTGTATAAGGTGTAAGGAAGGGATCCAGTTTCAGCTTTCTACATATGGCTAGCCAGTTTTCCCAGCACCATTTATTAAATAGGGAATCCTTTCCCCATTGCTTGTTTTTCTCAGGTTTGTCAAAGATCAGATAGTTGTAGGTATGCGGCGTTATTTCTGAGGGCTCTGTTCTGTTCCATAGAAAACTAATTTTGATAGGTATCATTGGAAGCAATTTGAAAAGCACCTGAGTAGTCCTGTGAGACCTATGCCCCTTCGGGAAGTGCAGAAGTAGCTCAGGTGCATTGGTTTTGATGATTCAGCACATTCCAGAGCCCAGCAGGCACTCAAGCCCAGATGGGATAATTCTCAAGGAAACAGGCCCCATGCCAGCCTTCCCTCCTCCCGGAAGATTCTAGGTCTGCTTGCAACTGGAAGACTTGGCAATACTTCAAATCAGAGCAGGTCTCCTGAGGTCTGACCCAGTCCTGACATAACCCTCAAAGCCTTAAGACCTTGAAAGTAACTGGGGACCCAGGAGCTGAGAGGTTTCTATACCATGGACTGGGGACTTTGGGGGTCCTGGATCTTTAACCAAATAAGTAGTCTTTCAAATAGATATTAAAAATGTAGTGCCTATCTTGGGGTTTGGGTTTCCCATACTCCAGAATATTATAGACTAATATTAGGATTATCTAAATTACTAGCAAGTACTCAAGTTGTTGCTTTACTAAGTTAATAACGTTTCCTCATTTATGTGGACTATCAAATATTTCAAAATATGTGTGGTGGCCCTTTGAGAAGAGATGATTGTGCTCTTCTATGAACTAGGTATATATTGTATCAAATTCTGCAACAAACTTTAAATGCAAATCTTAATCAATTACTTCTAGTTGATATATGTTAAGGTCAGAAAAATGTACAGCACCCCTTTTGAAATTTAAGATACAGTGAAAAAGGGGAAGGGTGAATTAAGGCCACAATATTTATTTTACCCCTTCTGCCATTTAATTTATATAAGTGGCTTTCCTGGATAAATTATATATAGATAATCTATAAGTATCAAATTATAGACATTAAGGTAATTATTAAGAAGAACCTTGCTGTTTCAAACAACTATTCTGATGTCCCAATCATGTGCAAATTAATCTGGCAAGCCTTAGTATTATGCTTATGACCGGATGCTCTCCTGGTAAATGCATTTTCACAAAAAGATCAATTCTTATACTGGACAGGTTGCCTCTCATCTATAAAATGGATTAAAAAACAGATATACCAGCCTGGTGTGGTGTCTCATGCCTGTAATCCTAGCACTTTGGGAGGTCAAGGTGGGTGGATCACAAGGTCAGGAGTTCGAGACCAGCCTGGCCAACATGGGGAAACCCCGTCTCTACTAAAAAAATACAAAAATTAGCCGGGCATGGTGGCACATGCCTGTAATTCCAGCTATTTGGGAGGCTGAGGCAGGAGATTTGCCTGAACTGAGGAGGCAGAGGTTGCAGTGAGCCGAGATTGTGCCACTGCACTCCAGCCTGAGCAGCAGAGCAAGACTCCGTCTCAAAAGAACAAAACAAAACAGATATACCCATTACTTTCCTGCGCTTTAGAAACAGACTACATTACACATGCAAAAATTCATACAGTTGATTTTTTTTTTTTTTTTTTTTGAGATGGAGTCTCACTCAGCCGTCCGGGCTGGAGTGCAGCAGCACGATCTCGGCTCACTGCAACCACTGTTTCCTGGGTTCAAGTGATTCTCCCGTCTGAGCCTCCTGAGTAGCTGGGATTACTGGCACCCGCCATCATGCTTGGCTATCTTCCTTCCTTCCTTCCTTCCTTCCTTCCTCCCTCCCTCCCTCCCTCCCTCTCTTTCTCTCTCTCTCTTTCCTTCCTTCCTTCCTTCCTTCCTTCCTTCCTCCCTCCCTCCCTCCCTCCCTCTCTTTCTCTCTCTCTTTCCTTCCTTCCTTCCTTCTTTCTCTTTCTTTCCTTCTTTCTCTTTCTCTTTGCTTCCTTCCTTCCTTCCTTCCTTCCTTCCTTCCTTCCTTCCTTCTTTCTTTCTTCCTTCCTTCCTTTCTATTTTGTATTTTAGTAGACATGGAGTTTCATCATGTTGGCCAGACTGGTCTTGAACTGCTGACCTCAGGTGATCCACCCACCTCAGCCTCCCAAAGTGCTAGGATTACAGGGGTGAGCCACCGCGGATTATTTTTAATAGTAGTACTAATACCATTCCTGCTACCCCTGGTACTATCATTACGCTACTGCAGCTGCTCATTCACCCAAGTGAGACAAATCTTCTGAAATATGGTTCAGTGGCGGTGCTAAGGTTTCCTTGTTCCACTTGCGGGTAGATGAAAGTTTACACATGTGAGATGGCAGGACCTGCCCAAGAAGCAGTCTGTGGTCATAACCGGGAGTAATGCTTCCTTGCTCAGGTGGGGACCGTTCCTGTGACTTTACCTTATTTAGTGTCATGCTCTAAATATCCCAACTAATGAATGTTGTTATCATTGACCCCATAACTGAAATTGCTTTGTGTTGAAACTTTTTATGTTTATTATTATTCTGTGTTTCTTATTATTTGGCTCAGCAATAAGGTTTGGAATCTAATGGGTGTGCTGATAATAATATGCTAATTTGAACACCTAACAGTTAAATCTAGGTAAATATATTACACAGTCCTCAAGTTCTTTTTACAAAAAAACTGTTCTTGGTTTATAGGGCATAACAGAAATAACATAATTTTGGGAGTTGGACAGACAGTGCTTCTAATTCCAGCCCTGACAATTAAAACCTTGGGCTACAGCTCTTGAACTTGGTTTTCTTTCTTATAAACTGGGCATAGAAATATTTTTCTCACAGATTTATTGTGAGTATTAAAAAAGGTAAAGGGAATAAAATTGCACAGACTTGAAAATGAATCTGGCATTTTAATTCATTGCTCAACAAGTGTTACTTCTCCCTCTCTTTTAGGGGGCTTCTATAGACCACCACTGTTTCATGGGCATAACTTTCATTTAGATACAACCAAATGCCATCTGATTGACTCTGAGACAAGGAAAATATATTGTCTTTACATGTGTAAATATGATTGAGATATAGTAGATTCAGTTTGGGTCTGATTCTGTGACTTTCAGATTTTGCACTTAAAATTTTGGGTTAATTGTGGAGATACAGATTTAGTCACAGGCAGTTTTCATGATTTTTTTTGGTGTGTGTGTGTGTGTGTGCAGAGGGGTGGGGGGGTGGGGGGGTGGCTTGAACAAGCATTTCATGCACATGATTAAATAAACAATTATTTTGCTTTGCTTTAGATATTTACCAGGATTCTGCTGAGATAATATATGTGCTCTTCTTTCTCACAATATTTGCTTAGGGCCAAACCATATACTATAATATGTATTTTGGGGGCCAAAAATACTTTCTCATTTAGGGAAGAGGAAGAAGTTGAATTCAGTTAGAAGAGCACAAGAGTCAAGAGACTAGGAATCTAGCTTGGCCTCCTCACTACCTAATTTTATAATCTATAAGTAACTTTCTCTTGCTTTTCTTGTCTATAAAATTTGCAGGGAAGAGAAGATTACTAAATTCTTTATATGTAGACATTTTGAGATTAGCCCTAAAGTTTTTGATTTTGTATTAAATAATGGGATCATTTAATTTCCCTATGTGTCCAATGTAAACATTCCCTTTTTAAACACATCATAAATATATATCATGCCTTGATACCACTTTTTTAATGTGTATTCTCTTAGTACCTGGCAAGGTCAATCTTCCTAAATCAAATATTGTTTACTAAATAACCAGTCTTTAGGCATTTTCAAAATCAACTGTTTCCTCGTGAATCATTTCTCTAATTTAGAACACGAATAAGTTCCTCAATGATCCAGTAGGGGGTGCCATCGAAGAAGACTGGCAGGAGGTACTATAGTGCCACTGTTTATTTTGGAAGTGATCTAGATACTTATGTCACTTCTGCACATTTATTCCAAATCTAAGCTGTGTCTAAAATGTATTTTAATGACTATGTGAAAACCTAAATGTCATCTAGAATTGCATTTTTTAAATGAGTTTGGCACAGTCAGCCTTGTCTCTAAATAATTTGTAAAGAAGCATGTTAAGTGTAGCTATTTTAATACACCACCTTTTTTGGCTTTTCTCTCTCTCTCTTTCTCTGTCTCCCTCTCTCATACACAACTAGGCTAATTTGGAGATTATAATTATAAAAGAACATTCTTATATTCCATTAAGTTGAAGGCCACAGAATACAGAACCCCAAAATTCTTTTGAATATGACTTTATAATGCATTGGCTCTAAAAATTGGTGGTCTTACTGAATCCTGCAGTTTCCTATAATCATAATTGGTTTAGCAGAGTGTCTACATTGCTAATCTCTCTCATTTTTATGTTGATTAAACCTTTCCTAATGGATTTAGTGCATACAGAGAAACGAGAAAAGCCAAAGAAATTATACTGCCAGTGAATTTCAATGAACCATATATGAGACCAAGGAGGGTGGCGTGCAAACCCATGTTATTAAAATTTGAAATTAATTCCCGACCTTCCTGAGGAGAATATCTACAGGTTAAGTGCTAATGATGATAATAATAACACATTTATACAGCGCCTTATGGCTTACACATAAATTGTCTCTTTGATTCCTCACCAAGACTCTGTGTGATAAATGATGATTCCCATTTTTCAGTCAAGGAAACTGAAGCTCAGAGAGAAGTTAAGATAGTAGTTCAGGGCTGGGCACAGTGGCTCATGCCTGTAATCCCAGCACTTTGGGAGGCTGATGCGGGCGGATCACGAGGTCAAGAGATCGATACCATCCTGGCCAACATGGTGAAATCCTGTCTCTACTAAAAATACAAAAATTAGCAGAGCATGGTGGCATGCTCTGTAATCCCAGCTACTCGGGAGGCTGAGGCAAGAGAATCACTTGAACCCAGGAGGTGGAGGGTGCCGAGATCGTGCCATTGCACTCCAGCCTGGATGACAGAGCAAGACTCTGTCTCAAAAAAAATAAAAAATAAATAAAAATAGTAGTTCAGATTCACACAAGTAATAAGTAGCACAGTTGAAACTTAAATTCAGATAGTCTGGATTTATTTCACACACTATTTTTGTGCTCTTTCTACTTTAGCCCCCTGTCCAGTAGTATTCTTACATTTCAAATATAAAGAGGGAATTGGGACAGACAGTAAGCACATTGCCTAGTGCAAAACCATTAGGAGCAGCTTACATTAGCAGAGAAGCTGCGGCAGTCACCCCTGGAAACAGCTGCCTGGTACCTCGCCATCCGCTCCTTCAGGGAGACCACTTCGTGGAGGTCTGACACACCCTCGCCCCGAGCAGCACTGTCTTCTGCAAATCCACTCTCAGGCTTATTAGGGCCAGCAGTCGCTGAAAGCAAACAGAGCATGCTTACACATGTGTGTTAAGCTTTAAGAAGAAAACAGCATCACCTTATAAATGGTGAAGCATTTAAAATACTTGATCTCGTAAAATGGACTGTAGCATTTCACAATATTTTCAATGTCTCATGGTCATCTCCTTCAAGCTTTCAAGCAAAGTTACAAAATGTGTGTATAACAGCATAAACTTAGGTAAACAGCAAAAATTTATCCCCCCAACTCTTGCAATTATTGTGATGAGAAAAACTTAGTAACAGATATATAATAACAATTAACATTCCTCAAGCACTATGTTTTGAATGTATGCTAAATTCTGTGTGCATTTTCAAATTTACTTTTCTAACAATCTTGTAAGGTAGGTAATATTATTTCTAAAAATTTATATAAGAAAATGAGAGTCACGCCTATTAAAAAACTTTCCAAGGATCACACCTTTAACAAGCGGCAGATTTGAATATGGTTTGACAAAATCTTTAACAAGTCTAAGGGTTGCTCCTTTCTTCTCTCCTCACCCCTCAACCTTTAAGGAGATATGTCCAGCTAAAATATGCAAATATTGTGAATATTATAGGCTGTGGATTTTTTTTTCTTTTCTTCTTAGGGGCATGTATTACATAAGAAAGAAGTAATAGTATCATTAGAAACAGCTTTGTCAGGCACCCATTTCAGAGAGCCTGATATTTACCCATGAAGCCATCTACTTGGCAAAAAGGCAGGGTAGGAGGAATTACATATCTGGAAGTAGTGTTAAAGACTGATTGCACAATCACAGAATAGCAGTTGTAAGAAACAGAATGATCTTAGAGATCATCGAACCTAACCCAATCTAATCAACTCCTTTTAGGCAGAAGAAAACGTATGCCTGAATGTTTCCTTATGTGAAAGGAACATAAGGACCCTCCATTGTTATGTGATTCTCCACAACTATTTAGCTTACGTATGCCAGAACTGATCTCAAAACTAGTTTTTCTTATTTAATCTAGTGATCTTTGTTGTCATCCTTCTGCTTGGTGGTTTACTATTCACTCTTAGATGGTTTTGATTCCAAAATCATTTCAAGGGCATGTTATAGGTATGTATACATGTGCTTTTGTATATGAGTTTATGTATATGCATCACTCATTCATGCATCTCCTGCCTTCACTCTTAGGGCTGGTAGTTTCTGGGACTTACAGGGTAGGGCTCTTTGTAGTACTTTCTTATTTGGGTTGTTATAATTTAATCACTATCAACCAAGGCCCAAATAACCTCTAGTAAAAGACAGCCAAGCTGTTCCCTCTGTGCCCTGTTCTTCCTCTCTCCTCCCTCAACTCTGAGTCCCCATGTTGAACCATCTTATTGAATTGCTTGCTTTTTCTATTAGCATCTTCAAGATTTATGTACACAACAGCAGTTGAGAACAATTTCTGTGGCCTAGAAAAAATTAAAAAATCATTTTCATTTTGACACCTTCCTAGAGTATTTGGTTTTCCATAGAGACTTCTTATTCAGTAAACACTTTCATATATTGTAATTAAAATAGTAAAAATACTTAACATACTATCACAAAGATACAAAGTATAAAGGAATAAGACATGGTATTATATGAATGCTGATTGTACAATGTTGATTATGTTTATGACAAATGCCAGCTATCTTTGAAATTCACCTGTCATCCAAAACCTCATAGCCATACAAAAGACTCCTCCACTTGATTCTGATAAAAAGAGATTCCCACAAATCACTGAAAGACTTTCACATGCTGAGGAAAAGCTCTTTATTTTTCCCTGTGGCTTCTCTATCTGCACAGATGAATTCAGTGTACATTCAGCTGTGCTGTTCTTACTTTGATGTGAATGAATGTCATATAGATTTTATTGAACATAACACTCTAAAGTTTTTCTACATTAAAATATAAATTTTATTTTGTGTGTTATCCATAAAAGATGCCATTCTTTTGGTAATCTTAATAGAAGTTCAGGCTTTTTTTTGGTTAAAATTTACAAATAGTATTTAGCTTTCAAATATTTGATTTTTATCATTTTTTAATGACAAAATGCCCAATATTATTTGTCAAAAAGAAATCAGTGGCCTGATTTGGATTCCATTGCTCATGGCCATCATAGAAAAGACTCTCAGCCGGGCGCGGTGGCTCACACCTGTAATCCCAGCACTCTGGGAGGCCGAGACGGGCAGATCACGAGGTCAGGAGATCCAGACCATCCTGGCTAACACGGTGAAACCCCGTCTCTACTAAAAAATACAAAAAATTAGCCAGGCATGGTGGCGGGCGCCTGTAGTCCCAGCTACTCGGGAGGCTGAGGCAGGAGAATGGCGTGAACCCGGGAGGCGAAGCTTGCAGTGAAGCCAAGATCGCGCCACCGCACTCCAGCCTGGGCGACAGAGCGAGACTCCGTCTCCGTCTCAAAAAAAAGGGAATGATAAAACCATTAAGCATGCAAGTCAGACAGGAAAGGAACAAACTAAAAGGCTAAAGTACTCTGTGAAAAGGAGGAAGGGGAAAATTAAATTTTCAAATGACTATTTCTGTTAGAAAGCATTATAAATATTAATACAACAAAATCATTTTGTTGCAAGTTTTTGTCTCTGAGGCTTAGAGGTAATTTATTGTGCAGACGAGTAATCCAAAATCCGAAGAAGTTCAGTGAATTCTCCCAAATCTTGAGTTAATGGTATAGCTGGGCTTAGAATTCATTGCACACTAAACATAGAAAGCATGCATTTATTCACATATAAGAAAATAATTTATAATCTATTCAAAATATTCATTCTTTGTGTAATAAAATACATCCCACAAAGCAGAAAAAACATAGAGAGGCACTTTGAAAGAAAATAAAACACTAAAAAATACAATCTATTATCATGGCTATTAGATAACAAGGATAAGAATGTCTTTTTTAAGGGTTTTGAGGTTCTTGGAAAAAATATTTACATTTTAATTTCAATATAATATAAAAAGTCATATACTATAGATAGATCCAACTTATGCCCATTTCTACATTCTTAAATCATGAGAAATTGTGTGACTAGAGATCTTTTTTTCTCAAGCCTCAAACATATATGCTTTTCTTCTGCAGTTTTTAAAAACAAACTAAATCTATTAATAAAATTTGACCAGGCTACAGAAATTCATTATGCCTTCCTGAATTTTACTTTCTATGGAGAGTCCATGTTTAAAACATTTAAAAAACACACATTGGTACAATATTTATAAGGCAGAACACTCTTCCTTTCTTGACCAATTATTCACAGGTCTGCATTCCGTAACAGAAAGGATTGAATAGCGACCCCTCTGTGATTCCTTGAAGTTGGTAAGATGTCAGAGACAGAAAACAGTGAGGAATAGTCAATGTAATATACATTCTAGAATTTTCTCCTAATTTTACAATTTATATAATCAGATAAAGAATTCTTATGGATATGCACAGATTAATATATAGAAATATTTCAAAAGGATCATTGATAGATTTGTTATGAACCATCCTAAACTAGCTGTACAAGAAATTTCAAATTTGGAATTCAGTGATTTATAAAAATGATATGTTCTTACAACATTAAGAAGTGAAAAATCTATCCTCATTTCCTATTAAGCAATCATCCAAAAATCTGAAATAAGTTATAAATATGATCCTAAAATTTTCATAGAGTTACAATTTGGAAATAAAGGTCAATGGCTTGATACATAGAGCTAGGGTCAATGTGTTGCTCAAAAATAATGTCAGATCCTGAAAAAAAACTATGCAGAAGACACCTACTGTGTCTGGGTTCACAATCTTATTTTGTGATTGTCACAATCTTATTTGACACAATCTTTGTCACAATCTTATTTCTAAAGCCAGATTGCATCTCATCACATTTTCTAAATGTAAATATTTCCTATTACTTTCAAAATATGAGAGATACATTCTTAAATTGTAGTTGCGGACAGTCTTATGGAAAGGATGACGGTGTAACAATACAATTGACAATACTGGATGAGAGATACATTAATACTAGGTGCTTTAAAAGTGGCTTAAACATTGCTTAAATTTGTGTGAGTCATCTCATTTCTTTTCCCTTCTCCCTTCCCATTGTGGACAATGCAAAAGTCTGCAGAACAAAATGGAAAGCACTTTGAACTCCTTATTTCTTTCAGAGACTACTTGACAGTGTCCGGGTTGTGAGGCTGATATGAGCCACGTCTGATTTTTAGCAGAGACTTGGCCGATATTAAATCAGAAGACAAGACATCTGTCAAAGACGAGAAAAGAACTAAAGATATTCAAGCATTTTGAAAATTAAAATACACATTGAAGGCAGTAAATAGGATAATATATGGTACAGAAAAGAAAATCAATAGCATATTAGCAGCAATATGAAATATGGCGAAGATGGAAAACAGAGGAAAATCCATACTACAGGCATTTCAGTGTGAGGATGGGGAAGTAGATAGAAGAAATAAGTTATACTAGAAGAAAAAAAATTGCCAAAAATGAAATTTGGGCATAGATTGAAAATATTTACCACAATCCAGGAATAAAGTTAATTTAAACATACCAACACATTGGCAAATCCTGGTGAACATTTTAAGTTCATGGAAAAAGAAAAATTCTGCAGTTATCCAGATACATGAAGAGTGTCTGTAGTAAAGAAACAAAATTCAGATATCCTTAGATATTTCCTTTACAACGCCGAACACTAAAGGTAATTAGAGAACCAATTACTGGTTACTGAAATTTTAGTATTGTGAACCAGAGTCTACATGGGTCCAAGTTGATAACCATGTGAGAGGGCAACAAAAAGTCAAACACAGACCATGTAATAACAAAGGCAGCCCAAAGGAAAATGAAGGCCCTCAAAATATAATACCTAAACAATAAGGTAGACATAAAAATGGTTGTATTTATTTATTTATAACTAAAAGTATTAGTCATAGAAATAATCAGAGGTCAAACTTCACATCGAAGGATGAAAACAAGTAATCTAATGGTGTACCATGTGCAATAAATAGATGCAAAACAAACCCTACAATTAAAAAATATATTGGACAATAAATTATCAGGCAAATATAAATGAAGAAAAGTCATCATTACTATGCTACTTTCATGCAAAGTATCCTTAAAAACAAATTATTCATATATTAAATGAGATAGAAGACCATTCCATAGCTAAAAGATACCATCCCACTATGAAGCTGGAATAACTGTTGACCACTACATGCTAATTAGCACAGTACAGCAACAGTAAAAGGCCATTAATAACAAGGAAAAGGAAACCTTTATGGGAAAATAATAGCTGCGGGTGACTTTAACATATCTTTCTACATCTTGCCAGATGAAAGTTCAAAAATAAATGATTTTGAATTATATAATTACTTATATAATTAATAAGGTTTGTATAAGTAATCATATAATTGATAAGGTTTATTTATATTCATTCTCACTAAACAAATATTGGTTATCTACAAAAAGCATAAGATACATTCACTATCTTTCAGGGCTTTCAGTATAGTTGGAGAGACAGGGTGTTATAGCCAATGTGTAATAGGTTTGTACCAGTTGAGTTGGGAGCCTATAGTGGGGACATAATCCACCTGGGTATGTTAGTGAGGCAGGTGTCAGGAAAGGCATCCTGAAAATAGAACATCTGTACTGAATCCTGAAAGAGCTGGCCATGTGAATATGTGCTAGAGAGAAAGATGCAGAAAGGGGATGAAACTGTGAAGCACTATCAACAAATTGTGCTGGGAAAATTGGGTAAAGATTTTGAGGAAAACATTAAGAAATCCCCACCTCACAGCATATTGCAAATGAAATACCAGATGGCTAAAGAGTTAAATATTTTTAAAAATTATGAATCTTTGGAGAAATAGAAGTAGTTCATAAAATGATTTCAAATGGACTTTATAAGCATAAAAATTCAAAGTAAAAAAAATTTATGCGAGAAAATAAAAATTGGAAAATGATAATTATAATAAATACGCGTGTTTGTTTTCAATAAAGAACACTGATGGGCCAGAAAAAAATGTTAATATTGAATAATGGATAAAGAACTTCAAAGAATGATTTACAAGTGAAAACTTCATAGCAAACATGTATAAAGTGCTTTCTATGTGTCAGAATATGAATCCATTTAATATTCTCAATCATACCAGGAGATAGAGGCTATTTTATTTTTTATCTCTATTTTACAGATAAGGAAACAGAGACGGGTTCTAAAACCTGCACCAGTTCAGACAGTGGGTGAGTTTCAGAGCTGAGAAGGGAAGCTCAGCAATCTGGCCCCAGGCTCTGTGACAACTCCAATTCTGATGCTACCTATTAAGAAGGACAGTTGTTCAACAACAAACAAAATCACTATGCTCAGTAAATAAATGAAGGAAAAGCCAAACAACAAAGAGATGCCTTTTTCTGTTATGAACTGACTCATACTGCATATACAATAAAAATATCCATAATATTCCCAGATGGTTAGTCCAGTGTATTATTGTGACACAAAATAAATTCTAAGGTTAACAATAATTTAAACTGTTGAGCAGAGAAACCAGAATTTATTATTTTTTCTTTGAAATTTGCTAAAATCAATGTAAGAAGCCTTCATTTAATGCCACCTAAGAACCAGGCGAAGTGTGCTGGTGAGTCCCATGGAAGCCTGCAAAGCTGAAGCAATCATAGATACCAGCTTCAAGAAGGCAAGCACACTTCAGGTGATACATCAATAGCCTTGCTGCTTTATTCTGGATGCATTAAAAAGAAGTCAACTGTTTAGTTCTTGAAAAAAAAAATTGATTGAGAACTACATTGGGAGAATGATAAACTAAATTCTGTCAAACTTAAATACATGATCTATAATCCAGCTTGGATTTGTGTGCAGGATAGCATACCAATACACATATCATAGGCTCAGAGCCATTAGCATGAATAAATTTTTCTATAATTCTTAATATTTGCAAATCCCTCAGCTAATAATAAAATTCATCTCTTTTAAGCATTCAGAATGCTACTGCCAAGTAAAATTTGTAATCAATTTGAGTTTTATATATTCTTATCCTCATTTGAATATTATAAAACCAAGAAATAGATGGAGAATAAAATGAAAGCAAGTGTACAGCACAGACCTGCATCAATTCAGAGTTCTTAAAAAACATGGAGAAGAAGGGCGAGGGAATAAAAATGAGTGGAAGTAAGCACAAAAACCATCTTGTAGCATTTTTTTCCAGCAAATGAACACAGTGACTCAGATTCCATTTCTCAAACTAACCTCCCTGTGATCCTATTCCCCCAAAATGCATTGTGTTATTGTATGTGTACTTGTTACCTTCCCAAAAATCCATCCATTCATTTGATTATTTGGGCTTTATACATTAACAAAAGAAGATCTCTCATGGTAATAAAAAGGATTCGTTCCTGCTTTCTTACTAAGTCTGTCCTAGCTAGTATTCTCCTGGTTCACCAGATACTGGAAGAGATTCTTTAAATCCAGTTGCCTGTTAGAGGAAGAAGACAAGATTTAGCATTGTAGTAGACAGAACATCGGTCCCCCAAAGATGTTCACATCCTAATCCCCAGGACCTATGAATATGCGACCTTACATGGCAAAAGGGATTTTGCAGATATAATAAAGTTAAGGATTTTGAGATAGGAAGATTATCCTAGGTTATCCAAGTGGGTTCAATGTAATCACAAGGGTCCTTGTAAGTGAAAGAGGGAGTCAGGAGCATTGAGACGGGAGATGCAATGACTGAAATGGGAGAGAAAAGAGATTGAATATTCTACACTGCTGGCTTCGAAGATGGGAATAAGGTCCACAAATCAAGGAATACAGGCAGCTTCTGGAACCTGGGAAGGGCAAAGAAGCAGATTCTCCCCTGGAGCTTCTGGAGGAAGCTTGGCACAGCCAACACCTTACTTTTTTCTCAGTGAAACCCACTTTGGACTTCAGACTTCCAGAACTGTAAGATAATAGATGAGTGCTATTGGAATCTGTTGCATTTTTTGGTAATTTCTTGCAGCAGCAACAGGAAACTGATACAAGCATTCACTGTACACATACATGTGTCTGTCCAAGTCACAAATTGCTACATACTGGATACTTTTAAAGGCACATTTCAGTTCCAGCTCCCTAAATTGCACAGACACGTAAATACACAAACCACTATGTGATGGAGCCATCTCTGAAATTACTCTTTATGTCCCAAAAAAGAAATGTCCGCCTACCTGATAAGACTCTAAGTGTCCATTTAGATTCAAATCTCTCTGAATAATAGGACTGTTATTTCTACCTGCTGTCACTTCTTTTTCTATAGACATGTCCTGTGTCTTTTGCAGCTCCTATCATCTCATAGGAAGTACTTCTGGTACTAGAGCAGTTATGAATTAAGAAAATTTAATCAGAAGTTAGGTAATCATTAGTATAAAAATATTGCTAGTTTGGGCATATACGAAAATCTAATCATACTGCTCTTAAACATTTTTAAATTAATTGGTTAGCTTAGAGATTTGGCCAGTTAAAAAAATCAATAATTGAATAAAATGACTTAAATTTCATTGAACTAGTCTAATAAATTAGAATCATTACAAATGCCTGTAGAGTGTGCATATTTTTACAGCATAAGTCTCTTGTTGGACATTTCTCTAGTACAATCAGACGTATATTACATTATAATAATGATAGCTATCAGTTAATGAACATAATGTGTTAATTATTTTACATGTATTATCCCATTAATTCTCATAACAACCATATATGATGGGTGGTTTATTCCCATTTTAGTGTTGAGGAAGTAACACTCAGAAGATAATATCATATAGCAAGTAGCTGAACCCGGAGTTGATTTCAAGTATTTCTGCATACAACTTTCAACTCTACACAGTCTCTTACGTAAATATATTTTCATTAAAATATAACATTTTTATTTCAAGGTAAATTTTTAATTAAGGGTATGAAACTCTTTTCTGCTTCCTAAAATATATGCACTTAAATCCTTTCTAGACATTGACTTCAGCATAATCTAAGGATAAATCAAAGGGAAATAAATAAGCTGAATTTCCACAGCTATCAGTGGCTGTTTTTCATTATTACAAGCTTGAGTTTAGAATTAGAAATCAAAGCAAATTCCTCAGCTATATTGCTTTGGTCACCATAGAGATCAAACTTAAGAAGGGGTTAGGGATAGGTCCAGTTGAACAGAGAAGGGAATAAACTTAACTGCAAGGAAGGGAAAATGCAAAGCAGGGGCCACTGGTCTCATTTTCAAGTGATCTACTGTGCTCCAGGGGATGGGAGGTGGTGTCGCGCTTTCATCCAAATGTCCCCTTGTCTAAATCCGCATCACAGGTATATACTGAAGGTATATGGTACCGTTCCTGCCCTTCCTTCCCCTTCCTTCCTTCCTTCCTTCTTTCCTTCCTTCCTTCCTTCCTTCGTTCTTTCCTTCCTTCCTTCCCTCCCTCCCTCCTTCCTTCTTTCCTTTCTCCCTCTCTCTTTCTTTCTTTCTTTCTTTCTTTCTTTCTTTCTTTCTTTCTTTCTTTCTTTCTTTCTTTCTTTCTTTCTTTCTCTCTCTCTCTTTCTTTCTCTCTCTCTCTCTCTTTCCCTCCCTCCCTCTCTCTCTCTCTCTTTCTTGACAAAGCCTCACTCTGTTGTCTAGGTTGGAGTGCGGTGGCATGATCTCGGCTCACTGCAACCTCTGCATCCCAGGTTCAAGCAATTCTCCTGCCTCAGCCTCCCTAGTAGCTGGGATTACAGGCACCCGCCACCACACCCGGCTAATTTTTGTAGTTTTAGTAGAGACAGAGTTTCACCATGTTGGCCAGGCTGGTCTCAAACTCCTGGCCTCAAGTAATACAGCTGCCTTGGCCTCCCCATGTGCTGGGGTTGCAGGCGTGAGCCACCACACCCGGCAGGTATATGGTACATTTTCCTCTTAGGGCTTTAGTCCTGCATTCTATAAACATCTACTTCCCAGCTACTGTCGGCTAGGCATGGTTGTCAGACCTGGAGACAAATTAATCACCATTATAGTCAGTCATGCTCCATTTGAAGAGGAAAAAAAAAGAATAACACTAGAAAGATTCTCAAGAAATACAGTATTGATCTGACCTTATTTCTAAAAAGATAAATATAACAGGTTTTATGAATGTATATGACATGTAAAGTGTTCGTTTATCTGTGGTTTTGGCACTAGGCCGTGAACCACCAATTTTTCACTGACAAGCAACATGAAAGTCCACTGGAAATGTAAAGTTCATGAAAATCACTCTAGCACGTTACACTGTAGAGACAGATCTGCTCTTTCCACCCCGCCCCCTTAATGGTTCCTCATGTTTTTTTCCTGCTCTATGTTTTTTAGGTAAAATCATAAAATCGTCATTCAAAGTTACTCACTTTAAAAATTTGCTATGGGACCTTTGAGAAATAGGCTCGGCACAGTGAACACTGGCCGTGACCTAGACCAGCCCAGGTGATCACTAGGCCAGTCTTTAAGTCCCTGCTGCTTTGTGGCAACCTACCAAAGGTAAAGAGAAGGAAACTGTATCCTTCATTGATGATTCATTCTACCGTTACTGTGCTTAGTACCCATGTGTTGAAAAACTCTACATTGTGAGGAAAACCCCTAAATATATTGTTATGTTTGGTTAGTTTGAATACGCATCTCCTTTCTATTTAATTTCATTACTCATTCTATTTAAACTAGTTGCTATCCTATTCTTTCTAAAGTCTCTGTTTTAGAAAATCCAAAAATTTCATATCATTCTACATAATTCTGTTTCTTACAGAATTGCTACCTCTTTGACATAACTTTTTTTTCTGACCCTAATTTTCTAATGTATCCCTTTTTCATTCCTACCGCTTCATTTGTGCTTTTCCTTTTCCCAAACTTCCTTGTGATTCTCAGCTTTCCAGATCCTCCTTTATGTGTGGTTTAGTTACTAAGGGTCTGTGCCCTTGTGGCGAGAATGTCATCTTCTTTCTGGTTGTCTAAGCTGGAATGAAAACTTGAGAAACAGCAAGCAAATGTGCTCACCCCTCAGCCATGGAGAGACGGTAGGCAGGCTCAGTCTATGATTAATAGAAAGTGTGCGTGCCTCTGAGGGACTGGTTAAAATATCCACTAGTGCCCCTAAAACAATTATGGCCTCCAGAATACACAGAAAGTGATTTAATTCTGGGTCAAAGCAGTGCATTGGTAGATGGGGATGACCTGTGCATACTAGCTTAAAATCTTTTTCCTCAAATGATCAACCCTTTCTTTCATAGGCTTTGTAAAATTCCATATGAAGCTGGGTCATGTGTAGTGAACTGTTTTGTTTAATTCCAAGTATGCTGTTGGCATTCAACAGAGCAAAAAATACGCCAAGGTAATGTAATGGAGATTAAGCTTTAATAATCTGTGGCTTTGAAAAGTGTCTTCCTGGCAGGCTTATCTTTAAGTTGTTTGAATGTACACAGAGGTAGGAATGTTAATCATTTACTGATTATTACCTTAAATCATTTTTGTGCTAAAAGCATTCTGTAGGAACTAGAGGTATCTGAATGTGTTTTAGGAATTTCCTCTCTTCACCTTCATCCCAACTTTCATCCCTCTTTTAAGGTTAGCATCTGAAATTTATTTTGACAAAAGATATTAAAAGAAAGCCCAGATCATCAAATCCAACTCTCACCAACTTATACATGACACCCTGGCAGCTTTTCTCCTACTAATCACACTTCTTGTTTGAATAATAAAATGTATTTAATTCAATCCAATTTTTGTCTTAGAAAAATCAATCCTTGAATTTACACAAACTGTTTTCAATGATCTCAAGTCTTTGTTTAAAATGCTTTCTCTGCCTAAGTCCACGAACAGCAGCATACTTTGATATTTTTTCTTTTGAACTTAATGACTGATAGAATTGATCAAAGAAAGGAAGCCACACTAATTCAACACACTTTCTTTACCGAACATTATTTGGGAAAATGAAGCAATCAAGAAGGAAAGTGAAAATGCTGAAATAATGCAGCATGGCTTGGTGAATAACCTACTCTTCTGGAAGTAAATTCACTCTTTCAGAGCAGTGATGTACTTTGAAAAATAGTATCTCAAACCTTGAAAACTTTCAGAACAATGTGGCCTTTAATTACTTCATCTTGAGTAGGAACATAAAATTTCTACTTAACTGGCTAATGTTAAACCGAAATGTTAAGAATCAATGTAGGACACCATTATTCTCACCAAAGCTTTATGTTTTTCTAATGTGCTTTAAGTGAAAAGGTAATTGGCCTCTTGTTCATATATTTGTACTTTCACAACTGCATTTTGATTCCTCTCTTTCATAATTCTAAGGGACACTGAATAATGTTGTATACATCTTAAACAGGTTTTTAAAAAATTTAGAACAGGAATGTTTACATATTAAAACTATAATAATTTTAATGTATCAAAACTCTGATGCAATCAGATGCTGGGTTACTCTCCTCTGTAACCAGTAACATGACCCAAATACCCTTTGCCTATAAATGCAGCACGTAATTTCAAAAGAAAGAGATGATGTCAGTTTCCTAATGATATGCTGGTACTAGGAACAGTCCAAAGAGTGGAAGTAATTTAATAGTCTTCCTTGCTTATGATACACATGGAGTGTATAATTAGTCAGTATCGTCATCCCTTAATTTATTTACAGTTATTTATCTTTAAAAATTTGACATAGGCATTTGTTTCTTTTCTCTCAGATTCAAAACCTAATGCTATAAATGTACCATACATGGAAGAACGCATTTATGCTGTTTATTTTACTCCTGTTTTTAAAGGGCAAACTTATTTTTATTAAATGTTATTCAAATTGAAACCTGATTTTTCCCGTGCACATTAAGACAGATACATCAGTGATGAATTTAACAACAAAGAATTTAACACTTGCAAACAGAAATCTTCCTACACCAATGGTATTTAAACTCAAGTGAAGTAGAAGATAAGGGGAGGAAAGTTGGGACGGAATGTAAAAAGCAATTGGGTTTCTTTGCCAAATTCCATATGAAACTAGGCTTTCACAGTGTTAAAGAAGCTGTGAATATGGAAGGCTGGTCACCACACAGTGGCCAGAAATGCTCGTTTCAGGCTCCTTACATGCAAGGGTGGGAAAAATAGAAAATATTTTCAAAAATAATATGCTTGTATGTTCCCTAATAGTGAGTGGCAGAGACTTCCCTAATATTTTTGCAGAACTGGTTACTAAATTTCTGTTTTTATCTAGAACTAAAATTTCTAGATCACCGAGAAGTAAACTGATAGTTGAGATTAAAATAGTCAACTTCACAAGTATTTAATGTTTAACATATTGACATATAAACAGTGGGTGCCCATTAAGCATTTGTTGAATGAATTTGTCTTGAAATAATATTGCAAAAGTTAATGCTTGTCTTTTCATGGTTCTCATTGGCAGATTTTGTTACTTTCTCTCTCCTACTTTTTTTGAAGTGTAGAAAACAAGTTTTAAATTCTGCAATAGAAGTTATTAAGCAACATTGAGAAGTTATGTGAAAGTTGGAATTACAGCTTCCAGGAAGGAGCAAAAATAAATGTCTTGCATGTAAACCTGTGACTCTCCCACAAAGAAATTCAGCTCTTCACCCAAAAGTCTCAGCAGGGTACCACATGAGCAGGTGAAAATTAGAACTGTGCAAAAATGTTTGCTTGGAAAGTGAAACCAGTCAATTTTGGGCTTTCTGCCAAATGTAACTTCTGCCAAAATTTCTCATTATTATATAGCTGCACAAAGCAATGAGAAACGTTATGGCTAAAAAATTCCAAATACATTCATGTCTCCATCATATTTCAGTCCAGAAGAAAATAACTAGCCTCCCCAGCCCAGTGAGCTAAGTACAGACAGGCATGAAAACACCCACCCCACTCCACACACATACCTACGCACAACCAACCCACCCCCAGCCACATTTTTCTTTGGAGGACCATTTAATCAGAAGCAATATCCTCCTAGTTTTGTGGGATCTAGGAAGAAGACCTCAGTAGGTTTTCAGGATGTCCCAGTGTACTCTTGAGTTGGAAGCCTGCCAAGGAAAGCAGATGTGGCACAAAGCCCTATGTCCCATTCACCAGCAGTGCAGGGCCTCAGGAAATGTCACAAACCTCGCTAATCCTGACACTAGGTTGCCGTTACAGAAAGCCTCACAGAAGGAGGAACACAAAATGCTGATGCTTTGCAGCTCTCTCTGTGTCGTTCTTTAAAGTGTCAAACCTGAGCATAGATTTGGTAAGTGACTAGACACACAAATAACACTCATCTATCGTGGCCAGTCTACACACACACACACACACACACACACACACACACACACAAAATTCTTGACACCCAACCATGTATAGACTCCAGGGCTCCATCCCCAGTCTTCCTTTTTTTGTCTTACCACACACACTCCATCAGATCTCAGCTTCATCCGTATTACACCTAATGCACATCTCTAGTAACTATTTAATCTCTAATCGTATGTTGCCCAAACTTTTAAAATGTAACATGGCTTAAAAATGTTACCCACAAACTTATTTCCAGTCTTAAATTTTCCAGTTGTATATTATCATAGAGAACATTTGGGATTTTCAGGAAAAATGACAAATGTATAATAATAAAGAGTCAGTTAAAGGTGAATAAATGATGTTGAGTATTAGCTTATGTGCAGAACTATGAATCTCTCTCTCTTTACACACACACACAGCAGCCTGGGAATGGGAGCAAAAGTAGCACATTATGGGAAAATGTTGAATTGGTTTTCAGTTTGATGGATTTAGCCAGAATTGGGGGCAGAGTGATACGGGGGTCAATGGAAGCTCTGCAGGGCCCAGGCTGAGTGGGCATTAGGTCTAACGTCCCTCCATTAAGCTCTCAGACCTACTCCTGCAGCCCAGAGTCAGACGCTTTCAACACATCTGAATTGTTTCTGGCCTTTGTTTTGAAATGCATACCCTCATCCATTGCAGGCTCCAACCTTTCTTGTCCCTATACCCACTGATTTCTGATCTTGTGATTTTCCTGGTGCATTGCGCCATTTCACTGGCTTGTGATTTTTTTGCTTCCTCTTCAACTATTGGGTTCTCTTTGCCCTCTCTCCTTTAGATTCCCATGATAAACGGTCTGGTCTTCACAGACCCATCTTCCAGTGCCTCGCTCCTGAGTGAGAGTTCTTCCATCTTTTCACAGATGCTGTGAGTGGATTCAAGACATGGAGAGATTAAGTAAATAAAGTTGGAAGGGGCTGCTGTGCAGGACATGCTAAGAATGTGGAGACTATGCTGAAGATCAAGCTCAGTTTCAGTTGAAAAGAAAGAGTGGAAGAAATGTGAGAAAGAAAACTGTGATCAGAGAGAATATATTGAGAGTCTAAGAACCAGGTCAAATTACTGACAAGGTTTAAAATGTGGCTGCGAGTAGCCTTGTCAGGAAAGAGACTGGAGTCATTAGGGTTGAGATGGTTGAAGAATTCAGTTTTTTGAAGTAATATGATGTTGACATCACCAAGGATAACAGAAAGTGTATTTGTTTCAAGTGTCAGAACAATTATAACAAGAAGGGGGTACTTAGTAGCTTTCTACAACTCCAGGAGAGGAGAGTAATTTAATTTGAGCTGAAGAGTGCATCTGTGAAAGATAAGGGTGTTTTTAACAACACAACAACCTATTAAATCACATAGACCAGTTTCTCTCTTAAACGGTTTTTAGTGTGTTGCAGTTTTCAATGTTCAGCATATAGGGTCACATATTATTTTACATTCTTATCTTGCTCCCTGGAATATATGGATAATAGTTATTATGTTACATTATACTCATATAGTAAATAATAATAGTAGTAATATTAATAACAAAAGCTTATACAGCACTTACTATGTGCCAGGGACTGATGCTTTAGAACTTTATAAAGATAAATTCATTTAATCTTTGAAATAAGACTATGAGATAGATACTACTAGTATCTCTGATGTCAGATGAGGAAATGAGGCACAGAGTTGGTAATTTGCCCAAGGTCAATCAGTAGGTAAGGGTAAGAGATGGAATTCAAACTAGGCAGTCTGGTTCCAAAGTCTGCGTTCAACCAGTTAGAGTTAACCTGACAGTGTTTTCTAATTTCCCGTAAAGTGTTACGTGGAGTTCATTTGGAACCTCTTCTGGCTCTAGGAGATGATGTTTCTGTGATTCTGGTAAACTGAGAACACTTCATACATTTCAAGGCTGGTTATAATGCTGGGGTTACAGAAAATAGTTCAGATGTCATTAATAGAAATGAAATAAAAACGAAGGAAGGGGAAAGGGAGAAAGAGAAAAACAGCACATTATTTGTGAAATTTTTCTAATTTTAAGGATTGATCAAAATGTAAAGATGGGCCAGGTGTGGTGGCTCACGCCTGTAATCCCAGCACTTTGGGAGGCTGAGGCAGGTGGATAACCTGAGGTGAGGAGTTTGAGACTAGCCTGCCCGACATGGTGAAACCTCGTCTCTACTAAAAATACAAAAATTAGGTGGTGTTGTGGTGCATGCCTGTAATCCCAGCTACTAGGGAGGCTGAAGCAGGAGAATCACTTGAACCCAGGAGGCGGAGGTTGCAGTGAGCCGAGATCATACCATTGCACTCCAGCCTGGGCAACAGAGTGAGGCTCCATCTCAAAAAAAAAGAAAAAAGAAAAGAAAAGGGAAAGATGGTATCAACAATGAAAATTTATATATCAACCCCTGAAACTCCTTTTATATATCCACCCCTGGAAGAATAAGCCTATAGGAAACTTGTGCTATTATTATTATAATTTAGTTTGACACTTCCTCAATACAAATAATTACAAGATACTGTGTCAGTATCTCACTGAATTTTTTTTTTTTTTTTTTTTTGAGACAGAGTCTCATACTGTGTCACCCAGGCTGGAGTGTAGTGGCATGATCTTGGCTCACTGCAACCTCCACCTCCCCAGTTCAAGTGATTCTCCTGCCTCAGCCACCCGAGTAGCTGGGATTACAGGCACGCACCACCACACCTGGCTAATTTTTGTATTTTTAGTAGAGATGGGGTTTCCCCATGTTAGCTAGGCTGGTGTTGAACTCCTAGCCTCAAGTGATTCACCTCCCTCAGCCTCCCAAAGTGCTGGGATTTCAGGTGTGAGGCACCATGCCCAGCCTCTCTACTCAAGGTTAACGAAGAGTAAAAAGAGATGTTATTATGGGTGATATTGTGGTTATTGGTTGTTATTTGAGGGCTATTCATCATTCTTTGAACATCTAAATGGACTTTGAGAATATGGAAGAAATGGAGAACAATATAAAAGCATAGGCAGCACTATGCTTTACAGGAAAGAATATATATGTATACACATACACATTCACATACATACACATTGGTGTATATATGAGGATAACTGAAAGAAATGGCAATAACATAACATAGGGACAAAGTCAAGAAGCTGTGACTGGTTGGCTTGAAATTGTGAAGTAAATGAAAGAGGTGCAAATTGAAGTTTGAGGCAACTTATTGCTTCTATTTAAAGGGTGGATATTAGGAACTATAACTAGTAATTTAGAGTTGACAACTGCTATAGCTGAACTAGATCTTTTGAGAAACCAAAGGGTGTGACTTAAATGCAAACTCATGCCTTCCAAATTTCATTTCCCTGAAATTTTGCAGAGTAAAAGTTGAGGCTGTTGTCCAGATCTGGATGATGAAGGGATGATGAATCTTGGAATTATTTCCATTCCAGAATCAGTCAGTGACTGAAAGCGGGCATGCACTAGTACAGTTCCATTCCTAAAAATAAATGTTTTGAGTCCTCCAGGACTCAGAGGACTAGCATATTTTCTACTAGCGAAGTCAAGGCTCTAATGAAGTTCTGTGCTCGCTCTGAGCAAACTGAGATGCTACGGAGGAAAACTGGAGGGGATCAAGCTGTTGATTGCTGCCAGTTGCTTTTCCTCAGTGCCTCCCTTGTCCTATTTCCTGAGTTCCAGTTGGAAACTGCTGCTGGACCCCACACTGGTAGCTGACTTCTACCCTATGCAGTGCCCAGGAAAATAGCTCTGGATGCCGCAGAAGCAGAGGTGGTGGATTTTAAATCAAGCTTGTCACTGGAATTGACAGAATTTTAATAACATGAACATGCTTATTTCATTCTGTCCTTTTCCAAGAATATACCAATTTGATAATATGACCCTTGAGTCCAGATTAAAAAACTCCAACTTGCAAGACACAAACCAAAGAGTAATCTTTAGCTTTACAAAAACATAGTTCACTCTCTCCCAGGAGCACTCAGTTCTATTGTTGTTTACAAACTGCTAATTATTTGTCACAATGGCTTACTAGTTAGATAATATGAAGGTGACTTATTAGGGCAGTGCTGAATCAAAGCAAACAAACACAAAATCAACGACAGAGATATTGATAAATTACCCATGAAGTTACAAAGCAATTAAATGGGGGGAAATGTGACTCTACTTATCAAAATTTAATGTTCATTGTTTTAAAAAACCCAGTAACTTTATAATGTGAGATCTATTTACAATTGATTTCAATGCAATTAAGTTCCTATGAATTAAAAATAATATAACATAGTATAGTATTGCTATTCAAAAATTATTTGATATTCAGTCCACATTAAACTTGAAATGGAAAACACCGAGAAAATGTTTTGAAACTATATTGCCAGACTGTGCTTTTAAAATTAATGCTAATACGTGCTTTTTAAAAAAGCTTTTCTATGTTGATAACTATCAAATTAACTCATTTACAAATATACATGCAGATATATTCAGATTTTAGGGGAAGATGCATTGGATCTTTGAATAACAGAGAAACTTCCCACAATAAACTCTTTTGGTATTACATTTATTTTAAGTGATACGTATGCCGGGAGCAATTTGGCAATTCCTTACTTTTGAACAGTCAGACCTATCTAAGGCATTAGGTTCACCAGGCAACAAGGATATAATCTGCATACTATTCGAAAAATGTAAAAGACAAAGATCTACTTGAAGGCCTGCCAAAAAAAGAGTAGTGAAAAGTGATGTGTCCAGTGATGAGAGTGGGGTTTTGGGGCAGAATCTCAGCTAACAAAGATGAACAAATTTACATGCTTTGTAAAATTTAAAAATAAGCCAGTCATCATCTTTCAAGTT
Source organism: Homo sapiens (assembly GCF_000001405.40). Classification (NCBI taxonomy): domain Eukaryota; kingdom Metazoa; phylum Chordata; class Mammalia; order Primates; family Hominidae; genus Homo; species Homo sapiens. The sequence continues at coordinate 167,191,608 of NC_000002.12, read as the reverse complement.
TTAACAGAATATGCAGACAGGTCTCCTTTTCCACAATTTGTCCTAATTTCAAGAGAAACATGAAATGCAAAATGAAAAGCCACAAAAAGCTACTGCAAGAAAAACAAGGCCTTTCAAGATATACTTGGAAATGTATCCGGAGTCATGGGGGTGGGCTGGGGTTGGGTTGATGTCTTTTGGCACAAAGATTTGCAAAATGATATAAATGACATGAAGTACAGAAACAAATCAAGACAGTTAGTTTCTAGTTCTCTGTGCTTAAACCATGTATGAGTTACTAGCTAGTCTTCCCGTGCCTCAGCTTTCTTAATCTAGAATTTGAAGGCATTAAATGAACTAGTTACTGAGGTCTTTGTGTTAGCAATGTCTTTTCTTTTCTTTTCTTTTCTTTCTTTCTTTCTTTTTCTTTTTTTTTTTTTTTTTGAGACAGGGTCTCACTCTGTCACCCGGGCTGGAGTGCAGTGGCACGATCATGGTTTATCGCAGCCTCAACCTCCTAGATTCAGGTGATCCTTCTACCTCAACCTCCCAAGTAGCTGAGACTGCAGGCATGCATGTCACCATGCTCAGCTAATTTTTTGTATTTTTTGTCCAGATGGGGTTGGTCTCGAACTCCTGGGCTCAAGAGATCTGCCTGCCTCGGCCTTCCAAAGTGCTGGGGTTACAGGCGTGAGCCACCATGGCCAATAAATTTCTTTTATCTTTGGAACATTTAAAAAGGAAAACTATTCTACCAAGAATGTGGATTACCTTCTGTGGTGCTCACTGGTAGGTTATTTTTATGCCATTATTTATGCTACAAAGCCCCAAGAGTCATTAAATATGGCCACATTGTCATTGTTGTGAAAAACTCATACACGTAATTGATTGCATTTGCTGATTTTCAACTTTTTCAAGAAACCAAAACCTGCTCTTTTCATTGCCTAATTGTCATTGTTTTTTGTGCTCTTACTGATTATATTATACAAATGGAAAAATAGTTTAGTTAAATTTGTAAGAGGTGGATTCCAATGACTAGGAAAATAAATAGTAAGAAATTTTTACTCTGGAATTCATAGGTATCATGTCAAAGGAGAAGACCATATTGTGGACATAATAATACATGTTATAATAAGAAATACATATTTGGTCTTAGTCCCCAGTCCCTGGCATAGAAACCCTGGAGTCTCCCGAGAATGACTTTTTTATGCTAATGGAATGACTCTTGGCAGTCAGGAGTGGGGGGTAGGGGTGGGGAGTAGCTTCAGGATAGGGGCTGGTTGCCAGAAAAAACAATAAGTGATTAGAGGATTAGAACATTCAACCCCATGTTTGGCCTCTGAAAAGAACAGAGAGGTGGAGATTGAGTTCAATCAGCAATGGTCAATGATTTAGTCACTCATGCCTTATGTAATGAAGCCGCCATAACAACTCCTAAAGGACAGGGTTTGGTGAGCTGCCAGACTGGTGAACACATCCAAGTGCTGGGGATAGCTCGTTAGAAGAAAGCAAGGAAGCTGTGTGCTTCTGCCCTTTAATGCCATACCTTGCCCTATGCATCTCTTCCATCTGTCTGTTCCTGAATTATAGCCTCTATAATATACGAGTAATAACAAATAGAACACTTTTCTGAGTTCTGTGAGCCATTCTAGCCAATCATCTGAGGAGGGAGTTGTGGGGACCCCTTAATCACTAGTCAGGTTGGCAGAAAGATTGGTGGCCTGGGCACTCCATTAGTGGCTGTCTTGTGAAGTGGACAGCCTCATGGGACTGAGCCTTCAACCTGTGGAGTCTTTGCCGAGTCCTGGACCTAGTGTCCGAACTGAATTGAACTGTAGGACAGCCAGTTGGTGTCAGAGAGTTGGAGAATTGGTTGGTGTTGGAAAAGACACAACACTTAATATCAGAATTAGTGTCAGAAAACCGATAATACAACATGCCACACAGTCATATAAACAACATGCACCTATATGGAATAAATCAGTGTTCTAAAAAAGTCATTAATTAATTAGAAAAGGTGAAGTAACCGTTCTGTGAGGGATGAACCTGTTATGTGAATGAGCAAGTGTTTGTTTCAGAAACAGGAAGAAACACATTACAATTTAATTAAATTTCAAAGTGTAACTTCAATGCTTTCATAAGAGGAGGTGGGAAACAAATAAAAAAGACAATATAATGTCAATTAAGTTCTGTCTTCACAGATCGTTCAATCAAAAATCTTGGAATTACACTGCTGGGCACTTATTAAGTGTCTGCCCTGTTCTATAAATTAATAAATCTAGACATGACTCCTGGCTATCAAACAAGTCTTACAAAAATGGTCTCTTTTAATACCCAGAGTTGTGTGTATGTGTGTGTGTGAGAGAGAGAGCACAAGAGAGAGAAAGAGAGAGACAGAAATATATCGGTTCCCAGTATTGAAGTTACCAGGAGTGCCCAACTCCACATTGCCTAATCATAAGTAGTATTTTACCAAGTAAGTAAAAAGAATACTAAGGTGGAGAAGTTTTTCAAACATGGTAAAGGTAAAGGGAGAGGCTGGAACTGAGAATAGTGGGAAGCTATCAACTGTGAACAACAGTACATTATCAATGAACCTTGTGGGCTTTTAACCTCAAATTAAAGCTGAAGAAAGGCAACACTCTCCTCTTCCTCTGTAATCACAGAAGAAATGATGCCCAAACTGACATTTTTCCATGAACATTTTCCCAAGTGAAGCCTCTGAGATCATTAAAGAATGTCTCATTTTATTTTTCAGGTGGTTGAGGGAAGCTGTATCTTAAAGATGCCCAACACCAGATGAAAGCAAAAACATTTAGTCCAAACTCCAGACTGCATTTTTCCCAAACAGTTGGCACTTTGCCATAGTGCAGGCATCTGAAATGCGGACTGACTTTTAGAAATGGACCTAGTTGTTAGTTTATATGTTGCTAGCAAGAAGAAAAAATACTCAAAGATTAGGCAGAGGAGCAGAGAAATACTTAAGCATAGAATTCAGTTTTCTCATTTCTGACCCAATAGTTTTGCCACTCAATAATTTTATCTTCTAAAACTCAAAACAGGTGCTCTTTCATATTAAAATTCATGGCTCTGAATGTCGCCAAGGTAAATATTTTGCCTGTCCTTTGGTGCACTGTACATAAAATTTTAAAATAATTCAAACAAACTACAGCTTGTCAGTGACCAAATAGAGCACTGGTAAAAATAAAATATCTTTTGGTTCAGCACCAGCTGGCTAAATTTAAACCCTGTATTATGTAATCTTAAAGTGTCCTTGCTTTTAGTTGGTGTCTTAAGAGATTCTGTTATCACGTCTCTTCCAAATCACTTCAGTCTCTAACATCTAAACATTTAAGGCCCGACAGGACCAAATTAAGGTGTTCACAGGCAATCGAAGACAGAAGAAAAATCCATTTGAAACAGTATATAGGGCATGATATCTTTAAAGTAAAATCTCAGTCTTCTCTGTTTAAGGTTGTAGTTACTATAATTAGGACTGGCAGATCCAACTGGCAGTGCTTTTCTTAATTCTGCAAAACATGTAAGAACCTGATTCTTTAGTCTTATTCCAGTAATACTCCCAGAGGAGATGAGACTCTGGCTGGAGCAAGAACTACAAAAGCAAAGTAAGGCTGAAAAAGAATAATTTTCATGCATTTCTTTGAGCAAGCTGTAACAGTTGAAAATGTTGTAAACTCTTCCTTTCCCTCAACAAATTCCAAGAAATACAATTTATAGTTTTAAATATATTCATTACATTTCTGCTCATAAATGACAAACTAATTTTTTTCTGTGCTTTCCCTCTTATTTGTAAGTTGAAGTATAATTTTAACTCATGACTGTTTATCAAGTTTGGCTCATTATTCTTCAATATTAAATATGAAAAATGCTATTCTGCAAAGACACTAACATATGAAGCTCTAAATTTTATCCTATTAAATCAATGCTAAATATTATCATAGAAGCAAAATCCAACTGGATATTTTCTTTTACAATGATTACAATTTGACCTATGGTCTTCATTGACCTTAAGTAACCAGTGAGAACATTTTACAATCCAGGAAGCAGACATATAGTCAATGACTATATTACACTTACCTTTTATGATATTTAGGTTTAACCCCAAGTTTGTGGAAATATCATATATCTTTATAGTTCTTCACAGACTAGCTTCCTCCCTTGTTTCATGTACAGCCAATTTCCCAGTCCCCTGAAAGCAATGGGTGCAGTGGAGGCCCGCTCCACTGAAGGGTCTATCAAGCAAGTAGATGGGACGGCTGAATTTATTTTAGCAGAGCGTCTAAAGGATGCAACTTGGCACCTATTTTTAGGAACTGAGCTCTGTATAGGTGGGGCCTGAGTCAACCACTCTTTTAAGAAGAGTGTCTCTGAGGCCACTCTGCCTCATAGTGCCCTCAGTAATGTATGCATGGCTCTAACACATGTGCAGTCAATCAAACTCCCTTCCACAGCCACGACCACCAGCCAACTCTGAATTTCTGTATAAAGGCTACAAATGAACCAGTGCCGATGAGGAAAAGGATGGATTAAAGTTCCGGAATTACTTGCATTTGTTTTAATACTTTCAATCTTTTAAGAGTCAAGAATATGAAAATAAAGCAGGTGGAAAAAGTTTCCATTTATTCTGGTGCAATAATTAACATGAATTCTTGGGAAGAGGAGACATTGCTTTTCTTTGACAAAATGTTCTTAGATATGTAAAACATTAGTTTGTTTTTTAAGGCTTCACATATAAAGCAAAACACTACTCTAGTGTTGGCTTAAGTAAAGGCTGTGCTGGTTTAGTTAAAAAAAAAAAAAAAACAAGGAAGAATGGTGGAAAGGAATTCTAGAGAGAATAGAGAGCACCCTTGCTGTGTGAGTCCTGCTCATTAATATTGGCTTTAAATCATTCAGCATGAGGAAGAGCAAGCAGGGAAAAGGAGTCACCTCACGTGCTCCTGAGAGAATCATATTAAATGTCCTTTGCTGCCAGGACTTACCAAACACATGCTGCCAATCTGACCCAGAACCCAATGAGCATTGCCATTTAGCTCAAAAATGACAACATCTCATACATTCTCAGTAAATAGAAAATAACCAGCTTCCTTTATCTTTCCTCCCTTCTGTGATTTTCCTAATGTGGTGTGGCCTAACGACAAACTCAAATAAAGAAAGGAAATTGCCCTTTGGCTTAAAGAAACACCTGACCTATATACTCTATTTCATATAAAATGCCTATTTGTAAGCTGTTTACTATAATACTTACTAATAAAATCAGTAGGTATATTACATTTTTCCATATACAATATTGGTTTCTGTTAAAAGTAGGTCAAGGAGTGATATTCCAGCATATTAACTCTAAGAACAACTTTCTGAGATAGTGTTCTATATACTCCACAAGAGTGTTCAGGGCCAGGAGCCAGTATAGACTAATTATTTAGAGTTGTGCTTCTGAGTATGATAGCTATTAAGCACATGTAGACATTTAAATTTTAATTGATCAAAATTAGGTAAAATTAAAAATTCAGTTCTTTGGCTACATTTCAAGTAAATCAGTCTCCACATGTGGATAGTAGCTATGTATTAGTGCAGATATAAAACATTTCCAACATTGCAGAAAGGTCTCTTGGACAATACTGATTTAAATCACAGAATTTCAACATAGCTTTGACAGTAATATACTCTGTGACCTGGGCAAGTTTCATAAGTTGTCTAAGCTTCACTTTATTCATCTGTGACTAAATGGGACTAAGCTGACCAACCTTCCATTGGTGTTATGAAGATGAAATGAGATAATATAGATAAATTAATTATTATACTTACATTGTTATTACTCCAACATAACATTTACATAGAAAATAATTATTACTTTAGTTTGCTATATGCAAAAGAAAATGGTACTGGATCTGAAATCACAATAGTTCAATTTAAATTATGAGGAGATAGATCCTACAATGTAAACATAGTCAATTTTATTCTTATATTTGCATATAGTTGCTAATGATGCTTATGGTGATTTTACTCTTTTTAAAGGTTGTTAATTACTCAAAGATCTGACTTCTAGCTTCCCCACCTTCTCTCTCCTTATTAAAAACTCACTGCTTACTCTTTCCATTTTATTGATATGTTTCTTTAAGTTTCACTCATGATAACTTTTCTTCAAACTTGCTGTTTTTGATTTTTCAGGAAAAAAGTGTATTTGATAAAAATACATATACATTAAATATTATTTTTTCACTTTTTTCTCATAATAAATTTTCTAATGTATATATTAGTACAAAAACCCAATGATTATACATTAAGACCAACAAAAAATGGTCAGGAAAAGAAACCTTGGTGGAACACTGTATAATAATTGGTAATAATTAAGAGCAATAAATGTTAAATCTACAGGAGCACACATAAATTAACTGACCTAAGTTCAAGCAAAAATGTTCAGTCATAAAATTAATTAGTGATCACGTAATTTGGTTCATTCATTTTAGTCATGAAGACAATGAAAACATCAGGACCTAGATTCTGACCATTCATTATTACAGTGGTTTTAGACACTAAATTTCATTCTTCATTTAATAACAGTTTAATCAATTATTATGAAACCACTATGAAAGCAAGACAGATGAATGACGGGTAGATGGATGGATGCATGATAGACAGACAGACAGATATAAAGGCAGAAAGATTCATAAGGTGATCCCTTGTATCACAAAACTTAGTACATTCAAATTGAAAATTTTACTCCCTATCTAATCTGATATAGATAGTGCCTAGATACCTCCACCTATTACAACCTGTATTGTACTTGACTGAAACTTACTTAAGTTCTTCTAGTGGGATGATGCTAGTAATTAGCATCAGGCCAATGCTGTCATGGAAGACAAATAGAAAGTGACATCAATTGCAGAGATAATATATGTAAGGCATCAGAGATAGCCAAACCAATGAGACCCAGAAGCAGTACAATTCAAGAAAGACGAGAACCTTACAAATATAAGTTGAGGATTTGAGGCTGTTCTTGGGGGTCTTTGTCAATTTTGGATGCAGGTGGAGCCTGAGAATCTGGGCTTGGTCCGTGGAGAACACTGCTGCTGGAAACAGAAAAACAGCAGAACCTTTGGCAATTCCATGGGACTGGAGCAACAAAACTGAAGAAGCGAGGGATCTCAAATTCTATTTTCTGTCTAAGATGTTTCCTAAATTCCAAAATTTCACAGGATAGCAGGATACAATCGTAAGGCCAAACAAAGCCCAAGAAAAGTGAAGTGGAATAGCCTACATTTTCATGCTACTTAACAAACAAGTATCTCTGAGGAGGGCTGGTAACAGTTGAAAGCCTTCAAATAACAGGGATACTGACTCTAAAATAATGTGCAACAACTGCTTGTCTTTAGAAATGGCTTGATAATCTGGGTTTAGCTGGAGGCTGAGAAATCTGTCTTGGCCCTAGCAGATGGGAGACAGATGAACCAGCAAAGGTTTTGGCATTTGATCAGGCTTGGAGTGATAAAATTGGTGCCTTGAGTATATTCAAACACAGCCAATCTCCCCCTCAAAGCATTTGCCAAATTCGGAAGCTTCGCATGGTGTGAGGCTAAATAGCCAAGCTGAAAAACCTCAGAAAATAGAGCAGGGATTCCTGCAGACTCCATGTTGAGGAGAAAAGGATCTCACGGATTCTCAAAAAAATAAATAAATAAATTAAGGCGGTCAGCGCCTCTCTGCTCTCCATTCTATCTGCTCAGCAGAGGAAAGATTTAATATCTCTGACGAAGGTCACAATCTGCAGCTTTGTTTTTGAATACACCCTGCTTACTTTCAATTATAAAAGTACTAAGCATGCAAAGAGACAGAATATTGTCATTGATACTAAAAAAAAAAACTTTTCAAGGAAGCAGGTGTTGTAGATACTTAAATTAGCAGATAAGGACTTTAAAATAATCACAATTGATATATTTAAGAAAATATAAGAAATAACACACAAAACATATGAAAAGATAGAGAATTTCATGAGAAAATTAAAATGACAAAATCACAATGAAATAGATATTCAAAATTTGAGAAATACAATACCAGAAATTAAGAAATCAATGGTAGATTTAACAGCAGATTGTAAATAGCAAAATACAAAACTTTTAATCTGGAAGACAAATGGATAAACAATAGAAAGCATGGGTATGGATATTTTTTATTAAATATCAGTAAGTACTCACTAGATTTTCAGCAGCAGTATGATATTATTGAATCATATAACTACACTCCATTAAAACCTTTGTTGCATTTGTCCTTGACAAGCTACATCTACATTCTCTCATGTTTGTTCATTTTGTGCTAAGTGAATGAAAACAGTGCCACCCCATTACTACAGCTTGCTTTTGCCTTCTAGTACAGTTGCTTTCTTCACAACTTGCAATCTATGTCTTATCCTAGTCTACAATGAAAGATATTTAGCAAAACAGAGCCCCTAACATATACAAAGCCCTTCTACTGCTAAAGACTTCCCTCTTAGGTTAAGTTGATATACGACATTAGGTCCACTTAGGAATCCATTATTTGTAGGTGTTCTTGATAACCTGAAATAAAATTGATCTGGTTAGGGTACTTCAAAATTCTATGTGCTTCTTTTCTAGGCTATGAGACATTTTGAATTCACTCCCTTTTCTATTTTGGCTGGTGCTACCATTTGCTAGGTGAAGACTATTCTCTTTGACATAAAAGACCAACATTGATTTGGCTCATGTTTATTTTCTTGTTCATTAATTAATATAAAAACTTTCCAATAAAAGTAGTAAATATTTTTTTCTTTCTTTAATTTTCCTTTAAGAGAACCATTTACATTTTATAAAGAAATTGTGCCAGCAATTTAATTAGGTGATTTACCTTTATTATTTTCTTTTATTCTGTCAGCAACCCCAAGATATTAGTGTTTTCACCATTTTATAGAAAGAAACTGAGGATGAGTGAAGTTAAATAACTTCTCCAAGGACAAAAGTTAATAATCAGCAAAAGTGGGAATTGAATTCATTTCTGCTGACTCTACATGTTTGGATTATTTGGGATATTATTTATCCTGACCTTAATCTAAAAGTTCTATACAAGCACTACGTTGGGTGATATGTTTTGAGAGGGATCAACTCTTCCCCATAATAAATTCTTAGTGTAGGCCTGCAATAGGTAGGCTCTGGCAAGGCCCTGTCTCTGCATGGTAGCAAAGCGAACTATCAGGGGAGGTATGGGAACTTTAATGCTGGGACAACTGTAGTTCAGTCATCTGATATGTAATTCTGACCCAATGGGGCCCATCTAAGGTTTTTAGAATTAAAGAGCAAACATATGAATATGAAAGTTTCATATTATTAGCTAGCATACACAAAACACTAGCCCACCAATTAGGATTTGGCAATCTGCTTTGACCCTTGTAGGTAGCATGACCCATTGACCCATTCAAGTGTCATGTAAGCATAATTAGGGTATTAGTAATTGAATTGCAGTTAAATTTAATCAGGTATAATTTACACTTGTCCAAGTTTAATTCCATTAAAATTATATCATGGTATTAATAAAGTATGAATAAGGTCTTTGGGCATATGACTCATATTTAAATCATATCTCATAGTGTTAAGTAGAGCGACCGTGATAAATTTATCATGCAAGCCAGGGGGCTTTGGGGAGTGAAGAAAGCACCATTAATAACTATGCCAACATAATGGCATAAGCTGGGATGGTCCAGGGGAAACAGGGATGCATAAACACCTGACCAATGAGCCAAATGTGGACCGTCTTGACTCACCACTGGAGCACACACTGAGTAGGATTTCTAATGATCTGGCTCCCAATATAAAAAATAAAAGTAAAACTGTTCTTTACTAGTTACGTCAGTGTTTAAAGGATCATCTCTGTCCTATAAATATAATTTTGATCAGACATATCCCTTACAATAAAGACAGGAATGAATGAAAGAACTATAGAGAATCAATGATATTTGTTCTGGAGGAAAAAAGGTAAGGTATAATAAGGAAGCTTCCTTGTTAAAAAAAATGGTGCAGGTCCAGATGTTCTTGATAGGCTTCTTGTCAACCTTCAATTAAAATAATTTAAAAAATAAAAAATAACATTAATTACTAATAATGAGAGAGAGACAGTAAGAATTTGAAGAAAAACAAGAATTTGAAGAAGACAAAGAGGAAGAGGAGTTGGAGAAGATATGCTGAAATTCGTACAGAATTTCCAATTGTGGTTATCTTTGTGAGCAACAAACGTGAATCACAGTTTTGGATGACATACTGCATAGGACAAACTCTGAGTCAGAGAAGAACAAATAGTTTCCCCAAATAATAGAGAGAGGCTTGGACTCACTCCACAGTCTAAGTTTGCTTTGACCAAAACTAGGTGGGCTCACCAATTCCGTGTAAACATCTTCTGGACCAGCCCAAGCCACAGCCCTGCCTCTGCTACACCCCTACCCCATCATTATATACCTATGCACACACCATGTCTCTCAAGAGAAAAGGAAAAGATAGGGATGTGTTGTTAGGTTTTTAAGGGAACAATGCTTTAGAGAAGGGATGGTGGAACTCTGTAATATTTCATGGTTTGTACCATACAAAAGGAAGTTTACACATTGTATCTGAAAACACAAGTTAGGATTGTAAGGTATAGGATAGAAGTCATAATTCTATTCAGCAACTTTGCACAGTATCAGTAATTCAAGATTTTAGATATAATTCAGAAGGAAAAGAAAAATCAATGGGAGAAATTACAGGATCCAAGTATTTAGTGATGGCACAATAAGAAAAATGTACTCATCTTATTGAAAGGAAATGGTGGACCTCAGTCAATGAAGACCCAATGCAAGTGAAGTAAGTGGACAAGGTAGAATAAAGAGGCACTGCTCAACAATGGTAAGGGACAGTGACTGAATGAGGCACAGAACTGATCAAGTTTATTAGTTTATTCCAAAATACCTGAAAAAGTCACAAAGATACAAGCTACATTCTTGATGTGCTCAAAAAGATTCAGGGAGAGAAGCTTCTATGAAAGTGGATTAGCTGTTATTAAGGAGACAATAAAATGAAATAAAATAACGAAAACAGTGAAGACTAAAATAGACTGCAAAAAATGCAAAATTCAACAGAAAAATTAAAATGGCACTTGATACAGAAAAGAGCACATATAAAAATGAAATTCAATCAATGTAATGGGGAAAATTTTGAGAAATTTTTCCATAACACAGGAGCAAAATCAAAGAGATGAAAATGAAGACCTAGATAAGGATTAATATGAAGGAAGAGGTATGATCAAAGAAACATAACTGTTTCAGAGGAGGAAAGAGCAAAATAGCACAGAAATAAATATTAAATTTAAAAGGAAAGAAAAAGTTTTTGAGGTGAAGTAAGATCTGAGATGACAAAACCAAAGGCTCAAGACATCTGGATATGCCCTTATAAATTTTTGAATTTTAAAGATTAAAAAGTAATGAATAAAGAAAAAAGACAACTGATCTCAGAGTTCTTCAGTAAGATACGCACTATGAAACAGTGGAATATTAAGTGAAAGGTGTTTCAAGTTTGTTTGTTTTTGTAATGGACATAGATTTGAACAGATAACTCTATTTGTAGACAACTTTCTGTTATTTATGTATGAAGAATATAGAGGCATATTTTAGAATATATAAAAAATTTCTGATCAGGTGCAGTGGCCCATGCCTGTAATCCAGTACTTTGGGTGTGTGGGGCGAAAGGATGACCTGAGCCCAGGAGTTTGAGAAGAGCCTAGACAACATAGGGAGATCCTGTCTCCACAAAAACACACACACACACAAATTTAGGCCAGTGCAGTGGCACATGCCTATAGTCCCAGCTACGTTAGAGGCTGAGGTAAGAGCATCTCTTGAGCTCTGAAGTCAAGGCTGCAGTGAGTAGTGATCATGCCACTGCACTCCAGCTTGGGCAACAGAGCAAGACCCTGTCTCAAAAAAAAAAAAAAAATTATCAGATAAAGAAAATGATTAGGCTGGGTGCGGTGGCTCACGCCTGTAATCCCAGCACTTTGGGAGGCCAAGGTGGGCAGATCATGAGGTCAGGAGTTCGAGAGCAGCCTGGCTAATACGGTGAAACCCTGTCACTACTAAAGATACAAAAAATTAGCCAGGTGTGGTGGTGCACCCCTGTAATCCCAGCTACTCAGGAGGCTGAGGCAGAAGAATCGCTTGAACCCGGGAGGTGGAGGTTGCAGTGAGCCGAGATGGCGCCATTGCACTCCAGCCTGGGCAACAGGGAGAGACTTTGTCTCAAAAAAAAAAAAAAACAAGAAAAAAAGAAAATGATTAATGTGTCCTCACTGGGGAAGCGACTAAAATATATCTGCAAGCTCACAAAAGAAGATTCCAAGTTAAGAGTAAAGAACGGGAAGCTTATTGTATAAAAAGACATTATTTGCATTAAAACCAAACAAATATTGTAATTGCAGTTATAAAATTGGATGTAAAATTAAAATATTCCTTGAAAAATATACATAAAAAGAACACAGCTTTAGTATATATAACATTATTATATTATGTTAATAATGTAATGATTCAAGGATCTAGTCTTAGATTAAAATATATCCTGTGTCATTTACTATCGAGAGTGGAGAAAAGCAGGAGAAATAAAATTTAGTTGAATATTTTGGAGATTGATGATTTATTCAGTCATTCAGTCATACATTCTTTCACTGAGAAAGTTTTCAAATGTTTATTGAACAACTCTGTGTGAAGTGCTATGCTAGATATGATGTTTACAGATGAACAAAACATCCATGGGCCTTAGTAACACACGAATAGATATGTATAAAACGGGATAAGTTTATGAAGGAGAAGAAATCAGTAGTGTGAGGAAAAAAAGCAAAAAGTTTAATTTGAGTGGTCCAGAAAAACACCTTAAGGTGGTCATCAAATTTTAAATTTCATCAGGAGAATAAATACAAAAAGAAAAAAAAAAGTGAAGTAAAAAACTTATGAACAAATATGGCTCACTAGCCTACACAAAAATTACTATTTACAAAGCTGTATTAATTAAATGCTGTGAAATTAGCAGAAAAATGAGCATTATTTTTTAGTGGAATAAAAATAACCATCCCGAATCAAACAATAGTGTTTAGTAAAGGTAACAAAATGGAAGAAATTTGTCAAACAGCCTTTGGAAACCCAACTAAGTAACTAGAAATAAATTATTTTAAAAGCTCACATTATACTTCATTTCAAAATATATTCCAAGCTAATTAAATACCTCAGTTTAAATGCAGTTAGTAAGTATAAGAAACAGAAATGTGTTTTTCATAGTTATATGTTGAGTCAACATTTCATACAGCACAAGAAATTATGCATAAAACATCTTCTCTAAAAAAGCACTCAATCCTTTTTAATATAGGTAACTGATTGCTGTTAAGTTTTTCATGTATCCTGAAATGTTCTCTGTATACAGGCACATATATGTGTTCATATTTGAATAAAACACATGTACAAATAACATGTATATATATGAAACAATACTTTTCACCTTTCTACAAATGGGAGAATTATATACCCAGTGCTCCACATTTGCTTTTTTTTTTTTTGTTTTTACTGAATAATGTTGCAAATCAATTTCTGTTAGCATAAGAAAATCTTATAAATCTTAACGGTCATTGTATGGACATACCATATTCCATTTAGTTAGTCTCCTATTTGTGGTTGTTTAGGTTGCTTCCAGAATTCTTCTATTAGAAAAAACGATGCAATCAATAATCTCAAACCTGTGTGTGCTTGACATATTAAGGGCTACATGCCTCTAATACATATGAGAGATATTGACAAATGCCCTCTAAAGGGCTAAATTACAGTTATTGCCAATTTAATCTTCTACCACTGGTATACGAGAGTACTGTCAAACAGTTGGATATTTGCATATCTGATAGATAAGTGTAGTGTTTCATTATTTAAATTTATATGAATATATTAATTTGGAGTGAGGCAAAGCAACACATGAATATTTAACTGACTTTAAAAATATAAACTTATCTTTCTCATAAGGGCAAAAACCTAGACAATCTAAATGCCTACAAATTGAGAATTTGTTAAGCAAATTAATATACATTATAGAATGATTATAAGCAGACTTTTTTTATAAAATGTTTTTGAAGAATACTTAATAACATGGAAAAGTGTTCACATTAGATGTCAATGCAACTTCAGATTTCCCTTAGGATGCAGGAAATTGCAACAGAAAACATTCTTAAAATAACAATGAGCTGAATACTCTACATTCATACATATAAATATAGAATTACAGTATTGTTTTAAGTCCATCTGAAAACCAAGGTTATAGGAGAAACCTAATGAACTGAAATGAAAAAGAAATGATAAGCTCTATCTATGAGATTAGAGACAATTATTGTTTTCATCTTTAGCACATCACTGGGAGGAGGAAGCTACCATAGATGTAGATAAAACAAAAACAGCTGAGCTATTAATTATTCTTAAAAGTAGATTTGGGCTAGTGTGACATTTAAAAATCCTTTTAAGTCCAAGGCACAAAGAAGATCTACGCCTGCCCACCAACTGTCTCCCATAGAAGTTCACTCAGCTGCAATGAGATCTACTGGTGGAAGGATTGAAGAGAGAAACCTCACAATCAGCTTGGTCCCTTAATCTGAGTGCAAGACAGTGACCATGTACAAATGAATTAGGGACAGAGGAGCAGACAGACACATCCCTCCCCAACACAGGTGACTGGGTTCTCTGGAAGTCTGAAAGGAGTGCAGGGGAGCTAAGACAAACCATTCAGAAACTCAACTACCAGGACTTGCTAAACAATGATTCCAATTCCACTCACTAATGTAAATCCTCTGGTGAACTAAATATAACAAAGACAATCATAGAACTGATACATAGCTAATCTGTAGACTAAATTGACTTACCCCACACTAACAACCTTACAAAATAAATATGCCCTTTACTGAGAGGGCATAATATTTATTTCAGCTTGTTCTGTTCTTTACACAAGATGTCCAGTACTCAATTAAAAAATCATGAAGCCCCAAAGGAAGCAAGAACACGTGACCTACCATAAAAGAAAACACAGTCAATAGAGCTGGAGGCAAAGATGGCTTAGATGTTAAAATTATTCAATAGAAACTTTAGAATAGAGAGGGGACTGGCAAGATGGTTGAATGGGAACAGCTCCGGTCTGCAGCTCCAGCGAGATCAATGCAGAAGGCGGGTGATATCTGCATTTCCAACTGGGTTACTCATCTCATCTCATTGGGACTGGTAAGACAGTGGGTGCAGCCCACGGAGGGCGAGCAGAAGGGTGGGGCATTGCCTCACGTGGGAAGTGTAAGGGGTCAAGAACTCCCTCCCCTGGCCAAGAGAAGGCCCTTCGTTTCAAGCACGAAACTGGGCAGCTGTTTGGGCAGACACTGAGCTAGCTGCAGGAGTTTTATTTTCATACTCCAGTTGGCACCTGGAATGCCAACGAGACAGAACCGTTCACTCCCCTGGAAAGGGGGCTGAAGCCAGGGAGCCAAGTGGTCTAGCTCAGCAGATCCCACCCCCATGGAACCCAGCAAACTAAGATCCATTGGCTTGAAATTCTCGCTGCCAGCACAGCACTCTGAAGTCGACCTGGGATGCTCAAACTTGGTAAGGG
Source organism: Homo sapiens (assembly GCF_000001405.40). NCBI lineage: Eukaryota > Metazoa > Chordata > Mammalia > Primates > Hominidae > Homo > Homo sapiens. Next base: position 167,175,964 of record NC_000002.12, on the reverse strand, counting down.
AAGGGACGTCCACCATTACTGAGGCTTGAGTAGGTGGTTTTTCCCTCACAGGGTAAACAAAGCCGCTGGGTACCACAGCTAGGCAAAGCTGCTGTAGCCAGACTGCCTCTCTAGATTCCTCCTCTTGGGGCAGGGCATCTCTGAAAGAAAGGCAGCAGCCCCAGTCAGGGGCTTATAGATAAAATCCCCAACTCCCTGGGACAGAGCACCTGGGGGAAGGGGCAGCTGTGGGAGCAGCTTCAGCAGACTTAAACATTCCTGACTGCTGGCTCTGAAGAGAGTAGTGCATCTCCAAGGACAGCGTTCAAGCTCTGTTAAGGGACATGACTGCCTCCTCAAGTGGTTCCCTGAACCGCCTGCCTCCTGCCTGGGAGACACCTCCCAGCAGGGGTCAACAGACACCTCATACAGGATAGCTCCAGCTGGCATCTGGCAGGTGCCCCTCTGGGATGAAGCTTCCAGAGGAAGGAACAGGCAGCAATCTCTGCTGTTCTGCAGCCTCCACTGGTGATACCTAGGCAAACAGGGACTGGAGTGGACCTCCAGCAAACTCCAGCACACCTGCAGCAGAGGGGCCTGACTGTTAGAAGGAAAACTAACAAACAGAAAGGAATAGCATTAACATCAACAAAAAGGACATCCACTACATAATGGTAAAGGGATCAATTCAACAAGAAGAGCCAACTATCCTAAATATACATGCACCCAATACAGGAGCACCCAGATTCATAAAGTAAGTTCTAAAGTAAGTTCTCCCACACAATAATAGTGGGAGAATTTAGCACCCCACTGTCAATAGTAGACAGATCAACGAGACAGAAAGTTAACAAGGATATTCAGGACTTGAACTCAGCTCTGGACAAAGCAGACCTAATAGACATCTACAGAACTCTCCACCCCAAATCAACAGTGTATACATTCTCAGCACCACATCATCCTTATTCTAAAATTGACCACATAATGGGAAGTAAAACACTCCTCAGCAAATACAAAAGAATGGAAATCATAACAAACAGTCTCTCAGACCACAGTGCAATTAAATTAGAACTCAAGATTAAAAAACTCACTTAAAACCACATAACTACATGGAAACTAAACAACTTGCTCCTGAATGACTACTGGGTATATAATAAAATTAAGGCAGAAATAAATAAGCTCTTTGAAACTAGTGAGAACAAAGACTCAATATACCAGAATCTCTGTGACACAGATAAAACAGTGTTTAGAGGGAAGTTTATAGCACTAAAAATTGACACCCTAACATCACAATTAAAAGAACTAGAGAAGCAAGAGCAAACAAATTCAAAAGCTAGCAGAAGACAAGAAATAACTAAGATCAGAGCAGAACTGAAGGAGATAGAGACACGAAAAGCCCTTCAAAAATCAATGAATCCAGCAGCTTGTTTTTTGAAAAGATTAACAAAATAGATAGATTGCTAGCCAGACTAATAAAGAAGAAAAGAGAGAAGAATCAAATAGACACAATAAAAAACAATAAAGGGGAGCTCACCACTGATCCCACAGCAATACAAGCTACCATCAGAGAATATTATAAACATCTCTCAGCAAATCAAATAAAAAATCTAGATGAAATGGATAAATTGCTGGACATATACACCCTCCCAAGACTAAACCAGGAAGAAGTTGAATCCCTGAATAGACCAATAACAGGCTCTGAAATTGAGGCAGTAATTAATAGCCTACCAACCAAAACAAGCCCAGGACCAGACAGATTCACAGCCGAATTCTACCAGAAGTACAAACAGGAGTTGGTACCATTCCTTCTGAAACTATTCCAAACAATAGAAAAAGAGGGACTCCTCCCTAACTCATTTTATGAGGCCAGAATCATCTTGATACTGAAACCTGGCAGAGAAACAACAAAAAAAGAAAATTTCAGGCCCATATCCCTGATGAACATCGACACGAAAATCCTCAATAAAATACTGGCAAACCGAATCCAGCAGCACATCAAAAAGCTTATCCACCATGATCAAGTTGGCTTCATCCCTGGGATGCAAGGCCAGTTCAACATATGGTTGACACAGCCAAACCATATCAAATGGCAAACAGGCATATGAAAAAGTGCTCACCATCACTGATCATCAGAGAAATGCAAATCAGAACTGTAATGAGATATCATGTCACCCAATCCAAAAGCCAGGCATTAATAAAGGCTGGTGAGGTTGTGGAGAAAAGAGAACCCTAGTACACTGTAAGTAAATATGTAAATTAGTATATTTACTATGGAGAACAGTTTGGGGTTCCTCAAAAACCTAAAAATAGAGCTACCATACTATCCAACAATCCCACTGCTGGGTATATTTCCTCAAAAAAGGGAAATCAATGTATTGAAGAGATATCTGCACTCTCATGTTTATTGCAGCCTTCTTCACAATAGCCAAGATTTGGAAGCAACCTAAATGTCCATCAACAGATAAATGGATAAAGAAAATGTGGTGCTTATACACAATGGAGTAGTATTCAGCCATGAAAATTAATGAGATTCTGTCATTTACAACAACATGGATGAAAATGGAGGTCACTATGTGAAGTGAAATAAGCCAGGTACAGAAAGACAAACTCCGCATGTTCTCACTTGTTTGTGGGATCTAAAAACCAAAGCATTGAAGTCATGGACATAGACGGTAAAAGGATGGTTATCAGAGGCTGAGAAGCATAGTGTGGTGTTGTCAGGGAGGGAAGTGAAGATGGTTAATGGGTCCAAAAAAAGTTAGAAAGAATTAATAGGAACTATTTGACAGCACAACAGGGGGACTATAGTCAATAATAATTTAATTGTACATTTAAAAATAAAATAGCATAATTGGGTTGTTTTTAACACAAAGGATAAATGCTTGAGGGAATGGATACACTGTTGAAGGAAGTCAGGGACCCCGGATGGAGGGACCGGCTGAAGCCATGTCAGAAGAACATAAATTGTGAAGATTTCATGGACATTTATTAGTTCCCCAAATTAATACTTTTATAATTTCTTACGCCTGTCTTTACTGCAATCTCTGAACATAAATTGTGAAGATTTCATGGACATTTATCACTTCCCCAATCAATACTCTTGTGATTTCCTATGCCTGTCTTTACTTTAATCTCTTAATCCCATCATCTTCGTAAGCTGAGGATGAATGTCACCTCAGGACCCTGTGATGATTGCATTAACTGCACAAATTGTTTAAACAATATGAAATCTGGGCACCTTCAAAAAAGAACAGGATAACAGTGATGTTCAGAGAATAAGGGAAATGACCATTAGGTCTGGCTGCCTGAGAGCTGGGTGGAACAGAGCCATCTCTTCTTTCAAAAGCAAATAGGAGAAATATCACTGAATTCTTTTTCTCAGCAAGGAACAGCCCTGAGAAAGAGAATGTGTTCCTAGGGGTAGGCCTCTAAAATGGCCGTTCTGGGGACGTCTGTCTTTTATAGTTGTGGATAAGGGATGAAATAAGCCCCAGTCTCCCATAGTGCTCCCAGGCTTATTAGGATGAGGAAATTCCTGCCTAATAAATTTTGGTCAGACTGCTTGTCTGCTCTCAAACCCTGTCTCCTGATAAGAGGTTATCAATGACAATGCGTGCCCGAAACTTCATTAGCAATTTTAATTTTGCCCCGGTCCTGTGATCTTGCCCTGCCTCCATTTGTCTTGTGATATTTTATTACCTTGTGAAGCATGTGATCTCTGTGACCCACACCCTATTTGTACGCTCCCTCCCCTTTTGAAAATCACTAATAAAAACTTGTTGGTTTTGCGGCTTGGGGAGCATCACGGAACCTGCCGACATGTGATGTCTCCCCTGGACACCCAGCTTTAAAATTTCTCTCATTTGTAATCTTTCCCTTTATTTCTCAGACCGGCCAACACTTAGGGAAAATAGAAAAGGACTCACATTGAATTATCGGGGGCGGGTTCCCCTGATCATACATAATTTTCCATGATGTGATTACTACGCATCGCATGCCTGTACCAAAATATTTCATGTACCCCGTAAATATATACACCTATTTTATGCCCACAACAATTAAAAATAAAAAGTACATTTAAAACATGTGTCATGAAGACACTAAGAATGGGAAAACTAATGTGGCTATATTGATGTCAGAAAAAGTAGACTTTGAGGTTAAGAGTGTGTAGGATATAAAATGGTGCATGCCACAGTGATTAAAAAGGACCAATTTATGAAGAAGACATAGGATTCTTAAATCCATATATACCTAATAACAAAACTTAAACACTTGAATTAAAAAACTCAGAACTAAGGAAGAAATAAATTCACAATCATAGTTGGGAGCTTTAACATCTCTTTCCATACTTGACAGAATAAGCAGACTAATATCGGTGAATATGTAGAAAACTTGAAAACATTATCATCTGTTTGACTTAGTTGACATGTATAAAACACCAGCCTAATAACAGAATGCATATTCTTCTCAAGTGAACATAAAATAATTATTATTAAAAAACCATCTATATATATAGCAAACTAGTAATTCCTACATAGTATGTTCCTTGAGCACAATTACATTAAATTAGAAATCAGTAACAATAAGATACCTAAAAGTGTTCTAAATATTTCTAAATAAAACAACCCATTTCAAAGTACCCCATGAGTAGAAGAATAAATCAGAAAAACAATTAAAATAAAATTTTAAGTGAATGATAATGCTAAAAACATGTTTAAATTGTAGAATGCAGTTGTAGCAGTAACTAGCCAGACATTTTTAGCGCTAAATGCATCTATTAAAATAAAGAGGGCGGGTGCAGTGGCTCACACCTGTAATCCCAGCACTTTGGGAGGCTGAGGTGGACAGATCACCTGAGGTCAGGAGTTCGAGACCAGCCTGGCCAACATGGCAAAACTCCTTCTCTACTAAAAATACAAAAATTAGCTGGGTATGGTGGTGTGCACTTGTAATCCCAGCTACCCAGGAGGCTGAGGCAGGAGAATCACTTGAACCCTGGAGGCGGAGGGTGCAGTGAGCTGAGATTGGGCCACTGCACTCCAGCCTGGGCAACAGAGAAAGACTCTGTCTCAAAAAAAAAAAAAAAAAAAAAAAGAAGAAAGGCAAAAAGAGAAGTTTTACCTTAGCAGCTGAAAAAAGAAGAGTAAAATAAAGTGAAAGCAAGTTGAAGAATGGAAATAGGAAAAATAAGATTAGAAATCCATATAATAGAAATGTACCATAAAGATAAAGCAAAACTAGTTGCTTTATTAATTAATAAAATTGCTAACGTCTAGCAAGATTGCTTAAAATAGAGGAGAAAATAGAAATTATCAGTAGTAGGACTGAAATATTGAACGTCACTACAGATATTGCAGATTTTAAAAGGAAAAATAAGAGAGCATTGATAATCAATTTTTTGTCAGTAAATAGACAACTCAGATGATGTGAATCAATTCTTTGAAAAGATACCACTAATCACAAGCAACACAAGAAATAAAATATACAAATAGCTCTATATTCAGTAAATGAATTGTAATTTTAATTTAAATTATCTCCCCACTGAAAAATATCCAAGTGTATATGACTTCATTGGTAAATTCTATCAAAGATGTAATAAAGAAATAATACCAATATTTCCTAAAATTTTTTTCAGAAAAATAGAGGGAAGAAACACTTCCTGACATGTTTTTTTGAAGCCTACCTAACCCTGATACTAACATCAGGCAAGGGAATTAAAAGAAAGAGAAGTTAAAGACCAATATTTCTCCTGAGCATAAACTCAAAAATCTCAACATATTAGAAACTTAAATATAGCAATATAATAAAGAGATCATTTAAAAAAATTTTTAAAAGTTCTTTATCATTGCAATAACTGAAGAAACGTACTTGGCAGCATTCAATACTCACTTATGATTAAAACTCTCAACAAAGACTAATATGAAACTCAACAAAGAGCAGGTACAAAATTCCTTACAGCTAATGTCACACAATAAAATGAATGCTTTTTCTATATTAAGAATGAGATGATGATGTCTACTCTCACCTCTTCCACTTAGTATCATATTAGAGTGCCTTACAAGTATAATAGGGCAAGAAAAATAAATATAAGACAAAATGATCAGCAAGGAAGAAGTACAGCTCTCATTATTCCATCATAACCATATATTCAACAATGTCCAAAAATTACTATAACTAATAAAACCACAAACATAGCTATACACCCAGTAGATATGGCAAGCTCACAAGGTATACAATATACCCAAATAAATACTGTTTCTAAATACTAGCTGCAAACAATCAGAAAATAAAATTAAAGAAACTTTACCACTTAAAAGCATTTAAAAGGAGACTTCCAGTTTCTGGTCCAGTATGTAATAAGCTTGGAGGTTACCCCTCACTCAGTCTTGAGAAGTCAAAAGCTGAACTAACTGAAAAATCAACTCTTCTTAGATCTATCAGAAAAGTGAGGTCACAGGGCAAACTGCTGTCAAGATTGGAGATACTAATAGATAAATACACAGAACCAAAACTTACCAGTGCAGAAACTCTAAACAGTAACCTCTACAAGAACCAGTGCTGGAGAAGGCAAAAGTGAACTGTACTTGAGGAGTTATTGGAGGTCCAGTGTGGACTACTCTGAGACTTAAAAATCCCAGGGCCACGCAGTCATAGGAGAGCCCCTACATTTTTGTAAGTTTTGCCTTCAGGAGCACTACCTGGTCTTCACAACAAATAAATTAAAAAGTCACCTCACGTTTTTGGTGTCAGAGAGGGGAAAAAGAATCATTTTGAAATAAACTAGAGAATTATGTTCTGAACAGAGTTTGCCGTCAAGGAGAAACTATTTAACCAGAGCCTAATCATAGGACTATAAAAGCCTTCCTCTCCCCCAACACCTTACCACTATACTACTAAAGGTTCATTTACAGCATTCCTTTTACCTAGTATATCATGTCTGACTATGAATAAAACGCAAACAATATAATCTGAAGAGACAAACTCAAAGTCAGACTCAGATATGGCAGGGACGTTGGAATTATCAGACTAGAAATTTAAAATAACTATGATTAATATGCTAAGGGCCCTAATGGATAAAGAAGAGCGCATGCAAGATCAGATAGGTAATGCACTTTGGGAGGCTGAGGCAGGCGGATCACGAGGTCAGGAGATCGAGATCATCCTGGCTAACAGGGTGAAACCCCATCTCTACTAAAAATACAAAAAATTAGCCGGGCGTGGTGGTGGGCACCTATAGTCCCAGCTACTTGGGAGGCTGAGGCAGGAGAATGGTGTGAACCCGGGAGGCGGAGCTTGCAGTGAGCAGAGATCATGCCACTGCCCTCCAGCCTGGGCGACAGAGCGAGACTCCGTCTCAAAAAACAAAAACAAAAACAAACAAACAAAAAATAAGAAAAAACCAAAAAGGAATGCTAGAGATGCAAAACACTATAACAGAATTGAAGAATGTTTTTGATGGACTTATTAATAGACTGAATACAGCTGAGGAAAGTACCTCTCAGTTGAGAATATCTCAATAGACATGCCCCAAATTAAAAAACAAACAAAACAAAACAAAATCAAACAAAAAACCAGGACAGAATATCCCAGAACCATGAGACAACTTACAAAAAAAAATGTAATGGGACTCTCAGAAGGAGAAGATAGAGAGAAAGAAACAGAAAAAATATTTGAAATAATAATGACTGAGAGTTTCCCGCAAAGTAATGTTAGACACCAAACCACAAACCCAGAAAGCGCAGAGAACACTGAACAAGATAAATGTCAGAAAGTCTACACGTAGTCATATTATTTTTAAACTACAGAAAATCAAGATTAAAGAAAAAATCCTGAAAGAAGCTGCAATTAAAAACAGAAACAGACAAGCTCACCTAATGAATAGCATAGATAAGAATTATATTTGACTTGTCATCAGAAACCCTGCAAGCAAGAAGAGAGTGAAGTGAAATATACAAGTGTTGAGAGGAAAATACCACCAACTAGAATTATGTATCCTGTCCTTCAAAAGTCAGGAGGAAATACTTTCTCTGATTTTAAAAAAATGAGGAAATTTGTTGCCAGTAGAATTGTGTTGGAAGAAATATTAAAGTAAGTCATTTAGAAAGAAGAAAAATGATATAGGTCAGAAAGGTGGATCTACATAAGAAAGAATAAGCATCAAAGAAGGAATGAATGAAGACTAAATAAAAATCTTTATTTTTCTTATTCTTAATTGATCTAACATAATTATTCAAAATAATAATAGCAATAATGTATTTGATTATATATGCTTATGTATGTGCTATATGTTTATGTATGTTTATATGTAAGTGAAATGAATGACAGCAATGATACAAGGGATAGGAGGGAGGAATTAGGATTATTATGTATTATAAGGTACTTGCACTACCCATACTACCCATGAAGTGGTACAGAGCTGTTAGAAAGTGGACTTGGATTAGTTGTAAGTATATATTGCAAATTTGAGAACAACTACTAAAAAAAGTTTTAAAAAAGTACAATATGCTAAGACTGGAGAGAAAATAAAATCACACTAAATGCTCAATTAATATCACAAAAAGCATAAAAAGAATGGTGGAAGACAAAAACAACAGGAGCAACTGATATAAAAAGTAACAAATATGAAAAATATTAATCTAACTATATTAGTAATCACTTTGAATGTCAGTGGTCTAAATATACCAATTAAATACAGAGATCGTCAGAGTAGATCAAAAAATAAGACCTGACTATATGTTATCTACAAGAAACCCACTTTAAATACAAAGAGATATATAGAATAAAAGTAAATGGATAAAGAAAGGTATACCATGTTAACATTAATTAAAAGAAAGCAGGAATAGCTATATTATTTTCAAATGGAGCAAACTTGACAGCAAGGTAATTTATAAGGGGTAAAAGGGGTATTGCATATTGACAAAGGATGCAGTTGTTCAACACAACAATATTTAATGTGTATATACTTAAAAATAGAGCATCAAACTATGAGAGGCACAAACTGATAAAAGTGCAAGGAGAAATAGATACATGTATTTTTATGGTTGGAAACTTCAACAATCCTGTAACAAATGGACAGATCCAGCAGGCAGAAAATCAGTAAGAACATAGTTGAATCCAACAACACCATTGATATAATTTGGATGTTTGTCCCTCCCAAATCTCATGTTGAGATGTAATCCCCAGTGTTGGTGTTGAGGCCTCGTGGAAGGTGTTTGGATCATCGGGGCAGATCCCTCATGAATGGCTTAGTGACATGCCCTTGGTGATGAGTGAGTTCTTGCTGTGAGTTCACATGAGATCTGATTGTTTAAAAGAGTGCCACACATCCCTGCTTTGCTCTCTCTTGCCACGTGACTTGCCGGATCCCTCTTTGCCTTCTGCCATGATTGTAAGTGCCCTGAGCCCTCACCAGAAGCAGGTGCAAGCCCAAATAACCACTTTTCTTTATAAATTATCCAGGGTCAGGAACTTCTTCATAGCAACGCAAAAACAGATGAACACAACCATCAATCAACTGTATATAATAGATATCTATAGACTACTTTATGCAAAAATAGCACAATACACATTCTTTTCAGGTTCACATGGAACACTCAGTAAGACAGACCATATTCTAGGCCATAAAATACACATTTCTAAATTTAAAAGAATAGAAATTATGCAATGTCTATCCTTAGACTACAATGGAATTAAGTTAGAAATTAATAACAGAATGAAATGAGAAAATTCCCAAAAATATGGATATTAAACAACATACTGCAAGAAAGTGTGACATGCATCAAAGAAAAAAAACCTCAAGATATTTAAAATATTTTGAGCTAAATGAAAATAGAAATACAACTTATCAAAATTTGTAGCCAACTGATTTTAGACAAACAAGCATAGGCAATACAATGGAGAGTGACTTTTCAACAAATGGTATTGGAACAAGTGGACATCCATATACAAAAATTAAGCTAGACATAAACCTAACATGTTTTATAAAAAAATTCTAATGGATCACGGACCTAAATGTAAAGTGCAAAACTACAAAACTCCTAGAAGGTAAGATAATACAAAATCTAGATGACCTAGGGTTTGGTGACGACTTTTTAGATACAACATCAATAACATAATCCATGAGAGAACAAATAAGCTGGAATTCATTAAAATTAGAAATTTCTGCTCCATGAAAGACAGCATCAAGAGAATAAAAAGGCAAGCCATGGCCTGGGAGAAAATAATTTGCAAAAGACTTATCTGATAAGGGACTGTTATCCAAAATATACAAAGAATGCCTACAACTCAACAATAAGAAAACAACCCAATTAAACAACAGGCCAAACATTTTAACAGACACCTCACCAAAAAGGACATGCAGATAGCAAATAAGCACTTAAAAAGAGGCTCCACATCATCGTCAAAGAACTTCAAGTTAAAACAACAATGAGAGAACACTATACACCCAGTAGAATCGTCCACCTCCAGCAACAGACAACATCAAATTCTGGTGGAGATGTGGATCAACAGGAACTGTCATTCATTGCTGGTGGAAATGCAAAATTGTACAGCCACTTTGGAAGGCTGCTTAGTGATTTCTTATAAAACTAAACACACTTTTATCATATGATTGAGCAATCATGATCCTGGTATTTACCCAAAAGAGTTAAAAACTAATGTCTACATAAATACCTACATATAGATGTTCATAGCAGGTTTACATATGATTGCCAAAACTTGAAAGCAACCAAAATGTTCTTCAGTAGGTGAATGGACAAAAAGCGGTGGCATATCCAGACAATGAAATATTATTCAATGTAGAAGAAAATGAGCTATCAATGCATGAAAATACATGGGGGAAACCTAAATGCATATTACTAAATGAAAGAAGCTAGTCTGAAAAGGCTACCTTTTGTACGATTCCAACTATATGACATTCTAGAAAAGGCAAAGCTACGGAGACAATAAAAACATCAGTAGTTGACAGGGGTTATTGGGAGGAGGGGAGGAAGGAAGGATAAACAGGCAGGATATAAAGAATTTTTAGGGCAGTATTGCCCTAATTGTGGATATTGTTTTATGTTTGTCCAAACACATAAAATGTTCAACACTCTAACTCTATTAGGGTTTACAAACAGTATCTACGGACATAGGTAACAAATGTACCACTATGGTGGGAAATATTGATAACGGAAGCTATGAATGGGAGGGGTAAGTGGTGTATGGCAAATCTCCATACCTTCTGTTTAATTTTTCTGTGAACCTAAAATTGATTAAAAATAATGTCCATTAAAAATCTAAAAGGATAATATACTGGAGGTGAATATAATAAAATGTGTGCATGAACTCTACACTGAAAACTATGAAATATTCATGGAGTAAATTTGAGTTATTGCCAGTAAAAGAGAAGATACACCATGTTAAAATATTGGAGGACTTAATGTTGCTATGATGTCAATTCTCCTCAAATTGATCATAATATTACAATAACAACTCTGGTAAGATTTCTTGTTTTCCTAAAAAACTCACAAGTTAATTCTTTTTTTTTTTTTTTTTTTTTTTTTGAGACGGAGTCTCGCTCTTTCGCCCAGGCTGGACTGCAGTGGCGCTATCTTGGCTGACTGCAAGCTCCGCCTCCCGGGTTCACGCCATTCTCCTGCCTCAGCCTCCCGAGTAGCTGGGACTACAGGCGCCGGCTAACACGCCCGGCTAATTTTTTTTTTTTGTATTTTTAGTACAGACGGGGTTTCACCGTGTTAGCCAGGATGGTCTCGACCTCCTGACCTTGTGATCCACCTGCCTCGGCCTCCCAAAGTGCCGGGATTACAGGCGTGAGCCGCTGCGCCCGGCCAATTCACAAGTTAATTCTAAAGGAATATGGAAAACAATATATTCTTTTGGCACTGTAGCCAAGAGGACTTTGGAAAAGGAGATCACACTTGGAAGACATACCCTAAATGGCTTTAATGTTTACTATAAAGCTATAGTAACCAAGACAATGTGATACTGGTGAAAGAATAAAACATAGGTCAATAAAACAGAATACAATGTATTATGTTGAAATTATTTTGACAACAGCACCAAAGCAATTCTTTAAGAAAAAGTCCTTTCAAAAAATGGTACTGGAACAAGTGGTCATCCACACGGAAATAAAAGAACCTTGACTTTTACATTACACTATAAATACAAATGAATTCAACATAGATCATAGATTTACATGTAAAACCTAAAACTATAACACTTCAAGAGGAAAGCACAGAAATATCTTTGCAATTCTAGAGTAGAAAGAGGTTCAGAGATCATAGAAAGTCTTAACCATAAAAGACAACATGATAAATTAGATTTGATAAAAATTAACAACTTCTGCTCATTAAACAAGACTAATAAAAATAAATGGGCAAATCTTAGACTAGAAAGAAATATTTGCAGCGCATAAACTGACAAAGGATTTTTATGCCTTTGATATGTAAAGAACACCTACAACAAGATAATAAAAAGACAAGCATCCAATTAAAAAATGGGCAAGTAGTTGAATAGACACTTCTTAAGAGAGATAAATATGCCCAAAAACACATGAAAAATGTTCAATATCATCAGTCATCAGGAAAATGCTAATTAAAACTACAAGGGAATACAACTCATATCCACTTGAATGGCTGAAATTAAAACAAGGATGGTCACAAATTGTGGGGAAGACACAGAAAAACTGAAATTCTCACACATTGCTGATTAGAGTGTAAAATGGTCAAAACACTATGGAAAACAGTTTGATGGTTTCTTAAAAATTTAATTAATGACTTAACATATGTCCACTCCCAGGTATTAATCCACTAAAGTGAAACTATATGTCCACAATTAGCCTGTGCAAGATGGTTTACAGCAATTGTAGTCTTAATAGCCTGAAACTAGAAATAGCCTAGCTGTCCATAAAGAAGATAATGAATGTATCAATTGCAATTGTTCACATAATGGAATACTAATCATCAATAAGAAAGGGGAGAAAAACCTTCTGATATAAACAACATTTATCAACATGGATGAATTGCAAAAATATGCTGAGTACAAGGAGAAGAAAGCAAAAGAGTACAGATTGTATGATTGAATTTTAGAAAGTTCTAGAATAAGCAAAACTAAGATATATGGTTACAATCAGATTGTGGTTACTTCTGGACTTCTGGGCTGGGAGTGACTGACTGGGATGGCAACAAGGGAGCACTCTGTGGTGATGAACATGGTTGGATGTCAACAAAGATGGGAATGTATACTTAAGAGCTGTGTATTTTATTCTGTGTAAATTATACCTCAATAAAAATATACGAAAATATCAATACATTCGAAAAGCAGAATATTAAACTGGTTGATATGGTTTGGCTGTGTCCCCACCCAAATCTCATCTTAAAATCTTATATGTTGTGGGAGGGACCCAGTGGGAGATAATTGAATCATGTGGGCAGGCCTTTCCCATGCTGTTCTCGTGATAGTGAATAAGTCTCACGAGATCTGATGGTTTCAAAAAGGGGAGTTTCCCTGCACAAGCTCTCTTCTCTTGCCCCTCACAGTGTGATATGTGTCTTCTACCTTCTGCCATGATTGTGAGGCTTCCCCAGCCATGTGGAACTGTCAGTCCATTAAACTTCTTTCTTATGTAAATTGCCCAGTCTCAGGAATGTCTTTATCAGCAACGTGAGAACAGACTAATACAGCAAATTGGTACCAGTAGAGTGGGGTGCTGCTGTAGATACCTGAAAGTGTGGAAACAACTTTGGAACTGGGTAACAGGCAGATGTTGGAACAGTTTGGAGGGTTCAGAAGAAGACAGGAAAATGTGAGAAAGTTTGGGACTCCCTAGAGACTTGTTGAATGGCTTTGACCGAATGCTGATAATGATACAGGGAATGAAATTCAGGCTGAGGGGGTCTCAGATGTAGATGAGAAACTTGTTGGGAACTGCAGCAAAGGTGATTCTTGTTATCTTTTAACAGAGAGACTGGAGCATTTTGCCCAGCCCTAGAGATTTGTGGAACTTTGAACTTGAGAGAGATGATTTAGGTTATCTAGTGGAAGAAATTTCTAAGCAGCAAACCATTCAAGAGGTGACTTGGGTGCTGTTACAGGCATTCCGTTTTATAAGGGAAGCAGAGCATAAGAGTTTGGAAAATTTGCATCTTGACAATGCGATAGAAAAGAAAACCCCATTTTCTGAGAAGAAATTCAAGCTGGCAGCAGAAATTTGCATAAGTAATGAGGAGCTAAATGTTAATCCCCAAACAATGGGGAAAATGTCTCCAAGACATGTCAGAGGTCTTCAAGGCAGCCCTTCCCTCTACAGGCCCAGAGGTGCAGGAGGAAAAAGTGGTTTCTTGGGGCTGGGCCAGGGTTCCCTTGCTGTGTGTGGCCTAGGGGCTTGGTGCCCTATGTCCCAGCTACTCCAGCTGTGGCTGGAAGGGGCCAACATAGAGCCTGGGCCATGGCTTCAGAGGGTGCAAGTCCCAAGCCTTAGCAGCTTCCATGTGGTTTTGAGCCTGCCAGTGCACAGAAATCAAGAATTGGGGTTTGGGAACCTTTGCCTAGATTTCAGAGGATGTATGGAAACAACTGGATGTCCAGGCAGAAGTTTGCTGCAGGGGCAGTGCTCTCATGCGGAACCTCTGCTAGGGCAGTGGAGAAGGGAAATGTGGGATCAGAGCACCCACACAGAGCCCCTACTGGGGCACCACCTAGTGGAGTTGTGAGAAGAAGGCCACTATCTTCCAGACTCGAGAATGGTATATCCACTGACAGCTTGCATTGTCTGCCTAGAAAACCCACAGACACTCAACACCAGCCTGTGAAAGCAGCTTGGAGGGAGGCTGTACCCTGCAAAGCTGCAGATGTGGAGTTGCCCAAGACCAAGGGAACCCACCTCTTGCTCCAGCATGACCTGGAGGTGAGACAGGGAGTCAAAGGAGATCATTTTGGAGCTTTAAGACTTGACTGCCCTGCTGGATTTTGGACTTGCCTGGGGCCTATAGCCCCTTTGTTTTGGCCAATTTCTCTTATTTGGAATGGTGTTATTTACCCAATACCTGTACTCCCATTGTATCTAGGAAGTAACTAACTTGCTTTCGATTTTACAGGCTCACAGGCGGAAGGAACTTGCCTTGTCTCAGATGAGACTTTGGATTGTGGACTTTCGAGTTAATGCTGAAATAGTTAAGACTTTGGGGGACTGTTGGGAAGGCACTGGTTTTGAAATGTGAGGACATGAGATTTGAGTGGGGCCAGGGATGGAATGATATGGTTTGTCTGTGTCCCCAACCAAATCTCAACTCGAATTCTCATGTGTTGTGGAAGGGACCCAGTGGGAGGCAATTGAATCATGGGGGCAAGTCTTTCCAATGCTGTTCTCATGATAGTGAATAAGTCTCACGAGATCTGATGGTTTTAAAAAGGGGAGGAGTTTCCCTGCACAAGCTCTCTTCTCTTGTCTGTTGCCGTGTGAGATGTGCCTTTCACCCTTTGCCATGATTTTGAGGCTTCCCCCACCACATGGGACTGTAAGTTTTACACTGTTTCTTTTGTAAATTGCCCAGTCTCGGGTATGTCTTTATTAGCAGCACGAAAGCAGACTAATAAACTGGTTAAACAGTATAATGCCAGTTTTCAACAATGTATATTTCTATATGCTTGTGTGCATGCACATCCATAGAATAAAAAATGAGGAGGAAACACCCATGTTTCTCTCTGGGTAGAATTATGAGTGCTTTAAAACTTTTCTTTAAGCTTTTCTCTATTTTCCAGTAGAAAATCACATATTAGATTTATAATGAGAACAACAAAACAAAGCTCATTAAAATTTTTTTTTATGAGGAGACACATAGTTATTTCTTATCAGACAGTATCCATTTAGTAGTAGATGAACTTCAGGGCCAGGCATTTTCAATATCTTATTTTTTTTGCCTATATATATGAATAAGAAATACTTAGCTTGTTTGCGCAATTACTTATTTTAATAATCTCCTACCAAGCCTGCACATGTAATTCTACTGTTCTCTAGCATTGCATATGTTGGAAAAGTACTCTGACTGCAGCTTAACTATTCTTGCTTTGTATATGACTGATTTTCTTCCCTGAATGCACATAGCCTTTTTTATTCTTTGGATATTTAAGATTTCTTAATGAAAGATGTAACTAAATAATATATGATAATAAAACAATAACCTAGAAATGAGCATTGTGTCATATATGTACCAGTTATGTCCTAAGCATGTTGAAAAGCATCATCCAATATAATCTTCATAAGAAATATATGGTGTAATATATGAGTAAGTTCCTTTTATTGTTTTTTTATTTTAATGAAGAAATATAGATACAGGCATGTTAAATATTTTTCCCAACATATTTTGCCCAATGTCTCATGGTCAGAAAAGGGACCCAAACAACCTGGTGCCAAATTCAGTGCTTTCAATGACCAGATTATAAGTTTTATGCCTCACAATAAGAGAAAATAATTTATTCTTAAATCATTAAAAAATTACATAAAATATTTTAAATGACTTTATCCATGATATAAGAATAAAAAATGTATCCTTGTAGTGTAGTTGTGACAAGTAAAGGATATACTACATCTAAATGTTATTGATATGCCAACGTAGCAATTATCATTCTATTCCTCTTAGCTTGAAAGCCACTCTCTGTGGCTATATTTGTCATAATAGAATATTTCTCCCTTGCTAGCCAGCAAAATGATTAGCTTGATGGCGGAGGACTCCAGAGAGATCCTGGAGGAGAAACAGTTCTTGGTTTCTGTGTACCATCTCTCCTGACAGCCTTCTGCAGTGCACTGCAGCCAGCAGCATGTGGAATCTCTCCATGGTTCCTCCCCCGGTATACCAAGGAAGAGATTCTCAGTTAGTTTTCCAGTGCAGCCCCTCTATGAACGTTTCCACCATCCGGTGGGCCATGGTAGTGCCCTCCCCACTGAGGCCTGAATCCTAGCCTTGGAGGAAGGGGCCTATTTCCAGATTCATTTCTTTCTTGGGAACTCTTTCCCCTCCTACCCCCCAGAGGTAGTGTCTGCTTCTTATATCTGCTATTTCTGTATTCCTTAGAGTTTTCTTTATCCCTTTGTAGCCAATCGTCTATTACTCCAATCTCCATTTATAGTTAATAATTATTTTAAATATACTTTCCCTGTTCAAATAACTGTGTGGTTCCTGTCTACAGATTGGAATCTTACTGATAAAACTATCAAGTGCAATAAAATCTAAATGGTTATTTTCATGGTTAAATGTCATATGTATGTATTTGAAATTGTTATTGAACATCTCAATCTTAAAATTTACAAGTTTCAATAATTTCATTTGCTAGGAATAACAACATGTATCTCAAATAATAAGCCAGAGGCAACACCATGTTTGTAAAAATGCTTTATATACTGTGAAAGCACAGTAGAAATGTAAGTTACATGGTAAACTCTGTGAAGATGGAGCCATTTCTATCCCACCATTCCTGGGAGGCCATCCCAACCTCACACAGGAGCTTGGTTCTCTGAGGAGCTTGATAAATGTTGGTTTGATTAACTGATGCATAAACACATCTACATTACCTCTTTTGTATTTAAGTCCATGTGAATTAAATTTCAAAATGTTGCATAAAAAAATCTAGTGTTTTCAAATTTGCAAAATGTAAATATTATATGGTAAAAATACACTGAACATCTTTCAACTGCATCCCTAAATTTTCTAGACTCTTACCTCAAACGCATTTATAGTTGTAAATGAGAAATAATAGAAAATATGTATAAAACCATATAGTCTCAGAAACTAAAACTTTGGTATGATATTCAAATTAGCTATTTTCAGTTGGATTTTGTAAGGATATGTACTCTTTGTAACCTGAGAAGACACATACAATTTGCTTCAATTCTTCTTTTGTTATCTTTAAGTGCAAAATGTAAGTTCTGATGGCAAACTCTGTTTATGTTACGGCACAACTAGAACACTGTTTTAAAGCACTTTTAAAGTGGATAAATAACTTCATATTTAATGCCTTTTATTTTCAGTGGAGAAGAGGAACAGCTGTCATAGACTTTTTTTTCACTCTTAATAGTCTCTCCTACAATATTTTCTCCAAAATTACTAGATAGTTATCAAGCTAAAATGTGTTGCTCTGGCCAAGATGAAGCTATAAAATCTTTTCTTCTTGTATCAGTGCATGGGCTTGTATACTCATACACTTTTTTCCTCCTATTGCAACATTTTTCACAATCATATCCAGCAGCATTGTCAAGGAATTTCACTGTTTTCTTTGTAAGTGCATAAAATTGATAACATCCCACAAGCTGCTTTGATTGTAGGGGGAAAGGAAGGCAAGCATTCTGGATTCCTCATACTTTTGCTAAAAGTAATGAAAAAGCACTTATTTTTAGTGAACTTCGTGTGTGTGTGAGTGTGGTGTGTATATCTATTTGGTGGTTCTAGAATAAATGGAGAAAAAGGGTAGCCTCCAAGCTATTATACATGCATACTTATACAATGTAAATGCACACGCTTCTCCCTTTTGGTTCATATAAATAAAGAAAAACATCTGTATAAAGTGGATATTGACTTTGAGATCTAGGAACATCCCTAGAACATACTAGGATCAAATGTTATCCCAAGCAAGAATAGTGAATTCTGTCAAAAGCACTTTGTTTTATGAAATATGGAATAAATAGATTGATTAGTAAATAAATAAATGAATGCTTGAATGAATGAATTCCTGAAAATTGAGAGGATGTGAGGGACAAATCAGCAGTGTAGAACTAAAAACACTGAGCTCTCTCATGACAAACACTTCTTTCAAGAACTTCATTTGAATGTCATAAACTGTGTTGAGTGTCTATTGACAATGCCTGTTCCCATGATTTTAGTGCACTCAATGCATTTTGTTGTGGTAAATTTAAAAAGCATAGTAAATATTTCTAAGCAACATTTCATTACTTTGTAGTGGGAATTGGAAAAATGTATAAGGATGATTTAAGATGGGTATTTTTAGATTGAATTGAAAAAAAATTGAAAGAAACAAATCAAAGTTCAATGGGGCTTGGAAGAGGGAAACCCAGAAGAGGCAACTGAACTATCCTTGAAGTTTGACTGAGAAGTGTCTATTTCCTCATCCATTCTTTTAACTGACTAAAAAGCCATTCATATTTTGCTTCAATTATCATTTCAGGTTGATAGGTCAGCTTCTCATACTCTTCAAGCCTTGATCATTTTTAAAAAATTATTCTGTCAACAAGTCATAAAAATATGGATATGGCAAACTGTATTTGATACAATGTTTTGCAGAGCTTATCATTTAAATTTATGCCTGCGAAGCATAATCCATACCCAATCACTTTTTGTCAAAATGGGAAATCATATATTCACTCAAATGGTAATCATTGAATATCTACTAGGCACTGAGTGTGCAAGTACAATTTGTCTTGCATCTGATAATTTGAAAAACTTGGAAACATCATAGAGAAATACTTTAAAATAATTCACTTTAATTATAGATACATCTTACAGAAGTGTTCTAAGAATGCACTTTCCCTAGCTGGCAAACTAAACCTGTGTTTTAAATTGCTGTTAAAACTAGTTTCATTTTGAGTGTTATGCAGTGTGATAAGTTATTTTCATGCAGTATTGCAGGTAATGCCCACAACATGCCTAAGCGGTTGCTATCATTAACTTTACTATTTTAGCTTAGGATTGACTTGGCAATGCGGGCTCTTTTTTGGTTCCATATGAACTTTAAAGTAGTTTTTTCCAATTCTGTGAAGAAAGTCATTGGTAGCTTGATGGGGATGGCATCGAATCTATAAATTACCTTGGGCAGTATGGCCATTTTCACGATATTGATTCTTCCTACCCATGAGCATGGAATGTTCTTCCCTTTGTTTGTATCCTCTTTTATTTCATTGAGCAGTGGTTTGTAGTTCTCCTTGAAGAGGTCCTTCACATCCCTTGTAAGTTGGATTCCTAGGTATTTTATTCTCTTTGAAGCAATTGTGAATGGGAGTGCACTCATGATTTGGCTCTCTGTTTGTCTGTTATTGGTGTATAAGAATGCTTGTGATTTTTTTACATTGATTTTGTGTCCTGAGACTTTGCTGAAGTTGCTTATCAGCTTAAGGAGATTTTGGGCTGAGACAATGGGGTTTTCTAGATATACAATCATGTCATCTGCAAACAGGGACAATTTGACTTCCTCTTTTCCTAATTCAATACCCTTTATTTCCTTCTCCTGCCTAATTGCCCTGGCCAGACCTTCCAACACTATGTTGAATAGGAGCGGTGAGAGAGGGCATCCCTGTCTTGTGCCAGTTTTCAAAGGGAATGCTTCCAGTTTTTGCGCATTCAGTATGATATTGGCTGTGGGTTTGTCATAGATAGCTCTTATTATTTTGAGATACGTCCCATCAATACCTAATTTATTGAGTGTTTTTAACATGAAGGGCTGTTGAATTTTGTCAAAGGCCTTTTATGCATCTATTGAGATAATCATGTGGTTTTTGTCTTTGGTTCTGTTTATATGCTGGATTACATTGATTGATTTGCATATATTGAACCAGCCTTGCATCCCAGGGATGAAGCCCACTTGATCATGGTGGATAAGGTTTTTGATGTGCTGCTGGATTCGGTTTGCCAGTATTTTATTGAGGATTTTTGCATCAATGTTCATCAAGGATATTGGTCTAAAATTCTCCTTTTTGGTTGTGTCTCTGCCCAGCTTTGGTATCAGGATGATGCTGGCCTCATAAAATGAGTTAGGGAGGATTCCCTCTTTTTCTATTGATTGGAATAGTTTCAGAAGGAATGGTACCAGTTCCTCCTTGTACCTCTGGTAGAATTCGGCTGTGAATCCATCTGGTCCTGGAGTCTTTTTGGTTGGTAAGCTATTGATTATTGCCACAATTTCAGATCCTGTTATTGGTCTATTCAGAGATTCAACTTCTTCCTGGTTTAGTCTTGGGAGGGTGTATGTGTTGAGGAATTTATCCATTTCTTCTAGATTTTCTAGTTTATTTGCGTAGAGGTGTTTGTAGTATTCTCTGATGGTAGTTTGTATTTCTGTGGGATCGGTGGTGATATCCCCTTTATCATTTTTTCTTGCATCTATTTGATTCTTCTCTCTTTTCTTCTTTATTAGTCTTGCTAGCTGTCTATCAATTTTGTTGATCCTTTCAAAAAACCAGCTCCTGGATTCATTAATTTTTTGAAGGGTTTTTTGTGTCTCTATTTCCTTCAGTTCTGCTCTGATTTTAGTTATTTCTTGCCTTCTGCCAGCTTTTGAATGTGTTTGCTCTTGCTTTTCTAGTTCTTTTAATTGTGATGTTAGGGTGTCAATTTAAATAGGTGCTAGGAAAACTGGCTAGCCATATGTAGAAAGCTGAAACTGGATCCCTTCCTTACACTTTATACAAAAATTAATTCAGATGGATTAAAGACTTAAATGTTAGACCTAAAACCATAGAAACCCTAGAAGAAAACCTAGGCGTTACCATTCAGGACATAGGCATGGGCAAGGACTTCATGTCTAAAACACCAAAAGCAATGGCAACAAAAGACAAAATTGACAAATGGGATCTAATTAAACTAAAGAGCTTCTGCACAGCAAAAGAAACTACCTTCAGAGTGAACAGGCAACCTACAAAATGGAAGAAAATTTTCACAACCTACTCATCTGACAAAGGGCTAATATCCAGAATCTACAATGAACTCAAACAAATTTACAAGAAAAAAACAAACAACCCCATCAAAAAGTGGCCAAGGATATGAACAGACACTTCTCAAAAGAAGACATTTATGCAGCCAAAAAACACATGAAAAAATGCTCACCATCACTGGCCATCAGAGAAATGCAAATCAAAACCACAATGAGATACCATCTCACACCAGTTAGAATGGCAATCTTTAAAAAGTCAGGAAACAACAGGTGCTGGAGAGGATGTGGAGAAATAGGAACACTTTTACACTGTTGGTGGGACTGTAAACTAGTTCAACCATTGTGGAAGTCAGTGTGGCGATTCCTCAGGGATCTAGAATTAGAAATACCATTTGACCCAGCCATCCCATTACTGGGTATATGCCCAAAGGACTATAAATCATGCTGCTATAAAGACACATGCACATGTATGTTTATTGCGGCACTATTCACAATAGCAAAGACTTGGAACCAAACCAAATGTCCAACAATGATAGATTGGATTAAGAAAATGTGGCACATATACACCATGGAATACTATGCAGCCATAAAAAATGATGAGTTCATGTCCTTTTTAGGGACATGGATGAAATTGGAAATCATCATTCTCAGTAAACTATCGCAAGAACAAAAAACCAAACACCGTACATTCTCACTCATAGGTGGGAATTGAACAATGAGAACACATGGACACAGGAAGGGGAACATCCCACTCTGGGGACTGTTGTGGGGTGGGGGGAGTGGGGAGGGATAGCTTTAGGAGATATACCTAATGCTAAATGACGAGTTAATGGATGCAGCACAGCAGCACGGCACATGTATACATATGTAACTAACCTGCACATTGTGCACATGTACCCTAAAACTTAAAGTATAATAACAATAAAATAAAAAAATAAAAAAAATTTTGAGTTCAGAAACTTAAAAAAAAAACTTTACTATTTTAAAGAGTGAAACACTGAAGCTTAAAGTGGTTAAGTAACTTTTTCAATGTTGCATAACTTGTACATGCTCAATACAGGATTTAATTTTGGGTTTGCCTATCACCACAATTTGTGCTCAACTATAGTATCATATTGAGTCTCTATATGAAAGTGCATACTCCCCTATACTCACAAATTAAAACTATGTTTAATGATTCTTAGTATTTTTCTTGGTTGTGGTAAAATTAATCAATTAATTGAATCATTCAACAAATATTTTGAGATACACTCCACAGAGGGCACATATGGGTATGTAGTTATGAATAAGGCAAACAAATAAATCATAATACAGAGTGAAACATGCCAAAATAATCATGTAGATACACGCAGAGGTTGCCTGCGAAATAGGGGGAAAGTTTGCATTTGGGGGAGCAGCCAAAGAGGAAAATGTGGGGTCATTTTATCTGTGACTTTAATGCCTGTGGTACAGAACCACCCACCTTTTAGAAAAGACACCTAAGAACTTTCTATTTTGTAGAATCTTGTGCTTCTCACAGTGATTCCTTGGAGTGGTGGAGTTGGGGGGTTAAAAGTAGAGAACAATTCTCAATGGGCTTCTGTTCCCTTATTATAATGACTGCTCACCTGTCTAGCATTGAGGTTTTTGTTATACTGTTTTTCTGGTCCTGATTAATTATTATTTGGTCTATCTTCTTGTTCTTCAAGTCTGGGTTATATTGGGTAAAAAAGCCATCAAATCTATTGTCTTGAGGAAATAAGAGATAGTAAATATTTTTTTCTTTCTACCTATCCCAGGTTCACTCCTGGGACCCCTGCAACAAAAGACATATTAAAACGAGTAAAGCATACAAGTGGATTTAATATAAGTTTTATGTGTCACAGCGGACTTTATAAGGAAATGAGGACTCAAAGAATTGTTGAACGTGAGTGCTTTTATGCTTGGTTTGAGGAGAATGGAAAATTGTAGAGAACTGATAGCACAAAGACATGAGTTGAGTGTAGTAAACTGGGGGCGGGGGGCAGCAAAATCTGTTCTAGATTCCTCTCTGTGTCCCTGTGTCTTTGGAGACTCCAAAGGATGCTGTTCTTCTTTTGGTATGGGGCGGATACATCTCAAGTGGAGTTTTCATGACCTACTTCAGAACAGAAGGTCAGAAAATACTTGCTGCATGTGCTGTTTCTCAAATTCCTTCAGCTTAAAATATTCAATATGCTGGGGTGTCATATGTTAGGGTAGCATGTCCTGAATCCATCTGAAACACAAGTACACAGTTGGGACATTTCTCTCACAGAGAGAACTGCCAGTCACATGTAACTTACTTCAAGAATTATTGAAGTTGAGTCACAAATTTGGCAATAGAAAAAATGAATTGATATTACTTCTGCAATCACTTGACACCCTACTAACACATAAACAGCTCAGAAAACATCTTGCCAGGCTCAAGAGCTAATTCCTTTGAAATCTAGTAGCAAATTGAATTTTTAAAAAATACAGTGAAATGGTTCCTTTGTCCCTAGTAGTCCCATAGCAACAACCATGCACCTAGTTTTTCTCCTTCAGTCCCACATTATGGTTTACCTACTTATTGTCTGCATTCTTAGCCAGAAAGTAAGCCCTATATGGGCAGAAACCACATTTTTGAAGCAAGCGTTTTCATTTCGTTTTAAACTGAAGCTTGCACTAAGAAATCTGCATTTTAATAATCATACTAAGAGGATGATTTGAGAAACTCTGGGCCAGACAATAAAAGTTGGGAATTCATAGAGGATGTTTTATGCATGGTTGCATTGTTAGTGCCAATGCCATACATATAATTGGTGTTAACATCCTCCCTTAGAGTTGAGATGACTATGCTCCTTAGAGAATGTTTTCCTATCATCTTTATTTTTTGTGTTTTTGAAAACAGATCTGGGGGTAAAAGTTCAGTTTTGTTACATGGATATGTTGTGTAGTGGTGATGTCCAGGCTTTCAGTTAGCCTTTTTGTGCCTCAGAATTTATTTCCTATTATTTCTTATTCTATTCTATGGCCTGGCCTCAATAGGAATTCAGCCCATTAATTAATACTTAATAAAAGCCTTCTGTATGCCATTAACAACTTCCGACATCACTTAAGATACCTGAACTGCATCCTATAAGGCTGATGGAATGCAAACAATTCAGGCAAAATCTGTGGTAACTGGGACCCAATACAGATTGCTTAGTAGCAATATGAACAAACATTGAATTAATTCCTTTGCAAACCTGTAGAAGAATCTAGACTTTGCTCTTCAGATGGTGAAATGTGCTACATTGAGCTAAATCTCAAAACAGGATTTTTGAAGTTGTAGGATTTTATGTGAACCTTTCCGTAAGTACTCTATTCACTAATATTTTTAAACTTGCAAGTCTCTTGCAAATTTCCACTAAATTAAAAAGAAATTGAGATAACAGTAATTTCTAAAATACATGGAATTAAATAGCCAACAAAAGGCTAGTTTCACTGCCCAAATCACTGTATTTTAATATGATAGTTTATATTGCAATACAAAATTTAAACCTAACTTTTTACAGCTTAACAATTCTTAAGCATATAGGTGTGCTAATCATAGTACTATAAATAATTTAATATATTTAATCAAAAAGTTGCCCAATTTCTTAGGGGTTTTCCCCTATTTTAGACAATAATACAAGTAATACACCAACAATGATTTCTTCCTATAAAATGTTAAATAAAACACAACAACATATCAATACATCTCAGACACTTCCTATGTCATACCAACCTTACTATCTCATTCTTCTCAATCTTACTTTATATTTAGGTAATGGATGAATCATGATTTATTCAGTCATTCGCTTATGTAATTGGCATTTAAACTGTATCCATTTTTTTCTAATAAAACCAATACTGCCATAAATATCCTCCATCATTGATAATTGTACTCATGT
Source organism: Homo sapiens (assembly GCF_000001405.40). Taxonomy (NCBI): domain Eukaryota; kingdom Metazoa; phylum Chordata; class Mammalia; order Primates; family Hominidae; genus Homo; species Homo sapiens. The sequence continues at coordinate 167,150,423 of NC_000002.12, read as the reverse complement.
ATAGTATTTCTTTTGATTAAAGAGATAAATACTGATGTTGAACTGTTGGTTGACCTTTTAAATTTTAATTAACCCTGTTAAAATGTCTCCTCATGTGATCATACAATTTTTATACTACCACCAACAACATATGAGAGGGTCTCTTTCTTTATACACTCCACAACTACAAATGGTTACACAAATTTTTTGGCCATTCTGATGGGAAAAGTTATGTTTAATTATCATGTTAATTTTTATTTCCTCAATTATTAGTAGTGCTACCGATTTTTTTTTAAGGAATGAACAATTTTGTCTTATTATTTATTTCTTTATGTCATTATTTTAGATCCAGGGGGTACCGGTGCAGTTTTGTTACATGAGTATATTGTACAATGCTGAGATTGAGCTTCTGTTGAACCCATCACTCAAATAGTGAATATAGTACCCCACGTTTTCATATAATTATTATCCATTTCTAGTTTTTTTGTTGTTTGTATACTTTGCCTAATTTTAAATTTGGTTGTCTCTTTCTTGGCAGATGCCTCCTACATATCCTGGATATTAATATGTTGTGGGTTATATGCACTGCAAATATTTTATTTCTTTTTTTTAGTACTTTAACATTAGCTAATATATTATTGCAACAGAACAAAGTTTAAATATTTTTATGATATTGAATCTTATATTTTCTTTCTCTTTTTCATTTCAAGTGTTTCTTATAAATTCCTTTCTTATTCTGAAGTCATAAATATTTCCTATATTTTTTCCAATATTTCTTGTAGTTTTGAGTTGGGGATTTTTATATGTAGCTTTTAAACCATTTGGAATAAATTGTGTATATAATGAAAGACAAGATCGAATTTTTCTTCTAATGACAGACTATTGCCTAAGTACTAATTCACCGACTAGTCTATCCATTTCCAACTGACCTGAATTGCCACATATGTCATAAACTAAATGCCCAGAGTATGCAGAGTTCACTTTCAAATTCTTCATTGATGTTTACATGGGCATAATTCTGCCTTCCTACACTTGTTGATTTTTATATAGTCTTGTTTCTTATGTTTATTGTGATTTTTGATTGTGAGCTCATTCTCACTGGAACTTTATCTATGGGACTTTTTTGAGACCCCAGTTGAAAGCATGTGCTTCCAGAAAGCATTTATATTTTGCTTCCGCTATCTGCATAGTGAATTAAGTATAAATTAAGTTACAGGTTTGAAGCTTTCAGGATCTCACAAATATGTGAATTTGGGTCTCAAACTTGAATTAGGTTGGGGTGAGAGTCCCTAATTCTTGAGTTAGGAATTCCTGGGAGATAAAATTATTTTCCATCCACTCAGACCAGATTGAAGTAAGCATATTTTTAGTTTAGCCTTTCACTCCTATGTGTACAGTCCATTGTGGTATTCAGCTTCCTAAGGCATCAGTGATCTAGCTTCCCATCCTAGATGAGCCCAGGGCCTAGTATCCTGAATCAATTGCATGCTTTCATCTATCTGATTTTTCAAAGTTCTACCATCCTAGATTAGTATGGGAACTAACAGTTTCTGGGCTTGCTTACCTCCCTAAAATTGTACTTTCACTTTGTTCTCAGTCTCAGTGGATTTCCTTTACTTTCTTAAAAGATTATTCTTTATTTCTATTGTTACGTGGTATTTTTTTCCATTTAAGTCTATTTCCTTTCTGAGAATAAAATAGCCATATTGACTTTCTTTTGGTTAATATTTCAATATTTTACAAGTGTCTATTTTGTGTTGTATATGCCTAACTTTTTCTAAAATTCCAACCTGACAATCTTGTCTTTCCACTGAAGAGTTGGGACATTTACATTTATGAAGACTACCAAAATACTTAGAATTATTTCAGCTATATAACTTTGCAGTTTTCGATACTCTAATTACTCTATGCCTTTCTTTACCTCTTTCCCTCCCTCCCTCCCTTCCTTCTTTCCTCTCCCTCCCTCCTTCCATCCCTGCCTTCCTGCTTGCTTTCTTTTTTCTTTTTCTTTTTCTTTCTTTCTTTCTCTCTTTCTTTCTTTTTCTTTCTTTCTTTTCTTCTTTCTTTCCTTTTCCACTTTTGTCACCCACACTGGAGTGCAATGGTGCGATCTCGGCTCACTGCAACCTCTGCCTCCCGAGTTCAAGCGATTCTCCTGCCTCAGCTTCCCATGTAGCTGGGATTACAGGTGCATGCCACCACACCCAGCAAATATTTATATTTTTATTAGAGATGGGGTTTTGCCATGTTGGCCAGGCTGGTCTCGAACTCCTGACTTCAGGTGATCCACCTGCCTCGACCTCCCAAAGTGCTGAGGTTACAGTCGTGAGCCACCGTGCCCAGCCTCTTTTCCTTCTTTCTTTTGAAGTGTTCAGGGCTTCTATTTTTTGTCTAGTAGTTTAAAAATTTATCACTCTATTTGTATTTTTTAATTTTTTACTCCTAAAACTTTAATGTAAATACTTAAACTGATGAAGGTGTAAGGCTGATCCTTTAATTTTTGCTCTTGAAGAATACTTGAGAATGGTTTGATTGATCATCTGCTTTCTGCATTATGTTATTATTATTTGATATTTTAGTTCCAATTTGTTTTAAATCCCCGTGTCCAGCCTTAGGTCACTTATTCACTAGACCTCACAGAACTCGGAAGAGCCGTTATTCTCACCACTACAGTTTATTACAGCAAATGCATACAGATTAATCAGCAAATGACAAACAAGGCATAGGGCAGAGTCTGAGAGAAACAAGACACAAACTTCTAATTGTTCTCTCCCAGGAAAGTTCTATAAACGGTTCTACTTTAATTCTCTCACCAACAATGTGAGACAAAATGCATGAAGTATTACCAACCAGGGAAGCTCATTCTAGCCTTGTCATCCACAACTTTTGCTGGAGGTTGTTCACACAAATATGGAGCATCTATGTGGCTGACCTTAGTTACTCATTCTCCATTTGCTCTCCCAGAGACCAAACTGATACAGCATGGTCCAAGGCCCCCATCATAAATCACATTGTCGGCATAAACAATCTGACCTGGGTAAGTGCCCCAGGTACACAAAGACTCTTATCGGGCCTGATATTCCAGAGCTTGGAGGTTGTTTCCCAGGAGCTGGTTCAAAGACCAGTCTTTTCTTTGGAGATACAGGGTTTGCACATCCCAAGCCTGCTAAGTTAACCCTTTCCTCCATACTGCCTATATTATTACTATTTTATATAGGCAGTTGGTTTGTTCAGATTTACCCATATACTCAGCAATTTCACTGGCCAATATTTTCTCTTCTATCTCAAATTACTTTTTCTGTGATATTGTTTATTTCTGCTTAAGCATATTTCTAAAAATTTCCTTTAATGAAGGTTTATTAATAGAAACCTCTTTGTTTTGGTTTGTTTTAACATGTGTGTATTTTGTCCTCATTCTTAAATTAAAATTTAGTTGGATATAAAATTGGAAGTCAAAAATTATTTATCTCATTATATTAAAAATATAGCTTCACACTTCCAGATTTTATTTTTACTATTGAGCAGTTGGTTATCAGTTGTCAATTTTCAAACTTAAATTCTCTTCTCTCTTTTAATTCTACATTTCTCTTTTCCTGTAATTCTGTCGTATTACGTACTTTCACTATCTTTTGTCTACAGGTATAGACCCTTTTTATTTACTATGATATGCCTTCATTGTGCATGCTGCATCTGACAGCAGTTAGGTTTAAAGGACCTAACTGGTCCTTTAAAATTCAGTTCTATAAAGTGTTTAGTCATGTGTCTTTGAATATTTCCTTTCTTCCATTCTTTTACTTTGGGATTTCAAGTAAATATATATTAGACTGTTTATTGTGTCCGTCCTACCTTTTAATCTTTCTTTCATATTTGCATAAATTTATTACTCTGCTTTATATTCTATTCTCTATAATTAATTTCTTTCTTTCTTTCTTTCTTTTTTTTTTGAGACAGAGTCTTGTTCTGTTGCTGAGGCTAGAGTACAGTGGCAGAATCTCAGCTCACTGCAACCTCCGCCTCTTGGATTCAAGCAATTCTCCTGCCTCAGCATTCCAAGTAGCTGGGACTACAGGCATGTGCCACCATGCCTGGCTAATTTTTGTATTTTTTAGTAGAGATGGGGTTTCACCATGTTGGCCAGGCTGGTCTTGAACTCCTGACCTCAAGTGATCCACCTGCCTCAGCCTCCCAAAATGCTGGGATTACAGGCATGAGCCACTATGCCCAGTTCTGTATAATTAAATTCTTTGAATTTATCTTCTAGATCATTAATTCTCTCTTCAGCAATATACAATTAGTTGTATAACATATCTGCTGTGTTAAAAAAAAAAAACTTAATATTTTGGAAATTGTCTTCGCTTCTTTCCCAAATCTGACTGGCTCTTGGTTTTTATAATATGTTGCTTCAATCTTTTATTTTTCATGATACACTTTTAAAAAATATTTTAATCCAGCTCAATATCTTTTGAATTCATTTACTGTTTAATTCTGTGTTTGCATTTTCTATGAATCTCTTTCATGGTGAATTATTTTCCTGTGTGTTTGTAAATTTTGGACTTTGTGTTAATGGTCCACCGTTACTGATTGTGGTCCTTCACAGTGGCAATTTGAGAGGTGTGAAGGTGATTTGACTTATTCCTGTCATGTACTCTGCAACATAAAGAATCTACAACAGCCTTAAGTTAATTTCTCAGTTTGGGGCTCCCTGAATATTTCTGGCAGTATATTTTGTGTGTAATTCTGCATACATGCAGTCTCATGGAAGACTTTTTGCTCTGCTTCCTTCTAGCATCCTGAGTTGCCAGTAAAAAGTTTGACTCCAATTTGACATTTGACATTCATTTCTTTTTTGGAAACATGCTCTTTTCCCACATCTGGACATTTCTGGGATTTCATATTAATAAAGGATCAATGAAAAATATTATGATATAATCTCACTGCATGTGTTGCTACCTAATTCATTGGAACACTGTGGTCCATTTAATTTGAAGGCTCCTACTATATATTCTTTCAGCTCTGAAAAGTAAATTTTTTCCCAATGACTTCTTTAATAATTCCCCTTCCTCTTTTCTTTCAATTCTGCTAATTGCACTCTTTCATGAAATCAACAATTATTTCCCCTTCCATTTGGTGGGGAAAATTTTTGGACTTCCATTTTAATTTGTGCTTAATTAGCTTACAAAAAGATGGGAATTTACAGGAGTGGGAATTGTAGATAACAAGAGTATAGAAATGAAGGGCTATAGTGGATTTAATGTTTAACACATGTAGTATATAGAATATTATTGCATATGGTGTTATTCATTATTTTTCCATTGGGAAATATAATTATTTTAAAAATTATAGATAGAATAAATCATTCTTTGGCATGGCATAAGCAAAAAACACCAGGAATGAGCAAAGACAAGGTTATCTTTTGATGCAGTACAAGGATAGCGATTCAAATATCCACAGCAAACCATCAAGAAAAATAGTTTCCAACTTCCAATGCAGCAGTTATTTAAACTCACCAGAATTCTTAACTTGATTAGTTAAAAAGTATGACCATCTGAACTTCCACTCAAAGTTTTTAATCTGAATTATTCTATGCAAAATCTAGGGACATTAAAGTTTCTTAATAGCTTCCCACGTACAATATAACTATGAAGCAATTGGCTTCATATTCTGATGCCATATCCCAAAAGGCAATATGTCATTATTAGGGATGAAGAGTGAAGATATTTAAGCAATGAGTCAGAAGTATTGTGAAGTGATGACATAAAAAGATTTGGAGGTGATATATCAAGTTCTTCCCTGAAGTGTATGGAAAGCAATGGTCTTATCACGTCACTAGAGAATGATTACATATCTCATAATAAGTCAGAAACTATCTAGAATGTTAAGTGCTGAAATATTAAACAAAACAATTAACAGAGTGAGTTTCCTATTGTGTTTGGCAAAATCTGATTTTTTTTTTTAAAGATGATCTTCAAAAAATAGAACGACTGGCTGTTTGTCTTAGCCAGTACAAAGTTATGTGGTATTCTTCAACAATTCCTGAGACCCTCTGGCTAGGACTACGTGTACTGTTATGAGTCCTCATATACTATTTCATCAGTTAGGAAGTTGTAAATAAAGAATCATAACAGTGACATGCAGAATTTATTCATAGAACATTATTTTAGCCCTATCTCCATATTTATGGCTGTAGAAAAAGAGCCAAAAATAGAAACACGTGGCTCTTTGTAAATGTAACTTCTCAAAGAGAAAAGTTTATGTGTTATTATTATCTGTGTTTTCACATATATTAGTTAAGTTATTCTTATATTGCATTATGTATATTATATATTTTAAAGGGCATGTGAAACTACATTAAAAAGAAATAAGAAGTTAGGTTTAAAAGTTAAAAATTTATAATTAAATTTTATTTCATATAGTGAAGTATTTCTAATATTAAATGTCTATAATGAATAATGTAGAGACAATAGACATTTTAAATAAAAGTATTTGGCTTAACTCTTGAAAATAAAAATACATTAAAAACTTCAAATATTTTGAAAATTGAATTTTAAAGAGTAACATTGCTAATTAGCTAATTTATGTAGTGGCTTTTTTTCTATTGCCCATGTCTGAAATATCTAGAAATACACAGGGTTTCTCTAGAATATTGTGGTTTTTTTTTTACGATGGTGAAAAGTCACCAAATATTTCACTCCTTTAATTGGCGAAAATTGTTAAAATATGTCAACGAGCATATTTCTGAAAGTAGAAAAACCAAGTTTTTCCTTTTCATGCAAACCTGTCTTCCTAACCTGGCAGCTGAGTCTAATTAACCTCAGCTGGAATTGTTTCACTCATAGCTTAGAATCTAGCACCCACTCTGGCCCCAGCTCAAGGGTCTATAAAGACATTAATTGAAATGAGCTGTTAAGCATCAAACATATGGAAGTGTCCCTATTTTCTTCCAAATTGCTTACTTTCCGTATCCCTTCATGGTTTTGCAGGATCTACTTGGAATTTCCACCCTTTCTCCTATCCCTCCTTCTCACACATGCGTTCTTTCTCCTCTTGGTCAACTCCCAGTCATGCTTCAAAAACACTTTAAAAAATCAGCATTTCTATGAAGCATCTGTGGGCCCACGGACATAAGTAGTTGCTTCCTGTATCTTTTACTGTAGCACTGTTCATCTCCTAGTGTTGACATCTGTTTATGAACCTGCCACCTTTCTTAAACTATAAGCTACTCAGGGGCAGGGGCTGTGTCTTCACATACCTGTAGCCCCAGTGCCAAGCACAGGGGCAGGTCCATAGTACCTGTTCAGTAAATATTTGCTGAATTTATGGATTTTACTACTGCTCCCATTCTGTGTTCGCCTCTGATACCGAAAAGAATTCATGAGTAACTGAATTCTAGCTACTTCTCAAAAGCTTCATAAAACTGCTTTATTTTTCCCACTTCTCTTCCTGCCTTTGTTCCTCCATTCCTCTCTCCATCTTTTTCTCTCTCCCTTCATCCTTCCCTCCTTCCCTTCCTCCTTCCTTTCCTTCTTTCCATTTTTTCAAAATCACTGCCCCAGAACACTGAGTTTCTTTTAGCCATGCCCTAATCCTTAGTGACTGGGCTTTTTATTCTTAAACTCAGTCTTGCTAGGATTGTATCACCAATACCTGTCATCAAACTTCTCTGGCATAGCACCGTCTGCACTTGTGAACTTCTAACGTCTTTATTTTGGAGCATTGACAGTCACATGAGCCATGCCAACCTGAATAGATACATGGAGTCATGAACTCAGTTTAAGAAGTGGGATTCTTGTGTTTCAGCTTTGTACTGACATTCTAATTTCAAACCCATTAGGTAACACAAATCCCATGTACCTTTCTTTCTCTCTTTTTTTTTATTTTTTTATTTTTTATTATTTTTTGTGATGGAGCCTTGCTCTGTCATGAGGCTGGAGTGCAGTGGCATGATCTCAGCTCACTGCAACCTCCACCTCCCGGGTTCAAGCCATTTTCCTGCCTCAGCCTCCCGAGTAGCTGGGACGACAGGTGCATGCCACTATGCCCAGCTAATTTTTGTATTTTTAGTAGAGACGGGGTTTCACCATGTTGGCCAGGCTGGTCTCAAACTCCTGACTTCATGATCTGCCCACCTTGGCCTCCCAAAGTTTTGGGATTATAAGCGTGAGCCATTGTGCCCGGCCTGTACCTTTCTTATAATAACTAATTCCTGGTTTGGCTCTCATGTGTGGGCTCCAAGCCCTCAGTCAGCCCTGCGGTTCTACCTGAACTTTTTGCCCTCTGCTCTCCTTTCTTGGCCTATTCCCTGTAGAACAGAATAGAACAATATCAGAAATCCACAAGGTGCAGACTGATAAACCAGGGTAGGAGTGATTCCACACACTTCCCATTGGTGACAGTGGCAAGATATGAGGATTTTACTGCGGTATGTTTCCTCTATCTTCAAGTGACTGCAAAAAATCAGCAATATAGTTGCTCCAACTAGGGGGCCTGGGATCATTCAGAGAATATTCTGCCTCAAACCTTAGGAGATACATTTGCCTTTAACAAAATATAACTATGTATATTTTCTTTTCTATATTTTATTTTTGAGACAGGGTCTTGCTCTGTCACCCAGGCTGGAGTGCAGTGGCATGATCTTAGCTAACTGTAACCTTGAACTCCAGGACTCAAGGGATCCTCCTGCCTCAGCCTCCCTGGTAGCTGGGTCTACAGGTATGTGCCGCAAGCCCAGCTAATTTTTTATTTTTTGTAGAGATGGAGTGTTGCTATGTTGCCCAAGCTGGTCTTGAACTCTTGACCTCAAGCAATCCTCCTTCCTTGGCCTCCCAAAGCACTGAGAATATTTACTTATTCAAGTCTTAGTTTAAATGTCACCTTCCCGTGTGGCTGATTCTCATCATCCTAATTAAAATTAGGAATTTCCATCATGCACCATTCCCACTATCCTGGCCTATGTTTTCTATAGCACTTGCTGTCTTCCGATATACCATTTACTTCTTCATTATTTTTTCATCCAATGTATGATCTCCTGTTAGAAAATATGCTCCATGGGCAGGATTTTTTCTTTTTCTTTTTGTCTTTCATTCATTGATGTCTCCAAGCACCTAGAATAGTTCCTGCCACAAATAGGCACTCAATACTTATTTGTTTGATGAATGAACAGATGAATGGGCAAATGAAAACAGCACATCAAAAATATTTGGTAGAAATATGTACACATTTCTGACATTCTACAGTCAGAATATTAAAAATAATATTTAGTTTTTTCCAATTTCAGGGTAGTAAAGTGAATGAATGATTTTTTAAAGGTATACTTAAATTTGTTGTTATCTTTCTTCAATGGCCTCATGTTTTAAAATTAAATATGACCGCGTGCAAGCTCAAAATGAGTTCCTGGGATTTTGGAAATTTTCCAGCATTCCAAGGTGCTGATTTATAGTTACCACGTGAACGACCTCATGAATAGACCTTTCATTACACAGTCCTCAGAATAGCAAACTCCCAGCTGCCCCTTCTTACTGGGCCATGACTTAACTCTGGAATGTGTTTTGACTCACTGACTGTAATAGTGACTAAAAGGAACATGTGGGAGTCATCAAAAATCTGCAGGTGGATCTGACTGTAAGAAAGAGAAACACTTAATTGGGTAAGCAGATCAATTAGAGATGATTACTGATACAAAAAATGGATTCTTTATTTTACAAAGGCCATCACCACAGAATTGTTTTAGATGGTGATCCACTGACAATATTTTTCCTAATGAAATGTCTCCTGTATGAACTAAAATAACATTATTTGGGGCATGAAATAAGGTACAGTAGGTAGGGAAGCAAGTCCGGAAGCAGAAGCCGGTGCTGGGAGTCCTGGGTCCACCATCGTGTATCCAGAGACCAGTTATAAAAGCCTGTCCTCTGAGTCTCGTTAGAGGGGACAGTTCAGGCAGAGCAAAACAAATGGTGTCGATGGTGTTAGCTGGAACTACTCTGTGACTAAATGTCTGATTTACTCCGAAGTTTCCAAAGAAGCCCTGTTTTAATAAAGAAATGGTGCTGTTAATTTTAAAGTAGCCTGTTGCACCATTTCATTTAACTTTGTTAATCTTAGGTATTTAGACAAAGGTTTGCTTCTGACCTGAGGGGATTCATATTTCCAAGACAATTAAGCTCTAGAAAAGATGTTATGGAAAAAAGAATGCAAAGCCTCACAGTAGTATTTCTGTTTCTATGATAAAACTATTGCTTTATCAGCACATTGAAAAGGGAACACAGTTGAAATTATATTTTTCTTAATTTTATCACCAGAAAATACTAAAGAGAGGAGATCATCCCTAGTTCTCGAAGACAAGTTTTTAATATGTGAATTATTGCTATTTGCCTTTTATCTATTTTGCCAACATGAACTTTCTCCTTATCCACATACATTTTAATAAAGGTAAATTGGCAGATAGAGGATCACTTAAAATGAATAATTAGCATCTGGATCAACTCTTATGAAAACGGTAGACAGCTCATTGGACGAATGTCAGCTTCCAATATCATGACGATTTACATGAACATTACTTAAAATTCAATGAAATTAGCAATTATGTTGGTCAGTTGCACTAGCTACTTTTTAATTGCATAATAGCTACATGTGGCTAGTGGTTACCATATTGGACCGCACAGATATAGGACACTTCTATTATCATTATCACAGAAGTTTCTATTGGACGTCATTACTCTAAAATGTCTGATTTTAAACAAAAAATAAGATATGTAAATGACAATCACACAAATACATATACATACTACAGTATTTTAGAAACATTAATGACTGGAAGGATCCCCTCACGTAAAGAGCAGTAGAAAACTGAAAGAACAGAAGTCTCAGTTTGTTTTGTAAAACCCGTCAGAGGAGATGAATGGCCATTATAAGAATAAAGAATGAATTTAGTTTTAATGGAGCAGAATAAAAAGAGAAATACAGCAGGTAATTTCCAAGGTTTATTGCAAAAGCCTGGAAAAAGTGACTTTGAATATATATTTTATCTTTTGACATTTTACATGTTGATGACTTAGAAGATTAAAATTAAAATTATGAGTTAGAGAATAAAAGTGAAGGGCAGGCAATTGTCATATTAAAAAACTCCAAGTCATATAAATCTGATGAACATGACCCATTCAATTCTGATATTTGAAGCATTCCTTGATCCAGAGTTTTTCAGCAGGAAGAGTATATTTTTCAATTCTACATACATCTAGATCAAACACCAGTACCTAAGACTTCCAGTATTCACTTTCTAGCTTACTGGTCTTAAAATATCTAAAAGAAATTCAACAAATCATATATATATATATGCATATATATACGTACGTATATATATGCATATATATATATTTTTTGAGACAGAGTCTCGCTCTGTTGGCCAGCCTGGAGTGCAGTGGCGCCATCTCGGCTCACTGAAGCCTCCACCTGCCAGGTTCAAGTGATTCTCCTGCCTCAGCCTCCCGAGTAGCTGAGATTACAGGCACCCACTATCATGCCCAGCTAATTTTTGTATTTTTAGTAGAGATGGGGTTTCACCATGTTGGTCGGGGCTGGTCTCAAACTCCTGACCCTAGGTGATTCGCCCGCCTTGGCCTCCCAAAATGCTGGGATTACAGGCATGAGTCACTGTGCCCAGCCCAACGAATCAGATTTTTATATTAGTATAATACAATTAATCAAATCATTTACACTGATTGATTTGTTTTCTTTCATATCCCATCTATTATCAAATTACCCAAATTTGTCAAATTATGGATTTGCTATGCTTGACATTTAATGACATATGGTCTAAGTCTTCCTAGAATCATTTTAACAACTGTTAGAGTGTATCTCCAAGAAAATGTGAATGGAATGCACCAACATGCACACGGGAGCACTATGGTTTATTTGACACCAATACATAAGTGAGGAAAAGGAGCAAATAAAATAGACGTGGTGAGAGCAATTGTCCACAAACTGGGAACCTGGGAGTGTATCATCAGGCATAAAAAGAGAGGCTGGGGAAAATCATAGCACCTTTCTGTGCTGTTCTGGTTCTGCCATTGAGGATATTGGAGTGGAACCAAACTGACAGGCATTGCTAGTCCTCAGTCCTGGAATGGAGTTATCAATTCACACTGTTTACTAAATTTTAAATATGCAGGATATTAGGTAGCTGCACTTAAATTATCTTTTATAAGTGTAATTTTAAAAATCTACTGTTTTTCATATTACTACAAATAAATACTGCCTCAATATGAAACTCTTGCGGCTAGTTAAGATGTTTAATGTATAAGGCTGTCACAGTCACTCATATAATTGTATAAATTCTGAAATCTTTCAGTTATCACACTTTATTTAGAAACATGTGTTTATCTTTTTGGAATAAAATAAATATTTACAGCAAAACAGCAATATCAAAATGCTCTTGGTTTGTAGGTTTTGTCCAGTTTAACTTGCATGCTGTCCAAGTTAACTAAATTAAGTATTAAAATAGTTCATTCTTGTCCCAACAGAGATAGAAATTTGGGGCCCCATGAAAGAACGAAAAGGATCCCATAATGAAAGAATTTTGTTTCTTTTAAATGTATTGCTACGTAGGAATTAGAGTTCTTGTGCAATATACAGATAAAATGAAATTAAAATTGCTGCTATGTTCATCCACCTTGCAGATGCAATTTTCCCACCTTGTGTTTGGAAGTTTACTTCTTGTTATTGTCAATGTACCTGGAAATGTGTATTTGAGGTTACTTTTAAATTTCAGTCATATCTTGACAGTAAATAGTGGTTACACTCCAGAATACTTTTTCTAAGCTTTTAACATAAAAAGGCCTTTGAAAACCTTTGCATGGAAATCAAAGAAAACACAGATGAGGAGAAGTAAGATGTGATGAGTGGAGTTAATTATCTCATGTAACTTCGATCAGTTTGCCAAACTCATTTTTGCCTCCCTATGCTAAGCTCTCCACAGGCAAGCATCATCAGAATATAAATCATTCCTTAAAGCTTCTTTTTCCTTGGCCTCTGCTAATCTAATTCTTTTGCATTCAGCCAAGTGCACATAAAGTTTAATCACAGGCCAGAAATATGTGGAGTAAATTCCTCAAGACTGATACTAATCATATTAGGATATTAATTGGGCATACCAAAATGAATTGAAAGTGAAAAAGAGATTGAAATCTCAATTTACATGTATTTAGAAATCCATGCCCAGTCCATCATTAGCAAACTCCCCTTGACTGTTCCTACACCTGCCTCCCACTCCAAATTACATCCTTAAACCAAACGGAATCAGAATGGGCTGAACCATATGTAAATTCCCCTGAAGACCAGTCTGTTCTGTCACAGTGTACAGCTTCTCAAACTTTAATGTGCACATGAATCATTTGAGGATCCTGTTACAATGCAGATTCTGATTTAGTAGAACTGATGTGAGGCCGAAGGTTCTGCATTTCTAATAAGCCTCCAGGTGATGCTGACGTGCTGATTCGCAAACAGCACTTTCAATAACAAAGTTTTAAAGCAGAGTACCATTTGCTTTCCCAAACTGTGAACTGTAATATTCCAAAGACTTTCCACATTGCTCACATGGACTGGTGACTTGACAGTTTGCTACAAATATTCCAAACGATATCTTAAAATTTGTACTAATTATGATCTTTAACAAACACCACAAATACTACAATAGACATTATTTGGCTAAAGAGGAAAAATCCAGAATGTGCCTAATCAGAAATGATAAATAAGATCTGTATTTTCCAATAAGTTATTTATATTTTTCATGTCTGTCATTGTTGAAAATAATATTAATAGTGTGATTTCTAACATACGAGCTATTAACTTTTTAATGATATTTGTGAAGCATTAATCAAATTTATGAGGTTCTGTCTAAAATGTAACACTCTTATGTCACTTTGTATTCCAAATTCATTATGCAAGTTTAGTTTAATTGTCTGAAAAGGAGATGCTTAAGGCATCTTATTTATTTTTTTATTTTGCTACTGATAGTTACTCCTAGTTTATTCTTTTGTTACCCACAGACAGAAAGACAAGTATGTTTTCCTTTTATTTTCACAAAAGTTAAAGTCAGATTATGGTCAAGTGCATTGTTTCAAACCTCTAATACTGAAAATGCTTGTTGTACTGGTTTATAGTCAATTAAAATATATTCTATTTAGTTTTAAAAATCTAATTAAAATATAATAAGGATAGAAGCATTTATAAACACCTCTATTTTTCCTAAATTGTATTTCCTAAACTATATGCAGTCATTATTTTCCTTACTAATTTTTAAACAAACCCCTCATATATTTTATTTATTAACCACTCATGTTGTACAAGGTATGATGTCAAGAAAGCATATCAAAATGTTATGCTAACCTTCAAAGATGCGGCTGTGACCACTTTCAGGTGACATCTTGTCAAAAGATGTTTCCTTGCCTTTCTTGTCTGAATCTTTCACAGAATCCTCCAGCTGGCTCCCAGGGTGACTCTTAAAAGCTGGCGAGCACAAACTTCGCTCAATTTCCACTTCCTGTTACAAGACATTAAAGGGTTGTATGTTAAAAGCTATCAGTAGGAAACAGATGTGTTTTTTAGGGGGGTTAGAAGGCAGAAATGAAAGAGGGAGGGATTTCTGTCATGAGGGATGTTTTCAATATGCTTCAGGTAAAATGTTGATAACTTTGCCAAGAACTGCAAACATATATCTGAACGCTTAGTTTACTTTTCTGCCACTGGTTCCACTTCTGAATTAGCCTTCCTTTCATGTGTGTGTGTTTTTTTCTCTCATAAAAGAGAGAGAGTGGAAATAAGGGTCACAATACAACATAATATATGTTAATGGATGCAACTTTCTAGGCCTGAGAAATGTTGATGAGGGACTTTCAAAAAATGGCAATGTAAAAACATTATATGCTGAAGACAGAAGGAAATGAGTTTAATGTCATGTTCACCCTGTAATGATAACCTTAGCAATTATAGAGTTCCCAAATTACAAGCCCATTCAGCCAGCATACATTGAATACAGTTTTTCGATTCATAAAGATTATGAAATTACTTCTTCAGATAGTAATTTAAAGGTGAAGAGATAAAAGATTCCCAAAGAAAGGAAATATAAAGGATATTTCCAACATAGAAAGTCTAGCATTCCTTATTGTATAGGCCAATAAGGAATATACAGATTCCTTATTGTATAGGCCAAGTAATGTAATCAAATAAAACAAACCAGCCAAGTAGACTAAATATTTTGAATAAAAACATTGCAAAAAGTAAGTAAATGACTCAAGACAGTTCAAGAAGCAAAAGTCTAGTTTTAAATATGTCAAGTAATATGTTGAAAATGTTTTCAACAGCTACACATAAGTTAAAGATTTTCATACAGGAGGTCACACAGTAGTCTTCCCTGTAACTGTAGGTTTGGTTTCTGCAGTTTTATTTACCTGCGGTCCACAATATGAAATGAAAAATTCCAGAAATAAACCATTCATAAATTTTAAATTGCATGCTGATCTGAGGATCACTCCATCTGCCCAGGACGTGAATCATCAGTTTGTTTGTCCATACTACCCACCGTGATTCACTTAGAAGCTGTCTTGGTTATCAGATGGACTATCGTAGTATTGCAGTGCTTGTGGTCAAATCACTCTTATTTAACTTTTATTACAGCATAGTGTTTTAGTTAGTCTATTTTATTATGAGTTATTGTTGTGAATCTCTTACTGTGCTGAATTTAAAAGTTAAACTTTATTATAGGTATACATATATTTAGGAAAAGACAGAGTATATGTAGGGTTCGGTACTATATGTGGTTTTAGGCATCCACTAAGGGCCTTGTAACATGACCCCCATGGATAAGAAGGCACTATTGTATTTCTCTAAGCAGCCATTCAGATAATGATGTCAGTAATTGTTTTTCACTTTTGTTACCTCTTAAGTACACAGACATGAGTGAGTCAAGTTTGAGAGACAGCTAAAAGCTTCGAAACATTCTTAGAGTAGATACATTTTCTATGTCTTTGCTATGGTTAGAAAAGAAAAGCTTTTCAATTTATATATAATATATACACACATGTAAATATATATATACATACATCACATGTACATAACAAGTATATATGAAGATATATACACACACGTAAATATATATATACATATATCACATGTACATAAGTATATGTGAAGATATATATTCACACAAATATATAATATACATATACACATGAATATACATGAATATATATTCATATATATGAATATATTCACTATGTATATGTGTGTACATACATTTATTACAAATGTGTGTATATACACATATATACACATATATATAAAATCACTAGAAATATTGTTATCTGGTAATCATATCATCTTTGGATACTCCCAAAATATATGATGTATGCTGTCTTCATTAGAGTGAACTTTAACTGAAGCTAAAAACAATTGCAGGAGAAAAATAGAGAAAAAGAACTTGTCATTTTTTTCAGGGCATTCCCTTTAACATGTGTTTCCAACTATTACAAAAAATCCATATGTTCATAACTTGTAGTGAGGTATCATGCTGTTGAGACACAGTGTCAGACATGCCATTACATGTGGCACGAGTATAACATCCTTATCTCAGTTCATTCTGGTGTCCTCTCCACTGTCCTGGAAGGTGACTGCTATGACATGAACGCAGTATGTTTGCTTGTTTTGTTTCAGCAATTTAATCCAACTGCTAGCATTGGCAAAAACAAGATGAGATAAATAGAAGGTGCAGATCCCTACAAAGTTGTGATTTTTGTTAGGAAAATTTATGTTTTGGTAAAAGGTGGAATACTGAACATGGTCCATGGACTCAGACTGATGATATTAAGGAATAATTTCTGTTTCATATACCTACATGGAAATGTGATTTGATTAAATTTCAGCTGGTGATGACATTAACTTATACTATATTGGTATTCTCATTTTGGAATTCACAAGTATCAAGAGTGCATCTTGTACGGAGGCAGTAAGGAACAATCTACATGTGAATGTAGTGGACTTATTTTCAAGCCCTAGTCATCACATCAAAGTCATTCTGAGGCAAGCTCTTCAGGGCCTGGCAAGGGGTAAGGAGGCAGCTGTGTAGAGATGTAAAAGAGCTTCTTGGATGAGGCTGAATTGAGCTGTCTCCAATCAAAGCAGTGATCTGCTTTAATCTCTCGTAATCTGTTTTATACACTGTGCTTCCACAAAAGATTTACTTTGAGTAAAAATCTAGAAGCTTAAACAAATGCGTACAATACCACTTTAGAAGGAACAAATGCAGCATTTCACAATAAGAAAGTTGGATTCAAGCCCTCCCTTGGCTACTAATAAGCTTTGTGGCCTTGATTAAGTCACTTGCCATTTCTAGGACTAAGTTTTCTCAAATGTTCTTGGAAGAGATTTAGTCATTGAACACCTAATGTTCAACAACCAACTACTGGTGGTATAATTTTATTTAAAATAAAATAAAGAAATGTTTTTCACCTTTTGTGGCTTCCAGTCTAGAGAAGGAGGCAAATAGTAACGAAGCCCAGGAGTCAGTATTAAACATGCAACTCTAATGCTGAGTGTCTTAATGGGGGAATTAACTCAGTGAGAGAGAGCCCTGTATAGGGCTCTCCCAGGGAAACGACCTTCAGCTGATATTTGAAGAATGAATGGGGCTTAACTACGTGAAGAGCTTTCCAGGTGAAGACAATATGTGCAAATGTCCTGGACTGGGAGGGAGGACAGAGGATAGAGTAGGTGGGAGCAGGGAGGCTGAAAGGAAACACGTGGTGCTGGATGGCCTGCAGAGGCAGGCCGGGAGCAGATCACAAAGGCCTGCAGCACCATATTTGCTTTGTCTTAGCTCAATGGGAAGTTATTGAATGTTTTTAAGTGTGTGTGTGTGTGTGTGTGTGTGTGTGTGTGTGTGTATACACATGCACACATGACATAATCAGGTCTGCCATGTGAAAAGCGCAGTCTAACTCCAGAACAGGATTTCTAAATCTTGTCACTGTTAATATTTTGAACCAGATAATTCTTTGTTATTAGAGCCTTATTCTGTGCAGGTAGGATGTTTGGCAGCCTTCCTGGTCTCTACCCACTAGATGCCAGGAGCATTTGTCCCTAGCTCTGGAGTCATAACTATTAAAAGTGTGTTCGCACATTGCAAAATCTCATGTGGGGAGCAAAGTCACTGCTGGTAAAGAGCCACTACTCCAGACTGGGTTAGAGTAGAAGGTTACAATACATGTGGAAAGAGCAGTTAGTATAGCAGTACTGCAGGCAAGTGATGATGATCTTAAAGAAAGAATGATGATGGAGATGGCCAGAAGTGAACCAAGTTGAAAGCCATTTAGGAGATACAACTTTCAAAGCTTGGTCATGGATTGAATCGGAAGTTTGAGAAGGATAGAGAGAGGAGGGGAGAGAGAGAATGAGAGAGAGAGGGAGTGAGAATGGGAGAGAATTTAATTTTTCTCTATGGCATGCACAACAAAATGGATTGTGAAGCTATTAAATGATGTCAAAATATCAGATAAAAGCTGGTTTGAGGGAGATGATAGATCATGAGTTGGGTAGCAAGATGTCCAAAAGGCAGTTGGATGTGTAGCCCTGGAGCTTAGAGGAGAGGTCCAAACTGAACAACTAATTTAAGTCATCTGCCTTCCGTGGTAATTGAAACAACAGGCTTGAATGAACTTGCTTAGGGGGAGAGTATATAAAGTGTGATGGAGAGTGAGTCCAGAACCAAGCCTTGAAAAATGCCAACATTAAATGGATGGCAGAGGAGAAAAATCAGAAGGAAAGAACATCTTTGACAATATTGAACTTGTATTGAAAGTATTAATTTGAAAAGGACTTAAATATATCTTTTGAGTTGAGCAACATGGATGTCAACAGTTGAGCAAAATTGCTTCCTTGGAAGTACAAAGGTTGGAAGGCAATTTGAAGTGGGTGAGAGAGTGACTGGGAGATGGTGAATGGAGCTCACTTACTGAACATTTCAATGTTAATGTGGATGGGAGGAATAGAGCAGTAACTTGAGAGAGATGTGTTTTGTTTGTTTTAAAGGAAGAGTTTTGCATATGTTGAAAAGCTAACTCAAATTATTTAATGAGATAGAGGTGCTGACTATATAGAAGAGAGCAATAACAATCAGTGAAGGAAAATTCCTGAGAAGGGCAAGAGGATGGAACCCAAAGCATGGGTAGAAATATAGCCCGAAGGTAGCATAACAGAAAGCGTTCCTGTTCTCACTGAGGGGAAGGAGGGTCAAATTAATGTAGATATAAGTGATTTGCAAGCTTGGTAGCTTGAAGATAAGAACCCAGGCAGAAGTTGTCTATTTTCTCTGTTATGATGCAAAGTCTAATGAACATAGGGGTATCTGAAGAGAATGAAGAAAGTTTACCTTAATTGATGGGGGGAATGGAGGAAGAGAGATGACTAAAGATGACTGTGGCAGTGCAGCACTGGGGGCCCATTTGAAGTTGGTAATATTAACTCTGCAGGGCTACCAATAGGGCCTGTTAAGTTACATAGTTACTTACGAATTCAGAAAACTCTCCATAGTTCTAGTTTGGGCAATGAGAAAGTATATAGCTGACTTCAGCCAGGGAGCGGTTTTGTGAGGAAAAATATAAATAAAATTTCTATTGCAGAGTGGGGTTAGGGCAGGGAGAGACCAGGTACAGGAAATTTAGGTCGCCACCAAGAGATCTAAGAGAGCGATTGAAATGATACACTGTGCAATGTAAGTTGGATTAAAAGGAAAGAAAGAAAAGAAAGGGTAAACTGGAAGACAGATAAAGGGTCAGCAGACTGGAGATCTTGGTGAAACTAAAGAACCCTTTTAGTGTGAATACTTGGCAAAGCAAATTGTAAAGAGTGGTGACTGGGGCCACTGAGATGTTTGCTTTAGTTTGTAGGGAGTAGGGTAACTTGTTAGGATCCAGCGGTGACCAAAAAATGAAAGCTAGGGTAGGGGGAAAGTTATTAAATAGGAGGAAACCTAGGAACTCAGAGGCCATGATGGTGTCCCAGGAAAATGGAAGGACTTGAAGGCAGAGAAAAGCTGTAAGTTGTGTATCAATGTCCTTGTAAACGAGGGAAACCATTGAATTTAATAAATAACAGTCATGATGGTTGGTGGTTGGTGGGGAAGGTGCAGCTGACTGAATGAGTCTCAGATGAGCAGGGGTTTTTTTTAAAGAAAAAGTAGGAGAGGAGTGATTAGGAAGAATGGTCTCCAGGTACATGGAGACAATTCAGGGACACTGGTGATTTCAGGGGAGGGCCATGTTTCTGTTAAAGCAAGAAGGTGACAGAAGTATTTGGAGAAGAGGTGGAGGGTAGAGAAGTCATTGCTGATTATGGAGAGGCAGTTCCAGAGGTACTGGTGGAGTCTCTCGCTTAAATAATATGTAAATAAGTAAAATCTCTCAGTGAGGTCTATTATCTTTACTAGTTTTATGACTCTTCAAAACGAGGAAAGCAATTGAAAATAAGGGAAACAAACTTGAAAGAGAGCAAGATAATTTTTCTTTTCTTTTCTTTTTTTTTTTTTTTTGAGACTGAGTTTTTCACTCTTGCTCAGGCTGGAGTGCAATGGCGCGATCTCAGCTCACCACAATCTCTGCCTCCCAGGTTCAAGTGATTCTCCTGCCTCAGCTTCCTGAGTAGCTGGGATTACAGGCATGCGCCACCACGCCTGCCTAATTTTATATTTTCAGTAGAGACAGGGTTTCTCCATGTTGTTCAGGCTGTTCTCGAACTCCCAACCTCAGGTGATCCACTTGCCTCGGCCTCCCAAAGTGCTGGGATTACAGGATAATTTTTCTTTCTTACTTATATATATTTATTGCTTTAACATATGTATAATTATAATCTTAGAAGATAAAATATTTTTTAAGATGTGAGAATGAAAAATGCCAAGTCTTTAATACAACCCAATGTCTATTTCACAAGAGACATGGAGCTGTAGAGTCCCCTAAAATAATAAGAACATCTTACCAGGCATTTGAAAAGAAAGCAGGTTGCCCTACTGCTTTATATATTTTCCTCTCAGTGTGGATCCGTGAGTGAAGAGGTCCCCAGGAAAATATAAAATGATAAAAAGAAAATATTTAGATTTGTCTACATTTAAAATGCTGAGCTAGCTCGTGTACACTCCCAGACTCAGTGGGTTCTTACCTTTAGAGAAATAAAAATATTAATAGAAGCATAAAGAAGTTTTACACAGACATAAAGAGAAGAGCAAAAATAAAGGAAAATTACCAAAATATAAAAGACCAGAGAAGAAACCTTGTATGAATTCTGCTGTGTTACTGTCCCATCTGGTCTTTGAACTTTTATTTTTATTTTTTCAGAAGTCCTTTCCTGGAAGACTGTACCTTCTCCCACTATGTATTAAAAATATTTCTTCCCTCATGACCTAACTCAGTGCAGTCTCCTCCAGGAAGCCCCTTCAATCATTATATTCTATACTCATCTTTCACTCATTCAAAATATTTTTGAATAATTAATCTATCTCAAGAAATGTTTTAGGCACCATAACTACAAAAATGATTAAGATGCAAGTTGGGTCCTCAAGAAGCTCATAGTGTAATGGCAGGGAAAGATACATCAAGTGAGTATTGTAACAAAAAAGAGTGTGATAATAAAGAAATGTAGGTGTCCTGGACACTACAGATGGAGGATTCTGGGGAGATGTGGTCAGAGAAAGCTTCCTGAATTTGATTCTGTAGGTAACAAGAACTCTTGCAAGTGAATTAAGTGGGGGTGGCGGGATTAGATTTGTGCTTTAGATACATATATCTGTCAGCTGTGTGAAAAACAGATCATACAGTTGCCTCTCAATATCCAAGGGGGGATTGGCTCCAGGACCGCCCCGGATACCAAAACCCATACACGTTCAAGTCTCATAGTGAGCCCTGTGGAATGTGTAGATATGAAGTCAGCTTTCCATATTCACGGGTTTCCCAGCTCGCCAACACTGTATTTCCCGTGCATGGTTTGTTGCAGATACGGAACCTGTGAATATGGAGGGTTGACTACTTACTGAAAAAATCCTGCATGTAAGTGGACGCACACAGTTTAGACCTGTGTTGCGCAAGGGTCAACTGCAATGGAATAACACGGTAACATCTTCTGTAGTAAATGTAATAAGGAATTTATTAAAATTTCCAATTGAGAGATAGAAAAAGCCTACATTAGGATAGTGAGAAGGGGACTAGAGGGAAGAGAATCCATTACAAATATTTAGGCGTCAAAGTAGTAGTTTTTAGGATAAAAGTAGTGAGGGAGTGCAAGAATTCCAGCATAATTTCTAGATATTCTAATTGAGATGGCTTTATGAAATTGATAAAACAGGGTGAATGTCTTCCCCAAATGAATGTGTGCCTCAGAGAAGTGAAAACTGATCGTGGGCTTCCTTCCGGACTGACCACAAAGAATGAGTTGATCTAGAAGAAAACTGGGGGAATCCAGCACACGCCATGCCCTCAGTTTTGGGGCAGCACTCTTCTGGATGAACCCCCAGGGGGACCCCAACAAGCATATACTTCTCTGTACCTCCCTATGTTAATTTCATGCATAAAAGTGAAACTGAACTTTTCCATGAAAATATTGATACAGAACAACAGGGTTCTCTGGCTTTAAAAATGATGCTGGAGTTTCATTCTTAAGGGCCAGGAAGTGAATTAAGTTTTTGACATGTTGAGTTTGAGCTTCCCCTGAAGACATCCAGGTGAATACGTCCAGCAGGCGGCGAGATATCTGAAATTCAAAGAAGTCACTACTGGAGTGAAAGATTTAGGGCTCAGCAGCAATAAGGTGGTAGTCTCAACAGTAAGACTCAATTATTATTGAATTAGAACATGCAGAATCAGTATAGATAGCTGTGAAACAAACCTCTCAGGCATTTGGGGGGCAAACAAAGATTATCTGGTGAAGGCAGTAGAGGAGAAACAGTCAGAAGTTCAGCCACCATCAGTCCACATGAAGCATTTCTGTAAGCTGGAAAAAGGTGCCTCCTCAAAACACTTTTCTCTATCTGTCAGAAGGTTGTCACAATGTACTGATTTCATTAGACCAGATCATGTTACTGCCATCTGCTGGAAAATCGTCATGATAGATGCACAACTCTACCTTATGTTTCATGTGCATCCCCTTCCCTTAGATGTGTGCCCTTGAGATGCTTTAAACCTGCACAACTATTTGTGGCTGACACAGGAAGTCAGGGAAGAGTGCAAAGTCATGAACACCAAGGAAGTAGGGCATTTCAAATGCAGCAGGGAGTTTAAGAAAAAAATGCAATAAAAATATCTCCAATATGCCCAAATTTGGGCAATTAGGAGGTAGCCTAGGTAAAAACCATTCCTATAGAAGAGAGTTGGCTTAGGAAAGACTAATAATGAAGAGAAAGAGATGGCAATGTAAATTCCTATCCTAAAAAATTTGAATAGTAATAATAATAACAGCAATAATAGGTAGGAGGTATTGAACGCTCATTACATATCAGGCATGGTGTTAAGCACTTTAGTTGTATTATACTCATGGAATTTTCATTTCAACCCTATGGGAAGGTGCTATTCTCATTTTATGATGCTGACAGTGAGGTTCACAGCAGGACATGTGATCAAAGGCACAGGCACAGGAGATGAGGGTGTAGGTGTGGATATGTAGATGGATGGGAGTTGGGAGAAGATCACTGCTGTCAGCCCCCATGGTTTTTCCCATCTCCAAAGAAAGCAAATGACAAGTTATTGGAGGAGAGGCAGAGGGCAGTTTTCCCAGAAGATCTAATTTGGAGCCAGAGTTTAATGTGGAGCTCTTCCATTTAATAGAAGTTACTTTGGCTACCTCATAACATCCTTAGCCTTAGGCTTTTCATCAGAAAAATAAGGACAAATCATGCCTCCCCACCAATTTTTACAGTACTTTCATAGGACAGTTTCCTCATCTGTATGCTCCTGTGTAATGTACCTTCCACTCCTCCATCAAGAAGTGAGGCTATTTCTCCTCCATGAATCAACATTCATCTCGTGGGAACTTTTCTGAGGGAGCACAGCAGAAATGGCACTTGACCAACCTTTCCAGTCTTGGCTTAGCCCTTCACTGGCATGGCAGGTTTTGCTTCCTGCCTCTTGGAAGCCAGCTACCATGTTAGAAGTGTGATTATATCTGAGACTACCGTGGCCTCAAAAAACAAGGTGGCAGAGAAAGAGAGAGTGAGAGTGTGAGAGAGAGAGAGAGAGAGAGAGCGCACAAGGAGCACAAGCTACCTAGATATGTGAGTGAAGAAAGAAGCCTTGCAGCTTCTGCCAGGGTGTCCTGTCTCTCAGGACTCTCATTTTTGGGAGGCTCCCTCTCAGAAGCCATCACCACGTATTGAGAAGCTCACATCACTTGGAGAGATCATTTGTAGGTGCTCCATTCTGTGGCCCCAACTGATGTCCCAGGCAACAGAAGCATCAGCTGCCTGGAGGATATTGGATGTTCAGTCCTATCATGGATGTTCAGTCCTGTAACTTCATATAACTATAACCCTGGCCCACGTTAGATGAAAACATCATGAGATATTCCAAGTAAGGCTCTCCAGCTGAGTTAAGTCAACCCATAGAACCATGAGTGATTAAAACAAACTGCATTAAATAACCAAATTTTGGAGGTAGTTTGTTATGCAACAATAAAGAACCAGAAAATATTTTACTCACCATATTTCCTATTGTTCAGCTTCTTTGACTCTAACTTTCCTACTCAGAAATACGAAAAATGAGGAAATGTAGTCCTTAAAGAAATCATAAAGGCCAACATTCCTTGAATATTACTTTGTGCAAAGTGCTCTGCTCTAAATACATCCTTTTTATTAAACAGATTTAACAATACTAATGAGGTAGCTACCTCTATTTTACAGTGAAGAAACTAATGTTAGAGAGCTTAAGTAACTTGCCCAAGGCCACACACTTAAGACAGTGGTGGACTATTTCAGTCTGATGCTAAGCTGGTATTTTTAACTTCTGCATCATCCTGTTTCCCTACTGTAATTTATTTATCAATTCCAGAAACTGAAATAATGTAGGCTAGAATGGCATGAGAGGTAAAATACCAACTCCTTTACAGCTACGTATCCTATTCTTCTCTAAAACTCTTGTAGCATTGTGCCTTTTACATGGCAGGTACTTGATAAATGATGAGCTGACTCTTAAAAGTCTCATGACATTTTATATTGACATAGTATCCAGGAACAGCAGCAAGAAGAATAGACAAATACAATAACTAGATAGAGAAATTATAATGATCGTCACAACATCATCACATTCTACTGCACACATCACTTTAGAAGGGTCAAGAGAAACAATGTGGCTTGCCCCCTCATTTAACAAGGCTTGATGAAGTATTGAGAAGTAAGGTTTAGCAGCTGAGTTAACTGGGCTTCCTGGTTTCCCAGTGACTTTTCAGTAACTTGGCACTTAGAACCTTTTACCTTTAGACTGGTGGCTCCTGTGGGTTCCACCAGTCTGATCTGGGCCATCCTTCTGGCTATTCCCAAAGGGACAGCAGCATTTAATGAATGCATTTTCTGCTTCTCCACCAGTGTTTACACGTTTGTCTAAAGAAACCTCCTCTGAATGCCCCGCTTTGCCACCATTTTCTATAGAAATTCCAACTGCTTTCACATGGGGTCGAAGTGACACCTGGTTTAGGAAGCTTTCCCCAAATGCCCCAGCTAAGAACAATCACTCCATGTCAGAGCTCCTCTAGCATTTACACCTTTACCATTCTGCTTCGTACTCTAGTCACTTTTGACACATCTTGTTTCCCCCACTGCACTGTCAGCTCATTAAGACCATGCTTTATCCACCTTTGTAGCCACACTGAGTCTAACATACTGCTTTCTTTGAACATTGCAGGTACTTACTAAATGTTTGTCAAATGGATTTGAATATTTTGTGAATTTTATATTCACATAAAGGATTCAGAAGAAAGCGCAACTGAGAAATGTCCAAATATGGTGAAGACACTTCTTCTAGAGTGAAAGACATAAAGAAAATAGGCTAACTCCTCTGGGGAGAGGAGGAAAAACATAATTTATATCTCTATGTATAATGAACTAAAACTTTATTGCCAAAACTTTAAAAATGTTTGTTTAGATGGAACTCAGCATCTAAACTTTTCTAAAAACCCATGATACGTGAGAGAAACAAAATCAGTCCTAAAATTACGGTCTGTAAGCAAGGAGACTTTTTTTCTAGAATACTATGAAACAATTTTTTTAATGGATCATCTGTTCTCATGATATTTCTATTACTCCTTCCAGAATGGGTTTACATATTAAATAACAAAGCAGAAGCTACCATTTCCAGGGAAGAGAATGCATCAAATTATTTATGATTTTATCAATCCTGATTAACTGCACAGCCACAAAATCAACACCATCCTTGTCACTCCTACAGGCGCTTGATGCCTGAGTTCTACATTTCCTGTTTTATTCCTGTGCACTCAGCACATCCATCCACTTTAGTGAATTGATTTCATTGAATACTGTTATGGGTTGAATTGTGTACCCCTAAAATTCTAATCCCCAGTACCTGAGAATATGCTTGTATTTGGAGACAGGGCCCTTAAAGATATAATTCAGTTAAAATGAGGCCATTAGGATGGCCAGTCTGACTAGTTTCCTCATAAAAAGAAAGCAGTCTGACTGGTCCTCCTTATCAGAAGAAATTTGGACCCATAAAGAGACAGCAGGGGTGCATGTTCATAGAGGAATGAGCATGTGAAGAGGCAGCAAGAGGGAGGCCATCTGCAAGCCACGGAGAGAGGCCTGGAATAGCTTCTTCACTTATGGCTCTCAGAGAAAACAAACCCTGCAAGCAACTTGATCTTGACTTCTAACCTCTAAAACTGCAAAACAAAACAAAACAAAACAAAAAAAAGTTTTTTTCTCTTCTCTGGTTTAAGCTACTCAATCTGTGGCATTTTGTTACGGCACCCCTAGCAAACCAGTACTCTACATTTATCCTTACAGGCATAAGATTATAACTGGGCATTTATATATCTATTAAAGTAAGTTTCTTCGTAGCTTTAAAAATAGCTAGTTGTGTGTCTACAGCCAGACAAGAACTTCTTAATAACGGTCACTGACTCTGCACCACCCCCAATGGATGAATTAAACAGAACAACTGTCAAAATAGTTGTGTACTCATAGTTTTGAATGCAGATTTGCCTCACTATGTTTACTCTCAGTGAGTGGAAAGCTCACATGTGGTACAAGGTGTGCAGACCTTAGATCCTGAGACAAGCCACAGGCAAACATTTTCACAGCTATTTTATAATCCCCGATCAAAATGAGATACATTCTTGAAATGCTGAATTTTTCAGATATGTTCCTACCACAATTCTGCCTGCATTCCAGTCAATTTTATTAACATCTGACAGATTTTTAGGTTCTCAGGTGAAACAAATGCAAGCCCTATCTGGCCCTTGACAAGCAAGCACAAATTAAGGCACACAGTCCCATGGAAGTCCCTGGCATGAAGACCCAAATAAAAAAACTGTAAATGCAAACTAGGAATGGAAAACACATGCAGTAAGACATGTTCTCAAAATAAAAGACAGTCACTTGAATTTCTGTAGATTGTTCAATGTGATGTACCTATTGATCCATACTGTATTATCAATTTGATAGATGTGTTATGAATTTGATAACAGAATATTTTCTCAAAAAGGGGCCTTTTGCTCACAAGTACACTAAGTAGGCAGCCATGTGCCTGCAGTCTTCAGAAATGCTCAGTTAAGGGACCTTGGGTCTTTCAGAAGGAAGAATCAGCTTCCTGTGCTGATACTATCTAGAGACAGTATCCTGTCAGAGAGGCCAGATTGCCTGGACATCCAAGTGAACACTGCTACACATTTTTCATTCTGGTGCTGGAAACGACGTCACCATTCACCATGGGTAGGGCTTCAACATTTCTGATGCCTGTTATTTCTCTGCAGAATAAGCCTTTTCATCCTTGCTTCTCCTAGAATGTGCAAATGAATAGAAAACAATTTGGCATATATGCACCTTTTGGGTGAAAAATCTTGTACTGTGCTCTCATTTTACAGCTGGAAGTAAATAGGCACAGAAAAGCTACAATTCTAGTCCTGGTTCTTACCCCATTTTTGGTTGGGTCCAATGTTAAAACTCGTATGTCCAACATTTTAAAGAAAGATTCTTGCCTATGTGCATGTGTACAATTATTTAATATTCTCTGAAGAAAGACTGTTCAGGGAGGGGAAGAGCTGATTCAGGGATTGTGGGCATGTTACCTAATTTCTTTAGATTAACTGATCTCATTTAGAAGCTAGGCATGGACATGATTATTTTGGTATTTGCTACTGTCCTAACAGAAAGAATGCTGTGAAATTGAAAATGGTATGTTTCATAATTCACTGAGGTTCTCCCATGTGCAAAAAATACAACATGCTGCTATTTGAGCTTTGAGAGGCAGAGTATATCATTATGTCTCTTTGCTTCTCACCTCTTTAGAGGTCACGTTCATATGACTTGCTGTGTGCCTAAGAAAACCTGTGGAATTTTACGCTGAAGGAGTACTGAACATAAATTCCCCATGAGATGCAGATTTTAATGCTGTGTAACCTTATTTTCATTCTGGCTTCACATTTAGGCAGTTAATTTTCCATATAAAGCAGAAATACTGCCTTCTTTCCCTTCTCAGTCAAGAATAAAATTCTGCAACTTGCCGCAGTCACTCTCATTTTCTTAAATAGGGCCCTAAAGTATTTTAGGATTATCTTTATTAGTTGGAGACTATATCCACTCTTAAAAGAATTATAATGAAAAGAAAACTTCTATTAAAATATTTTAACTAGTTTCAATTGACCACATTACTGGCAATGGAAAAATCTCTAATGGCTAAACCTTTTAAATCTAATCTGCTTTAACATATTTTAAAACTGACGTGCCATTTAAGATTTAGGTGTTAGCATGCAAAGTGTTTTCTTTCTCTGTTTTCACATCCATTTTTTATTTCATTTTCTTTGACCTTTTGAAAATGAAATAACCCAATGATATCCTCTAGAGTGGCATGAATGATCTAAAAATGAATTACTGTATTCAAACGATCATACTAAAATGTGCAAAAGAATAAAGAGAAAAATATGTATATTTGTGTGAATAGTGATTTAATAATGCTTAGATGGAATGGCTTCTGTCTATTTCAGGAGCATAAAGTTCTGCTTAGATAGGATATCCACATAGTTATGTTGAGTTGCAATGACAAGGTGGAAAATGGTTGGAAGATATCAGACCTATGTTTATATCCCAACTTCAAACACTTCCCAGCTTAGTGAACACAACACAGTTATTTCATCTCTGTAGGCTTCCATTTCTTCATCTGTAAAATCACAATAATATCACTCACTTTTGAATGAATATGAAATACCACATTTTGTAGAGTAGACATTCAATACATGGTAGCTACCCCAAAGATATTTCAACATATAATTGTAATAATCAATGAAATCATAAGACAGGAATGGTTTTCTACATTCAAAGAGAGACTTCAGAGATTTCTCGAGTAGTGTATTTGATTTCTGGTTGGGAACTCTCTTTTATATACAAAATTAAATATTTGGGCAAAATATGAACCTAATAGGGTCTGAATATTTATATTCATGAGCTAATTATGTCATGCTGAGATTTTGTTAAGATAAGAGCCTGAGATACATGATCTCATGAAGCTTCTGGCTGTCCACGCTTTATATAAGACAGAGCCTTCTAATTATCCAAAAAAGATGAGTCTTTATCTTCTTTCATCTCTCATGAGCTATGGGAACTTGGATATAGCATATACTCCCTGTAACTCTTTTCCTTGACCACAGATAGGAGGTAATGATAATTCAGACATACCATAGTGATCATTCGAATAATTATTTAAAACAATACCCTTACGATGTCTTAAATGCCTTGGAGACTGTGCTATCATTCAAAGCTAGGATTGTGAATCACAAGGTGGAAATATGGAGATTTGTGAAGACACTGCATGCTATAATACAGTTATTTGCTCTTTCTAGATGATATAACACTCAGTGCCATGGAGGAACAGATGCCAAAGAAAGCTTATTCAAGTCCTTTCCTCCATGGCGACTATGCTGTCTGCTAGAAATAGTGCAGAGCTCTAGGAAGCCAGATACAGCCCCCAAGAGACAAAGTTCATGGAGTGGCAGTAAAGAAGTGCAGAAAGGGCCTCGTATTTTCTAAAGCTTTCCCTGAGAGAATCCTCGTTTCTGCACTACTGGACTACAGCTGGTCAAAAAACATCAATGGAAACCAGCCCCACCGTGACGGAGGTAAAATCGTTTAAAGGCTTGGTGCAAAGTGGAAGTACTAGCGCTCTATGATTTCTCTTTTAGAAACTCATTTTATAAATCCCCAAGAACAACACAACAGCTATTTTTAATATAGTAGCACAGAAGGGAAGCCTCTAAGTGGATTATCCATATAACATCTTTATGATGCTGAAAGGGAGAAGGAGTGCTCTTATAGGCCAATTAGATCAGCACTTTGCATGCATGACAGACTGATGTTTAACATTTGCAGCAATGAGGGAGAAAAGCAGAAACAAAATCTTCCTATAAATAAACTGCTGAACTTTAGCATGTACCATATTAAGAATTTTACAATCTTCTGAATTCTGAAACTGTGTGCTTTGAATTGTAATTATCTCTGTAGTCTTTAGAGCAATTGTGGGCATCATGCATAATCTACTTGTTTATTTAACAAACATTGGGCACCTATCAAATGCCAGAAACTTTGTCAACTACTGAAATTTGACAAAGAAGCACAATCAAGAGCTTGTCCTTCAAGCACTGAGAGTCTGGTACAATCACTTATAGGCTAGTTCAAGTGCAATGGTTCTCAGAGGCTGGTGAGCCATGAGATTGTATTTAAGTGTTGAACTTGCAAATAAGTCACATATTTGCTCTGTTTCATGGAGACCCCTATAGTATTTTACCTTTGCTCTCTCATTAATTAACGAGTTAAATAAAATCTTTGACTTTACATTTGTATTTGTCTGAGAGATACTGTATCCTTTAAAAAATTATATTTCAAATACTTTTATAATTCTTCTAAGTTTCTGGAGTCTCCTCAAAACACCTTCCAAGATGCCAATGTTTATCTAATGTGAAAAAGAAGGGGAAAAAATCTAGTTTCCTTTCGTGAGCTTCCTATTTTTCTTCTTTTCATAAACTCTTGAAATAATCATCTACTACCACTGTCTCCACTTCATTACTTCTCACTTGCTCTTCAACCCATCCCAATCCACTTTTTGCCTCCACTGAATCTCTGACATTGATCTTGCCACGGGGACAATCTCATCAACACCTTCCTTGCTGCTTAAATCAATGAACATATCTCAGTTTCCAACTCATTTAACACTCTAGGCTCTTCTTCCTCTTGAATTTATCTCCTTTCCTGGGCTTCCATGACACTGCACTCTCCTGCTTTTCCTCCTGTCTCTCTGGCAATTATTTAGCTTTCTTCTTATTTCTTGGTCTTAGTCCTTTTTCAGTATGGATACATAATTTGTGGGTTATTTCACCTTCATGACTTCCATCTATACATTCATAACCTCTGTCTTTGTTTGTTTGTGGTGCCGTAATAGGCTATCTGAAACTAGGTAATTTATAAAGATCAGAAATTTATTTACCACAGTTCTGAATGCCGGGGAGTCCAAGATCTAGGTGCTAGCAGGTGCATTATCTGATGATGGTCTGGTCTCTGTCCAATATGGTGTTCTGAATGCTGCATCCTCCAGAGGGAAGGGAGGAATGCTGTGTACTCGAACGGTAAAAGGCGCAAGGGCAAAAAGGAAGTAATCTTCTTCCATCAAGCTATTTTATTTTATTTTATTTTATTTTATTTTATTTTATTTTATTTTATTTTATCGAGACAGAGTCTTGCTGTGTCGCCCAGGCTGGAGTGCGGTGGCCCGATCTTGGCTCACTGCAACCTCCAGCTCCCTGGTTCAAGCAATTCCCCTGCCTCAGCCTCTGGAGCAGCTGGGATTACAGGCGTATGCCACCACGCCTGGCTAATTTTTTTGTATTTTTAGTAGAGATCGGGTTTCACCATGTTGGCCAGACTGGTCTCAAACTCCTGACCTCAGGCAATCTGCCCATCACGGCCTCGCAAAGTGCAGGGATTACAGGCGTGAGCCACTGCACCCAGACCATCAAGCCCTTTTATAATTAATTGATTCATAAAGGTGGTGGCCTTATGACCTAAACACCTCTCAAAAGGCCACACCTCTCAAGACTATTGCATTGGGGATTAAATTTCAACATTAATTTTTGGTGGGGGAAAAAACATAGAAACTTCCAAATATGTATGCCAAAGCCAGATATTGATTTCTAAATTTTATGTATACATGGAATAGAATGTCAAGTGTGGTTTTTCTGTTGTCTCAGAATTTTGGTCAGATCTCAAAGCTGAGAACAAAGGGTATAAGAGACAACTTACCGGAAAGTAAAGTGCCAGGTCATTTATTGCAAAACTTAATAAAGAGTAACACAAAAAATAATTTCCAAATGTTAGCTCATGACAAACCTAGAGTAAAATGGGAAAAAAATTCAACATCTTAATGATAAAATTTTAAAAGGCAGAAATTCCTTGGAGAGGTTTGCTGGTGTACTGTATTGCAAACCCACATACATGAGGATGAGCTAGATGTTTCTCTCATCATCTCAAGCTGTATGAGAAAGTCTACAGTAGAATCAGCTCAGCTGGGTGTAGATTAGACTGCAGAAGTCCCCAGTCACATGTGATGTTAAGGCAAACATCACAAAGGTTAGTGAGATTTTTTGGAGAAGCTGACATTATCTCCTTGGATTTGCAAGACACAGGGAACTGGTGACTGAGGCTTGCTTGAAGAAATCTGAAAACAAGAGGTTTTACAGTCACTCCCTGATGGGAAAATGTGAATGGATGATTTTTTTTCTTGTAGACTAAACAAAGGTCGCATTTGAGTCACCTTTAAATGGATTTCTGCAAAGATTAAGTTGACTAAGAGAAAAAAGAAGCTGATACATTGTGTGTGTGTGCACTGTATGTGTATGGCGGGGAGTGGGGAGGTGGAGCAGAGGAGTCAAAAGTGACCAGCTAGAGATTTTAACGCCAATACTAGGGAATGAGGAAGTAGGACATGTCCAAGAAACAGGCAAAATTACTCCACAAAACAAAGCATTTAGTTATCTGCCATTTCCAAAGATCACTAACATCAGATTACAATTCTATTAACCAAGTAATAAATTTTATGCCTCTTACTATTGTTCAGTTCTTCTCAATTCCAACCCAAATCATATCAAGAGGCATTTTCTAACTCTACATATTTCACAGCCCAGGATGGAAACAGATAGAACTATTATTATTTTGGTAAGGTAATCATATATTTTTGTTGTACATGAAACCATATTTCTCATAAGCAAAGGACACTTATCCATTTTCTTAGATTAATACTCGTAAGCCTTCTATAAAACATGCTTACTTATAGCTATGGTACAGTGAATCTTCACAGTTATTTGGCTGTTCTCTAGTACATCTAACTCTTCTGCTGACAGAAATCAAATTGTACTCCCTCTGGGAGGATAGTATTTTTTTCTAAACTATATATGTCACTTATCTTTTTAAATGTAATTACATAATTTAGTTAAACATTACATTAACTAATACAAGATGAAAGACAGAACAAACATAAAAAATAACAAAATTCAAACACAAAGTCTAACATATCAATAATCACACAAAATGTAAATGATCTAATCACACCAATGAAAGAGTAAGGGAATGTGGAAAAGTTGACAACATAACTGGATGCTATTTACTTTGACTGACTGCAAACATAATAACATAGGTAGGTTGAAAGAATAAGTCGAAAAAAGACACAGGATATAAACTTTTATCAAAAGAAAGTAGGAGTACCTATATTAATATCAGATGAAATAGACTTTAGACCATATAAATTTACCAGAGACAGAAAGGAACATTGCCAATTATAAAAATGGTTAATCGATCAAAAGGCATTTCAATCCTAATTCTGTATGTATGAATCAACAGAGCTACAAAATATGTAAAGCAACAACCGATAGAACTGAATAGAGAAATAGACAAACTCACCATTATACTTCAAGATTTTTAACACCTCTCTCTCAACATTTAATAGAATAAGTTGATTGAAATCTATTAATGATATAGAAAAAATCATCAGTACCATAAATCAACAGCACTTAATTAATATTTACAGAACATCTCACCCAAGAAAGGCAAAATAAACATTCTTTTCAAGTGTCCTTGGAATGTATACCAAGATAGACCATATTCTAGGCCATAAAACAAACCTCAACAAATTTAAAATAATTAAAATCAATCATAGTGTGTTTTTCTGACCAAAGTGGAATCAATCTAGAGATCAAAAACAGGAAGATAACATGAAAATCATCAAACTCTTGGAAACTTAAACAATACACTTCTAAACAATCCATGGATCAAAAAGGAAGTCTCAAAGAAAATTTTAAAAAGTATATTGAACATCTGCTAGAGCTTCCAACCCAGTAGTTCTGCTTCTGTCTGAACTCTGTGGGCAGGCACAGCCCTGTGTTTCCCCAGGAAGCACATGGAAATCAGATTAGGGCCAACCTGGCAAGGATGCAGCTTGACTGCCAACTGTGGTCCCTACCTGAGGAAACCCCATGGTCAGCAGCATCCAAAAAAAGCAATGTGAGAACAGAGACAATAATCAGAAGAGGCCCCTCCAAGACCCATGAGTAGACTAGAATTGAAGCCAGTCAACTGAATTCACCTTATACTGTAATCAAACCCCCAACAGCATCAAAGAAGAAAAAAGCCAAACAATTCATCCAAAGGACGGCAACTTCAAAGACTGAAGGAATATCAGCCCACACAAATGAGAAAGAAAGCACAAGGACTCTGGCAGCTCAAAAAGCCAGAGTGCCTTCTTTCCTCTAAATGAATGCATTAGTTCCCCAGCAAGCATTCTTAAATGGGTTGAAATGACAGAAATAGAATTCAGAATATGGATAGGAATAAAAATCATTGAGATTCAGAAGGACATTCATCAAAACCCAATCCAAGGTAGCTAAGAATCACAGCAAAATGATACAGGAGCTGATAGGCAAAATAGCAATTATACAAAAGAACCAAACGGATCTGATAGAGCTGAAAAACACACTATAAGAATTGCAAAACCACAGTGAGATACCATCTCACACCAGTTAGAATGGCAATCTTTAAAAAGTCAGGAAACAACAGGTGCTGGAGAGGATGTGGAGAAATAGGAACACTTTTACACTGTTGGTGGGACTGTAAACTAGTTCAACCATTGTGGAAGTCAGTGTGGCGATTCCTCAGGGATCTAGAACTAGAAATACCATTTGACCCAGACATCCCATTACTGGGTATATACCCAAAGGACTATAAATCATGCTGCTATAAAGACACACACACACGTATGTTTATTGTGGCACTATTCACAATAGCAAAGACTTGGAACCAACCCAAATGTCCAACAATGATAGACTGAGTAAGAAAATGTGGCACATATACACCATGGAATATTATGCAGCCATAAAAAAGGATGAGTTCATGTCCTTTGTAGGGACATGGATGAGAGTGGAAATCATCATTCTCAGTAAACTATCGCAAGGACAAAAAACCAAACACCGCATGTTCTCACTCATAGATGGGAACTGAACAATGAGAACACATGGACACGGGAAGGGGAACATCACACTTTGGGGACTGTTGTGGGGTGGGGGGAAGGGGGAGGGATAGCTTTAGGAGATATACCTAATGCTAGATGACCAGTTAATGGGTGCAGCACACCAGCATGGCACATGTATACATATGTAACTAACCTGCACATTGTGCACATGTACCCTAAAACTTAAAGTATAATAATAATAAAAAAAAGAATTGCATAATGGAACCACAAATAGTAACAGCAGAATAGACCAATCTGAGGAAAGAATCTCAGAGCTTGAAAACTGACTTTCTGAAATAACTCAAGTCAGACAAAAATAAATAAAAAAGAATAAACAAAACCTCAGAGAAATATGAGATTATGTAAAGAGACCACATCTATGACGCATTGGCGTCTCTGAAAGAGAAAGAAAGAAAACAAGCAACTTGCGAAACGTATCTCAGGATATTAACAATGAAAACTTCCCCAAGCTTACTAGAGAGGTCAACATTCAAATCAAGGAAATGCAGAAACCCCCTGCAAGATGTTGCAGAAGAAAACCATTCCCCAGGCACTTAATCATGAAATTCTTCAAGATTGAAATGAAAGATAAAATGTTAAAGGCAGCTAGAAAGAAGAGGCAGATAACCTACAAAGGGAAACAAATCAGGCTAAAAGCGGAAACCTTACAAGCTAGATGAATTTGGGGGCCTATATTCAGCATTCTTAAAGAAAAAAAATTCCAATCAAGAATTCATACCCAGCCAAACGAAGCTTCATAAGTGAAGGAGAAATAAGATCCTTTTCAGATAAGCAAATGCTGTTGGGAATTTCTTAGCACCAGAACTGCCTAATAAGAGGTCCTGAAAGAATCACTAACTATGGAAAGTAAAGACTGTTACCAGACACTACAAAAACACACTTACGTACACACATCAGTGATACTATAAAATAACCACACAAACAAGTCTGCATAATAACCAGCTAACAACATGACAGGATCAAATCACACATGTCAATACTAACCTTAAATGAAAACAGTTTAAATGCCCCAATTAAAAAGCACAGAGTGGAAAGATGGATAAAGAAGCAGGGCCAGATGGTATGCTATCTTCAAGAGACCCACTCACATGCAATGACATCCATAGGCTCAAAATGAAGGGATGGAGAAAAATCTACCAAGCAAATGGAAAACAAAAAAGCAGGGGTTACAATCCTAATTTCAGAAAAACCAGATTGAACCAACAGAGATCAAGAAAGATAAATTAGGGCATTATATAATGGTAGAGAGTTCAATTCAACAAGAAGAACTCACTATCTTAAATAGATGTGTATGCAACACAGGAGCACTCAGATTCATAAAGCAAGTCCTTAGAGACCTATAAGAGATTTAGATTCCCACACAATTATAGGGAGAGACTTTAACACGCCACTGACAATATTGGACAAATCATCAAGGCGGAAAATTAACAAAGATACTCAGGACTTGAACTCAGCATTTGACCAAATGAATGTACTAGATATTTATAGAACTCTCTACATTACAGAACTCTCCACATAAAAACAACAGAATATACATTCTTCTCATCACCACATGGCACATACTCCAAAATCAACCACACAATTGGACATAAAACAATGCTCAGCAAATTAAAAAAAAGAACCAAAATCATACCAACCAAACTCTTGGACCACAGCACATTAAAAATAGAAATCAAGGGCCAGGCATGGTGGTTCGTGCCTGTAACCTCATCACTTTGGGAGACTGAGGCAGGCAGATCAATTGAGGCCAGGAGTTTGAGATCAGCTTCGGCAACATGATGATGAAACCCCGTGTCTACTAAAAATACAAAAATTAGCTGGGTGTGGTGGCACACACCTGTAGTCCCAGCTACTCAGGAGGCTGAGGTACGAGAATCACTTGAACCCAGGAGGTGGAGGTTGCAGTAAGCCAAGGTTGTGCCACTGCACTCCAGCCTGGGCAACAGAGTGAAACTCTGTTTCAAATATACATATATAAAAAATCTCTCTCTATATATATACATAAAAATATATAGAGAGAGAGATTTATATAGAGATTTATATATATTATATATAAATATATCTCTATATAAATATCTAGATATAAATATCTGGTATATATATATAGAGAGAGAGACAGAGGAAGAAAAATAAATATTAATAAAATAACTCAAAACTGTAATATTACATGGAAATTAAACAAACTGCTCCTGAATGCTCCGGAATGACTTTTGGGTAAATAATAAAATTAAGGCAGAAATCAAGATATTCATTAGAAACTGACAAGAACAAAGATATAATATACCAGACTCTCTGGGACACAACTAAGAAAGTGTTAAGAGGGAAGTTTATAACACTAATGCCCACATTAAAAAGTTAGAAAGACCTCAAATTAACCAAACATTACAAGAAGAAGAACTAGAGAAGCAAGAGCAAACCAAACCCAAGGCTATCAGAAGACAAGAAATAACCAAAATCAGAGCTGAAATGAATGAAACTGAGACACAAAAAACTATATCAAAGATAAATGAATCCAGAAGTTGGTTTTTGAAAAAATTAATAAGATAGATAAAACACTAGTTAGATTAGTAAAGCAAAAAAGAGAGAAGGTCTAAATAAACACAATTAGAAATAACAAAGGCAGTGTTATCACTGACCCCACAGAAGTACAAAAAACCATCAAAGACTACTACTATGAACACCTCTGTGAACACAAACTAGAAAATCCAGGAGAAATGGATGAATTCCTGGACATATACAATTGCCCAAGGCTGAACCAGGAAGAAAGTGAGAGACCAATAATGAGTTCCAACATTGAAGTAGTAGTAAAAAGCCTACCAACCAGAAAAGCCCAGGACCAGATGAATTTATACCTGAATTCTACCAGATGTATAAAAAACAGCTGGCACCATTCCTGCTGAAATTATTCCAAAAAATTGAGGAGAGATTCCTCCCAAACTCCTTCTATGAGACGAGCAGCATCATGATAACCAAAAGCTGGCAGAGAAATAAGAAAAAAAGAAAACGTTCAGCCAGTAACCTTGATGAACATAGATGTAAAAGTCAGCAAAATACTAGCAAACCAAATCCAGCAGCATATTAAAAAGCTAATCCAACATGATCAAATAGAGTTTATGACTGGTAGATAAGGTTGGTTCAACACATGCAAATCCATAAATGTGATTCAGCACACCAACAAAACTAAAAACAGAAACCATAGGATTATCTCAATAGATGCAGAAAAGACTTTTGATAAAATTCAACATCCCTTCATGTTAAAAACCCTCTATAAACTTGGCATGAAAGAATCATACTTCAAAATAATAAGAGCCATCTATGACAAACCTATGGCCCACATTACACTGAAGGGGCAAAAGCTAGAAGCATTCTCTTGAAAACCAGCATAAGGTAAGGATGCCCTCTCTTACCACTCCTATTCATAATAGTATTGGAAGGCCTGGCCATAACAATCAGTCAAGAGAAAGAAATAAAAGGCATCCAAATAGGAAGAGACAAAGTCAAATTATTCCTCTTTGCAGTTGACGTAATTCGGTATGTAAAAAACCCCATAGTCTGGGTCCAAAAGCTCCTTGATCTGATAAACAAATTTAGTAAAATTTCATCAGGATACAAAATCAACGCGCAAAAATCACTAGCACTCCTATACACCAACAACATCCAAGCCTAGAGCCAAATCAGGAATGCAATCCTATTCACAGTTGCCACAAGAAGAAGAAAATACTGAGGAATATAGCTAACCAGGGTGATGAAATTTCTCCATAATGATAATTTTAAAATACTGCTCAAAGAAACCAGAAATGATACAAACAAATGGAAAAATATTTCATGCTTGTGGATAGGAAGAATAATATCATTAAAATAGCTATACTGCCCAAAGCAATGTACAGATTCAGTGATATTCCTATCAAACTGCCAAACACATTCTTCACAGAATCATGAAAAGCTATTTTAAAATACATATGGAATAAAAAAAAGTCCAAGTAGCCAAGACAATCCAAAGCAAAAAGAACAAAGCTGGAGGCATCACATTACCAGACTTCAAACTATATTAGAGGGCTACTGTAACCAAGGCAGCATGCTACTGGTACAAAAACAGACAGACACATAGACTAATGGAACAGAATAGAGAGTACAGAAATAAGGTTGCACACCTACAACCATCTGATCTTTGACAAAGCTGACAAAAACAAGCAATGAAGAAAGGATTCCCCATTCAATAAATTGTGTTGGGATAACTGGCTAGCCAAACACAGAAGAATGAAACTGGACCCTTACCTTATACTACATACAAAAATCAACTCCAGATGGATTAAAGACTTTAATGTAAAACTTAAAACTATGAAAACTCTGGGAGATAAGCTTGGAAATACCATTGTGGGCATAAGATTTGGCAAGATTTCATGATGAAGATTCCAAAGCAATTGCAAGGAAAAAAATTAACAAATAGGATCTAATTAAATAAAAGAATTTCTGCACAACAAAAGAAACTATCAACAGAGTAAACAGACAACTTACGGAATAGGAGAAAATATTTACAAACTATGCATCCAACAAAGGTCTAATATACAGAATCTACAAGGAACTTAAACAAATTTACAAGTAAAAATCAAACAACCCCTGAAGAAGTGGGCAAAGGACATGAACAGACATGTCTCAAAAGAAGACATACATGTGGCCAACAAGCACATGAAAAAAAGCTCAACATCACTAATCATTAGAGACATGCAAATTAAAACCACAAAGAGATACCATCTCATACCAGTAAGAATGGCTATTACTAAAAAGAAAAAAATAACAGATGCTGATGAGGTAGTGGAGAAAAGGGAATGCTTACACACTGCTGGTGAGATTGTAAATTAGCTCAACCACTGTAGAAAGCAATGGCTTTCCCAGCAATCCCATTATTAGGTATATACCCAAAGGAATAGAAATTGTTCTACCACAAAGACACATGCATATATATGTTCATCGCAGCGCTATTCACAACAGCAAAGACATGGAATCAACATAAATGCCCATGAACGTTAGACTGGTTAAAGAAAATGTGGTTGGCCAGGGCACAGTGGCTCATGCCTGTAATCCCAGGACTTTGGGAGGCCAAGGTGGGCAGATCACCTGAGGTCAGGAGTTCAAGACCAGCTTGGCCAACATGGAGAAACTCTGTCTCTACTAAAAATACAAAAATTAGCTGGGCATGGTGGCACATGCCTGTAGTCCCAGCTACTTGGGAGGCTGAGGCAGGAGGATCACTTGAACCCTGGAGGCAGAGGTTGCAGTGAGCTGAGATTGTATCACTGCACTCCAGCTTGGGTGACAAGAGTGAGACTCCATGGAAGGAGAAGGAGAAGGAGAAGGAGAAGAAAATGTGGTGCAAATACATCATGGAATACTATGCAGCCATGAATAATATTAAGATTATTTTTATTTAATATTTTTAAGATTAATCTTAAACATAGATAGAGTTGGAGGACATCATCCTAAGCAAACTAACACAGGATCAGAAAACCAAATACTGCATGTTCTCACTTATAAGTGAGTAATAAACAATGAGAACACATGGCTACTGGGAGTAGAAAAACAGACACTGGGGCCTACTTGAGGGTAGAGGGTGGGAGGAAGGACAGTATCAGAAAAAGTACCTATTGGGTACCAAGTTTGTTACCCATGTAATAAAGTTATCTGTACACCAAACCCCCTTGACACAGAGTTTACCTTTTTAACAAACTTATGCATGTACCTCTGAACCTAAAATAAAAGATTAAAAAAGGACCTAAGACTTATTCAAACCAAAAAAAAAACACAACAAAACCCTCCCAAGAAACACATAATCACACTATAGATTTTGGATTTTTAAAGAGTATACATTTAAAGAGTGTACATTTTAAAGAGTGTACATTTACTCAAATGTAAGTATAGTGTTGGATAAGCAGTGTTCTGTTGGCTAAGCAGAACATCTATTCTTAAGTTTTATATTTTCCTCTGATCTTTGTAAACGATTTACCATTCCACTTTATTTGAAAAGGATTTAAATTTAAAACTATTAATAAACATCCAAAAATCTTTAAAAAATACATTCAACTGAAAGAACAAACAATAAAAATGAGAAATATGAAAATTTCTGAAATAACAGCTAAAGCGGTCTCAAGATGGAAGTTTACAACATTAAATGCTTATGTTAGAAAAGAGAAAAAGTCTCATATCAATAACTTATGGTCCTATTTTAAGATCCTAGGAAAAACAAGAGCATAATAAATCCAGCACAAATGGAAGGACTGTAATAATAAAGACAGGACAAGACATTAAGAAATTAAAACAGATTAACAATGAAACAAAAAAGCTAGTTCATTGTAAAGATCAATAAAATTGACAAAACTCTAGCAGGGTAAAGAAAAAAGAGAGATGACACAAAATTACTAAGAACGGGAATGAAAGAGATACTATTAATACATAACTTGTGGATATTGAAAGAATAAGAAAGGAATATGATGAACAATTTTCTACACACATTATTACAGCTTAGATAAAAGAAACTAATTCCTTAAAATGCACTAAATGTCAAAATGTATTCAATATGAAATAGTTTGTATAACTCCATAAGTATTAAGAAAATCACATTTATAATTTTAAAATTCCAAAAAAGAAATATACAAACTAATTCATTGAAATGCACTAAATATCAAAACTCATTCAATAGGAAATAATTTGTATAACTTCATAATTATTAAGGAAATCACATTTATAATCTAAATATTCCAAAAAAGAAACATACAAACACAAATTTTTACTAGAGAATTCTACCAACTCTTTAAATAAAAATTAGAACAAATCTTACAGAATAAGTTTCAGAAAATAGGAGAGGAGGTAATACTTCTTAAATCATTTTATGAGGCTAGTATTCCATTGATACCAAAATCAGACAAAAACAGTACCAAAACAAATCAACAAAACAAACAAAACAAAATAAAATCCAAAGACCAAAAACTATAGACCAATATACCTCATATAGATATAAAAATTCTTAACAATATATAAAGAAATATAATTTTTAATATACAAAATAGGTATATACTATAACTGATTAAGACTTATTATAGAGAAGCAAGGCTGGTTCAATATTATAAAACTGATCAGTGAAATTCATCATATTAATACATAAAAGAAGAAAAATTATAGGATCATATGATTTGCTGCAGAAAATTGTCAAGAAAATTCAGCACTAATCCATGATTAAAATTATTTGAAGAGTAGAATTGAGGAAGACTTCCACAATTTGACAAAAGCATCTCTGAAAAACCTATGGGTAACATTATGCTTACTGGTGAAGGCTGAATGCTTTTCCCTTAAGATTGTGAACAAAGCAAG
The DNA here is from genome assembly GCF_000001405.40 of Homo sapiens. Taxonomy (NCBI): domain Eukaryota; kingdom Metazoa; phylum Chordata; class Mammalia; order Primates; family Hominidae; genus Homo; species Homo sapiens. The sequence continues at coordinate 167,107,269 of NC_000002.12, read as the reverse complement.
GATGTTCATTCTTACCTGTCTTATCCAATATTGGAATAACTTTCAGTATTGGAAGTTATGGCCAATGCAATAAGGCAAGAAATGGAAACAAAAACATAAATATTGAAAAGGTGAAATAAAACTGTGCCTATTTGCAGATGACTTGGTTGCAAAAGAATAAAACTCTTCCAATTTGCAGCTGACATGGAAAATTTCAAATAACCTATAAAAAACATTCTGAAACTAAAGAATGAGTTTGGGAAGGTCACGCAATATATATAAATTATAAATATAAAATTATTGTATTTCTTTATACTAACAATAAACATGTGAATATTGAAATTAATAATACAATATCATTTATTATTATTATTTTAAAAACAAAATACACGTAAATATAAAAAAGTTTAGGACTTCTATGCTAAAACTACAGAACGCTGATTAATTCAATGAAGATCTAAATAAATGGAGAGAAATACTGTGTTCAGGGATTAACTCAACAAAGTAAAGATGCCAATTCTAGTTAAATTAATATATAGATACGACAAATTCCTATAAAAGAGCAAGACTTTTTGTAGATAAAGACAACACTTTTATAGAATTCATATGGAAAGCAAAGAAAGTACATAGCTAAAACTTTTTTTGTAAAAAATAAAGTAATTGGGAGGAATTTTAAGATTTTAAGATTTATTTTAAGAATTTTTATATAGCTATAGTAATCAAGACTGCAGGGGAATTAGCAGATAGACATATATTATAGATTAATGAAAGAGTATATGTATATAGAACCCGGAAAAAGGTCACATAAATATGCCTAACTGATTTTTGAAAAAGGTACAAAAAGCAGTTCAATGAAGAAGGGATCGACTTTTAACCTTTTCAGTAATTGCTGGAACAACTGGATATCAATAGGCAGAAACAAACAAACTCTAGTTAAACTTCCCTAAAAATTAACTAAGAATTGATCACAGACTTAAATGTAACATGTAAAAATATAAAACTTTTAGGAATAAACATATAAGAATCCTTCAGAATCCAGGGTGAGGAGAAGAGTTCTTAGCCTTGACTTCAAAATCATGACCCATAAAATGAACATTGATACTTTTGACTCCATCAATATTAAAAACTTTTAGTCAGGTAAATACCTTAATAAGATGACAAAAAGAGGAGCAGCAAAGTGGAGAAAATATTTGCAAATCACATATGTGTCAAGTGACTAGTATCTGGAACGTACAAATAACTCTCAAAACTCATAACTCTCAAAACTCAATAGCAAAATCAAAACAAAAACAATCCAAGCAGAAAGTGGGCAAAAGTCTTAAGAGGCATTTAACCTCAGAGAATATACAGATGGTAATGACTACATGAAAAGATGTTCAACGTCATTAGCTATGAGGGAAATGCAAACTAAAACCTAATCAGATATTACAATACACTTATCAGAATGGCTAAAATACAAAGAATGGTAACAATAATAAATGCTCCAAGGGTGTGGAAAAACTGGATCACTTATGTATTGTAATGTAAAATGGTACATGTACTCTGGAAAACAGTTTGGGGGTGTTTTAAAAAGCTGAAGCTGAAACTACCATACGCTCCCCCTAACTGCACTTTTGGACATTCATTTCAGAAAAATTAAAATTCATATTCATACAAGAACCTGTGTATGAATATTCACATTCATAGTAGCTTTATTTGTAATAGGCAAAGATTACAACTAACACACATACTCTTCAAGGAGTGAATAGTTAAACAATCTGGTATGTCTATATCATGGAATACTATACAGCAATAAAAATGAACAAACTATTTGTACATATACTCAACCACTTAGATGGATCCCAAGCTGAATGAAGAAAGCCAATTCTAAAATGTTATATACTTATAATTCCATTTACAGAACATTCTTAAAATAACAAAATTATGGAAAAGGAGAACAGATCAACATTAGTCAAGGTAAAAAAGGTGGTGGTGCTGGAACAGAAGTGGTTGTGACTAGGAAATGGAACAGGAAGGATCTATGTGGTGATGGAAATATGTATCTTGACTGTATCAATGCGAATACTGGGGTTGTAACATTGTATTGTAGTTCTTCAAGATGTTACCATTGAGGGAAATTGAATAAAGGGTGCATGGGATCTCTTTTATTTCTTACAATTCTGTGTGGATCTACAATTATCTAAAAATAAAGAGTTTGATTAAAAAACTAACTTACTAATTCATTTGACAATTATTAATCACCAGTGGGTTTTGCTATTCAATATATAAATCCAACTCTTAATTCATATATCAAATTAGCTGAAATGCAATTTTGCTTATGAACTTGCTTTTGCTTTTAGTAAACGTTTATATTGGATGATTCGATCATCTGCACTGGTGACTCAAATAAGCTAAAAGATATGCGCAGAATGAGGATAGTTGAATGTTACTATAAACAGATATTGTGAATAATCAAGAAAGTAAACTGAAAGAAGCTTTGGTGATAAAATTCCCATCATGACTATAGTTATGGGTCAACTGATTTGGTTCATACATGTCTAACACTCCTAATGATGGCAAAAGGAAAAGATCAAACACAACTATTTCATGTGGGAAGAAATAAAATAAGCAACAGTAAAATAAAGCTATGAAAACACAATATTTAACTAGATTTTACTTATTTCACAAGTACTGCTATTAAGAAGTTATAATCTTGTAATAAAAAGTTAATATTCCTAAGAAACAAAGAAATGCCACTAAGTTCATACCATAAAGTACAAGCATTCAGTTCAGGCCAGTATTTTATTTTAGATAAAAATTTAAATACCTCAGTTATCTGATGTGTTAGAAGTGGAAAATTAAAATATGTGGTGTATGTGATGTAAATTGAGAATATTCTGCAACAATAATGGTTATTTTGGGGGATGGGATAAAATTGTTATGATGGGTTGGTGGAAGTACTAAGGGGGACTTATAATTTTTATTCTATATGCATCAGTATTTTTGAACTTTTTATCAGTATGCGCTTCTTTTGTGCATGCTTATTTTAAAAAGAACAAGATGGAAAAATCAAAATGAAACACAAAAAGTAATTGCAAAAAATATGATCATTCCAACCAAGTAAAAATACTAAAATCCTTCATGAGAAAAACCAAGAGAGTAGAAGACAATAATTTCTTCTTAAGGAGAATTAATCATAGAAGAACATTACCTCATATCATACTGGTGTGCTAGAGCTTAGTTTTTGTTCTCATACAAAACCTGAGTGAATACTTTGCAAGAAAAATTCTAAAGAAGCCTTAGCAATAATTATAGTGTGCAAGACCTCACTAGGAGTGACTACTGACTCCTATTTCCAACAGAGGAAGTACAGATTAGAGCAGAAAAACAAATCACTGGTGCTGGTAATAATGCAGTAACTTAATAGAGTCTAGTGATAAGGGTAGCTACATTTAAAATTGGCTGCAGTTTCACCTTGATATTTTACTTTTTTTTTTCTGTAAAGAGAAGCCATTAGCATGAGTTTTTACAAATCTGGGCAAAGACATACCAGCTAGCGTTTGATTCCATTTAGCAAAAGTGTTTTCTGACAATCAGATTTCTGTATTTCCTTAGGTATAACTACTTTATGAAAGGTTACTGTAGAACCAAAGTATAAAGACAAATCTGTTTTCCCACTCTGTAATAACATCCGGTCAAATAACCACTTTCCTGTAGCCTAGAGCATTGCCGCAGATTGGTTAAGTCTGTTTGCTGAGTTTGGGCAACATAAATTCCTGGAACAATGGTGACTCTCTAAATCTCAAGGTTTGTAGGGAAAGCTGTTTTGAGCAAGAAAGAAACAAAGAGGTTACTGTGCACATTCAGAAAAAGCCAAAGCCAAAGAGCAGCAACAAGAGCAACAACAATAAAACTAAAGCAAGTTTTTTTCTCTGACAGGCCTTTATGCACTTCAGATATCATAGCTAACTGTTTTCAGTTTGGAAAAGAAGAAAGCCAATTCTCCAAGAACTGTGCCAAAATAGAGGAAACAATTTGTTCTTTTTAAGTAATAATAATAAGAAATAACCTGGTAGATTACAGTAGGTAAAATCCAAAAGTTTCTATATTCTCCCCTCAACCCTCTCCCCTCCCTTCCCTCCTTCCTTTCTTTCTTCCTTCCTTTCCTTTTTTGAGACAGGATCTTGCTCCATAGCCCAGGCTGGAGTGTAGTGGCGCGATCTGAACTGACTGTAGTCTCAACCTCCCAGGCTCAAGTGATCCTCCCATCTCAGCTTTCCAAGTAGCTGGGACTACAGGCATGAGCCACCATGCCCAGCTATTTTTTTTCTTATTTGAAGTTTCTATTCTTTTTATTTACAACAATTAGTCTTTTGTCTGACAGGTCAGTTATAGTAAAATTGTATTTTTATAAAACTGCCCAAGTGACAAAGACCTAAATCTCAAAGGGAAAAAATCATTCATTTAGAAACAAAAATGGCTGCTACCAACAAGTCTGCTATACCATGTAGGGAGACAGGAAGTTAGGGGAATAAATATGACACTATAAACTGATAAATCCATGTGCAAACGCAGGCATGTGTGCAATGAAAATTGAATTGATGGTCCCTACGGCTGTTTGATCTTTCTGAAGACAGATCTTTTATGAAGATTAAATGAGAGCATATATTACACTTTTTATTCTATCTAAAAACAATGGTATAGTTACCATTTTAAATGGTACATTTACAGTGAGACTTCATAGCACTATATATTACATCTAGGGTAAGATATAGTGTCCTTTTCTCCCAGAGGGTGTTCTAACTGTAACTATAATTCTTTGTCTTGAAACTAATTGCCCGTCTATAAGGTTTACTTGTATGTCAAGTTGCTTATATGCATGCTGACATGCATATTTTTGCAGTTATTTTTGACAGAAAGTGGCTGGCACATGGCCATGTTAAGAGATATAAAGATGGCCAGTGAGAAAGGATAAGGGGTGAAAGCCATAATCCCAAAGGACTTCTTGTGCAGGCTTTACTTTAGGACTTTGATTATTTCATGCTTGCATCTACCCTTTGAAATGCGCCTCCTGGTCTCTGATTCTAACAATGCTGTTTCTACAATCTCTAGTTTGTTCCCTATGAATTCATGTTCCAGCTAATTCAAATCAAGCAGCCATCACCAATCTTCAAACAAGCTGTCTAGGGCAACCACTTACCTTCCTACACTGGCAATTAAACCCTTCAGTTGAGATCACTAATTTGCACTTGAGAAACCTAGAATTTATCTTGCTCAAATGAGTTCTCATTTTTAGGTTTCAGGAATGTTGACACCACCTCCTCTATCACTTCTCTACTCCTCACCCCTTTCCTCGACAATAACTGAAGTTTAAGAGGTGCCACATTATGGAAGCTTAATAAATCATTCTTGGATGAATGAATGAATGCAAATATCCTATATATTAATATTTTGAGAATTACTGAATTGTGTCACTGCAACTTTTTTGATTGAAATTACCTTAAGAATATCATAAACATTTCAAATGTTGCAAAACAATATATAAATTAAAAGTAAGTCTTCCTTCTAAGACAACTCAGAAACTATTCTCTTATATATTTTGCACTCATAGCCAAAGCATATAAAAGTATATATGTACATATTCAGCCATAAAAAGACATGAAACAATGGCACTTGCAGCAACCTGGATGGAATTGGAGACCATTATGCGAAGTGAAGTAACTCAGGAATGGAAAACTAAACATCGTGTGTTCTCACTCATAACTGGGAGCTAAGCTATGAGGATACAAAGACATAAGAATGATACAATGGACATCGGAGACTTGGGAGAAATGGTGGGAAGTGGGTGAGGGATGAAAGGCTACAAATTGGGTACAGTGTATACTGTTTGGGTGATGGGTGCACCAAAATCTCACAAATCACCACTAAAGCACTGACTCATGCAACCAAACACCACCTGTTGCCCCAAAACCTATGGAAGTAAAAAATTATATATGTACATATTCAAACTCTTTTACCATTTTTTATCCAGGAGATTATATTCTATACATAGTTTTATACCTTAATTTTTATTTAACAATAAATCTTACAAATTGCTTATATCATCACATATAATGAATGAGCACCTTACTCATTCTTTTCTACAACTGGATAGTATTTTAATGATGAAATGTGTCATAGTACTTGAATTACACTTTTAGAATTAGAATACAGGGAGAAAATGAGTAAGGTAATTCTCAGGCTTACAAAATTACAAACTCTCAACGTTCAAAAGATTTTTTTTATTGTTGTTTTCAAGTGACCTTGAGAATCTGGATAAAAGATACCAGATAAAAAGAATAAAAAAGAACAACACTAAAAGCAAAAGAAAGTCGGACAAAAAGATTCTTTTTATATCTAAATCTCTAGAAAATAAACTTCTGCTTTATCTTTTCCAAAACTTATTCTTCTGGCAAGTAATGAGATCTGTTAAAATATGACTTCATCTAGAGATTGGGAGCAGGGAATTACTAATGATGGAAGAAGAAGGGAGAGGCAGAGGTTGAAGGTCACAGTGACACACACAGACCTAACAAGAAGAAGCAGTTTGATTTCATGTCAACCAGCATTTCACGAGCAATTACTCAGGCAAGATGCTTACTTGCTTTTAATCTAGAAAGACAAATGACAATTCTACGCAACATATGCTTAGTCCCAGGTGAGTAATTATAGACTGTAATTGTTAAAGGAGTGTGCTGAAAATATTAACACTTTAGGTAGCTTCCTTCTTAGGCCAAGGGGAAATACTAGTTAGCTTTTAGTGGTCTGCTTCTATCAAGGAGGATTTGGTGGTGCTAGATAGGAGAATATCTCTTTAGGATAATAATCCTAGACAGGCTAGTATATCACATATGCCTCAGCAATCTCTAAGCAATAGTTACATTATTTATTATTCATATAAATCCTGAGTGTTAGTGATGTATGCACCTTGACAAAATGAAAGATTTGAAAGAATTCTAAAGAAGTAAACCTTTTCAAAGAATATTTTACTAATCAACCATTCTAGACATAACCAGAAGTCTACACACAGTACTTCATAAATTATATGTTTTTAAATTCTAGTATCATATATGATTTTGTAATTTTTTTTTAATTTTTTTTTAATTTTTTTTTTAGACTATGGTATAGTGGGAGAGCATGGTTTGGGATGTAAGATAAACTTGCTTCATATCTCAATTCTACAATTCAGTGGTTAAACCATTTCTGTGAAATTTCGTTTGTCTTCAGTTTTTCTCAGTGTCGTTGTGAGGAATAAATGAGGTAATTTGGATGAGAGTTTTGTTTGAGTTAAAAAAATAACAGGCTCCCAGGCAAGATGGCTGAATAGGAACGGCTCCGGTCTGCAGCTCCCAGAGAGATCAATGCAGAAGGCGGGTGATCTCTGCATTTTCAACTGAGGTACCTGGTTCATTTCATTGGGACTGGTTAGACAGTGGGTGCAGCCCACGGAGGGCGAGCAGAAGCAGGGTAAGGTGTTATCTCACCCGGGAAGCACAAGGGGTCAGGGAACTCCCTCTCATAGCCAAGGGAAGCCATGAGGGACCCTGCCGTGAGGGATGGTGCTATCCAGCCCAGATACTATGCTTTTCCCACGGTCTGTGCAACCCACAGACCAGGAGATTCCCTCGGGTGCCTACACCACAAGGGCCCTGGGTTTCAAGCACAAAATTGGGCAGCTGTTTGGGCAGACACCGAGCTAGCTGTGGTTTTTTTTCATACCCCAGTGGTGCCTGGAATGCCAGAGAGACAGAACTGTTCACTCTCCTGGAAAGGGGGCTGAAGCCAGGGAGCCAGGTGGTCTTGCTCAGTTGATCCCACCACCACAGAGCCCAGCAAGTTAAGATGCACTGTCTTGAAATTCTCGCCGCCAGCATAGATAGCAGTCTGAAGTTGACCTGGGATGCTCGAGCTTGGTGGGTGGAGGGGTGTCTGCCATTATTGAGGCTTGAGTAGGCAGTTTTCCCCTCACAGAGTAAACAAAGCCACTGGGAAGTTTGAACTGGGTGGGGCCTACTGCAACTAGGCAAAGCTACTGTAGCCAGACTGCCTCTCTAGATTCCTCCTTTCTGGGCAGGGCATCTCAGAAAGAAAGGCAGCAGCCCCAGTCAGGAGCTTATAGATAAACCTCCCATCTCCCTGGAACAGAGCACCTGGGAGAAGGGGCGGCTGTGGACACAGCTTCAGCAAACTTAAACGTTCCTTCCTGCTGGCTCTGAAGAGAGCAGCAGATCTCCCAGCATAGTGCTTTAGCTCTGCTAAGAAACAGACTGGGAGACACCTCCTAGCAGGGGTCGACAGACACCTCATACAGGAGAGCTCTGGCTGGCATTTGGTGGGTGCCTCTCTGGGATGTAGCTTCCAGAGGAAGGAACAGGCAGCATTCTTTGCTATTCTGCAGCCTCCACTGGTGATACCCAGCCAAACAGGGTCTGGAGTGGACCCACAGCAAACTCCAGCAGATCTGCAGAAGAGCGGCCTGACTGTTAGAAGGAAAACTAACAAACAGAAAGCAATAGCATCACCACCAACAAAAAGAATGACTACACAAAACCTCCATCTGAAGGTCACCAACAGCAAAGAGCAAAGGTACATAAATCCATGAAGATGAGGAAAAGCCCATGCAAAAAGGCTGAAAATTCCAAAACCAGAATGCCTCTTCTCCTCCAAAGGATCACAATTCCTCACCAGCAAGGGAACAAAACCGGATGGAGAATGAGTTTGATGAATTGACAGAAGTAGGCTTCAGAAGGTGGGTAATAACAAACTCCTCTAAAGGAGCATGTTCTAACCCAATGCAAGGAAGCTAACGCCTTGATAAAAGGTTAGAGGAAATGCTGACTAGAATAACCAGTTTAGAGAAGAGCATAAATGAGCTGATGGAGCTGAAAAACACAGAACGAGAACTTCATGAAGTATACACAAGAATCAATAGCTGAATTGATCAAGTGGAGGAAACGATATCAGAGATTGAAGATCAACTTAATGAAATAAAGCATGAAGACAAGACTAGAGAAAAAAGAATAAAAAGGAACAAACAAAGCATCCAAGAAATATGGGAATATGTGAAAAGACTGAACTACATTTGATTGGTGTACTTGAAAGTGATGGGAAGAATGGAACCAGTTGGAAAACACACTTCAGGATATTATCCACGAGAACCTCCCCAACCTAGCAAGACAGGCCAACATTCAAATTCAGAAAATCCAGAGAACACCACAAAGATACTCCTCGAGAAGAGCAACCCCAAGACACATAATCATCAGATTCACGAAGGTTGAAATGAAGGAAAAAATGTTAAGGGCAGCCAGAGAAAGAGGTTAGGTTACCCACAAAGGGAAGCCCATCAGGCTAACTGCAGATCTCTCTGCAGAAATGCTACAAGCCAGAAGAGAGTGGGGGCCAATATTCAACATTATTAAAGAAAATAATTTTCAACCCAGAATTTCATATCCAGCCAAACTAAGCTTCATAAATGAAGGAGAAACAAAATCCTTTACAGTCAAGCAAATACTGAGGGATTTTGTCATACCAGGCCTTATAAGAGCTCCTGAAGGAAGCAACAAATATGGAAAGGAAAAACTGGTACCAACCATAGCAAAAACAAACCAAATGTAAAGACCACTGACACTATGAAGAAACTGCATCAACTAATGGGCAAAATAACCAGCTAGCATCATAATGACAGGATTAAATTCACACATAACAATATCAAAGTTAAGTGTAAATGGGTTAAATGCCCCAGTTAAAAGATGCAGACTAGCAAGTTGGATAAAGAGTCAACACCAATTGGTGTGCTGTATTCAGGAGACCCATCTCATGTGTGAAGACACACATAGGCTCAAAAAAAGGGATGGAGGAAGATTCACCAAGCAAATGAAAAACAAAACAAAACAAAAAAAAGCAGGGGTTGCAATCCTAGTCTCTGATAAAACAGACTTTAAACCAACAAAAATCAAAAAAGACAAAGAAGGCCATTACATAATGGTAAAGGGATCAATGGAACAAGAAGAGCTAACTATCCCAAATACATATGCACCTAATACAGGAGCACCCAGATTTATAAAGCAAGTTCTTAGAGACTACAAAGAGACTTAGCCTCCCACTCAATAACAGTGGGAGACTTTAACACCCCACTGTCAATATTAGACAGATCAAAGAGGCAGAAAATTAACAAGGCTATTCAGGACTTGAACTCAGCTCTGGACCTAGTGAACCTAATTGACATATACAGAACTCTCCACCCAAAATCAACAGAATATACATTATTCTTGGCACCACATCACACTTATTCTGTAACTGACCACATAATTGGAAGTAAAACACTCCTCGGCAAATGCAAAAGAATGGAAATCATAACAAACAGCCTTTCAGACCACAGTGCAATCAAATGAGAACTCAAGGTTAAGAAACTCACTCAAAACCACACAACTACATGGAAACTCAACAACCTGCTCCTGAGTGACTACTGCGTAAATAAAAAAATTAAGGCAGAAACAAATGAGTTCTTTGAAATCAATGATAACAAAGACACAATGTACCAGAATCCCTGGGACAAAGCTAAAGCAGTATTTAGAGGGAAATTTATATAAATGCCCACAGGAGAAAGTAGGAAAGATCTAAAATTGACATTCTAACATCAAAATTAAAAGAACTAGAGAAGCAAGAGCAACCAAATTCAAAAGCTAGCAGAAGACAAGAAATAACTAAGATCAAAACAGAAGTGAAGGAGATAGAGACATGAAAAACCCTTCAAAAAGTCAATGAATTCATGAGCTGGTTTTTTGAAAAGATTGGCAAAATAGATAGACCACTAACCAGACTAATAAAGAATAAAAGAGGGAAGAATCAAATAGACACAATAAAAAATGATAAAGGGGAGATCACCACTGATCCCACAGAAATACAAACTACCATCAGAGAATACTAGAAACATCTCTATGCAAATAAACTAAAAAATCTAGAAGAAATGGATAAATTCCTCGACACATACACCTTCCCAAGATTAAACCAAGAAGAAGTCAAATCCCTGAATAGACCAATAACAAGTTCTGAAATTGAGGCAGCAATTAATAGCCTAGCAACCAATAAAAGCCCAGGACTAGATAGATTCACAGCGAAATTATACCAGAGGTACAAAGAGGAGCTGGCACCATTCCTTCTGAAACCATTCCCAATAATAAAAAAAAAGAGGGACTTCCAGTGAAATCCAGTCTCTACTAAAAATACAAAAAATTAGCTGGGTGTGGTGGTGGGCGCCTGTAGTCCCAGCTACTTGGGAGGCAGAGGCAGAAGAATGGCATGAACCTGGGAGGCACAGCTTGCAGTGAGCCAAGATCATGCCACTACACTCCAGCCTGGGCAACAGAGCGAGACTCCTTCTCAAAAAAAAAAAAAAAAAAAAAAAAAAAAAAAAAAAAAAAAGAGTGACGCCTCCTAAATCATTTTTATGAGGCCAGCATCATCCTGAAAGAAAAACCTAGCAGAGACACAACAAAAAAGGAAATTTCAGGCCAATATGCTGGTGAACATCAATGTGAAAATCCTCAATAAGATACTGGCAAACCGAATCCAGCAGCACTTTAAAAATCTTATCCACCATGATTAAGTTGGCTTCATCCATGGGATGCAAGGCTCGTTCAACATATGCAAATCAATAAACATAATCCATCACATAAACAGAACCAAAGACGAAAACCACATGATTATCTCAATAGATGCAGAAAAGACTTTCAAAACAGTTCAACACCCCTTCATGCAAAAAACTCTCAATAAACTAGGTATTGATGAAATGTATCTCAAAATAATAAGAGCTATTTAGGACAAACCCACAGCCAATGTCATACTGAATGGGCAAAAGCTGGAAGCATTCCCTTTGAAAACCGGCACAAGAAAAGTATGCCCTCTCTCACCACTCCTATTCAACATAATATTGGAAGTTATGGCCAGGGCAATCAGGTAAGAGAAAGAAATAAAGGTTATTCAAATAGGAGGAGAGGAAATCAAATTATCTCTGTTTGCAGATGACATGATTTTATATTTAGAAAACCCCATCATCTCAGCCCAAAACTCCTTAAACTGATAAGCAGCTTCAGCAAAGTCTCAGGATACAAAATCAATGTGCAAAAATCACAAGCATTCCTATACATCAATAATAGACAAACAAAGCCAAATCATGAGTAAATTACCATTCACAATTGCTACAAAGAGAATAAAAAACCTAGGAATAAACTTACAAGGGATGTGAAGGACCTCTTCTAGGGGAATTACAAATCATCACTCAAAGAAATAAGAGAGGACAGAAACAAATGGAAAAACATTCCATAGTCATGGATAGGAAGAAACAATATAGTGAAAATGGCCATACTGCCCAAAGTAATTTGTAGATTCAATGCTATCCCCATCAAGCTACAATTGGCTTCCTTCACAGAATTAGAAAAAACTACTTTAAAGTTCATATGGAACCAAAAAAGAGCCCGCATTGCCAAGACAATCCTAAGCAAAAAGAATAAAGCTGGAGGCATCACGTTACCTGACTTCAAACTATACTACAAGGCCACAGTAACCAAAACAGCATGGTACTGGTACCAAAACAGATATGTAGACCAATGGAACAGAACAGAGGCCTCAGAAATAACACCACATATCTACAACCGTCTGATCTTTGACAAACCTGACAAAAACAAGCAATAGGGAAAGGATTCCCTAATTTAATAAATGGTGTTGGGAAAACTGGCTAGCCATATGCAGAAAACTGAAACTAGACCCCTTCCTTACACCTTATACAAAAATTAACTCAAGATGGATTAAAGACTTAAATGTAAGACCTAAATCCATAAAAACCCTAGAAGAAAACCTAGGCAATACCATTCAGGTCCTAGGGATGGGCAAAGACTTCATGACTGAAACACCAAAAGCAACTGCAACAAAAGCCAAAATTGACAAACGGGATCTAATTAAACTAAAGAGCTTCTGCACAGCAAAAGAAACTATCATCAGTGAACAGACAACCTACAGAATGGGAGAAAATTTTTGCAATCTATTCACCTGACAAAGGGCTAATATCCAGAATCTACAAGGAACTTAAACATATTTACAAGAAAAAAACAAACAACCCCATCAAGTAGTGAGCATAGTATATGAACAGACACTTTTCGAAAGAAGACATTTATGTGGCCAACACATATATGAAAAAAAGCTCATCATCACTGATCATTAGAGAAATGCAAATTAAAATCACAATGAGATACCATCTCATGCCAGTTAGAATGGTGATCATTAAAATGTTAGGAAACAACAGATGCTGGAGAGGATGTGGAGAAATAGGAATGCTTTTACACGGTTGGTGGGAGTGTAAATTAGTTGAACCAGTGGGGAAGACAGAGTGGTGATTCCTCAAGGATCTAGAACCAGAAATACCATTTGGCCCAGCAATCCCATTACTGGGTATATACCCAAAGGATTATAAATCATTCTACTATGAAGACACTTGCACACATATGTTTATTGCGGTCCTATTCACAATAGCAAAGACTTGGAACCAACCCAAATGCCCATCAATGTTAGACAGGATAAAGAAAATGTGGCACATATACACCATGGAATACCATGCAGCCATAAAAAAGAATGAGTTCATTTCTTTGCAGGGACATGGATCAAGGTGGAAAGCATCATTCTCAGTAAACTAACACAGGAACAGAAAACCAAACACCACATGTTCTCACTCCTAAGTGGGAGTTGAACAATGAGAACATGTGGGCACAGGGAGGGGAACATCACACACTGGGGCCTGTTGGGGAGTTGGGGGCAAAGGGAGGGAGAGCATTAGGAGAAATACCTAATGTAGATGAAGGGTTGATGGGTGCAGCAAACCACCAGGGCACATACATACCTATGTAATAAACCTGCATGTTCTGCACATGTATCCCAGAACTTAAAGTATAATAAAAACAAAAACAAAACACAAACTTATGTACATCTGTAAAAATATATATATATATAATCAAACATACACTTGATAATTATACTAATCAATTATTTAATATTAATATTCTTAATATCTACTTAATATTATAGACCTCAATTATGTTCTATCATTATATTGATTAATAGCATTGATTACGCATCTATTATGTGTAACATCAAAAATATATTTGACATTATTTCTAAAACTTTGAATTGAAACTTTTGGCACAAGTTAAACTTGGCATAGTAGACAGTAAGAAAACTAATTTCGCTTTCACACCTATTTCCACGAATATGGTTTACTTCAACATCTGTACACTCATGGTATTAGAACATATTAATAAATAATTTAATCCTGGTTACAATTTTAGGTACCACATATAAGCAGATGTTGTTGACATAATTTGTTCCTGCAGTCTTTTAATATTTCAGTTAGAGTCACTATTCTTCAGTAGTGGGCTGTCTTTTTCTGGATCAGTATCTGGCATGTAATTTGCTTAAATCACTCTCTACAACTCACAAATAATCATCAGTTTTGACCACTATGTATCTTTCTTAGAGCCCATCTCTGAATAAAACATGATGAAGTCATGGCTTTGGTAGCTTTGATTTATACATGTAATCCATAAATGATGTAGCTAAGTAGCCAAGAAAGTTTTAAAAAATGATTAGCAAGAATCATTATAGTGTTCAAGAAATGATGCCCCGTTGGAAATGGGTATATTTTTTATTTTCAACATTGAAACTGAATTCAGCATGCAGTCCAAAGACACATCACAGTTAACTATAGTGCCACCCAGAAAAAAATACTTTTATACTGAAAAGTGTATTAGTTGGTGGGATGGCTTTTACAAACTATTTTGTTTGCAGTGTTGCTATTGTGTAGCTCTGTGTAATGAAGATCAGGGTGTGCCAGAGACATAGAAGTTCATTGGTAAAGACTTTCTTCCTCAAGCATGAAAATACCACTTGCAGATGGAAAAATTAAGAAGCCTTTGCAATTGTTAATGAGAGCCATAAATAAAAATGAATATGGCAAAATGTGGGATATAAATAATGTGGTACTCTAAGGCAAAGTATTTATAAAGTGAGCAAAATAATTGTGATATATAGAATGGGCTATGACAAAGATGAACTAATTCGGAATTTACTTCCAGGAATCCAGACTAGGTAACTTGGTTCAAAATCCCCCAAGCAACATGATTTTAAAAGCTTGACAAGAGTTTTAAAAGTTACTTAAGGCATTAGAAAGTTTTAAAAGTTGTGCTGAACTCTTGGTTCCCTTCTTCACCTGGATCTTGGCCCAACAAGTCAACACAATCACATTTGGTGTTGCTTTTATCCTCAAGTTCGCTGCTGATATCATCAAAAGTCACAATATCCTAGACTTTGGGATTGGACCCTGAAGTGCTACAAACTAAAGGAAACGTGACCTGACAATTGACCAGCCCTGAAAAGGAAGGAGAACCATCTTCAAATGATCTCAATCCCTGATTGGGTTATGAAAATCTGAGATGTTTAATACCTATAGCAGCCTTCCATCTTGAAGTAGAAAACATTATTAATTATAGTTCTGTAATTATGTAATGTCCAATACTAGTCAGAAATAACCAGGAACATGAAGCTATAGGGCCACAAGATCAAGAAAGTAACAGACCATAGAAGCCATAAAAAACTTAGAGTTTTCAGATACAGAATTAAAACTATGATTCAACATATTCAAGAAAATAAGAAGAAAAGGCTAATAATTTCAGGAAAGAACTTGAAATATTTATAAAAGAGCCAATGGAAATTATAGAGGGAGAAAAAGGCAGTCCCTATAATTAAGTATTTAATATGATGGTTTAAATGAGATTAGACATAGTTGAAGAGGAAGTTAGTGAATGATAAGTCAGAAATACATACAAATAAATACAGATAAAAACTAGGATGCAAAATACGGATAAGTGCATAAGGGACATAGAGGACACTGTGAACAGGGCTATTATAATTGGAGTCTCAGAAGTGGCAGGGGAGAAAGAATAAGACAAAAGCAAATTTCACAGAAGAATTAAGTTTCCCAAAACCAATAAAGACATCAAGTCACAGGTACAAACATCCTATGAAGCCAAGAATGATAAACATAAGGAAGATGACACTTGGGAACAGAAAAATGACTAAAAGTCAATGACAAAGAAGTAGCATTCCAGCTCACATTCAAAGAAGTAACAATAAGAAGACTGACAGTTAACTTCTCATTAGAAACCATGTTAGAAAACCAACAATAGAATGCTCTCTAGGGATTACATTTTATTTTCTTTCTGTATATTGAAGATATCATTCTTTATCTGGCAAGATATTGTTGTGCTTTGAATATGGTCTGTTTGTCCTCACCAAAGCTCATGTTAAAATTTCATCCCCAGTAGGGTGGTGTTGTCAGGTGGGGCCTAGTGGATGGTGTTTGGGTTATGGGGGCAGATGCCTCATGAATAGCTTGGTGCTTGAGTCAATGAGTGAGTTCTTGGTCATGAGAGATCACATTGGTTCTTGCAGGAATGGATTGGTTCCCCTTGAGTGTGGGTTGTTATAAAGCCAGGACACCCCTAAGGTTTCTTTCTCTTTGCATATGTTCCCTTTCCCTTTGACCTTCTCCACCATGTTGTAATGCAGTGCCAAAGCCCAGAGCCATGCTCCTAGGCTTCTCAGCCTGCAAAACATGAGCTAAATAAATCTCTTTTAAACATAAATCACCTAGCATCAAGTATTCTTTCATAGAAACACAAAATGAACTGAGACAAATATCTTACCAACTTGCAAGTAAAATAAAAATATTTTCAAACAAATAAAAACAGAAAGCATATATTACCATCAGACACAGATAAAACAAAAGACCATAAAGTGTTTTTCAGGTGGATGGCAAATGATCCCTGACAGAAGTTTGGAGATGCAGAAAGCAATATTTAAAGAGACTGCTTAAAATAAAAATAATAATGTCTTATAGGACATCAATATAAACTACATTACTCAATCACGTATCAGTTGTGAGTGGGGTATATGGAGTTAAAGTACCCTAAAATCTTTGCATTGTCTGAAAGAGGTAAAACTAATTTATATTATTAATACATTTTGGGAGAATGCATGTTTTAATCTGGCCAGCTGTTATTAAAGTGTGGTTCTCAAGTCTAAGGGACCCCCAAGATGCCTTCAGTAAGTTCATAAAGACACAATTATTTTAATTACAGCAATAAGAAATAATTTTCCCTCTTCACTGAGTTGGCATTTGATCTGATTTATAGAATACAAGATAAGTTAAACTTTTAATCTCTTAGCACAAATCAAGGCAATGATCCTAAACAGTACTAGTTTTAACTCTACTTTTCTATGCCAGATGTCTGCAATTCTTTTTTCTCGTAAGGTCCAGATAGGAAATGCTTTAGGTTTTGCAGGCCATAAAGCCTCTGTCTCTACTACCAAACTGCATTTGAAGAGCAAAAACGTTTTAGATAATACATAAACAAATGGGCATAGCTGCGTTTCGATAGAACTTTATCTTAAAAAAAATGTAGCTGTGGGCTAACTCTGACTGGTAAGTCAAAAGTTTGCTAACCCCTGTTCTGTGTCACGTAATGCAGCAAAAACAAGTAATACACGCACACATATGTTTACTTAAGTAACACACATGCACATTTACTTAATACACCCCCCCACACACATTTACTTAAGTAATACACACACACACATATGCATTAAGAACATCCTTGCTGAAAGCAGTAGAAATTATGGATTTTATTAAATCTTGACCCTCATGCGCACAACATTTTGATATTCCTTGTGACATAATGGGAAGTAAGCATAAAGCATTTTGCCTGGCTGCTGGCTGCTGAAGTGTGATGACTGTCTTGAGGCAATGCACTTATATGATTGTATCAGTTGTGAGCTGAGCTAATTGCTTTTTCATGGAACAACATTGCTACTTGAAAGAACAATTAACTGATGAACTATGGTTATTCAGATTTGAAATTAGGTAGAGTAGCCAAGGAGACACGGAAAAAATCTCTAATAATGAGTTTTAGAAAAAGTTGTCTTTGCTATTGGAAAAGTGATACCCTAATAGTTGCTTTTCTTCCTCTGGACATTGTCCTCTCTACATGTGATGCTGGAACTGTGACAACCATCTCTTAAGGCAGAATGTAGCTTACCTGAGGATGAAGCTGACATCATCCTAAGTAGTACACTGCTGGTGTACTAAGTTGACAGGATTGTGGTAGCAGGGTAACTATTCCACTATTATCAGGTCATTAATTTGTCCATTTATTTACCAAACATTTGTTGAGTGCTAATTACATGCCAGGTACAGGGAAAAATGGCAGAGTTCCTCACCTCCTGGAGGTTACATTCTAGTAGGGAAGACAGAGAATGAAATTGTATTTAGATTCATGAGAATTCAGAGTGCTATGAAAATGTGATCTATCTTGGGGCATAGTGAATGCTTTTCTGAGAAAATGTGAAGTATAAGCTAAACATGAAAGATGAATAAGAGTTATCTGGGATAAAGTATAGGGAAGAGTTTGCAGAAAGGAAAATGTGTTTGAAGTTGAGAAAGCAAGGAGCATGTGCTAGGGATTTGGGGGAATTGAGGAAGGCCAGTATGCCTGGGGCACAACGGACAAGGAATGGCAGATGGAGAGGCTGGAAAAGCCATTGGCCCTGTGATTGTAGAATGTTATGGCCAAATTAAGATTTTTGAACTTTATCCTAGAAGATATGCAAGTGTACTGAGGTTTCAAATCTGGGGCTTGATATGTTCATATTGGCATTTTTGAAAGATCATCCTGGCTGTAATGTGGAGAATAGGTTGTACTAAAACTGAGTTAGAAGCCAAGACCTTGGTGAAGTGTCACACAGCTGTCCAGGAGAGAGATTAAGTGACTTTAAGTGGGTCAGTGGCAGTGGTGTGGAAACATGTGGAAATGTCACCTAGTCAGAAATGCAGGGAATGGAGAATGTGAGGCTCAAGTGGAGTCCTGAAGAGCGCCTAAGAGGTGGCTAGGATAAAAGATAATGAAAAATTACTGACAAACTTCCTGCTTTAGGGGATGGTGCAGGGAAAGGAGCATACATAAAATGCTGCAGACCAAGTCCCAGATGAAAATTTCTGAACTTTTCATCATAATTTATAATTTTTGATACTTTTAAACATCCATGATTTTGCTCAACTATACTTCCTATTCTTTCCAAAGGAAATATTTTAAGATAGCTGTTGCCAGAAATTAATAGTGGCCACTGAAATATTTTCATATGACCAATGGCTTACAAACTTATCATCTTTTATGTAATTAAATTTAATTCATGAAAATACATGGTGGGGAGGAGCCAAGATGGCCGAATAGGAACAGCTCTGGTCTACAGCTCCCAGCGTGAGCGACGCAGAAGAAGGGTGATTTCTGCATTTCCATCTGAGGTACCGGGTTCATCTCACTAGGGAGTGCCAGACAGTGGGCGCAGGTCAGTGGGTGCACGCACCGTGCGCGAGCCGAAGCAGGGCGAGGCATTGCCTCACTTGGGAAGCGCAAGGGGTCAGGGAGTTCCCTTTCCGAGTCAAAGAAAGGGGTGACAGACGCACCTGGAAAATCGGGTCACTGCCACCCAAATACTGCGCTTTTCCGACCGGCTTAAAAAACGGCACACCACGAGATTATATCCCGCACCTGGCTCGGAGGGTCCTACGCCCATGGAGTCTCGCTGATTGCTAGCATAGCAGTCTGAGATCAAACTGCAAGGCGGCAGCGAGGCAGGGTGAGGGGCACCCGCCATTGCCCAGGCTTGCTTAGGTAAACAAAGCAGCCGGGAAGCTCGAACTGGGTGGAGCCCACCACAGCTCAAGGAGGCCTGCCTGCCTCTGTAGGCTCCACCTGTGGGGCAGGGCACAGACAAACAAAAAGACAGCAGTAACCTCTGCAGACTTAAATGTCCCTGTCTGACAGCTTTGAAGAGAGCAGTGGTTCTCCCAGCACGCAGCTGGAGATCTGAGAACGGGCAGACTGCCTCCTCAAGTGGGTCCCTGACCCCTGACCTCCGAGCAGCCTAACTGGGAGGCATCCCCCAGCAGGGGTACACTGACACCTCACACGGCAGGGTATTCCAACAGACCTGCAGCTGAGGGTCCTGTCTGTTAGAAGGAAAACTAACAAACAGAAAGGACATCCACACCAAAAACCCATGTGTACATCACCATCATCAAAGACCAAAAGTAGATAAAACCACAAAGATGGGGAAAAAACAGAACAGAAAAACTGGAAACTCTAAAACGCAGAGCGCCTCTCCTCCTCCAAAGGAACGCAGTTCCTCACCAGCAACGGAACAAAGCTGGATGGAGAATGACTTTGGCCAGCTGACAGAAGAAGGCTTCAGACGATCAAATTACTCTGAGCTACAGGAGGACATTCAGACCAAAGGCAAAGAAGTTGAAAACTTTGAAAAAAATTTAGAAGAATGTATAACTAGAATAACCAATACAGAGAAGTGCTTAAAGGAGCTGATGGAGCTGAAAACCAAGGCTTGAGAACTACGTGAAGAATGCAGAAGCCTCAGGAGCTGATGCGATCAACTGGGAGAAAGGGTATCAGCAATGGAAGATGAAATGAATGAAATGAAGCGAGAAGGGAAGTTTAGAGAAAAAACAATAAAAAGAAATGAGCAAAGCCTCCAAGAAATATGGGACTATGTGAAAAGACCAAATCTACGTCTGATTGGTGTACCTGAAAGTGATGAGGAGAATGGAACCAAGTTGGAAAACACTCTGCAGGATATTATCCAGGAGAACTTCCCCAATCTAGCAAGGCAGGCCAACGTTCAGATTCAGGAAATACAGAGAACGCCACAAAGATACTCCTTGAGAAGAGCAACTCCAAGACACATAATTGTCAGATTCACCAAAGTCGAAATGAAGGAAAAAATGTGAAGGGCAGCCAGAGAGAAAGGTTGGGTTACCCTCAAAGGGAAGCCCATCAGACTAACAGCGGATCTCTCAGCAGAAACCCTACAAGCCAGAAGAGAGTGGGGGCCAATATCCAACATTCTTAAAGAAAAGAATTTTCAACCCAGAATTTCATATCCAGCCAAACTAAGCTTCATAAGTGCAGGAGAAATAAAATACTTTACAGACAAGCAAATGCTGAGAGATTTTGTCACCACCAGGCCAGCCCTAAAAGAGCTCCTGAAGGAAGTGCTAAACATGGAAAGGAACAACCGGTACCAGCTGCTGCAAAATCATGCCAAAATGTAAAGACCATCGAGACTAGGAAGAAACTGCATCAACTAACGAGCAAAATAACCAGCTAACATCATAATGACAGGATCAAATTCACACATAACAATATTAACTTTAAATGTAAATGGGCTAAATGTTCCAATTAAAAGACACAGACTGGCAAATTGGATAAAGAGTCAAGACCCTTCAGTGTGCTGTATTCAGGAAACCCATCTCACATGCAGAGACACACATAGGCTCAAAATAAAAGGATGGAGGAAGATCTACCAAGCAAATGGAAAACAAAAAAGGCAGGGGTTGCAATCCTAGTCTCTGATAAAACAGACTTTAAACCAACAAAGATCAAAAGAGACAAAGAAGGCCATTACATAATGGTAAAGGGATCAATTCAACAACAAGAGCTAACTATCCTAAATATATATGCACCCAATACAGGAGCACCCAGATTCATAAAGCAAGTCCTGAGTGACCTACAAAGAGACTTAGACTCACACATATTAATAATGGGAGACTTTAACACCCCACTGTCAACATTAGACAGATCAACGAGACAGAAAGTCAACAAGGATACCCAGGAACTGAACTCAGCTCTGCACCAAGCAGACCTAATAGACATCTACAGAACTCTCCACCCCAAATCAACAGAATATACATTTTTTTCAGCACCACACCACACCTATTCCAAAATTGACCACATACTTGGAAGTAAAGCTCTCCTCAGCAAATGTAAAAGAACAGAGATTATAACAAACTCTCTCTCAGACCACAGTGCAATCAAACTAGAACTCAGGATTAAGAAACTCACTCAAAACCGCTCAACTACATGGAAACTGAACAACCTGCTCCTGAATGACTACTGGGTACATAACGAAATGAAGGCAGAAATAAAGATGTTCTTTGAAACCAACGAGACCAAAGACACAACATACCAGAATCTCTGGGACACATTCAAAGCAGTGTGTAGAGGGAAATTTATAGCACTAAATGCCCACAAGAGAAAGCAGGAAAGATCCAAAATTGACACCCTACCATCACAATTAAAAGAACTAGAAAAGCAAGAGCAAACACATTCAAAAGCTAGCAGAAGGCAAGAAATAACTAAAATCAGAGCAGAACTGAAGGAAATAGAGACACAAAAAAACCCTTCAAAAAATTAATGAATCCAGGAGCTGGTTTTTTGAAAGGATCAACAAAAGTGATAGACCGCTAGCAAGACTAATAAAGAAAAAAAGAGAGAAGAATCAAATAGACACAATAAAAAATGATAAAGGGGATATCACCACCGATCCCACAGAAATACAAACTACCATCAGAGAATACTACAAACACCTCTACGCAAATAAACTAGAAAATCTAGCAGAAATGGATAAATTCCTCAACACATACACTCTCCCAAGACTAAACCAGGAAGAAGTTGAATCTCTGAATAGACCAATAACAGGATCTGAAATTGTGGCAATAATCAATAGCTTACCAACCAAAAAGACTCCAGGACCAGATGGATTCACAGCCGAATTCTACCAGAGGTACAAGGAGGAACTGGTACCATTCCTTCTGAAACTATTCCAATCAATAGAAAAAGAGGGAATCCTCCCTAACTCATTTTATGAGGCCAGCATCATCCTGATACCAAAGCCGGGCAGAGACACAACCAAAAAAGAGAATTTTAGACCAATATCCTTGATGAACATTGATGCAAAAATCCTCAATAAAATACTGGCAAAACGAATCCAGCAGCACATCAAAAAACTTATCCACCATGATCAAGTGGGCTTCATCCCTAGGATGCAAGGCTGGTTCAATATACGCAAATCAATAAATGTAATCCAGCATATAAACAGAACCAAAGACAAAAACCACATTATTATCTCAATAGATGCAGAAAAGGCCTTTGACAAAATTCAACAACAATTCATGCTAAAAACTCTCAATAAATTAGGTATTGATGGGATGTATTTCAAAATAATAAGATCTATCTATGACAAACCCACAGCCAATATCATACTGAATGGGCAAAAACTGGAAGCATTCCCTTTGAAAACTGGCACAAGACAGGGATGCCCTCTCTCACCACTCCTATTCAACATAGTGTTGGAAGTTCTGGCCAGGGCAATTAGGCAGGAGAAGGAAATAAAGGGTATTCAATTAGGAAAAGAGGAAGTCAAATTGTCCCTGTTTGCAGACGACATGATTGTATATCTAGAAAACCACATTGTCTCAGCCCAAAATCTCCTTAAGCTGACAAGCAACTTCAGCAAAGTCTCAGGATACAAAATCAATGCACAAAAATCACAAGCATTCTTATACACCAACAACAGACAGAGAGCCAAATCATGAGTGAACTGCCATTCACAATTGCTTCAAAGAGAATAAAATACCTAGGAATCCAACTTACAAGGGATGTGAAGGATCTCTTCAAGGAGAACTACAAACCACTGCTCAAGGAAATAAAAGAGGATACAAACAAATGGAAGAACATTCCATGGCCATGGGTAGGAAGAATCAATATCATGAAAATGGCCATACTGCCCAAGGTAATTTACAGATTCAATGCCATCCCCATCAAGCTACCAATGACTTTCTTCACAGAATTGGAAAAAACTACTATAATGTTCATATGGAACCGAAAAAGAGCCCGCATCGCCAAGGCAATCCTAAGCAAAAAGAACAAAGCTGGAGGCATCACACTACCTGACTTCAATCTATACTACAAGGCTACAGTAACCAAAACAGCATGGTACTGGTACCAAAACAGAGATATAGATCAATGGAACAGAACAGAGCCCTCAGAAATAATGCCGCATATCTACAACTATCTGATCTTTGACAAACCTGAGAAAAGCAAGCAATGGGGAAAGGATTCCCTATTTAATAAATGGTGCTGGGAAAACTGGCTAGCCATATGTAGAAAGCTGAAACTGGATCCCTTCCTTACACCTTATACAAAATCAATTCAAGATGGATTAAAGACTTAAATGTTAGACCTAAAACCATAAAAAACCCTAGAAGAAAACCTAGGCATTACCATTCAGGACATAGGCATGGGCAAGGACTTCATGTCTAAAACACCAAAAGCAATGGCAACAAATGACAAAATTGACAAACGGGATCTAATTAAACTAAAGAGCTTCTGCACAGCAAAAGAAACTACCATCAGAGTGAACAGGCAACCTACAAAATGGGAGAAAATGTTCACAACCTACTCATCTGACAAAGGGCTAATATCCAGAATCTACAATGAACTGAAACAGATTTACAAGAAAAAAACAAACAACCCCATCAAAAAGTGGGTGAAGGACATGAACAGACACTTCTCAAAAGAAGACATTTATGCAGCCAAAAAACACATGAAAAAATGCTCATCAGTGGCCATCAGAGAAATGCAAATCAAAACCACAATGAGATACCATCTCACACCAGTTGGAATGGCAATCATTAAAAAGTCAGGAAACAATAGGTGCTGGAGAGCATGTGGAGAAATAGGAACACTTTTACACTGTTGGTGGGACTGTAAACTAGTTCAACCATTGTGGAAGTCAGTGTGGCGATTCCTCAGGGATCTAGAACTAGAAATACCATTTGACCCAGCCATCCCATTACTGGGTATATACCCAAAGAACTCTAAATCATGCTGCTATAAAGACACATGCACATGTATGTTTATTGCGGCATTATTCACAATAGCAAAGACTTGGAACCAACCCAAATGCCCAACAATGATAGACCGGATTAAGAAAATGTGGCACATATACACTATGCAATACTATGCAGCCATAAAAAAGGATGAGTTCATGTCCTTTGTAGGGACATGGATGAAATTGGAAAGCATCATTCTCAGTAAACTATCGCAAGAACAAAAAACCAAACACCGCATATTCTCACTCACAGGTGGGAATTGAACAATGAGATCACATGGACACAGGAAGGGGAATATCACACTCTGGGGACTGTGGTGGGTAGAGGGAGGGGGGAGGGATAGCATTGGGAGGTATACCTAATGCTAGATGACGAGTTAGTGGGTGCAGCGCACCAGCATGGCACATGTATGCATATGTAACTAACCTGCACACTGTGCACATGTACCCTAAAACTTAAAGTATAATAATAAAAAAAAAGAAAATACATGGTTAAGTGGATATAAGTGTATGATTCTACTACTTCTAGCCTTCTATGCTTTCTCATGTAAGGTACCACAATTGATGGAAACAAGAATCATTTATTAAGAGCTCTCTGACATGCTAAGATATCCCTTGAATATTTTTAAGAAATTCAAAGGAAATCATACATCAAAGCCAATTACACCTTCTTGTGTGCTAATTTCTGTTAACTCCTGAATAGCTTTAGTTTAACTGTAAGTTAAAGGATCTATATTTAAATACTTTCTGACTTCTGGACCAGTAATTAAAGATCTCTTATTTTATTCATCTTAGATAAATAATAACAAATAGCACTTGAATTCTCAGAAACTGAAAACACTTTATTGTGAGAATAGTTTTTAATTAATCTGACTATTTTACAAACAGAAGACAATTTCTTAATGAAAGTAATCATGTAATATGTATTCCTTTTCTATTTTTCATCTTAAAAAATTTTTTAGAGGCAGTTTTACTCTGCCACCCAGGCTGGAGTACAGTGGTGCAATCACTGCTGACTGTAGCCTCGAACTCCTGGATTCAGGTAATCCTCTCACCTCTGCTTCTCTGCTTCCTGAGTAACTCAGACTACAGGCCCAACTAAGTTTTTTAATTTTTATTTTTTGCAGACATGAGGGTCTTGCTGTGTTGCCCAGGCTGGTCTCAAAATCCCAGCCTCAAGTGATTCTCCTGCCTTTACCTCCCAAAGTGCTGGGATTATAGGCATGAGACACTGTGCCTGCCCTTGTATTTCAATTCCTTTCCATTGGAAGGAATGAAGATCTCTGGTTTCTCTCTGAAGTTTTAACAGTATTAAGCAATCCAAGTTATATATAGTTATTTTATTTAGAAATTTAAATATTACCCCTTGCATAAATTTAAAAAGTTGACTTTAAAGCAAATCTTACATTATTTCTTTAATAAATTACCTCATTTAAAAATAATAATTATATGGAACATTGTATACTCAGATCAGAAATTTGTTACATATTGTTGTCTCAAAACTTGCAAAATTTTTACATCTAATATTTTAGAAATTATAAAATATTTTCTCAATGCAACCTTAAACATGATTTGTTAAAACTTTAAATAAATCAAGGTTAAATAAAAAATTGCACCCATTGGAATGGCTACATTTCTCACCATAAATTATTCTTTCTTATAGGGAAACGTTCCATTGGAATTCTAACTTAGAGAAAGATATTTTATTCTAGTACTCCAAAGCATAAACTAATATTCATACAGTAAACAGAATCCTGAGTTAATCCATTTAATAAAAATATATTTTTGTTTTTCAACCTTTCAAATGAGACTGAGATGTTTCCACCTTCCTTCCTTCCATCTCTTTGCTTTGCTTAATCTCCTAGGGATGAGAGGAATTGAATATACTTCATGCCCATCTTTACAATACTAAGGCTCCTTTTCTTCTGAGTTCTACCTTATTATGTATGTTATCCCATTAGATTCTGGCCCTTTGGTGGCTCTGGCATTAGTGTTTGCTTTCTGTCCCTGAAGGTGCATCACAGTATCAGTTAGTCTGGCAGTATCCTCATGTTTTCTCCAGGACAGTGCAATTTAAGCATCCTGTTTTATCTCTCTGGGATTTTTGTCTTCTCTGAGAATTTATTCTAAAATTTCTCATTATCTGGTCAATTCTTAGAATATTTTGTGAAATAACTTTTCCTTTTTTACCCCACATCTTTCCTTCAGAAATTGGTCAAATTAACCAACATCACCATTATAGCAAACAACACAATAGCTAAATACCACTTTTCGCCATTTATTTTCAATGCTACAACTTTTGCCCAAGCTTCCATCATATCTTGCCTGGATTATTGCAATAGTCTCCTAACTGGCCTCTTTTTTTTGGACACCAACAGTCTGTTTTATTTTATTTTATTTTATGTTTGGATAAATGCCCACTTTTACAAGTCAGATCTCAAATTAAAAATCTAACATCACAACTAGTGGAAAAACAACAATAACAAAAAATAAACCCAAAAAAACAAAAAACAAAAATGAAAACCAAAAAAAGAGCAAACTAATCCCAAAGCTAGCAGAAGAAAAGATATAACCCAAATCAGAGCAGAATGGAATGAAATTGAGACTCAAAAATCCTATGAAGAATCAACAAAACCAAAAGTTGGTTTTTAGAAGGATAAGCAACATAGATAGACCACTAGCTAGATTAACAGAGCAAAAAAGAGAAAATCCAAAGACGTACAATCAGAGACGGCAAAGGTGACATTACAACTGATCCACTAGAAATAAAAAAGATCCTCAGAGAGTACTATGAATGCCTCTATGCACATAAACTAGGAAGTTGAGAGGAAATGGATAAATCCCTGGAAACATACAGCCTCCATGACTGAGTCAGGAAGAAATTGAAACCCTGAACAGATCAATCTTAAGTTCTAAAACTGAATCAGTAATAATAAAATAAAACCCACCAACCAATAAAAGGCCCCAATCAAAGGAATTCACAGCCGAATTCTACCAGACGTACAAAGAAGAGCTGGTACCAATTCTACTTGAACTGTTCTAAAAAATTGAGCGGGGGGATTCCTCCCTAACTCATTTTTTGAAGCCAGTATCACTCTGATACCAAAATATGGTAAACACACAATGTAAAAGAAAAACACATGCCAACATTCCCCAACAAAATATTAGTAAACCAAATCCAGCAGCACATCAAAAACTTAATTCACTACAATCACGTAGGCTTCATTTCTTGGATGCAAGTTTGGTTCAACATATGCAAATCAATACGTGTGATTCATCACAAAAAAGAATTAGAAACAAAAACTGTACGTTTATCTCAATAGATGTGGGAAAAGCATTCAATAAAATCCAACATCCTTTCATGATAAAAACCCTCAGGAAACTATGCATTGAAAAGAAATACCTCAAAATAATCAGAGCCATGTATGACAAACCCACAGCCAACATAATACTGAATAGGCAAAAGCTGGAGGCAGTCCCCTTGAGAACTGGAACAAGACAAGGATTCCTACTGTTACCACTCCTATTCAATATATTGTTGGTGCAAAAGTCATTGTGATTTTTGCCATTCCTTTTTTTTTTTTTTTTTGAGACGGAGTCTCACTGTGTCGCTCAGGCTGGAGTGCAGTGGCGCGATCTCGGCTCACTGCAAGCTCCAACCTCCAGGGTTCATGCCATTCTCCTGCCTCAGCCTCCCAAGTAGCTGGGACTGCAGGCGCCCGCCACCATGCCCTTGCTAATTTTTTGTAATTTTAGTAGAGACAGGGTTTCACCATGTTAGCCAGGATGGTCTTGATCTCCTGACCTCGTGTTCTGCCCACCTCGGCCTCCCAAAGTGCTGGGATTACAGGCGTGAGCCACCACTCCCGGCCAGTTTTTGCCGTTAAAGGCAAAAACCGCAATTACTTTTGCACCAACCTAATAGTACTGGAAGTCCCATCCAGAGCAAGCAGGCAAGAGAAAGAAATAAAAGGCATACAAATAGGAAAAGGAAAAATCCAACTATCTCTCCTCATTGACAATATGATTCTAAATTAGAAAACCCTAAAGACTGAAAAGCGTCCTTGAACTGATAAGCTTCAGTGAAGTTTCAGGACACAGTATCAATGTACAAAAATCTGCAGCATTTCTATACACCAAAAAAAATTCAAGCTGAGAGCTAAATCAAGAATGCAATCCCATTTACAATAGCTACACACACAAATAAAATACCTAGGAATACATCTAACTGAGGAGGTGAAAGATCTCTAGAAGAACTATAAAATATTGCTGAAAGAAATTATAGATGACGCAGACAAATGAATAAACATTCCATGCTCATGGATTGGAAGAATCAACATTATTGAAATGGCCACACTGCCCAAAGCAATCTACAGATTCAATGCTATTTCTATAAAACTACTAACGTCATTTTTCAAAGAAATAGAAACAAACTATTCTAAAATTCATACGCAATCAAAAACAAAAGCCCAAATAGCCGAAGCAATCCTAAGCAAAAAGAAAAAAGCCAGAGGCATCATATTACCCAACGTCGAACTATACTATACGCCAATAGTCTATTTTCAACAGCACAGTCAAGTATCCTATAAAACCCTAAAACTGGTTATGTTTCTTCTCTGCTCCAAATCTTTCACACCTTCCCTTGTCACTCTGGGTAAAAGCCAAACCCTTAACATGGCCCATAGGTCTTTTCTCTGACACCTGAGACATAATCCTGCCTTCAGGCCTTAGCACTTGCTGTTCTGTATGGTAGAACCATACTTTCCCCAGGTGTCCATACTTACTTCTTTAAGACTTTCAGCTCTTTACTCAGATGTTTCAGTGACCTTCCTGGGTTATGCTCTTTAAAACTGCCATCTTCCACCCATCTCTGCAGTTCCTATGCCCTTCCATTCATTATTCTTTCTTTATAGAATTTATGAAATTCTATTCATTCATTCTCCCACTTGAAAATCAGCTGTGAAATGGAGGGAATTTTGCCTTTTTTTTTTAACTGCTCCATCTTCAGTGCTTAAACTAACGGCTGCCACATAATAGGTTCTTAAAAATTATTTGTTGAATAAATGACTCGATATAGGCACCAAGAAAGACTTACAATTAGGGTAGTATCAGATAAGTACATACTTCCATTAAAATGATTGTAATACTAGCTTTAAAATGTAATCTGACAAAGCTCACCTGAATACCCATTCATGTCACCAAAATTTTCCTTCAGTGAATAATAATCTTTTTCTCCCCAAATAATCTATGAAAGCAAAATGAAAATAAATACATTGCCAGGCGTGGTGGCTCACGCCTGTAATCCCAGCACTTTGGGAGGCTGAGGTGGGCTGATTGCTTTGAGCTCAGGAGTTTGTGAGCAGCCTGGGCAACATAGCGAGACCCCATCTCTACAAAAACAAACAAACAAACAAAAAAACACACAAAAATGAGCCAAGTAGGGGGGCATGTGCCTGTAACCTGAGGTATTCGGGTGGCTGAGTCAGGAGAATCGCTTGAACCTGGTGGCAGAGTTTGCAGTGAGCCGAGATTGCCCCACTGCACTCCGACCTAAGAGACCGAGTGAGACCCTGTCTCAAAATCCCCCCAAAACCAAATAAATAAATACATAAATAACTAACCATAGTAGCTGCTACCTTAACATGAAAATACATTTTCTTAACATCCCTTTTCCCTGCAAAAGTAGATAATCAATGCTTATGAACACAGGGGATCTTCCACTTCAAAAATAATTTTCACAATTTGAACATACAATCAATTCACATAGACCAGTCAGTCTGAAGTCTAACAAATGACTGCCAAAAAGCAAAGAAAGAATGTCTCTAAAGCTTATAACTGTAATTAAGGAAGAATATATGGACCTCCTTCATCTTTAATAAAATCTCTTCCCTCTCCACTTTGCATTTATTTTTCTGTGTATCAGCTGTCTATTATTTCTTGAATCATTTTGCAAGTTCATTTTCTTATCCTCTATGAGTTTTCTCTTACAAATAATAGACAATATTTTCTGAAAGTTCAGTATGTGTTTTATGACAATTTACTCACCTCCCTCCATGGTGTTGTTTTACCTTCAACAGTAAGTGAAAGATTTTAAGCTTGATGTATTAGCATTGAAATAAAAGATTGAGTATAGTCTAAGACAGAAATTGCCTGGATGCCATATAAATTGCTTCTATATTTCTTTGGAAATGCTACCTTAACTTTTATTTATCATTTGAACACCTAACAATTTAAGATCATTTACATTTTAGAAAAAAATAGAAGCTAGAGAAGTGAAACACTTTTTTTTTCATAATCAGTAAACATCTGTTGCCCACTCTCATGATACCATCCTCTGCATATTATGAAGTTTGTACTCCAGGAACCCATTTTCCTCTGAAGAAAACTCCTGTAAAAAACTGCCTATTCTGCAAACTGAGTGCTCATTAGTTCTTGTTGAAAGACAAGTCTTGGCTTGGAGGGGTGGCTCACGCTTGTAATTCCATCACTTTGGGAGGCCGAGGCGAGCGGATCACTTGAGACCAGAAGTTCGAGACAAGCCTGGCCAACATGGCGAAACCCACCTGGCCAACATGGCGAAACCCCATCAATACTAAAAATACAAAAAAAAAAAAAAAATTAGCTGGGCATGGTGGCAGGTGCCTGTAATCCCAGTTACTCAGTAGGCTGAGGCAAGAGAATCACTTGAAACTGGGAGGCAGAGGTTGCAGTGAGCGGAGATCACGCCATTGCCCTCCAGCCTGGGTGACAAGAGCGAAACTAAAAAAGACAAGTATTACTAAAAGAGACAACAGAATTCTTAAATCTCTTATAAATATTGGTCCTGGCTATAAATTATAATGCTTTAAAAAGAATGGACAGAAGAAATAAAATCCAAAGAGACAAAGACGCAAAACCTTTAGCAATCTAATAAAATTGGCTATTGCTGAGAAATGATGACAATACCTTGATCAAGCAGCTGTGAAACTCTTAGAAATGACGTGCCTTGATGTGAGCAAAGTGTTCCAGAAGTGAGGAAAAAGGGCTGAATTGTAAAGAGCAAATGGCGACCCCATTTTCCTTTGATATGGTTTTCCCAGGGTAAAAGTTCTACTAAATAGGCAATAGCCTTTTATGCCACATTTCTAAATACCACTTCCTCTCTCCCTTTCTTCTTCACCTCCCTCTATCTCTCCGTGTCATGCTTTTTCCCTGCCTTTTTGCTTTTTCCTTCTTTTTGAAAAAACAAAACAAAACAAAACAAAAAACCAAAAATGTAATACCACTAGAGACCAGGCAGTGTTCTAGGTGCTAGGGATACAAAAATGATTAATGAGATTTATGTTGAGTAAATCCATACATACACATCCAAATAAACTATAGATGCTAAAGCTCAGAACAAGCTTGAAGATAATTCTCATTGAATTTCCATATTACAGCTGATGATTTTGAGCCTCTTTAAATGTCCAAGATCACTTATTGAATTAAATGGTGAAAATGTGGTACTGGAAACTAGGACTTCTGGCCAGGCATGGTGGCTCACACCTGTAATCTCAGCACTTTGAGAGGCCAGGGTAGGTGGATGATCTGAGCTCAGGAGTTTGAGACCAGCTTGGGCAACATGGCAAAACCCTGTCTCTATTGCCTGAGTGTGGTGGCTGGTGCCTGTAGTCCCAGCTACTTGGGAGGCTGAAGTGGGACGATCACTTGAGCCTGGGAGGTGGAAGTTGCAGTGAGCCGGGATTCTGTTACTGCACTCCAGTCTGGGAAACAGTGAGAGCCTGTCCCATACAAACACACACACACACACACGCACACACACATGCACACACACACACACACAGAAAGAAACCAGGACTTCTGATGCTTGGTCCAATGCATTGTCTCCTAAACCATGCTGACTTTCAATAATATGTTCCATTGTTTTAAAAAATATGCATGAATGCAATAAATAATTTGTGATTATTTTTAAAATGGAATGACTTTTTCCATAAAATAATGAGCTAATAATATTTTGTATTGAAAATAACTTTGTTATTCATTCCTGAATATTACAAATAAGAGGATTCTGGTTTTCAAGTATTTTAAAAAGTCAGAGAAATGACTAGGCATGGAAAAGTAAAATGATTGAATCAATGTTTGAAGATAGACACAATAATAATTAGCATTAATTAAATATATGTATATGTATACATATATACTGTACATATTTATCCTTAAACCTTGAAACATTGTAAGTATTGCTAAGTCAGATTTATGAATAAGGAAACTGAGACTGAGAAATATCAGTGACTTGCCACAAAGTTCATCTTTCTAGAGAATGATGAAACCAGTGTGGAAATTCAGATTTACATGACTCTAAAGTTTTTTCTCCCATACTACTTAATACTATCTCAAATTTATGCAATGGGTATAATAGTGTCTCATGGAGTATCAAAGAAATATTCCTGAGAAGAGAGAATGATGTTGTTAACTAAATGGCTACATGCAAGCTTGAAGTGAAGAAATTATTTTAAAAATTCTAAGCTGAACTATGCAATTAAAAACTTAAGACTTGCTTTGACAATCAAAGATGAGGTTCCAAATCTCAGACATTTACTGTTTCAGCTTTTATGTTTTTTCCTGCTTAGCATGAAAGACATTATTTAGTTTCGGAAATATAAAAGAGAAAACTGGCCCCTCTAGTTAGGGCCCCATATACATCAAAGTATTTCATATTTGTGAGAAATGGGATATTTCGACTGATACATACAAAGGAAATCCTTTCTAAATTTAATTTATCTATTTGTTCCTTATTCAAGCCTCTAATTACACCAGTAGGTTTAGACAGGTAGACATTTGCTAGAAAGGAAGGACTGAATCTTAATGAGAAACTAAATAATGAATATAATGACACTGGTATCTAGTTGTCAGGACTTCAAAGCTCAAGACAAAGGCTGAAGTAAAGTTAAGTGACAGACCCACTGAAATAGATTGAACAGATGAGTACCAAGAAGTGTACCATAGGATTTTCTTACAAAACAGAAACAACGATGCTATATGAATAAAAGTTTATTTAACAGTATTTTTACTATTTAAAAAAGTACAAAACAAGTCATTGTTATTTATATTACAAAGAAACTTTCCTTAAACTTAAAAAACTGATGTCTTCTTTAGGACTTGTAAATATTGCTTTACCAAGTAATTACTTGCTAGAGAAATTATAGGATAGAAAAAACTTAAGGATTAAAAGTCGAGTATGAAAGATAATTAAAGATGATCCAGAGAAAAAGATAAATCATTTTTGAAACAATAATTCAAATCTGTAAAGCTCACATTAATGATCATTTGAAATGTGTTTAAAATAAAATGTTGTAACAGCCTTTAATTCATTTTCAATGAATATTTAATAATTAACATATAATAATTGTTTTAGCTCACTAAACCTATCATGGTTGTATCATAGTTGTTTCAAAATTTTACTTTTATCGTTTTCTTTTTGGTTAATCAGTAGGATAAACTGGAATATGCAGAATGTTTCAAAGAA
Organism: Homo sapiens; assembly: GCF_000001405.40. Lineage (NCBI taxonomy): Eukaryota > Metazoa > Chordata > Mammalia > Primates > Hominidae > Homo > Homo sapiens. The sequence continues at coordinate 167,072,921 of NC_000002.12, read as the reverse complement.
TTTGTGTTTAAAGTTATACTGTGAAATGTTTTATACACTTTATGCAAAATATGCGGCCTTCTGTATGGTTTGATTTTGGAGGCTAGGGAATGGTCTCTTCAGTCCTGCAAATGTTTCCTATCAGCTTTGTATGTTAGCAAAATCTAATGTAAACTTAAACATTTTTATATAAACAATAAAGTTCCCATAGTAAATACTGATTGGAAAGGTGACTCAATAGCCAGGTTCATGTACAAGTCATTGTTGAATATTTCTCTAAGGGAAGCTTTTGATTTGAGAGAACATAGAGTTCAAATGAAGTATTTATTGAGTGCCTGACACACTGCTGGGGTTGAGGATATAGACGTATATATAATTACTCTATATGTGTTGAATAATATGATACAGATCTTGCCATATAAGGGAAGTGTAATCATTGCTATGACAAAGAAAATCAGAACACCAGCGGATCAAGGGGTTTGACCTAGTATATAGAGTGGAGAAGGCCACATTATTACATGAAGAAAAAGTCCAGTCAGTCAGGCAGAAGGTGGAGAAAGGACAATCCAGTCAAGAATTACATAGCTATTATACTAACTTGATATGGTTAAAATTTTTGCTTGGTATTATACATATAGAGAATAAATCACTGTTTTCTATATATACCCTCCCATAAAATATTCCATATAGAAAACAATTTCCAGAGAGGCAAAATGTTACTTTCTGTATACAGGACAGCATGTATGTATGTTTGTATTCACACATACACAGACACAATCATACCACACACACACTCTATTACATAAACATACATATAACTTCATATGGCATATGCTTATATTATATATTTTAAAATATTTATTCCATTGTGCTGCTGTATTAAATGATCATTATTTTTAACACTGTGCTTTATGTTTGGCATACCAGAGTCTGCTGCTAAGTTCCTGCTAATTATTTCTCAGTACAGTGTCTCACAAATATTTATGAGCAAGGTTATCTCCCCACCTGTAGGGTGATGCTAGCTGCTGGGTGTTTCCCCTCTACGGTCTTGATTCCTCCATCTGTGGACCTTATGTCCTCTGAGAATGGCAAATGGTTCATCTTCTCATGAGAGCCACCACTGTTACCAGAGCCTGGCAACAGCCATGTGCTGCATTCTCAAGAGCTGCCCTGGCACAGAAGGTCTGCCAGCTTCCAGAAGAAGTAGGGTCCATAATACTTTCCCCGTTTTCATAGTTCTCATGTTTTGGTTTGCTGCCATACATAGTTTAATAGCTATTAAAATTTTTACTAACAAACAGGAAGAGGTGAGGAAGTGGCCAAGGAGTTAAATCTGTGTGACAGACCCCACCCTATGTTCTGAATTGCCTTTACGTTCAGAAAATAAAAGCATTCACATGAGACCAACCTTCTCCTACGAGTTTGCTCCCATAAGGTAAGTTTAGCTTTCAAGGAAAATAGGCATCTGACCGCAGTCCTTCCCAGGTGTCTTGGCAGGCTTGTTCCGGCGTGTCGGAACCATAATAGTATATACATCTTAGGCTTTTCTTATATTTGTAACTCATATTACTTTTTAATAACGCATTTTTTTGGTGTAGATGTTTGCAGGAAAATGTTTTAACTTTGTTAATTCATTAACTTTTCTGTGTAAAACGCTGCCATTCACATCAGTTTTATAGTCAAGACTAATTTATATTCTGTTTAACCAACCCAGTTTAAAACTTTATGTCACATATGTTCACACTATATTATTTCAGTTTGACTCTGACTCCTACCCTAGGAAGTAATTTTATTGACTTTCCAAGTCTTAGGAGAGTGCTAATAACCCTTAATATTATGTGTACGGGCTTTGGGATTGAGATAAATTTTGGTAAAACTGTTGTCCTGACACTTGCTAGAGGTTTGCTATTGGGAAAACTACTTAATCTCAGCCTGAGTTATAAAATATCAGTGATAATAGTATGTAAATGATATTGCTGTGAATTTTAAATGAAATATAATGTGGACAAATGCTTAGTATAAAGATGTCAACAGATAAACTCTCAAGAAGCAATAGTTGTTAGTATTACATGTTGTTTCCTTAAGGTTTTTTCCTTCTAAGTTAACAAAAGGGTGTCAAGATGAATTTGTTCCTTAAAAAAAATGCCAAAGTCATGGTATGGATAAAACAACTTTCCTTGAGCCTGGTATGCTCCAAGTCAAATCTTGAAAAAGTCTTACGGCCAACTTTCCACCAACAGACATATTGTCTGCCTCTATAACAAAAACTCATAAAAGAAAAGAACAAATAAAAATGAAAAGAAAGTCTATTTTTATTGTCTGATAAGAAACAGCCATTTGAGCTACTATGGCCATTTTAAATAACAATGTATCTCAATGTTAAATTCCAAACTATTTTCAGATGTTAAATTTACAATACATGAAAAATAAAGATTTCAATTTCACTATCCTGTTCAGCATATAGATACAGGATTTTCTGTTTATCTGGTTCCATGTGGCTGACCTGAAGTTCAGTGAGCTCAGAATTTGATGCTGTCACTAAGAAAAAACTTAACTAATAAAATACTTATCTGGAACTGGGCATTGTTAGATTAGGAAGTCATAGAAAGAGAGGACAAAGATTGCCAAAAATACTAAATAAAGGCTACTGAATGAAGATCAAATATTTATCGGCTTCTTGGTATATGTTAAGCCCTCACCTAAGAGACATTGGAGGGATCCAAATACAAGGAAGACTTGGGCCCTAACTTCAAGGAGCACATGACTATGGATAAGAGTTAAGTAGATTTTACTTCTACAAGCAGAAGTTCAGAGAGGTAGAATGAAGGAATTCCAGCAAGAACCTTGAGAGAGTGTTTGGAGCATTCAGCAAGTTGGGACTGGGTCACTGAGGACAGTTCAGGCATGTAGGTAGTTGAGACATGATTGGAATGTAGGCTGAGGTCAGATTGTGCAAGGTTAAGTGTATGATTTTTTAAAAAATATTAAACCATTTTTTCAAAAGTCTGCATTCAGTGGGATAGGGTAACTCATGGAAGAGCAGCACTCCTCAGAAAAACTAAGAAAGCCGAGTGAAATATAGAAATCATCTGTCTGAAGGAAGTGGAGCATTATACAAGTACTGAAAAATAAAAGTAGAAAGGCTAAGATGACAAAAATGAAATAAACCTAGAGAGGTTAGCTGGCTTTTGTGTGCTTATCCCAGGGGTATATGCCAATTCTGCGCATGGGCAAGAAACAGAATCTAGGTTAAAGCTTAGTGAGAATCCTTGTGTTTCTGTGGTAGGAGAGGGTCGGGGTCGGGGCAGCAGGGGCTTGGGAGACTTCATGCACACGGTCAGTTTCCTTCTCAATTTTTCCAAACACTGGAGCTGCATGGGTGGAAGACTAAAAATCTGAACACAAAGCTTCTGGAAAGCAAAGTGGAAATTCTGGAATTCTGATAAGACAAAGATTAGAGTGTGGGACACACTAGAGGGAGGGATCAGCAGATTATGCTATATTTGTGATGAAAAATGCTGGAGGGTCATGCTTAAAGCAGAGCTAGAGCCTTATAGGGGTTCAACTCAGCACAGTCCCTGCTTATATTAAGGTGTCCAACCACCACTGCACATGGCCCTCAGTACACATGGGTTCTGCATTAGTGAATTCAACCATCTGCAGATCAAAAATATTCAGAAAAAGAAGCTCCACAGTGTTCCAAAAAGCAAAACTTGAAAATTTGAAGCAAAACTTCAGTAGTACACTGAATCCATGCAAATGAAGTAATGTGTAGGCACTGTATTAGGTATTATAACTAATCTAGAGGTGATTTAAAGTATACAGAAGGATGTACATAGGTTATATGCAAAGACTACACCGTTTTATATAAAGGACTTGAGCACCCACGAACATTGGTATTCATGGTATCCATGGATATTGAGGGACAACTATAACTGCCAACTAGAAGGAAGGGCAAATCCTCTATAATAGAAGATAAGACTCTCTAGGCAGAGGTGTCCAATCTTTTGGCTTCCCTAGGCCACATTGGAAGAAGAATTGTCTTGGACCACACATAAAATACACTAAAGCTAATGATAGCTGATGAGCTAAAAAAAAATTGCAAGACACATCTTATAACATTTAAAGAAAGTTTATGATTTGTGCTGGGCCACATTCAAAGCTGTCCTGGGCTGCATGCGACCCCTGGGCCATGGGTTGGACAAGCTTGCTCTAGAGCAAGGCTTGAAAAACTATGGCCTTTGAGCCAAATGAGCCATGACCTGCTTTTATACAATACTCAAGCTAAAACATTCTTTACATGTTAAAAGTTAGTTTAAAAAAGGAAAAAAAAAAGCAAAGAAAAATATGAGAAAGGGACTATGTGGCCTACAAAGCCTAAGGTATTTACTATCTGGTGAATTCACAAAATAAGATTTTCTGACCCTGTTCTAGAGCTTTTACAATTATTTGTACACACTGTTTGTTATTCAATTAAAAAATGAAACAAAACTTATTCTTGTAAAAGAAAGGGCTACATGACTGAAAATCAGGAGATAAAACAAACAATTGTAACAGATATACAGGTGATTCAGATATTGGTGTTGGCTGAGGAAGGTTTTAAAATCACTTCATTTAATATGTTCAAGAATTAGAGAAAAAGCTGGAAACATAGAAGGAAAAATAGAGTTGTGTGTGTTTGTTTGTTTTTTTGTTTGTTTTCCACAGAAAATAATCAAACGGAATTCTAGAGAAGAATATCTGTATTAAGAAATTTTCAGGTAATTTAATACATATTATGGCAACATTTGTGAAATGTAATACAAGACATTAGAAAATATGCAAATTCAATTGCAAATAAAAAAGGTGGAAAATGTAGAAAATTGTTTAAGACATACAGAGCAGAACTAAAAAAGACTAATATAACTTAAATTGGAGTTTCAGGGGGAGTTCCTTGTGAAAGGAGCAAAGCTCTGGAAGCAAAAAGAGAATTTTGGAGATGTACAGAAAGACTTTCCAAGTCTTTGGCTGAGTTATAATCTGCACATGAATATGGAAAACTGAAAACTACATAAGGCCTGAGAAATTTCCTGAAAAGGAATAGGAAAAACACTCCAAGACATTGAAAAAATTATTATAATGTCTTCATAGTTTCAAGACATTTACAGGCATACCTTGGTTTATTGCACTTTGCTCTACTGCACTTCACAGATAGTGCATTTTTCACAGATTGAAGGTTTGAGGCAACCCTGCATCGAGCTAGTATCAGCTCCATTTTCCCAAGAGCATGTGGTCACTTTGGATCTCTGCGTCTGCATTTTTTAGCAATAGATACTCTTAAATTAAGATATGTTTTTTCTGGCATAATTGCATAAAAATAGCTGACAGTATGGTGTAAAGGTAACTTTTATATGAACTGGGAAACCATCAAATTATGTGACTTGCAACATTCACTTTATTGCAGTGGTCTTGAATTGAAGCTGCAATATCTCAGAGGTACGCCTGTATTATAAATATATCTTAATTTTGTAGGTGGCAGAGGAAAGCCATGAGCACAAGAAAGAGAGTAATGGGAGAAAAAATAGAAAATTCTAGAGATAAAACTACAACATATGACATGAAAAATACACTGGTTGGGACTGACAGCAAATTAAATATTGCATAATAAAATATTAGTGAACTTGAAGACATAGCAATGGAAAATATTGAAAATAAATTATGGAGAGGCTATAAAAATACCAAAATAAATAAACAGACCATCAAGTAACTGGGTACTGTCAATTACTCATAGATATATGTAATTGAAGTCTCGGGAAAGGAATAGAAAGGAGGGAGGCAGAACACATATTTGAAGAACCAATGGCTAAAAATATCTAAATTTTCAAAAACTATAAACTCGCAGATTCAAGAAGCTCAATGACCTCTGACAAAATAAAAGTAATAGAACTACCCCAAAGTATATCTTAATCAAATGGTTGAAGACCAGCAATAAAGAAAAAATAAGCCAAAGGAAAAAAGATGTGTTATCTACAGAGGGCAAATACAAGAATTATCACAGATTTCTTATCATAAACAATGCATATGACTAGCTTGTTTTACTTGGCATAATGTACTCCAGGTTCAGCCATGCTGTCAAATATAACAGGGCTACCTTTGCTTTTAATGCTAAATCATATTCCATAAAGTGTATATGCCACATTTTCTTTATCCATTTATCCATTGATGGATATTTAGGTTGTTTCCATATCTTACTTTTGTGAATAGTGATGCAATAAACATGGGAGTTTATTACACATGGCAGATACTCCTTTGACATCCTGATTTCAATAATTTTGGATATGTACGTAGAAGTGGGGTTGCTAGTTAATATGGTAACTCTACATTCACTTTTTTGAGTAACTGCTATTCTGTTTTTCATAACAGCTGCACCAGTTTTCATTTCCACCAGCAGTGTACAGGGCTTTCAGTTTCTATACATCCTTGCAAACATTTATCTTTTGTTTTTTGATAATAGGCATTCCAGCAGGTATGAGATAATATTTCATCGTTGTTTTGATGTGCATTTTCCTGATAGTGATGCTGAGCACCTTTTTGTACACCCATTGGCTATTTGAAAGTCTTCTTTAGAGAAATGTCTGTGATCCCACTTACAATATATGAGGTATCTAAAATAGTCAAACACATAGAAGCAGCAACTAGAATGGTGGTTGAGAGCAACAAGGAGAAGGGAAAAATGAGGTGTTATTCAATGTGTATAAGGTTTCAGAAAATCCACATACTAAATTATAGAGATCAGCTGTACAACATAGTGTCTATACTTTACAATACTGTCTTGTGCACTTAAAGATTTATTAAGAGGGTAAATCCCATGTTAAGAGTTCTACACACACACACACACATACACACCCCCTAACACTTCTGGAAGTGATGGATATGTTTATTAATGATGGTGATGGTTTCATGGTTTCCAAACTCATCAAATTGCATACATTAAGTGTGTAAGTGTGTACTGCTTTTTAAGTTTCAATAAAGCTATTTTTTAAAAGAAACTATGCATGTGAGAAGTAATGGAGAGGTGTCAATAATGTACTGAAAGAAAACAATCAAACCTGTTGGCCCTAAATTCTTTAACCAGTGAAAATACCTTTCAAAAATAAGAAGAAATAAAAGCTGATAAAATGTACCACCTGGGAACATGCATGACAAAAATTGCTACAGAAAGTTCTTTAGGCAGAAGAAAAGAGCTGATGGAAATTTGGATCTCATAAAGAAATAAAATGAGCCCGAAATTATGACAGTGTGGAGGAACACAAAAACACTTTTTCAATTGAAAACGTTTTTAAAGGATATTTTACAAGATAATGGATTTAGCAATAACTTCTTGGATATAACACCAAGAACACAAGCAATAACAGCAACAACGAAAATAGGTAAGTTTGACTACACTGGAATAAAAAAAAAGTTTGTGTTTCAAAGGATACAGTCAACTGACTGAAAAGCCATCACCTAGAATGGGAGAAAATATTTACAAATCATGTTTCTGATAAGGGGTTAATATCCAGTATATATAAAGAACTCCTAAAACTCAAAACAACATCAACAAAACACTACACAACCCAATTTAAAAAAATGGGCAAAGGAGTTGAATAGACGTTTCTTTAAATAAGTATACAAATGGCCAATGAACCATGGAAAAATGTTTAATATCACTATTTATTAAGAAAATAAAAATTTAAAAACACAATTAGATAGTACCTCACACCCATTAGATTGGCTACTGTCAAAATAAAAGAAAATAACAAGTATTGACAAGGATTTGGAGAAGTTGGAACTTTTGTGCAGTGTTGGTAGAAGTGTAGAATAGTGCAGCCTCTATGGAACACAGTATATCAGTTCCTCAAAACTGTAAATGTAGAATTACCACATGATTCAGCAAGTCTACTTCTGGGTATATACTCCCCAAATTAAAAGTAAGTTCTTGAACATATTTCTGTACAGCCATATTCATAGCAGCATTATTCACAATAGCCAAAAGGTAGAAGCAATCCAAGCATCCACTGATAAATGAATGGATCAACAAAATGAGGTATATACCTATAGTGGAAGATTATTCAGCCTTAAAAAAGGAAAAACTTCTGACATGCTACACCATGAATGAACCTGGGAGAAAATTGTACTAAGTGAATTAGGTCAGTAAGAAAAAGACAAATGCTGTGTGACCTCACTTCTATAAGGTACCTTGGACAATCAAATTCATAGGAAGTAGATTGGTGGTTGTCAAGAGGCACAAGGAGAATGGAAAGGGGAGTTGCTGTTTAATGAGTATAGAAATTTCATTTGAAAAATGAGAAAAGTTCTGGGGATTGGTTGCAAAGCAGTGTGAATACCCTTAACTCTACTGAACTGTACACTTAAAAGATGGCTAAGATGGCACATTTTATGTTATATGTATTTTACCACAGTTAAAAATAAAATTAAAAGATAATTTATAGTTTAAAGCATGTATTTGAGATATATGTGATAGGCAGAAATCATTTGCATGACAGCAATCACATAAAGAAAGGATTAAATAAATAGAAGTATGCGCTATAAAATTCTTATGCGGCATATAATATGGATTACTATTTGAAAGCAAAGTGCAGGTTAAAGATGTATATTGTAAATCTCAGAGCAACCACTATACAATTAAACAAAGAGGAATAGCTAATAAACCAACAGTAGAACTAAAATTGGATCATTAAAAATTAAGTATGAGGTGATGGGTATGTTTGATTGTGGTAATCATTTCAAAATGCATATGAATATTAAAATATTACATTGTAGATCATAAATATATAAAATTTTACTTTGTTAATTATATCTTAAAGCTGGGAGAAAAATACAACAGACTTTATAAAACTAGTTGTAACATAAAAGGTATCTTAAATATTTGATTAACTTTAACAAAGAAACAAAGAAACACAGCAAGCAGGAAAAATTGAAAGTAATTGTAATCATTGATAGTACACTAAATGTAGATATTATACTAATATAGATATTTAGACTGTGTGAATATTCTACTTAAAAGTAAAAAGTCAGATTGAATTAAAAAAGCAAAACCCAACTATATATTGTTTATATATTGTTTAAAAAAGAAACCCACTTAAAATATAAAGACACCAAGATTTAATGTGTAATGATAGAAAAATATAAACCTAGAAAATACAAATAAAAAGAAATTAAAATACCTATATTAATATGAGACAATGTCAATTTTAAAACAAAGTATTACTAAGGGTAAAGTGAAACATTATATAATGAAAAGGTGTCAGTTTATCAAAAGATAAAATGATCTTAAATGTGTATATACCTGATAACAGAGCTTCAAAATACGTGAAGTGAAAACTTGCAACACTACAAGGAAAAATAAGCAAATTACATCCCATGCAAACAGAAATAATCCTGCAATTGTAGCTGGGAATTTCAACACTTCTCATTAATTGATAGAATAAGTACAAAGAAAACCAATAGGATATAAAGGACTTGGATAATAATATTAACCCACTTACTAAATTGATATTTACAGTGCATTCCTTTCGAAACCAGAAGAATACACCTTCTTTTCAAATGTACACAAAACTTTCTGCAAAATAAACCATATTCTGGGTCATAAAACAAGTCTCAATAACTATAAAATGATTGAATTTATACAAAGTATATTGTCTGAACACAAAAACGTTATTCTAGAAATCAATTACAAAAAGATTTCTGGGAAATGCTCACATGAAAAAGCAACTTCTGGTTAAAGGAGAACCCAAGAAAAAATAGAAAATACTTTGAAGACCAAAAATAAAAATAATAGTTTAAGATTGTAGCTAAAGCAGTTTTTAGAGGGAAATTTAAAGCAATAAAGGCTTACATTAGAGAATAAGAATAGTCTCAAATCAATGTTAGAAGTGTTTGCCTACAAACTAGAAAAACAAATATAAAATTAATCTCAAAATAAGAAAAATTAACAAATGCAGATAAGAACAGAAATTAATAAAATGAAAAAGAAAATACGATAGGAAAAAAATCAATCAACCCAAAAGTTGGTTTTTTGAAAAGATCAGTGAAATTAATACTACACTTCTGGTCAGACTGATCAAGAGAAAAAAAAGAGAAGACCAATTTTGAATATCATAATGAAAGAGAAGTATCATTCCTTTAGGCACAAATTCAAGTTAGATGTAATGTCACCAGATACCAAAAGTCACCCAAGAGAAAAAAATAACTGTAATAACCTTACATCTATTAAAGGTATAGACATCGTAGTAAAAACTTTTCCACAAAGAAGACTCAAGGCCCAGATATCTTCCTTGGTGAAATTCCATTAAAGATTACAGTTAGAAATAATATCAACTTTATGTAATTTTACCCAGAAACAGAAGAGGGGAGAATAATTCCCAAATCATTTTATAATATCTGTATTACCTGTTGTCAAAACCAGACAACAAAGTAACAGGAATACTGTAGTATAATAGCCCCAGGGAACAGAGGAAACAAACAAAACTTTTAAACAAAATTTTAGCACATCAACTGAGGAAAGTATAAAAAGTGTAATACATCATGACTGAAATCAGTCGCAGATGCTAAATGAATTTAATAGAGTGGTGTACTGCTAAATGTTTAGCAATGAGGTCCAGTGGGGTATAGCAAGAAGAAAAACTAATTTGCAACATTTGCCAGTTTCCCTGGTGTAGGTATTCCCACCGTGGCAGAATTCTATCCAGCTATCGTTGTTCAGGTCTCTGAACGCAGAGTTGGAAAAGATGCACACAATTGACATACCACAGGCTTAACGTTTAAAAGTCAATTCAAGTAATCCATCAGATTGCCAGACTATAAGATAAAAATAAATAATCCTCCCAATAGAGGCAGGAAGGGTGCCAGGATGGCCAAGCGATCGAGGGTGCTGGACTTAATAGATGCCAAAAAATCATTTGAATATATTCAATATATGTTTATCAAAAAACTGAGTGTATTAGTTTTGTAGGACTGCCATAAAAAATGATTACAGACTTGGAAGTCTAAAAACAACAGAAATTTATTTGTTCACAGTTTTGGACACTAGAAATACAAAAACAAGTTGTCATCAGGCTCATACTTTCTCTGTAAGCTCGAAGGGAAACTCTTCCTTGCCTTTTCCTAGCTTTCGGTGGTTGCCGGCAATCCTTCACATTACTTGGGTTATAGATGCATCACCACACTCTCTGCTTCCACCTTCAAATGGCTTTCTCTGTGTTTGTCTATGTGTCTCCTTTCTTCTTATAAAGATACCAGTAATTTTGTAATAAGGTCTACTCTAATCCAGTATGACTTCATCTTTGCTTGATGAGAACTGTAAAGACCATATTTTCAAATAAAGTCATATCCACGGATACTGGGGGTTAGAATTTAAACATATCTTTTTAGAAGACACAATTCAATCTACAACATTAAGCAACCTAGGGTAAATGGCATCTACAAAAACTTACCACTAATGGTAAAAGATCAAATGCTTTCTCTCTAAGATGCGGAAAAAAAGGCAAATATTTCTGGTCCCACCACTTTTATTCAATATTATACTGGAGATCTAAATGAAAGCAATAAGGCAAAGCAAAGAAATAAAAGAAATACAGGTTGAAAAACAAGAATAAAATTGTGTTGATCTACAGGTAACATGATTGTTCATGTAGAAATTCTTAAGTAATCTACAAAATAGCTACTAGAGCTAATGTATGAGTTTAGTATGATCACAGATGAAAAGACAGGTATCCAAAAGTCAATTGTATTTTTGTATCCTTGTAACAAACAATTGGAAATTGAAATGAATAATTGCCTCTTCTATTATATAAAGTGAGAAATAATTGGGGATAAATGTAGCAATATACATTCAATACTGTATGCTTTAATACTATAAAATATTGCTCTGATAAATGAGAAAATAAATGGAGAGAGATATATAAGCATAAATAGGAAGGTTCAACATAGTTCAGATGTAAATTCTCAAAGTGATCTGAAAATTCAATGCAATCTCATGAAAATCTTTTCAAGTTTTCTATAGGAATTCAAAAAGTAATTCTAACAAATATATGAAAATGGGAATAATGTAGAAACCAAGGCAAAATTGAAAAAGCAGAATCAATTTTGAAAAAGAATGACTTACCCTATCTGAATTCAAGAATTATCATAACTCTCTAGTAATTGACAGTATTATATTGGCATGGAGATAAATATAAATCAATGCACCAAAACAAATTCCAGTAATGGATCCACACATATATGATCAATAAATTCCAGTAATGGATCCAAACATAGATGATCAATAGATTTTTGAAAAGTTCCAAGGAAATTAGTTGGGAAATTTCAATAAATGATACTGAGTCAATTGGATATTTATACTCAAAAGAATGAACCTCAGTTATTATTTCACACTATATATACAAAAAACCCCTCAAAATTAATCATAAACATAGGAAATAAAAAGATAAAACTTCTAATAGAAAACAGGGGAAAAATACTTTCCCTTTTTTTAGGCTTGTCAGTTGGCAGGAGAGTTACAGGAAAAATTCTCTTTGGTTGTGGAATGAAGAGGCATGTAAATACTCCTCCCACCAAATAGCCATCCTAAGAAGGGGGTAATAGAGATTTTAGTGTTTTCCCTAATAGATGTAAGTTGCTTTTGCTTCTTTTTTCTTTATACCCTATCTCATGTAACCCTATTTCATACATAAAGGGTTACATAAATTTCTGGTCCTTTTTTTCCCCCGTTATCATTTTGAAAACTTATTATTTTATAACAAGAAATCTGAAATTTTAGTGATTTATAAAACAAGTGTATATTTTCTAAAGTTCTGGAATTTGGGCAGAATTTGGTGGGATCTTTTTGTTTCAACTTCCTGTGACATTAGCTAGGATCACTCATTCAGGTACATTCAGCTGGCAGCTCAGCCAGGATGATCTAAGATGTCCACCAGTTCTCCAGGGCTTCTCTCCATGTGTTCTCTTATCATTCAGTACTTAAAACCAGAGCTTATAAGGCAGCAGGACCCTAACAGAAGCATTCATGTGGATACACCTCACTGTGTAAGCTGTTGTAAAGCCTCTGCTAGCATCATGCTTGCTGATGTCGCATTGACCAAGGCAAGGCACACCGCCAAGACCAGATTTAGTGTCGGAGGGGATGATACAAGGTATTCATGCCTGGAGATGTGTGACATTGGAAGTCTCCAATGTAACAATCTGAGACACAGTAAGAGCCCTAAGTATGTAGCTTTCTTTTGTCAGAATGCCACTGCTGCTTATTGCTCACTATGTTTGGGTTCTCTGGAGGTGGGAGGAAAGACATTCTCTGACAATTTCCCCGTAAGTTGATTTTGCTAATACTATTTGATTTCTCTTGGATTCTAGTTCTTATGGAATGATTGCTCTTTTGCAGAGATATCTTCCAAGCCTCTTTTAAGAACAGGTTTTATTTTATTTTATTTTATTTTATTTTATTTTATTTTATTTTTTTCCACATGTTAATCTAACCCTATTTAAAGTTAAATCCAGCCAGGCGTGGTGGTTCACCCCGTAATCCCAGCACTTCAGCGAGATGGGCGGATCACCCGAGGTCAGGAGTTCGAGACCAGCCTGCCCAACATGGCGAAACCCCATCTCTACTAAAAATAAAAAATAAAAAAATAAAAAAATAGCCACGCATGGTGGTAGAAACCTATAATCCCAGCTACTCGGGAGACTGAGGCAGGAGAATGGCTTGAAGGTAGTCGGAGGTTGCAGTGAGCCAAGATCACACCACTGCACTCCAGCCTGGGTGACAGAGCAGGACTCTGTCTCAAAAAAAAAAAAAAAAAAAAAAAGAGAAAAAAAAGTTAAATCCTCTAGCCAATGCTTACCAACTTTAAAAATCACAATTATTTTCTTTTTTGTGATGAATTTACTGTTACTATTTTTTTCTAAATATTCTTTCCATCTTTTTCTGAGATTTGTGGTTGAAGTAAGGTAAATGTAAGTAAGCTCAGCCAAACATAAGTTGCTATAATGAGGAGATAAATTACTCTAGTTGGGTTCTATCTTTTAATTCTTCCTATTAGAACTAACAACTTCCCCTATTTTTAAAATTCCCACAAGTCACACCTGTTGATATTTATGCCTTTCTGTATTTCTCACCTTGATTCCAGACGTGACCACCTGCTTGCCTTCGTCAATGGGGTATTAGCAACCATTATTCTAACAGAAGCATATTACGTGTTTTCATACTGGGACTTGTGCTCTTGCAATGCTCCTTCTTGAAATCAAGCAGCCATGCTATAAAGTGGCCCAGGCTATTCTGCTGGAGGGAGGTAACATGGAGAGGCACCAGTGGTGAGATACCAACTGAGAGGAAGGACTTGTCAAGGAAATCTGCCAGAATCCCAGTGAAATTCAGACACAGGAGTGACCCTAGCCAAGACCAAGTAGACCAGAAGATCTCGCCAGTCAAATCACAAAATCATAAGAAACTACAAATTATGGTTTTAACCTGCTAAGTTTTGGAGAGTTTTGTTATGCAACAATAAATAACTAAAACATGCACAAAGAGGCCAGTCACCTTGGCTCATGCCTGCAATCCCAGCACTGCAGGAAGCTGAGGTGGGTGGATCACCCGGGAGTTCAAGACCCACCTGGGGAACATGGCGAAACCCCGTCTAAAAAACCAACAATAAACAAACAAACAAAACACACACAAAAATTAGCCAAACATGGTGGTGCCTTTCTGTAGTCCCAGCTACTCAGGAGGCAGAGATGGGAGGATCACTTGAGCCAGGGAGGTGGAGGTTGCAGTGAGCCGCGATCATGCCACTACACTCCAGCCTGGGCAACAGAGCAAGACTCTGTCTCAAAAAATAAAATAAAATAAAATAAAATAAAATAAAATAAAATAAAATAAAATAAAATAATTATAAAATAAAATAAAACATGCATAACGGGAAGCCCTACCCTCAGACAAACTAGACTACTCAAACTTCTTAGAAGTTCTTTTTCTTTTTGTCTCTTCTGTGATTTACTTATGTTTTTACTTCCGTCTGAAGTGTAAAAGCCCCTCTGCCTATTGAAATCTTATACCTCCTTCAAGTTATTGAGATATTAAATATTGAGCAAAGCGATAAAGGTATCCTGTATTTCTAATATGTTTTGGCTTATATTTCTTTACTTCTGACCAAGCAGAAAATTCCTTCAGGATTTATGGTTGTCTCTATTTTCATTAACCAGTCAGAGCTACAACACTGTATTTATTATTTTAAGCCCAAGTGATTGTAAACTGTCGACATGCCAAGAAAATGGCTATTGTAGATGATTGAAACTGTTTCAGGAGTCCATTTTCTTCTTCAGCTGCCTAAGCCTTACAATAAGTCAAAAATGGACCCAGTGATAATAATTTTAGCAACTGTTTATCGAATGCTTGCTATCCTGTGTTAAGGTGCATGTGTAACCCAAGTGTTTCCGGACCTCAGCATTCTATGTCTGCCAAAGATGGTTATTATCTAGAAGTCACAATGTTATTCTTCTCCTATCCTGGTTCCACTTTTTTATACTTCTGCTCACAAATTCACTTGGTGAAACAAATCTCCTAGTGTGATTTCCTCCCATGAAAAATGCCAATCTACACTAGGAATGTGGTTTCCTGGTGATCCGAAAACTTAGGACTCTTTGGTTTGGAATGTCAGAGTGTTGCTGAGAAAAATAGCTTCTTGCCTAATTCATTCCCATGCTTTATTATCTGGGTCCTGAAACATGCCGGCTTGTACAGAGATTTTCATAGATGACGATGATGATGATGATGATTGTGTTGATGATGGTAATAGATAATAAATATTTAGTGATCCTTGGACCATGCACTTTACTTTTTATCCACAGTTTTCATTAAATATACCAAGCCAACTCTGTGAGGTAAAACTACTATCATCACCAGTTCACATATGGAAACAGAAAGAAAAGTTAAACTGCCCAAGAGTAAACAAGTTTTCAATGTCATCAATTTTTGTTTATCACTCCCAAAGAAGCACAGGAGGCACTTTCAACCTATCCCCAATTCCACCTTCCTTATTATATAACCAAAGCTCCCCGCTTTATAAGAGAATATAATATGGAGGGAAGATATGGATATGGAGGGAAGGAGGATATGGAGGAGACATCTGCATTAAGAATATATGTTTCTAAGCTCAGACAAAAAATGACTCATCATACCTGTATTATCTTCCTATTCTAAACAAATAAAAATATGTATGATTATATTGTTAGCATTGTTCTTATTTTATAACCAAGGAAACTAACACTCAGCAATGTTAAACAACCTGTCCAAGCTCACAAAAGTATCATGTGATTATGAGTGGAGTAATTAGGAGTGGAGACTGAGCTCATAATCAGTCTGTAATAATAACTTCTGGAGGACCTAAAGAAGTGAAATACAGAGAACACTGAGTTTGCATAAACTGGGAACTTCTAATATTTACTTAGAAGGAAACTTTACATCTCGTGCAATCAATTTAAACAGAGAGACTTACAGTATCTAAAGGTGTATGTGGAGACTTTCTATATATAGAAAGATAACCTGCAGAAATGAATGATTAACCACGTAAATCAACCAGCAGAAATGTATCTGTAAAAAAGTAATTTTGCATTTATGTTCCAACATTGATTTTATAACTTCAGGCTTTCAGAGGAGATGAGAAAAATGCCCTATTTTCCCCCCAGTTACTTTTAAGTCCCTGCCCAGAAATAAATGCTGTCCTCATTTTCTTCAGTAAATGCCATCTTAGCTGTCATTTACTTTTCATATTAAAATATTTCTATTCCAGGTAATGTTTGTGCTGTAAGAGGAACTGGTCTACTTTTTATTGTATATATCTTTAACAAATCTTAACTTTTCGAAATAAAAATTAGTGAAGAAAGAAATAAGATGAAAAAGAAGGTATTTACTGAACCCGATGTATTTATGAAGAAAGGCAGATGGGTACATTACATAATTATAAAATTAGGTTTTGTTTGAATTTGCAAATGTTTGCTATGTTAATGCATTTTATATAACATTGAATCCTAGGGTATATAGTCCAGGGGAAAAGAGAAAATTTTATGCTATCCCTCTACAAAATGCATAAATGGAGAGCAAAAAGATGAACACAGTTTAGTCTGAGATTAAGCTATATTTTTATCATCAATTAACTACTTTTTTGGAGTTTGTTTTTACTTCAAATATACCTTCTTATTCTAATACATTTCTTTCATATACTAGGCTCATATTGCAAATCTTTTTATTTAGTTGGGTTTCTTAATATTAGGTAAACTATGCATATTCAGAGATGAGAATACACCACTATTTCATGTTTTTAGCCAGGAGGATGTTGTGGCCATTGACAAGAATGGCCTACACATCTGATAATCTCCAGCAAGTAAGATGTAAATTCTCCCACATTTATACCTATAGCAGAGGATTTGCAGTTTATAATTTTATTAAATGAAATGACCCATATAATATCCTTGATGAAAAGCATCTTCTTATAAGGAATTGCCTTCTTCATTAAAATAAACATGTAAAGGCTTCACTGTTTTACCCCTAGTAGGAAAATCACTACATAGAGAGAAGCAGTTGGGCTGAGTTACTCCACCTCATTTACTCTTGATTTGTGATTTTTCTACCTTCACCTACTCTCCACTAACTTTTTTCCCCTCAGTTCTCATTTGAGCATGGACACAGAGCCTTTTTTCTTTGTGGTCTTTAGCACGGTGAAGAGAAAGGAGTTTTCAAAGGTTTTACAAAATACTAAGGTACGATAAAAAGAGACATGAGCATACAAACTATCTGAGGCTTAAATAGGTTTCGGATTCTACCACAACTAGTTTACTTCAAGACCACAGATGCATGAGTGAGTCTAGCTGAGTTCAAACAGCAGAAGAACCCTACAGCTAGCTTTGATCAAAATTCTAACCCATAGAATAGTGAGCTAAACAAATGGTTGTTATTTTAAGAACTAAGTTTTGGAGTGGCTTGTTATGCAACAAAAACTAAGTCATGGAACATGGTTCATAATAATCTATTTTAATTGGGAAAGATACATTCAAATATCAATATTATCTTTCAGCTTCTGTGAGTACATGAATATGAGAGAGAGAGAATTTTCAAATGGCTCTAGGATACTGTGTGCCTGTCTTCCCAATTAAGGTTAACTCTAGTATGGCAAAGTAAATCAACACTTGACTAGAAACTGGCCCTGTTTCCTTTTCCTTTTTTTTTTTTTTTGCGACTGAGTCTCACTCTGTTGCCCAGGCTGGAGTGCAGTGGTGCGATTTCAGCTCACTGCAACCTCAGCCTCCCAGGCTCAGATGATTCTCCTGCCTCAGGCTGCAGAGCAGCTGGGATTACAGGGGTACACCAACACGCCCAGCTAATTTTTGTATTTTTAGCAGAGATGGGGTTTCACCATGTTGGCCAGGCTTGTCTCGAACTCCTGACCTCAAGTGATCCACTGGCCTTGGTCTCCCAAAGTGCTGGGATTACAGGCGTGAGCCACCTCACCCAGCCTCTCTTTCCTTTTGACCTCAGAACACATGAACCACTAGTGGGTCAGTTTCATTATCTAATAGTTGTTTTGATAAAGTGTTCAGCAAAGATGCTTTCTATCAAGGAACAGAATGCCAATAATCAAAATCTTCACAGCATCTATTATTGTTTGTGTGAAAAAAACTATGTTGAAAATAGAGATACAGTAAGGATAGTTCAATGTGCATTTTCCATTTTTAAGTTGAAATTGTGATTAAAAAATATGCTTGTGCATTTTGAAGGTTGTCAATACAAAATATTTTGCTGGCTATCTAATCAAATATTAAGAGGTTTCACCATGATAGAATTTTACTCTCTCAACTTTAACTGTGTTAAAGTTCCCCAATATGTTAAAATTTCCTAATGTGTTTAGAAACATTTCCAAAGAAAAATATAACACAATTCTTGAACCATAATACAGATCGTTTCACTGAAGTACAATTTCAGGGAACTCTTCAAAATGTGACAATTTTTTTGCATCTTCTCACTCAGCTTACTCCTTGCCAAGAACATTTGATTCTCTCAAATTTTTAATTATCATGAACCTGTCTTGAGCAATGCAATTTTGCTGACTGATATTTTGAGAACTAAGAGGAATGTAAGATGTCAAAGGGCAATAATTGGAAGTTACAAATTAAATGTTTAATGATCCTATTATCATACAGAATTACTTTGACTAAAACATGACAAATTATTAAAATTGGTATGAAGTACCACTACATAATGAAATAAGGAAGAATTTTGGGTACAAAACTTTTTTACTACATTGCATATAAAAATAAGGTAATTATATCTATGGACAGAATTTGCACTTAGTTTTCTGACACAGAGAAGTCATCATCCCATTTTCATTAGACATTTATGTCATAATCAGCTCCGTGCAAGATGCTGACATACAGAGATTAATAAAAACAACCCATTGCACCCTGTCCTTATAAGGATTAGATTTTTAAAAAAACATATCAAGAAGGGAAGAAACAATGTCAAATGATGGATTGAAAGACAAGAGAACATTATCTTTTTTCAAAGAAGAACTAAGCTATATATCGAATATACAACACATATCTACAAATAAACACATATGTAAACATAGGCATGCAAGAAAATATTCATTAAAGTTTTAAATATTTCAATATGTCCATGTCCCATTTAAGATATGGATTTGTCTAAATTATAGCTGTAGAGTAGGAGACATAATAAACATTTGGAAACTTCAAAAGATAATTATATGGGCATTAACATGATAATATTAACAAAATCATAACTGATGGAGACGGGAGGTACAGACATGAGGGAGGCAGAATGCCATCAGGGTAGAAACATCATGAGCAGCCTCTGTGTCTGAGTCATGCATTAACTATCCTGCTTGAACTGGGTGTTCCACATAGAATCTCAGTGTTTAAATACATAGGCCAAGGCATTACCAACAGAAAGTGTGGTTTTATTTTTGGATGTCTACAACTACATATAACTCAATAAGCTTGAATTTAACAGAGACATTTTATATCAGTTCTTTTAAGAAGACTAAGTCCCTCAAATACTTTTTCATGGCTGGTAATCAGGTCATCTAGGTGTCAGACTAGAAACAATGATTTTGTCTTTTGGGCCTCACAAAAACAATGATCTTAGTGTTTCCACTATCGATTATTTTTAAATGGCTTTTGGATCAGGGTTTACTTTGTTTTATACTTGTGTATGTGCCTTCTCTGCAGCAGTACAAATTTATTATAATCTATCTGGACCTGCTATCCTTAAGTAAATAAATCATCATTTTACAAATTTAAAAGTACTGTTATGTAGATCGATGGAAGAAAATTTGGAGTATTTTAGTATCAAAAGTTATCCTGTGGGTTAACTGATTCAAGTTAATCCTTTTTGATATTTGAATAGGACCTGATGTTGGGTAAACCACTTACATAACACAGTGTATGAATGGTATAATAGCTGTCTTCATTTTGCACCCACCATGTCTACTATGCTATCAGGGCAATGCATTAAGTAAATGAAACACGAAAAACGAGATTTTAATTGGATTAGATAGAATTTAGGTACCATCTTTCCCCTATTTAAAAAAAAGTTGCCAAGATTAGATTTCTACATAACAATAATTTAATATAAAATGACCTCTAAATATTAGTGATATTGGGCTTGCATTTTCTTAGTTATGTAAAAAAAGAATAAGAACATTTAGTCTCCAAGGCTGTTTTGGGGATGAACTGTACTGTAACTTACATTGTACTGTAATTTATTTTTTCCCTACCAGAAACTAATGTCCTTGTGGATAGGGTCTTGCTTATCTTTTTTTCTGAAGTGACTTTATATCCTTAGCTTGTAGTAGTCACTCTAGTTTTCAATTCTTAGCAATAAAATAACCCAAAAATATGCTTAAACACTTGAAATGAAAAGAAAGTTAATCAAATTAATGAGATTTCCTTATAGTAAGAAGGTGCTATAGGAACTTTTCAAGAAATGGATTTTAACTTGAAAGTTCAGTTTCATATTTAATGTCACCATTTGCTTCTTAAAGGCAAATTTACAGTTACAGAAATACTGTATAACTTACTGAATCATTCGGAGGGTTATCACTAAAAATTTCTTCAAATGTGCTTGACAAAATTTCCCCAAATAGAATATCTTTGTCTGTATATATTTTTAAAATGTTTTATTATAAGATACTTAGACCAAAAAGGTAAATATAGATCATAATATGACATACCCATGTACTACACTAATTTATCTACATGTTAACATTTTACATATTGTCTTAAGGTTTCCTTTCAAAATGAATGAATTTCAAAAACATTGAGTGAAAGAAGCAAGTTGTAGGAGAGAATGTAGAGTATAATGCATTATCATAATTCTTATTACATTACCTATGTCACAATCATTACACATATCATTATATCAAAATTATACATAAATATTTGAAACTACAATAAAATAATTTATCATTTTAATTGCTTTAGCTATCCATTTATTTGTTGAATAGTATTATTTAAGTTACTTTTATATGTACCATGCACAATGCAAAATGCATAATCTGTGTTATCTATTACCAAAGAATTTACCATGAGTTAGAGGTGACACACTGTAAATGGTAAGGCAATTTAGAAGAATAGCTGCACAAAGACACAAACAAGTGTCTTACATGTTCCAAGATGTGACTGATTGTCTCTGTCTAGTGTGAAGACACTGCAGATGGCTTCGTGAAATTCTCACAGTAGCGGGTAGAAGAAATGATATTTGGATTGGGATTTAAAGGAGTGCTAGGGGAAGATGAAGGGAAATGAACAGTATGGAATATGGCTACAAAAGGGGTGAGCACTAGATGTTTTCCATGAACAGACAGTAGTGCAGTTTTGTTCATGGATAGGGGGCATAAGAGCAATTTTGAGAATTTAGTCCAGGTAAAAGCTTTGTGTATATATTAGGGAGGTTTGAATTCCAGGTAAACTATTTAAAGGCATTATGATAAGCAATGCGAAGTCACTTTAGTAGGCGCTATGCATCTTCATTGAGCTTCTCCCTCTCTGCCCACCATTGCAGCAAGGGCAATTATTAAAAAAAAAAAATGTGCCAGCAGTGCTCAATATTCATAGTGTTAGTCCTGTTCCACTTACATCTGATTGTTGCTATTTTTCCCATTTTCTGTTTCCTCCTCTGCTTATCCCTTCTCGTTCTATTGATAACTTGCTTTTACCTGATCCTATCTTTGGTTCAATTCTCCCAGCTTTCCCTCTTTTATTTCCCTCACTCTGGGGTGAAATTATCTATAGGGTGTGATCCTAGGACTTCTCTTCCCGTAGACTGCCATCCCTTGCCGTGCCATCAGGTCCTGTGTATCTCCCATTCTAACAGTTCTATGCCAAAATAGCCCTGATTTCCCAGGAATGCAATCCAATTTTCATACTCTGGGCTTTCGTATCACTTGGCTTTCATTTGGATAATGCAATGGATAAGCAATAGTGCTAACTGTATTTAATCACTTAAAATCCTTGAGTGTATTAATTAGCACCTCTGTGTTCAAAGATTTCATATCATTTAAATCCGATATAACCAAAGTAGTCTGGAGACATTAGTGAATTTAGATTAAATTACTGTTAAAATCTCACCTAAATCATTGGATTATTCAGAGCTATATGTAACAGCTGAAAGGTAACGGCTTCTTTAACACAGCAGGCCAGGGTTGTGGCAGTTACACTGTCAGTAGACACCTTAAGAACTATAAGAAAGCAAAAGAATCAAGTAAATTGGCAACTGGCTTTCAAAGTGAATAGTATACTGTTCCACATGGATAAGACAGATGCTGTTAAAATTTCAAGTGTTGAAGTGGAAGAAAATTTCCATATAATCATAATGTATGGCAACTCAGTGAGCATTCAAAACTCATTCCTGAGATAGTTTTTCCCAAATCAAAGCCTGAGGGAATGAGATATCTTAAATTCTTTATCTTGTAAATAGCAGCCGTAGCTAAAGCAAAACTAAAACTAAAACAACGATATTTGTTAGGGGCCCCCAGAAGGGAACTTTCTACCATGTAGTTTTCATTACTACTTTTACTTTATGTCACACTATCATTTTTCATTTGTTTTCTCATTGCAGTTCTCTCTTCCTTTAGAATGAGTTGGTACTTTGAAAGAATTAGCACTTCCAAAAAAGATTTCCAGTAAAAATACCAGATAAAAAGACAAAAGTTAATTCAAACATTTTGCTTTTCTTCATCGTGGATGTGAAAAGGTAGTTTCTGTGCAGAGAATTCTCAATAGATGGACAAAAAGGTTATAAGCGCAGGACCCATGAAAATATTTCAATAGATTCTGAACTGAGGAAACAGTAAGTTAATGTATGCTTTTCTTAATTATGTTTTTTTTTTTCTGGAGAAGGTCTCCATTATTTGTAAATATAGATCTGTGAAACAAACAGATAAACAAAAGCCACCAAGAAATACAAACTATTCTATTCTGTTTTGTTAAGACCTTATTTTTATAACACATAAATGAAGGATAGCTAATGTTTTTCATCAGCTATATATAATATTGGCTTTCAATTGCTAGTAAACTAAATATGGACAAAATTTTAAAATAAAAGCAAATTTAAAAATCAAAGGGCATGCCACTTGCTGGCCTTAATGGTAGGGCTTGCACCAGACCAAAGCAGACACTGAGAAAAAGTAATGAACCCTGATTAAAAAAAAAAAAGGCTTTTTGAACACTTCCTAGAGCTTCCACAAGCCAGAAGCAGAGAAGAAAAATGCCAGAGAGAAAGACACAGAGAGAAAAAGAACTCATTGAAGTAAGCTCCAAAATTTGTATACTACTTTTCCCCTCCAGGCATTTGCCTACCCTTAGGTAGGGAGAGAAGCCAAGAAGCTGGAAAGTGGGAGGAGCTAAGAGGCTGAAAGACTAGTAGGGCTTTCATCAATTTTACAGTGCTGGGCAGGAAAGAAATGAAATCCAGAAACACCAAATCAGCCAGAATTTCACACCAAGATTCTAGGAAAAAGAAGATAAACAGAAATGAGACTAGCACCCTTTTTCAGTTTTTGCATCATGGATTTTTCTTATTCTCAAGCTTTTGCTAGAAAGAAAAGTCTAAGAAGGTACTTAGAAAGGACTCAAAAGGAAGGCAAAGTTTGCTGAGGTCTTACAGTGCTGAGGAGACAATAATTAGATTTCAGGATCCACCAAGAAAGAGAAATTTGAAATCCCCTTATAACAAGTTTATTCAGTGATCTGATTTAGGCAATTTGCTGTCTTCTGTGTCCTAAAGGATAAGGTGAATCTTCTTTGAATGAACATAGCATTATCCAGAAACTATGATTTCTCTAATAGAATGTCCAACATTAAATAAAATATAGAAGGTATACCAAGCAAAAGGACCAAGAGAAGGGGAAAAAAAGAGAAAATAAAAATAGAAAGAAAAGTGACCTTGATATTGGATTATTAGAATCATCAGATTGAAATTTAAAGTAACTATTTTAATTGAAAATTCAAAAGAGAGCTGTGATCTCTATAATCAAAGGGAAATTCAAGAACAGAACCACACATAAACTGAATTTAAGAACCAACTAAGAGATTGTATAGTATTGAAGAGAGTTTTGCAGAACAAGTTTTGCAGAACAACTGAAAAATAGATCAGTATAAAACAATCTGAATGAAGTAGAGAATAAAAATAATGCATATGCAGAAGAATGGAATATGCATAAGAGATATATTGACCACAGTAGATGCATCTATTACTTGTATAACTGATGCCCACTGTTACAGACTGAATGATTCTGTCTTTCCAAAATTTATATGTTAAAACCTAATTCCCAATGTGATGGTATTTGGAGGTAGTTAATGTCTTTCAGAAATTTTGGCATGGATAGCTGTAATATTAAGTAGTATTGTAGTTTTGACTCTATCATTGTGGTAAAATAATATTGAGGTGAGTTTGGTTTGGTTATCTAGGATTAAGAAAGTTTAATTAACCTTCAAATCTATTAAACAAAAGAGTGCTTTTAATCATGATGAATTTTTAAGTTTATACATATACACCCCTCCAAATTCACTTTGTTCCACTGCCTTTGTTACTGTGCTTTGAGGGAGTAATTATATTCACAATAGTTCAAAGCCATCTTGGCATAGCCATAAAGAAATCAAAATAAATGCCTGGCAAATAAGAACTGACATGAGCCCTAAACAGGTGATAGAGATATTCTGCAAATTGCTACTGTCAGCCCTGTCTTGTACTAAATATTATTGTCTAATAGGACAGATCTCATATTTTTAAAAAAAGTTTCGTTACTTAGGAACTTTTTATCCTCCATATTTCTGAATAATTTTATTGGCCCTCAAAATTGTATCTGAAAATTTTATTTAGGTTGCATTAAATTTATAAATTAGTTGGCAGATAATTGACATTTGTGCCATTCCAGAGCTGAAAATATGTCTCCATTTTTTCAGATTATCTTTTCATCCTTTATTAGGATTTTAAAGTTTTTCCCACAGAAATCTTGTGTAATGTTATCTCGGTGAAGCTACTTATGCCTAACAGATGCTTTACAGATTTCTCTTCATAATGTGAACATCTTTTTAATCACATATTTTGTTATTGTTTATAGCTATCATAAAGAAATGTTACTAATTTTTGTAAGTTGATACTGTATGTAAAAATTTTCTTGAACTTTTAAATTAGTTGTATTACTTTATTTGTTGATTCTCTGAAATTATCAGATTTTTTTCATTTCCTTTCCAAATCTTACACTTCGATTTACTTCCCTTTTCCCGTAAGACCATTGACCTAAAACTCTAATACTATGTTAACAGTAGTTGAGGCAGTGGGTGTCCTTATTTTGTTTGTAATCTTAGACGAATTTCATTTAATATTTATCATTAAGTAGAGTATTTGCCTTAATGTTGGAGAATAGTGTTTTTAAAATTTATGAAATTTCTTTTTTTTTTCTTTCAACTTTTATTTCATGTTCGAGGGGTAAATAGGCAGGTTTGTTACATGAATAAATTCCACGTTGCTGGTGTTTGGTGTACAAATGATTTTGTCACCCAGGTAGTGAGCTCAGCACTAAGAGGTAGTTTTTGGATCATCATCCTCCTTTCACCTTCCACTCTCAATTAGGCTCCAGTGTCTACTGTTTCCCTCTTTGTGTCCATGTGTACTCCATGTTCAGCTGCCGCTTTGAAATGGGAACATGCAGTATTTGGTTTGCTGTTCCCATGTCAAGTCATTTAGGAAAATGGCCTTAAGTTGCATCCAAGTTGCTGTAAATGGCATTATTTCATTCCTTTTTTATGGCTGCACAGTATTCCATGGTGTATATGTACTACATTTTCTTTATGCAGTCCACCACTGATGGGCATCTAGGTTGATTCCATGTCTTTGCTATTGTGAATAGTGCTGTGATGAGCATGCATACATGTGTCTCTGTAGTAGAATAATGTATATTCCTTTAGGTATATATCCAACATCCCTTCATATTAAAAATTCTCCACACCTTAGGCATCAAAGTGACATACCTAAAAATAATAACAGCCATCTATGACAAATGCACAGTCAACATCATAGTGAATGGGCAATACCTTGAGAACTGGGGCCTGTTGAAATACTAGAAAATCCCATAGTCTGCCCAAAAGCTCCTAGAACTGATAAACAACTTCAGCAAACTTTCAGGATACAAAATCAATGTACAAAAATTAGTAGTATTTCTGTACACCAATAATGTCCAAGCTGACAGCTACATCAAGAATGTAATTCCATGCATAATAGCCACCAAAAGAATAAAATACCTAGGAATACAGGTAACAAGGGAGGTGAAATATCTCTACAACAAACACTGCCCAAGAAATCAGAGATGACATATTCCTTTGGGTATATACCCAACATCCCTTCATGTTAAAAACTCTCCACAAACTATGCATCAAAGTAACATACTTCAAAATAATAACAGCTATCTACGACAAACCCACAGTCAACATCATACTGAATGGGCAACGGCCGGGATTTCTGTAATGGGATTGTTGGGTTGAATGATAATTCTGTTTAAAGTTCTTTGAGAAATGTCCAAACTGCTTTCCACCTTTCCATAGTGGTTGAACTAATTTACCTTCCTACCAGCAGTGTATAAGTCTTCCATTTTCTCCTTGCCGACATGTATTTTGTGACTTTTTAATTATAGCCATTCTTACTGGTGTGGGATGGTATCTCATTGTGGTTTTGATTTGCATTTCTCTAATGATTAATGGTGTTGAGCAGTTTATCATATGCTTGTTAGCCACATCTATGTTTTCTTTTAAAAATTGTTCATGTCCTTTGCCCATTTTTTACTGTTTTTGTTTGTGCTTTAAGTTCCTTATAGATTCCGAATATTAGGCCTTTGTTGGATGCATAGGTTGCAAATATTTTCTCCCATTCAATAGGTTGTCTGTTTACTCGGTCATGATAGTTTCTTTTGCTGTGCAGAACTCTTTAGTTTAATTAGTCCCATTTGTCAGTTTTTGTTTTTGTTGCAATTGCTTTTGGAGTCTTTGTCATAAAATGTTTGCTTAGGCCAATATCCAGAATGGTATTTTCTAGGGTTTCTTCTAAGATTTTTTATAGTTTTAGGTTTTATGCTTAAGTCTTTAAGTCATCTTGAGTTAATTTTTCTGTATGGTGAAAGGAGGAGGTCTAGTTTCAATCTTTTGCATATGGCTAGCCAACTATCCCAGCACCATTTATTGATTAGGAAATCCTTTTCCCATTGCTTACTTTTGTCAACTTTGTCCACGATCACATGGTTGTAGGTGTGCAGCTATATTTCTAGCTTATCTAACATGTTCCATTGGTCCACCTGTTTTTTTCTTTTTTTTCCAATAGTATGCTGTTTTTGTTACTGTAGCCATTCAGTATAGTTTGAAATGAGGAATTGTGATGCCTCTGGCTTTTTTTTTTCTTAGAATTTCTTTAGGCATTTGAGTTCTTTTTGATTCCATATGAATTTTGTAAGAGGCTTTTCTAATTCTGTGAAAAATGACATTGGTGGTTTGATAGGAATAGCATCGAATCTGTACATCACTTTGGGCTGTATGGCTATTTTGATGATATTGATTCTTCCAGTCAATGAGCATGGAATATTTTTCCATTTGTTTGTGTAATCTCTGATTTCTTTGAGCAGTGGTCATTGTATAGATCTTTCACCTCCCTGGTTAGCTATATTCTATTCTTTTTGTGGTTATTGTAAATAGAATTGCATTCTTGATATAGCTCTCAGCTTGGAGATTAGTGGTGCACAGAAATGCTACTAATTTTTGTACATTGATTTTGTATCCTGAAAGTTTACTGAAGTTTATCAGTTCTAAGAGCCTTTGGGCTGAGACTATTGGATTTTTCTGGACATAGAATCATATCATCTGTGATGAGAGACAGTTTGACTGCCTCTCTTCCTATTTGGATGCCTTTTATCTATTTCTCTTGCCTGATTGCTCTAGTGAGGACTGCCAATGCTATGTTTAATAGGAGCGGTGAGGGTGGGTATCCTTGTTTTGCCCCACTTCTCAAGGGGAATGCTTCCATTTATTACCCATTCAGTAGGATGTTGACTGTTGGTTTGTATAGATGGCTCTTATTATTCTGAGGTAAGTTACTTTGATGTCTAGTTTGTGGAGAGTTCTTAACATGAAGTGATATTGAATTTTATCAAAAGCCTTTTCTGTACCTATTGAGATGATCATGTGGTTTTGCTTTTAATTCTGTTTGTGTGATGAATCACATTTATAGATTTTGTATGTTGAATCAGCCTGGCATCCCAGGGATGAAGACTACTTGATAGTGGTGGATCAGCTTTTCGATGTGCTGCTGAATTTAATTTGCTAGTACTTTGTTGAGGATTTTTGCATCTATGTTCATCAGGAATACTGGCCTGACATTTTCTATTTTTTCTTATCTCTCTTCCTGTTTTTTATATCAGAATGATGATAGCATCAGAGAGTGAGGATAATTTTGTTATCCTCACTCTACAATGATGATGACATTTGGAATAATATTCAGTATCATAATACTGAATATTTACAGTATAAACATAATAAAGGAACCCTTCCTTGATTATTTGAAATAATTTCAGTAAACTTGGTACCAGTTCTTCTTTATATATCTGGTAGAATTTGGCTGTGAATCCATCTGATCCAGGGATTTTTTTGGTAAGTTTCTTTCATTAACGATTCAGTTTCAGAACACATTATTGGTCTGTTCAGGCATTCACTTTCTTCCTAGTTCAATCTTGGGAGGTTGTATGTTTCCAAGACTTTATCTATTTCTTCTAGGTTTTCTTGTTTATGTGCTAGAAGTGTTCATAATTGTCTGTGAGGGTTTTTTGTAGTTCTGTGGGGTTGCTGGTAATGTCACTTTTGTCATTTCTGAATGTGTTTATTTGAATCTTCTCTGTTTTTTCTTTATTAGTCTAGCTACTAGGCTATCAATCTTATTTACTCTTTCAAGGAACCAAATTTTGGTTTCATTGATCTTTTGTATGAATGTGTATCTTTTTTTGTGTTCTCAATTTTATTCACTTCAGCTCTGATTTTGGTTATTTCTTTCCTCCTGTTACCTTTGAGATGGTTTGCTCTTGTTTTCCTAGTTCTTCTATGTGTGACTTCAGGTTTTTAATTTGAGATCTTTTTAACTTTTTGATGTAGGCATTTAGCACTATAAACTTTCCTCTTGACACTGCTTTAGCTGTATCCGAGAAATTCTGGTACATTATACCTTTGTTTTCATAGGTTTCAAGGGATTTCTTGATTTCTGCCTTCATTTCATACTTTACCTAGACATCATTCAGAAGCAGGTTGTTTAACTTCCATGTAATTGTATGATTTTGAGAAATTTTCTTGGTATCGATTTCTATGTTTATTGCACTGTGTTCAGAGAATGTGGGTCATATGATTTTGGTTGTTTTGAATTTGTTGAGAATTGCTTTATGGCCAAGCAAGTGGTCAGTGAAGAATGTATATTCTGTTGTTGTTGGATGGAATATTCTGTAGATGTCTGATAGGTCTGTTCGGTCAAGTGTCAAGCTTAGGTACTGAATGTCTTTGTTAGTTTTCTGCCTTAATAATCTGCCTAACACTGTCAGTGGGGGTCTTCAAATATCCAACTATTATTGTATGTTTATCTAACTCTCTTCATAGGTCTTTACAAACTTGTTTTACAAATCTGGGTGCTCCGGTGTTGGGTGCACATATATTTAGGACAGTTAAGTCTTCTTGTTGAATTGAACCCTTCATTATTATATAATGCCCTTCTTTGTCCTTTTTGACCATTGTTGGTTTAAAGTCTGTTTTCTCTGAGATAAGAATGGCAACCCCTGTTCATTTTTTTGTTTGTTCGTTCGTTTCATTTTCTATTTTCTTGATAGATCTTTCTCCATCCCTTTACTTTGAGCCTACAGGTGTCATTGCATTTGATATGGGTCTTTTTAAGGCAACATACAGTTGAGTCTTGCTTCTTTATTCATCTTGTCACTCTGTGCCTTTTAAGCTGGGCATTTAATCCATTTATGTTCAAGGATAGTGTCAGTATGTGAGGATTTGATCCTGTCATTATGTTTTTTAGCTGCTTGTTATGTAGACTTGATTATAAAGTTGCTTAATAGTGTCAGTAGGTATGTACTTAAGTGTGTTTTTGTGGTGACAGGTAATGATCTTTGGTTTCCATGTTTAGCGCACCCTCAAGGAACTGTTGTAAGGCAGGTCTGGTCGTAATGAATTCCCTTAGCACTGTTTGTCTGTAAAGGATTTTATTTCTCCTTTGCTTATGAAACTTAGTTTGGCTGGATATGAAATTCTTAGTTAGAATTTCTTTTCTTTAAAGATGCTGAAGATAGACCCTCAATCTTTTCTGGCTTGTAAAGTTTCTGCTGAAATTTCCACTGTTAGCCTGATAGGGTTCCCTTTATATGTGACATGCCCCTTCCCTCTCTAGCTTCTAGCTGCCTTTTACATTGTTTCTTTTGTATTGACTTTGGAGAACCTGATGACCATGTGCCTTTGTGATGGTATCTCATATGTTTCTTTGAATTTCCTGAATTTGCATGTCACCCTCTCTAATGTGGTTGGGGAAATTTTTGTGGGCAATATTCTTAAATATGTTTTCCAAGTTGCACACGTGCCCTCTCTCTCTCTCTCTGTCTCTGTCTTTCTGAGATTCCAAAGAATCATAGGTTTGGTCTCTTTACATCATTCCTCATTTCTTGGAAATTGTGTTCATTTTTTAAAAGTTATTTTTTCTTTATTTTTGTCTGACTGAGTAGAATTAAAGGACTGGTCTTTAAGCTCTGAGGTTCTTTCTTCAGCCTGGTCTATTCTATGCTGTTAATACTTCTGATTGTATTATGAAATTCTTGTAATTGCTTTTTCAACTCTAGAAGGTCAGTTCACTTCTTAAAATGGCTATTTTGTCTTTCAGCTCTTGTATCATTTTATTAGATTCCTTAGGTTTCATGGATTGGGTTTCAACTCTCTCCTGAATCTTGATGAGCTTCATTGTCATCCAGATTCTGGATTCTATGTCTGTCATTTCAGCCATTTCAATCTGGTTAAGAACCATTGCTGGGGAGCTAGTGTGGCCACTTGGAGGTAAGAAGATACTCTAGGTTTTACAATTTCCAGGGTTCTTGAACTGGTTCTTTCTCATATATGTGAGCTGATGTTCCTTTAATGTTTGAAGTTACTGTCCGGATGATTTCAGGGGGCCAAGGCTTAGCTCAGCGCTCCTAGCCTGCATGCTCTAACCCTGGAGGGCTGGGCCCAGGTTTATGGGTTTTTTTCTCTGGTTCCTTGAGGTTAAACTCTTACTGCAGTGGAGGGGCTGAGAGTTCCTGATCTGCTGGCAACAACACTGTGATGGAGGATGCTGGCAAATGCACTTTGTCAGGGCGGCAGCAGGGCAACGGGCTGTCCCATGCATGTGTGGGCATGGACAGCGTGGTGGCAATGGAGTCTGTGCATGCCCCTCACAATTTGGCAGGGGGAGGCTGCAGGTTGGTGCACGTTAGTGGAGAATGGTTGTGGGCAGGTAGGTGCTGGTGGGGGCCCACCCTGCAAAAGCTATCTGGCTATTTACCTAGGGTCTGCAGGTGAAAGAGCTATGGTGGTAGCACTTGCTGGTGGCCATAGCCAGACAGGGACCCTGGTAGAGGGGTGCTAAGATCAGCCTGGCCTTGTTCCACTGGCAAGATAGCCGTGCCCTGACCAACAAAGGCTAAAAACCCCTAGAGAAGCATGGTAAGCCTTTGGGATGTGTTCCCATGGCTGTGTTCCATTGCAACCATTCCCTGGCCAAACCACCTGGACTCTTTGCAGGCTGGATTTCTGTCTCTGCCAACACTCTGGGCAGTTTTTCCTGCCAGCTCAAATGTCCCTGGGCATTGTGGGGTCTCCTGCAGCTGGTGTTCCTAAGATTTGTGGTGAGAGTGGGCCACTTCCTGCCTATTTCACTCACCCCTTCCCCAGGATCTACTTGGGGTAAGGAATGAGTCCTTGTGCTCAGCAATCCCAGGCAGAGTTCCTAGTTTCAGAGTTCCTAGTTTCCTTCCCTTTTAGCCTGGGGTGTGCATTCTCCTTCTGTTTACACTCAATGCCTTCTTTCTGAAGATGTGTTTGAAATGTGCTGGTCTTCTTGATGGTCTGGTCTCATGGTGGGGGAAGCTCTTCCTGGCTGTATCTAGTTGGCCATCTTGGCTCCCTCAAATATTCCTGTCTATTTTGCTAAACTTTTGAAATTAAATGGCTGTTGAACATTACAAAATGCTTCTAATATTATTGAAAGAATCATGATAATCTCCTTTCAGTTTATTTTGTTGCAATACATAGCAATCCATATTATAGAACAAACCGTATTTTGTATTTTTCATTCACTTACTGATAGATAATTGTTTCTGACATGACTATTACAAAAAGTGCTGCAGTTAGCATGTATGTATATTGATTTTTTGGCTCATTAGTTTCTAATTCATATTTACCTATATGTAAAATTATTGTGAAATTATTTGGTTAAAAGTTATAAATCTTCTCAATTTGAATACGTTACCAAACTGCCTTTCAATATGTTTGTTACAGTTTAAAATCAGCATATGTGCAAACTTATAAATTCCAATATATTATAAATATTTTTCCTTTTTTACCAACAGAGGAAAAGGGCACAAATAGTGTGACATTGTATAAGACCTGCCAAAGTCTACTCTTGTCTATCAGCCTTGACTTTCACCACTTCAACTCCTATTTCCCACATTCTCTCCATACCACATTGTGTGTGTGTGTGAGATTGTGTATGTGTTTGTGTGTGTGTACTCATTCATACGGCTCTATCTTCTGCTTCAACCACTTAGCTACAAGAATGACTTCCTCTAGACAGATATGATTGTTCCTTTCTCTGTAACTTACTCTTGACCTGCCTCAAAATTGTTTCCTTGATCTTGTTTTCTCTTAACTCTGCATTCTTAGGTTCTCCATCTTTTTAATGTGTGTGTTCACAGCAATGCCTAGCAGAGTGTCTGGCATGTAACAAATACTGTTGAATAAATGAGTGAGTAATTGAATAAATGAATAGATTAATAAAGGAAAATTAGCAGGCTTTATAATGAAGAAAAATTGAATTACTGAGAAAAACTTTTTTTTTCACAATTTAAGAGTAAGGTTGTTTCTTGCTACAGTTAAACTCATTGTGGTTCTTTAGAGTTGTCCTTATTTTATGACAAGTACCTGTTCTACAGAGTGAAGGTGTCTATGTGTATGTATATATCTTCTAAATTGGATTTTTGTTAAGATCAAATCAAATAATACACCAAATCGTTCTTGGGAAAGCAGTAAATAGAATTGGTTCAAAGAATTAACATTCTTATGCTGAAAAAAATGTAGAAAAACAGTTTGGTGTGGTCAGCTGTTTTGCTTGTCAGTTATGAATAGAAATTTGATCACACAAATTAGTAGATTTTTTTTGTTTTTTAATGATTTGACTAAAATAGTTTATTAAGTGGCCCCCCATGAACTTATTCTGTGTCTACAAACAACTGTAAACACAATCTCAAGCCCTAATCATTTCTTTAATCTTCTGAATTTCACAGCCAGAGTAGTCAAAGTTAAGACATTTATATGTATGAGGATCATGCCACTAACAGTTATCTTTAAGTCACTGAGATTACATTTCAGGACATTAGTATAAATATGGATAGGACTCTCTATTTAAAAATCAAATAATAAATACTTATATTTATTATTTTAGGTTTACTATTTGTATAAGAGAAGATACAAGAAAAGCAACATGGGGAATTTTCTAATTATTATATGTTATATCACTACTGGAAAAAAAAATCCCAGAACTAAGCTTTCTCTGGATAGAATTTCTGGGTCAAGAGTTTAATGTCAATATGTAGGATAATGTTTGATTCCATACTTCATGGATTGTAATAGTTATTTAATATATTACAATATTTATGTATATTAAAGAGGATGAAATACAGATAAAGCATATACTAAAAATTTTGTATTTAAATTTAAACCAAATGTACTTTATTGGTTTTCATGGCCTCTTTTAGCTTCATTTACAATTGGAGAAACTAATAGGTTGGTGCAAAAGTAATATATAAATTAGAAAGTAACTTACATATAATCCCAAGTCAAGAAATTTGTTTTAAAAATAGCAACTTTGAACTATGCATATAACAAAACAGTAAATTAAAATTTTTTATTCAAAAATGCACATAACTCAAAAGAAAAATATTCAAAGATTATGTAGCTGACACCAATTATTTTAGATTTATTCAATAAAGACATTACTATTGAAAATACTTCTATACGAAAATTGAAACAGTTTAGCAAATTGTTTTTTCCTAATGCTGCAACTTTAGCTTTCATTTAGTACTATTCGAATTTAACTTTTCTTGCCTTTTTTCTGACATAAGATAAAGCTCACTGAAGGAAAATCTAGAATATAAAAAATTTATTATTAAAAAGAAATTATCAATAATCTCAACATTTCAATATTAAAATGCCTAATATTTTAGTATAATTGCAGGTTTAGCCTATTGTAGTTGCTACTGATTTTCCTATATTTTCATAGAGTTAAGATAATTCTTTACATAGACTCTTGTATTCTGATTATTTATTATGTTTTTAATGTTTTCCTGTGTCCCTGTTTTATTTATTTATTTATTTTAGTACAAAGCTTTGATTTTATCTGTTTGATTTATTAAAAATATACCCTAGCCTGAGGGTCTCAGGGTGTACATCCAAAATACTTCAATTAGATTTAAATCAGCAGCAAAAAATTTCCTGCTAAGAAGTTGAAATATCTTAAAACACACACACACACACACACACACACACACACACACACACCCCCCACATGAAAAAACCTCAAGCCAAAAACCCACTCAATATGAAATGCAGCAAAACTACAGAGATAGGCTTGGTGCCATTTCTTCAAGAATAGCAAGCTGACAGGTTGGTGACCCAGGAATGAGAGAGAGTTGCTAAACAGGACTGGCCTTATGTGAGTTGAATATTTGTTCTGTGAACTTGTAATTTAAATCTTTTAAGACTTGTTCTGTGGCCTAACACATGGTCCATCCTTGAGAATGATCCATGTGTTGAGGAGAAGAATGTGTACTCTGCAGCCATTGTATGAAATTTTCTGTAAATATCTATAAGCTGCGTTTGGTCTATAGTGCAGATTAAGTCTGATGTTTCTTTGTTGGTTTTCTGTCTGGGAGATGTGTCCAATGCTGAAAGTGGAGTGCTGAAGTCTCCAGCTATTATTGAATTGGGGTCTTGTATTAGTCTGTTTTCACATTTCTGATAAAGACATACCTGAGACTGGGAAGAAAAAAAGAGGTTTAACTGGACTTACTGTTCCACATGGCTAGGGAGGCCTCAGAATCATGGCGGAGGGTGAAAGGCACTTCTTACATGGTGGCAGCAAGAGAGAATGAAGAAGAAGCAAAAGTGGAAACCCCTGATAAACCCATCAGGTCTCATAAGACTTATTCACTATCATGAGAATATCACTGGAAAGACCAGCCCCCATGATTCAATTACCTACCCCTGGGGCCCTTCCACAACATGCAGGAATTCTGGGAGATAAAATTCAAGTTGAGATTTGGGTGGGGACACAGCCAAACCATATCATTCCATCCCTGGCCCCTCCAAATCTCATGTCCTCACATTTCAAAACCAATCATGCTTTCCCAACACTCCCCCGAAGTCTTAACTCATTTCAGCATTAACCCAAAAGTCTTCAGTCCAAAGTTTTATCTGAGAGAAGGCAAGTCCCTTCTGCCTATGAGCCTGTAAAATCAAAGCAAGCTAGTTACTCCCTAGATACAATGGGGGTACAGGTATTGGGTAAATACAGCCATTCCAAATGGGATAAATTGGCCAAAAGAAAAGGGGGTTACAGGGCCCATGCAAGTCTGAAATCCAGTGAGGCAGTCAAATTTTAAAGCTCCAAAATGATCTCCTTCAGGCCATGCTGATGCAAGAGGTGGATTCCCATGGTCTTGGGGAGCTCTATCCCTGTGCTTTTGCAGGGTACAGCCTCCCTCCTGGCTGCTTTCATGGGCTGCTATTGAATGACTGCAGCTTTTCCAGGCACACAGTGCAAGCTGTCAGTGGATCTAACATTCTGGGGTCTGCAGGACAGTGTCCCTCTTCTCACAGCTCTACTAAGCAGTGCCTCAGTAGGGACTCTGTATGGGGGCTCCAACCTCATATTTCCCTTCCACACCGCCCTAGCAGAGGTTCTCCATGAGGGCGCTGCCTCTGCAGCAAACTTTTGCCTGAGCATCCAGGTGCTTCCATACATCTTCTGAAATCTAGGCAGAGGTTGCCAAAACTCAAATCTTGACTTCTGTGTACCCAAGGGGTCAACACTACGTAGAAGCTGCCAAGCTTGGGGCTTCCACCCTCTGAAGCCACAGCCCAAGCTGTATGTTGGGCCCTTTCAGCCATGGCTGGAGCAGCTGGGACAGAGGGCATCAAGTCCCTAGGCTGCACAAAGCATAGGGGCCATGGGTTAAACCCATGAAACCACTTTTTCTTCCTGGGCCTCCAGATCTGTGATGGGAGAGGCCACCATGAAGTTCCCAGACATGGCCTGGAGACATTTTCTCCATGGTCTTGGGGATTAACATTATGCCCTTTGCTACTTATGCAAATTTCTGCAGCTGGCTTGAATTTCTCCACAGAAAATGGGTTTTTCTTTTCTATCACATTGTCAGGCTGCCCATGTTCCGACCTTTTATGCTCTGCTTCCCTTATAAAACTTAATGCCTTTAACAGTACCCAAGTCACCTCTTGAATGCTTTGCTGCTTAGAAATTTCTTCTACCAGATACCCTAAATCATCTCTCTCAAGTTCAAAGTTTCACAAATCCCTAAGGCAGGGGCAAAATGCCTCCAGTCTCTTTGCCAAAACATAACAAGAGTCACCTTTCCTCCAGTTCCCAACAAGTTCTTTATCTCCATCTGAGACCAATTCAGCCTGGACCTTTTTGTCCATATTGCTATCAGCATTTTCAACAAAGGCATTCAACAAGTCTCTAGGAAGTTCCAAACTTTCCCACATTTTCCTGTCATCTTCTGAGCCTTCCAAAATGTTCCAACTTCTGCCTGTTTCCCAGATCCAAAGTCGCTTCCACATTTTTGGGCATCTACAGCAAGCACCCCACTCCTGGTACCAATTTACTGTATTAATCCATGTTCATGCTGCTGATCAAGACATACTGGAGACTGGGAAGAAAAAAGAGGTTTAATTGGACTTACAGTTCCACATGGCTGGGGAGGCCTCAGAATCATGGTGGAGGGCAAAAGACACTTCTTGCATGGTGGTGGCAAGAGAGAATGAGGAAGAAGCAAAAGCGGAAACCCCTGATAAACCCATCGGATCTCATGAGACTTATTCACTATCACAAGAATAGCATGGGAAAGACTGGCTCCTATGATTGAATTTCCCCCACCTGGGGCCCTCCCGCAACATGTGGGAATTCTAGGAACTACAATTCAAGTTGAGATTTGGGTGGGGACACAGCCAAACCATATCAGGTCAATCTCTTTACCACAAATAATATTTGCTATATTATCTGGGTGATCCAGCATTGGGTGCGTAAATATTTAAAATTGTTATATACTCTTGCTGAATTGACTCCTTTATCAGTATGTAATGCCCTTGTTTGTCTCTTCTAACAGTTTTTGTCTTGAAATCTATTTTGTATAAGTATAGCTGCTCCTGCTCTTTAT
This sequence comes from Homo sapiens, assembly GCF_000001405.40. Lineage (NCBI taxonomy): Eukaryota > Metazoa > Chordata > Mammalia > Primates > Hominidae > Homo > Homo sapiens. The sequence goes on along the minus strand of NC_000002.12, from coordinate 167,034,621 downwards.
TGGTTTCTGTTGGCATGGGATATCATTTTCCATCCCTTTATTTTCAGTCTATGTGTATCTTTATAGGTGAAGTATGTTTCTTGAAGGCAACAAATCACTGGGTCTTTTTTTTTTTCTTTTTTTCTGTTCAGCCACTCTGTATCTTTTGATTGGAGTGTTTAGTCCATCTATATTCATGTAATTATTAATAAGTAAGGACTTACTACTGCCATTTTGTGATTTCTTTTGTTATTCTGTGTAGTTCCCTTCTTTCCTGTCTTCCTTTTTGAAAAGGTAATTTTTTCTGGTGGTATGTTTTAATATCTTGATTTTTACTGTTTTGTGTATCCGTTGTAAGTTTTTTTATTTAATGTTACCATGCAGCTTGCAAATAACATCTTATAACCCATTTTTAAAAAACTGATGACAACACTGATTGCAAAAACAAGCTAATGAACAAACAAGCCAAGAGAAAACTATTAATTCCCCTACACTTTAACTTCATCCCCATTCTTTTTAACTTTTTATGGTTTCTATTTATACCTTATTATATTGTTTATGTCTTGAAACATTGTTGTAGTTATTATTTCTGACAGTTTCCTCTTGTATTCTTTCAACTCAAGATATAAGTAGTTTATATAACACAATTACACTGTTATAATATTCTGTGTTTGTCTGTGTACTTGCTATTACCAGTGTGTTTTCAACCTTCAGCTAATTTCTTTTTGCCCATTAACATCCTTTTCTTTCAGATTGAAGAATTTCCTTTAGCATTTCCTGTAGGACTGGTCTAGTATTGATGAAATACCTCAGCTTTTGTTTGTCTGAGAAAATCTATTTTTCTTTCATGTTTGAATGATATTTTCCCAGGGCATACTATTATAAGATATTTTTTCCTTCATTATCTTATATATGTCATGCCATTCTCTCTTGGCCTGTAAGGTTTCCACTGAGAAGTCTGCTGCCAGATGTATTGGAGCTCCTTTGTATGTTATTTGTTTTGTTTTGTTTTGTTTTCTCTTGTTGTACTTAAGATCCTGTTGTCATACTAGACTTTGGAAGTTTGATTATTAAATGCCATGGAGTAGGCTTATTTGGGTAAAATCTGCTTGTTCTATAACCTTCTTGTACTTGAATATTGATATATTTCTCCAGATTTGGAAAGTTCTGTTTTTATTGCATTGAATAAACTTTTAAAAAAATTATTATACTTTAAGTTCTGGGATACACGTGCAGAACATGCATGTTTATTTCACAGGTATACACGTGCCATGGTGGTTTGTTGCACCCATTAACCCCTCATCTACATTAGGTATTTCTCCTAATGCTACCCTTCCCCTAAACCCCCAAACCCTGACAGGCCCAGTGTGTGATGTCCCCCTCCATGTGTCTATGTGTTCTCATTGTTCAACTCCCACTTATGAGTGAGAATATGCAGTGTTTGGTTTTCTGTTCCTGTGTTAGTTTGCTGAGAATGATGCTTTCCAGCTTCATCCATGTCCCTGCAAGAAAATGAACTCATCCTTTTTTATAGGATAGTATTCCATCGTGTATATGTGTCACAATTTCTTTATCCAGTCTAACATTAATGGGCATTTGGGTTGGTTCCAGGTCTTTGCTACAGTAAATAGTGCTGCAGTAAACACATGTGTGCATGTGTCTTTATGGTAGAATGATTTATAATCATTTGGGTATATATCCAGTATTGGGATTGCTGGGTCAAATGGTATTACTGGTTCTAGATCCTTGAGGAGTTGCCACACTGTCTTCTACAATGGTTGAACTAATTTGCATTCCAACCCACAGTGTAAAAGCATTCCTGTTTCTCCACATCTTCTCCAGCATCTGTTGTTTCCTGACTTTTTAATGATTGCCATTCTAACTGATGTAAGATGGTATCTCATTGGGGTTTTGATTTGCATTTCTCTAATATCAGTGATGATGAGCTTTTTTTCATATATTTTTGGCTGCATAAATGTCTTAATTTGAGAAGTGTCTATTCATATCATTTGCCCACAATTTGATGGGGTTGTTTTTTTCTTGTAAATTTGTTTAAGTTCCTTGTAGATTCTGGATATTAGCCCTTTGTCAGATGGATACATTGCAAAAATGTTCTCCCATTCTGCAGGTTGACTGTTCACTCTGATGATAGGTTCTTTTGCTGTGCAGAAGCTCTTTAGTTTAATTACATCCAATATGTCAATTTTGGCTTTTTCTGCAGTTGCTTTTGGTGTTTTAGTCATGAAGTCTTTGCCCACGCTTATGTCCTGAATGGTATTGCCTAGGTTTTCTTCTAGGGTTTTTATGGTTTTAGGTCTTATGTTTAAGTCTTTAATCCACCTTAATTTTTGTGTAAGGTGTAAGGAAGGGGTCCAGTTTCTGTTTTCTGCATATGGCTAGCCAGTTTTCCCAACACCATTTATTAAATAGGGAATCCCTTCCCCATTGCTTGTTTTTGTCAGGTTTATCAAAGATCAGATGGTTGTAGATGTGTGGTGTCATTTCTGAGGTCTTTCTTCTGTTCCATTTGTCTATATATCTGTTTTGGTACCAGTACCATACTGTTTTGGTTACTGTAGATTTGTAGTATAGTTTGAAGTCAGGTAGCATGATGCTTCCAGCTTTGTTCTTATTGCTTAGGATTGTCTTGGCTATATGGGCTCTTTTTTGTTTCCATATGAAATTTAAAGTAGTTTTTCCCAACTTGGTTGAAAAAGTCAATGGCAGCTTGATGGGGGTAGCACTGAATCTATAAATTACTTTGGGCAGTATGGCCATTTTCACGATATTGATTGTTCCTATCTATGAGCATGGAATTTTTTTCCATTTGTTTGTGTCCTCTCTTATTTCATTGAGCAGTGGTTTCTAGTTCTCCTGGAAGAGGTCCTTCACATCCCTTTTAAGTTATACTCCTAGGTATTTTATTATCTTTATAGCAATTGTGAATGGGAGTTCACTCATGATTTGGCTCTGTTTGTCTGTTATTGGTGTAAAGGAATGCTTGTGATTTCTGCACATTGATTTTGCATCCTGAAACTTTGCTGAAAATGCTTATCAGCTTAAGGAGTTTTTGTGCTGGGACCATGGGGTTTTCTAAATATACAGTTGTCATCTGCAAACAGGGACAAATTCAACATTCTTAAAGAAAAGAATTTTCAAACCAGAATTTCATATCCAGCGAAACTAAGCTTCATAAGTGAAGGAGAAATAAAATCCTTTAAAGACAAGCAAATGCCAAGAGATTTTGTCACAACTAGGCCTGCCTTAAAAGAGCTCCTGAAGGAAGCACTAAATATGGAAAGGAAAAACCGGTATCCCACCACTGCAAAAATGTGCCATATTGTAAAGACCATCAACACTATGAAGAAACTGCATCAACTAATGGGAAAAATAACCAGCTAGCATCATAATGACAGAATCAAATTCACACATAACAGTGTTAACCTTAACTGTAAATGGGCTAAATGCCCCAATCAAAAGTCAAAGACTGGCAAATTGGATAGAGTCAAGACCCATTGGTGTGCTGTATTCAGGAGATCCATCTCACATGTAAAGACACACATTATCTCAAAATAAAGGGATGGAAGAAGATTTACCAAGCAAGTGGAAAGAAAAAAAAAAAAAGCAAAGCTTGCAATCCTAATCTCTGATAAAACAGACTTGAAACCAACAAAGATCAAGAAACACAAAGAAGGCCGTTATGTAATGGTAAAGGGATCAATGCAATAAGAAGAGCTAACACTCCAAAATATATATGCACCCAATACAGGAACACCCAGATTCATAAAGCAAGTTCTTAGAGACCTATGAAGAGACTTAGACTACCACACAATATTAGTGGGAGACTTTAACACCCCACTGTCGATATTAGACAGATCACCGTATTCAGGACTTGAACTCAGCTCCGCACCAAGCGGACCCAATAGACATCTGCAGAACTCTTTACCCGAAATCAACAGAATATATATTCTTCTCAGCACCACATCGCACTTATTCTAAAATTGATCACATAAGTCAAAGTAAAACACTCCTCAGCAAATGCAAAAGAATGGAAATCCTAACAGTCTCTCAGACCACAGTGCAATCAAATGAGAACTCAGGATTAAGAAACTCACTCAAAACTGCACAACTACATGGAAACTGAACAACCTGCTCCTGAATGACTACTGGGTACATAACAAAATTAAGGCAGAAATAAATAAGTTTTTTGAACCCAATGAGAACAAAGACACAGTGTACCAGAATATCTACGGCCCAGATAAAGCAGTGTTTAGAGAGAAATTTATAGTACTAAATGCCCACAGGAGAAAGCGGGAAAGATCTAAAATCAATACCCTAACATCACAATCAAAAGTACTAGAGAAGAAAGAGCAAACAAATTCAAAAGTTGGTGGAAGACAAGAAATAACCAAGATCAGAGCAGAACTGAATGAGATAGAGACATGAAAAATCCTTCAAAAAAATCAATGAATCCAGCAGCTTGTTTTTTGAAAAATTAACAAAATAGATAGACTGCTAGCCAGACTAATAAAGAATAAAAGAGGGAAGAATCAAATAGACATAATAAAAAATGATAAAGCGGAGATCACCACTGATCCCACCAAAATACAATCTACCATCAGAGAATACTACAAACACCTCTATGCAAATAAACTAGAAAAATCTATAAGAAAAAGATAAATTCCTGGACACATACACACTCCCAAGACTAGGAAGAAAACCAGGAAGAAGTCCAATCCCTGAACTGATGAATAACAAGTCCTGAAATTGAGGCAGTAATTAATAGCCTACCAACCAAAAAATGCCCAGGACCAGACAGATTCACAGCCGAATTCTACCAGAGGTACAAAGAGGAGCTGTATCATTCCTTCTGAAACTATTCCAAACAATAGAAAAAGAGGGACTCCTCCCTAACTCATTTTATGAGGCCAGCATCATCCTGATACCAAAACCTGGTAGAGACACAACAACAAAAGAAAATTTCACGCCAATATACCTGATGAACGTCGATGCAAAAATTCTCAATAAAATACTGGCAAACTGATTCCAGCAGCACACCAAAAAGCTTATCCACCACAATCAAGTCAGCTTCATCCCTGGGATGCAAGGCTGGTTCAACATATGAAAATCTATAAACGTATTCCATCACATAAACAGAACCAATGGCAAAAACCACATGCTCTATCTCAATAGATGCAGAAAAGGCGTTCGATAAAATTTAACACTGCTTCATGCTAAAAACTCTCAATAAGCTAGGTATTGAGGGAACGTATCTGAATATAATAAGAGCTATTTATGACAAACTCACAGCCAATATCATACTGAAAGGACAAAAGCTGGCATTTCCTTTGAAAACTGGCACAAGACAAGGATGCCCTCTCTCACCACACCTGTTAAACATAGTATTGGAATTTCTGGCCAGGGCAATCAGGCAACAGAAAGAAATAAAGCATATTCAAATAGGAAGAGAGGAAGTCAAGTTGTTCTTGAACAAACTTTCTACTCCAGTCTTTCTCTCTACTTCCTCTTTAAGACCATTAAGTCATAGGTTTGCCCTTTTGAGACTATTTTCTAGTTCTTGTGGGTGTGTTTCATTGTTTTTCATTCTTTTTTTCTTTTATCTCCTCTGACTGTGTAGTTTCAAAGAGCCTATCTTTAAGCTCACTAATTCTTCTGCTTGATCAATTCTGCTGTTGAGAGACTCTGAGGTATTTTTCAGTATGTCAATTAAATTTTTCAGCTTCAGAATGTCCGCTTGACTTGCAAAAATTATTTCACTTTTAAAAATTTATCTTATGGGATTCTGAATTCCTTCTCGGTGTTACCTTGAATTTTCTTGCGGGTCCTCAAAACAGCTACTTTGAATTCTTTGTCTGAAAGGTCAAATATCTCTGTCATTCTTGATTTCGTCACTGGTGCCTTATTTAGCTCATTTGGTGATGTCATGTTTTCCTGGATGTTCTTGATGCTTCTGTAGGTTCATCTGTGTCTAGACATTGAAGAGTTAGGTATTTATTGTAGTCTTTGAGGTCTGGACTTCTTTGTACCTGTCTTGGGAAGGCTTCCCAAATATTTAAATGGAATTGAGTGTTTTGATCTAAGTTTTGGTCACTGCATTTCTGCATTAAGGGGCAACCCAAGCCCAGTAACACTGTGACTCTTACAGAATCATAGAGATATTGCCTTGGTGGCCTTGGGTAAGATCTGAGAGAATTCCTTGGATTACCAGGCAGACACTTTTGCTCTCTTCTCTTAGTTTCTGCTCAACAAATGGAGTCTCTCAGTATGTCCTGAGCTGCCTGAATCAGGGGTAGGCATGCCATGTCACTAACATTTTAGTGATTATAACCATACATACTATCTTGAGGTTTAATTTTTTGCACAAAATTTTGGTTAATAGTCATATGATTATTGTGAGAAATAAAAGAAATTTTGCAAATAAACTGCTTAATACAATGCCTGGCTTAGAGTAAATATTTTCTTATGTTAGATATTTGTAAGTTTGAAAGAAAAATTTAATATTTTAAATAAGATTACTTGGAATAGTTTTTGATCATAATGTTAAATATGCTTACAGAAGTAGAGTTAATGTAAGGAAGAATAAAACATTTTTCAAATATCAAATGGCCTTCCAGAGGAGTTGTATCCATTTGTTTTCCTCCTGCAGTGTGTGATGCCTCTTCTCACTGTACATTTATTGACATGACTATTTTCTTTAAAATATTTGCTAGGCAAATGTGTTATTTCACCAAAGAGATCCTGAAGTTTTAACTTGCAATTATTTGAGTACTAATGAAATTTGAATTCTTTTCCCTATTTAGTAGTAATTATTTCTTCTCTATTTAAGATTTACCTGTTTATAGGGTCTGGAGTGGACCTCTAGCAAACTCCAACAGACCTGCAGCTAAGGGTCCTGTCTGTTACAAGAAAAACTATCAAACAGAAAGGACATCCACACCAAAAACCCATCTGTACATCACCATCATCAAAGACCAAAAGTAGATAAAACCACAAAGATGGGGAAAAAACAGAGCAGAAAACCTGGAAACTCTAAAAAGCAGAGTACCTCTCCTCCTCCAAAGGAATGCAGCTCCTCACCAGCAATGGAACAAAGCTGGATGGAGAATGACTTTGATGAGTTGAGAGAAGAAGGCTTCAGACAATCAAACTACTCCGAGCTACAGGAGGAAATTCAAACCAATGGCAAAGAAGTTAGAAACTTTTTGAAAAAAAATTAGACGAATGGATAACTAGAATAGCCAATGCAGAGAAGTCCTTAAAGGAGATGATGGAGCTGAAAGCCAAGGCTTGAGATCTACGTGAAGAATGTAGAAGCCTCAGGAGCTGATGTGATAAACTGGAAGAAAGGGTATCAGTGATGGAAGGTGAAATAAATGAAATGAAGCGAGGAGGGAAGTTTAGAGAAAAAAGAATAAAAAGAAATGAACAAAGCCTCCAAGAAATATAGGACTATGTGAAAAGACCAAATCTAGGTCTGATTGGTGTACCTGAGAGTGACGGAGAGAATGGAACCAAGATGGAAAACACTCTGCAGGATATTATCCAGGAGAACTTCCCCAATCTATAAAGGCAGGCCAACATTCACATTCAGGAAATATAGAGAACGCCACAAAGATACTCCTCAAGAAGAGCAACACCAAGACACATAATTGTCAGATTCACCAAAGTTGAAATGAAGGAAAAAATGTTAAGGGCAGCCAGAGAGAAGGTCGGGTTACCCACAAAGGGAAGCCCGTCAGAATAACAGCGGATCTCGGCAGAAACTCTACAAGTCAGAAGAGTGGGGGCCAACATTCAACATTCTTAAAGAAAAGAATATTCAACCCAGAAGAGAGTGGGGGCCAACATTCAACATTCTTAAAGAAAAGAATTTTCAACCCAGAATTTAATATCCACCCAAACTAAGCTTCATATGTGAAGGAGAAATAAAATACTTTACAGACAAGCAAATGCTGAGAGATTTTCTCACCACCAGGCCTGCCCTAAAAGAGCTCCTGAAGGAAGCAGTAAACATGGAAAGGAACAACTGGTACCAGCCACTGCAAAAACATGCCAAAATGTAAAGACCATCTAGGCTAGGAAGAAACTGCATCAACTAATGAGCAAAATAACCAGCTAACATCAAATGACAGGATCAAATTCACACATAACAATATTAACTTTAAATATCAATGGGATAAATGCTCCAATTAAAAGACACAGACTGGAAAATTGGATAAAGAGTCAAGACCCTTCAGTGTGCTGTATTCAGGAAACCCATCTCACGTGCAGAGACACACATAGGCTCAAAATAAAAGGATGGAGGAAGATCTACCAAGCAAATGGAAAACAAAAAAAGGCAGGGGTTGCAATCCTAGTCTCTGATAAAACAGACTTCAAACCAACAAAGCTCAAAAGAGACAAAGAAGGCCATTACATAATGGTAAAGGGATCAATTCAACAACAAGAGCTAACTATCCTAAATATATATGCACCCAATACAGGAGCACCCAGATTCATAAAGCAAGTCCTGAGTGACCTTCAAAGAGACTTAGACTCCCACACAATAATAATGGGAGACTTTAACACCCCACACTCAACATTAGACAGATCAACGAGACAGAAAGTTAACAAGGATACCCAGGAATTGAACTCAGTTTTGCACCAAGCAGACCTAATAGACATTTACAGAACTCTCCACCCCAAATCAACAGAATATACATTTTTTTCAGCACCACACCACACCTATTCCAAAATTGACCACATAGTTGGAAGTAAAGCTCTCCTCAGCAAATGTAAAAGAACAGAAATTATAACAAACTGTCTCTCAGACCACAGTGCAAGCAAACTAGAACTCAGGATTAAGAAACTCACTCAAAACCGCTCAACTACATGGAAACTGAACAACCTGCTCCTGAATGACTACTGGGTACATAACGAAATGAAGGCAGACATAAAGATGTTCTTTGAAACCAATGAGAACAAAGACACAACATACCAGAATCTCTGGGACACATTCAAAGCAGTGTGTAGAGGAAAATTTATAGCACTAAATGCCCACAAGAGAAAGCAGGAAAGATCCAAAATTGACACCCTAACATCACAATTAAAAGAACTAGAAAAGCAAGAGCAAACACATTCAAAAGCTAGCAGAAGGCAAGAAATAACTAAAATCAGAGCAGAACTGAAGGAAATGGAGACACAAAAAACCCTTCAAAAAATTAATGAATCCAGCAGCTGGTTTTTTGAAAAGATCAACAAAATTGACAGACCGCTAGCAAGACTAATAAAGAAGAAAAGAGAGAAGAATCAAATAGACACAATAAAAAATGATAAAGGGGATATTACCACCGATCCCACAGAAATACAAACTACCATCAGAGAATACTACAAACACCTCTTCGCAAATAAACTAGAAAATCTAGAAGAAATGGATAAATTCCTCGACACATACACCCTCCCAACACTAAACCAGGAAGAAGTTGAATCTCTGAATAGACCAATAACAGGATCTGAAATTGTGGCAATAATCAATAGCTTACCAACCGTAAAGAGTCCAGGACCAGATGGATTCACAGCCGAATTCTACCAGAGGTACAAGGAGGAACTGGTACCATTCCTTCTGAAACTATTCCAATCAATAGAAAAAGAGGGAATCCTCCCTAACTCATGTTATGAGGCCAGCATCATCCTGATACCAATGCCTGGCAGAGAGACAACCACAAAAGAGAATTTTAGACCAATATCTTTGATGAACATTGATGCAAAAATCCTCAATAAAATACTGGCAAACCAAATCCAGCAGCACATCAAAAAACTTATCCACCATGATCAAGTGGGCTTCATCCCTGGGATGCAAGGCTGGTTCAACATACGCAAATCAGTAAATGTAATCCAGCATATAAACAGAACCAAAGACAAAAACCACATGATTATCTCAATAGATGCAGAAAAGGCCTTTGACAAAATTCAACAACACGTCATGCTAAAAACTCTCAATACATTAGGTATTGATGGGATGTATCTCAAAATAATAAGAGCTATCTATGACAAACCCACAGCCAATATCATACTGAATGGGCAAAAACTGGAAGCATTGCCTTTGAAAACTGGCACAAGACAGGGATGCCCTCTCTCACCACTCCTATTCAACATAGTGTGGGAAGTTCTGGCCAGGGCAGTTAGGCAGGAGAAGGAAATAAAGGGTATTCAATTAGGAAAAGAGGAAGTCAAATTGTCCCTGTTTGCAGATGACATGATTGCATATCTAGAAAACTCCATCATCTCAGCCCAAAATCTCCTTAAGCTGATAAGCAACTTCAGCAAAGTCTCAGGATATAAAATCAATGTACAAAAATCACAAGCATTCTTATACACCAATAACAGACAAACAGAGAGCCAAATCATGAGTGAACTCCCATTCACAATTGCTTCAAAGAGAATAAAATACCTAGGAATCCAACTTAAAAGGGACGTGAGGGACCTTTTCAAGGAGAACTACAAACCACTGCTCAATGAAATAAAGGATACAAACAAATGGAAGAACATTCCATGCTCATGGGTAGGAAGAATCAATATCATGAAAATGGCCATACTGCACAAGGTAATTTATAGATTCAATGCCATCCCCATCAAGCTACCAATGACTTTCTTCACAGAATTGGAAAAAACTAATTTAAAGTTCATATGGAACCAAAAAAGAGCCCGCATCACCAAGTCAATCCTAAGCCAAAAGAACACAGCCAGAGGCATCACGCTACCTGACTTCAAATTATACTACAAGGCTACAGTAACCAAAACAGCATGGTACTGGTACCAAAACAGAGATATAGATCAATGGAACAGAACAGATCCCTCAGAAATAATGCCGCATATCTACAACCATCTGATCTTTGACAAACCCGAGAAAATCAAGCAATGGGGAAAGGATTCCCTATTTAATAAATGGTGCTGGGAAAACTGGCTGGCCATAAGTAGAAAGCTGAAACCAGATCCCTTCCTTACACCTTATACAAAAATTAATTCAAGATGGATTAAAGACTTACATGTTTGACCTAAAACCATAAAAACCCTAGAAGAAAACCTAGGCATTACCATTCAGGACATAGGCATGGGCAAGGACTTCATGTCTAAAACACCAAAAGCAATGGCAACAAAAGACAAAATTGACAAATGGGATCTAATTAAACTAAAGAGCTTCTGCACAGCAAAAGAAACTACCATCAGAGTGAACAGGCAACCTACAAAATGGGAGAAAATTTTTGCAACCTACTCATCTGACAAAGGGCTAATATCCAGAATCTATAATGAACTCAAACAAATTTACAAGAAAAAAACAAACAACCCCATCAAAAAGTGGGTGAAGGACATGAACAGACACTTCTCAAAAGAAGACATTTATGCAGCCAAAAAACACATGAAAAAATGCTAACCGTCAATGGCCATCAGAGAAATGCAAATGAAAACCACAATGAGATACCATCTCACACCAGTTAGAATGGCAATCATTAAAAAGTCAGGAAACAACAGGTGCTGGAGGGGATGTGGAGAAATAGGAATACTTTTACACTGTTGGTGGGACTGTAAACTAGTTCAACCATTGTGGAAGTCCGTGTGGCGATTCCTCAGGGATCTAGAACTAGAAATACCATTTGACCCAGCCATCCCATTACTGGGTATATACCCAAAGGACTATAAATCATGCTGCTATAAAGACACATGCACACATATGTTTATTGCGGCACTATTCACAATAGCAAAGACTTGGAACCAACCCAAATGTCCAACAATGATGGACTGTATTAAGAAAATGTGGCACATATACACCATGGAATAGAATACTATGCAGCCATAAAAAAGGATGAGTTCATGTCCTTTGTAGGGACATGGATGAAATTGGAAAGCATCATTCTCAGTAAACTACCGCAAGGACAAAAAACCGAACACCACATGTTCTCACTCATAGGTGGGAATTGAACAATGAGAACACATGGACACAGGAAGGGGAACATCACACTCTGGGGCCTGTTGTGGGGTGGGGGTAGGGGGGAGGGATAGCATTAGGAGATATACCTAATGCTAAATGACGAGTTAATGGGTGCAGCACAGCAGCATGGCACATGTATACATAGGTAACTAACCTGCACGTTGTGCACATGTACCCTAAAACTTAAAGTATAATAATAATAAAATTAAAAAAATGAATACATAACATTATGCAATTGATATGTTCTGAGAAAATTAAATGTGTTAATACTTAAAATAATATCCAACAACATTTAGAAAATCATTGTGTCTTTAGCATGTATTGCATAAATGACTCTCAATTTTCCTGCTTTTTACTTTTTTATGATTTTGAATTACTCATTCTACATAAAAATATCTGTTGTTTCACAGGTATAGACGTTGTCTTAGGAATCCAAAATATTGCTCCCCATACAATTTCATACATTACAATGTATAGTTTGTAAAGATATTCTTCCTTAACGTGTTTTAGGAGGAAAAAAAGGAGATATATTAAAACTGTGACTGTGGGATTTTAGAGCTGCTTTGAACAGTTCTTCAAGCATTCCAAACTACTGTAGCCATCATTAATATATTACATGAAATTAAATTCACATTTTATGTTTACCTCATAGTTTAATCTTTACTTTTGTAGGGTTAATAACTTTCAAAATGGAAAGGTATTAATATGGTGAAATACAGAAAATAAATCTGAATACAATGAAGATAGTTGATACTAATTTGTACAGATTTATTCATATAAGAAGTAATCAAATTATTTTTATAACGGCAATTTTTAAAAAAATTTTATTTTTGAGACAGGATCTCTCTCTGTCACCCAGGCTGGAGTACAGTGACACAGTCACGGCTCACCACAGCCTCAATCTCTTGGGCTCATGAGATCCTCCCACCTCCACCTCCTGAGTAGCTGGGACTACAGGTGTGCCCCGTCACACTGGCCTAATTTTTTATTTTTTGTAGAGACTAGGTCTTGAACTCCTGGGCTCAAATCATCCTCCTGCCTCAGCCTCCCAAAGTGCTGGGATTCCAGACATCAGCCACTGCAGATAGCTGTAAATCTTTTAAAGAAAAATTTCCAACAAACATTAAAAATCACCCATATTTTTAAAAAAGGTAATTGACCTTGAAAGTAGTATACCAAAAGTAAGAGCTTTAATAAAAGTTCAATATTACTAAAAATAGTTTTTGCACGTGTAGTGCTATAATTAAAATAATATACTGTTTTGGGAGCAGACATATCAGGAAACAACTAATAAATAGTTGTATCACCATACAATTTTTCTGCCAAATTATATTTGTTTGTAGAAGTTATTGACAAAGGAACTACACTTCAAATAGAGCAATAAAGAATAACTTTCAACTATCTTTGCAGTGGGACGATTTATTCAAACAAAATCTTATAAGTAATCACACTATAAAACACACCTGAAAGCACAGCTTTTCTAGAAGGATAGGTGCCAAAATGATTATATATCAGAATCAACTAAGAAGTTTTAGAAGCATACGAATTAGAGCTCATCACAATTAAAAATAATAATCCTCCCAATTTATTCTAACATGCAGCCAGGGATGAGAACCAAGACTCTAGAAGAATTATATGTAGAACTAGACAGCCATTTATGTGGAACACCCCTGCCAACGCAAAGATCCAAGAAATAAATTTCGAAGACCACTGGAATAGCAGATTATTTCAATTAACAATTAATAAATTATATTTTGAAATAAGTAAGACTTTAATAACAGTAAATTAAGGTGTAGAAATAATAAAAAAGTTACTCCTTTGATCAGAGGAGGGAATGATCACATTAAGTATCAGATGGGGATGTAACAAATAATTATAAAATAAGAAAGTCATCTGATATAGAAAAATTTCTTTCATTTAAGACATTTAGAAAGAGATATAATAAATCATCAGCCAGCAAATTAACCATCTGTGTTTGTCCAGTATAGATATTTGAAACTATGCATTTCAGAACATACTTGATCCCTATCCTGAAGAAATCATAGTCAAAAAAGAATTGTCTGGGTAGAACACACACACACACAAACAATTTATACAGCTGTAATGAGTACTGATCATACGAATAGAAGAGTTTGATATTGAGACATATATACAGTTTATATAATACATGGTGTTTTATAGCATATGCAATACATTGTATATACTACATAAGTTCATTTTTCAAAGATTAAGTAATGATCTGTGGTGTTTGTTGATGGTGGAAGAATATGGACTTAGAAGAATAGGCTTTTTCATCTGCTAATTAGTCATTATTTGTTTCACTATTATTTGAATGTTTAATAGTATATAAACATATTATTTGTTACTATTTAAGTAACTACAAAATTCATTCATAAACTTTGGCCTGAAAGATCCCGATAGATGAGATAAAAGTGAAGATTTTAGTATTATTTTTTAGGATCACTTACATGTTCTTTAATCCTGGTTTCTCTTTTCGTTTTGAATTTTGGCCATAAACAACCATCATGAAAATATTTGGATTGAAACAAATGTTCTAATTTAGATTGAAACAAGTTGATTAGTGTAAAGTTTTGATTATGGTCTTCATTATGCTTGAAAGAATGAGTGACATTAACATCCATCTCCTAAAAGCGAATAGTGCATTTGTGAGCCATACTATAACCTTGCTGGAAATCAGAAAATAAAAATATAAGCTTTTAAAGAATCATCTTGCTACAGTTAGAAGCACTTAGACTGGCAGTACAAATCACTGCTATAAAATGTATATAAGTTTTAATGCAGTCATTAAAATGTGACAATTTTTCAGATGGGGTAAGTGTAACAACTTGAGGAATTTATAACCCTCGAAGAGTGTATCTCTTTTACTGATATTTTTGCTAAATGTCTTATTTATAAAAATGCAAGGTTATGAAAATATGTTTTAAGTTAATCTTGATTTAATCAATGAGAAAATCTTTTTACCACATTGCCACTTCTCAGTAAAACAATGAATGCAAACACTGCAAATCTGACTTGAATTTCAAGACTGAAGGTCTTAACCCTGGCTAGCTAATTGAGAGTGTTTGACATTTACTTTATTGCCTTGTTCTTTTTCACTGTGATTTTCTTCTTTAGTAAAGACAAAATTCTTGACAACCACAGTGCCACAGAGATTAGATTTGTAGCAAAGAGGTCAAGCCCTTCTATATTCATATTTCTCCCAGAATTTCACCCTTCTAAATAATCTTATCCATGCCTTACTCTCCATAGTAACTTACCTGCTAACCTTTCTTATTCATGGTATTATTATTGGGGTCGCTATTCTTTGTAATCAGAGTGTACATCTTGTTTTTAGTTTAAAGTACAACTGTTTTTCTTTTTGTATAATTGACTCTTAGATTTTTATAACAGCAGGGACTGAACGAGACCTTGAGAGTTCATCTACCCCTTAAATCACTTTGAAGTCTTAAATCTCCTAACAGTCACAGGAAGTAGAAAATATTTCATATTCACAGAGAAATTTCAGAGTTTCCTTGGCACTTTATTTTCATCTCTGTGTTGTACAGATTTCTCAGCATCTAACCTAACTAGACCTCCTTTGGTCTCTTGTGCATGCAGTTATTCACTCAGCAAACTCTTGCTCAGCAATAACTATATCCTTATAACTGTGGCAGGCAGAAATAACTCAAAGATTAAAAAAGAAAAAAAAATCCCTGCCTTCCAGGTGCTCACATCAAAGATGAAAGGAAACAGACATTTTTTGTACACTGTGATCCTGGGGGACAGACTAAAGTTTTGCATGCTCTACGGATACTGAGAAAGGGAAGGCAAGTGGGAGGTGATGTGTATTCAGTGGAAATGCACACTAAGCTAAATTTTAAATTACGTAAATGTCAGTAAGTGGTAGGAAATGGTTCTTCAGGTTTCTGCTGTCTAAGAAAAGACATCACTCAGATTTGCTTCAAGGAGCAGAATGGACTGACAGCCCTGGCAACCACAGCCTGATGCCAAAAATGAGTAAAATGCCCTGGGGGTACTTATTTGGGTCCATTCTTGTGGGATGTGGGACTCTTCTATGTCTGTGGCTTATGCCTGAATTCTCAGATTTTGCTGCTGAGAATCTTCCCTCCAGGTGGTCTTCTTGTCCCCTTTCTTTTCTTGGATGTCAGGTTTCTTATCATGGACTAAATAGTGTGTCTCTCTGTTTGTTCTTTATCCCCCTTTATTCTTTACATTTGTTTTTCCCAGAATGCCTTTTTCATAACCAATCCTGTTTTGATGTCTGCTTCTCAAGAACCTGAACTAACACAAATAGTATTAAGAGTGGTGCAAGGAAAATAGGGTCTGAGGACTATCTCACTTCCTACCCCTGGCAAAGGTAGAGGACCAGTGCCAGAAATTTCATTAAGGTGACCTGGGAAAATGCTATGGTACTGGGGAACTTCCACATGGGTGTAAAGATTCAGAAATTTAAAAAATACAGGGGCAACAATGCCTAGAAGGCTGTGGAGTTGGCTGGTTATTGCTATGTTGAATGAACTTCTTGTAGAGAGATGACGAGAAATTGAGGAATGTTATTAAGCAGTAAAAGGCTAGGTATTAGAGCCAGAGGTTCTCTTGTAAGCTTACAAAGAGGGTTTTGTCTCCTGCAGTGGAAGAGTAGACCCAGCTAAGGTAATAACTCATCATTAGTGTTTACATTCATTGAACTCAAGAGATGTCCAAGTGCGCAGTAAAAAGGTCTTTTCTGTTAAGGTCATGGATCTGGTTGGGAAAACTGGGGACTCTAAAATATGGGCTGGGACATCTGGATTAATGTTCCCGAAGATGTTGGTACTGGAGAACTTCTTTAACTGTCAGAGCTTGCAGGGGTGGCTCTCCTTTTCCTAGTAAGATGGCATATCATCATTAGCATCTGGCACGTGAATTTAATCAGAGGTTTCTATGTGCTTTTTATCCCCAATAAGACTTCTACATGAGTCGAGGAACCAAGAGGTGGAAGCAGGAATGGCATCACTTAACATGACTCACAATGATGGAGTCCTTTGTGCCTTTCCTACTCATAACTCCTAGCTCTTTGGCATTGGAGAACTTGATTTCCAGCAAGTTTCCCATTGAACTACAAAAATATGGATGCTACAAAAGCATAATGGACTCTGAATTTAAAGACCATCAGGTGAGAAGAAAAACTATCTTGGCAAGGGTAACTGACTGATGAGTGTGAGGAGAAAGGGCTTTTTTGTTACACAGTGTTGACAGAGAGGAATACATGGTGAACCCATGTGATCTACTTGGACCTTCTTGGTTCAGACTCTCAGAAATAAAAATTTTTAGTTATGCAACCACATAAATCACCAAGACTTGCTCAAGTGACAGTAATTGAAGGTTAGAGGAAATTACAATAGATTGTAGAGGAAGTGGGAGATTAGTACCAGTTGTAGTCATGAGAACAACTTCAGGAATGGGAGCTGTAGTTTGTCTGACTCACCTTCTACTTCCAGAATCTTTTCATGAAGGTCCACAGAAACAATGGAGGAACTAATCCCTGAATTATTTGGTGAAGGAGACCTGTGCAGTGTAAGGCGTGAACTATGGCAGCTGTGAGAGTGCATGCTCAGATCTCCCACTGTGAAGAGTATAGTTGACTGACACCCAGACCAAGCTGCTACCCTGCAGGATCCATCACCA
Source organism: Homo sapiens (assembly GCF_000001405.40). Classification (NCBI taxonomy): domain Eukaryota; kingdom Metazoa; phylum Chordata; class Mammalia; order Primates; family Hominidae; genus Homo; species Homo sapiens. Next base: position 167,016,968 of record NC_000002.12, on the reverse strand, counting down.
TGTTTACCTTAAGGCCATACTTCACCTGTCTTACTTCAAGCCAGTGAAAAAGCATGATATAAGAACTAAGTTCTTTTTTCTCATTTCTTCCCTAAGTCACTAAACTACTTTAATGGTGACTTTGTCTTAATAACTCTCCATCAGCTTGGTAAAAATTTGCTTGAATTGTGATGCAGGATGAGAATCTTCATACTCCATCCTCCTTCCTTACCTCTTTCCTTCCTCTGGGTTCAAATCTGAGTACTCTCCCTGCTACAGCTCCTGCTTCTTCCCTTTTATTTTTCATAGGCATTTCCTCCAATAAGTATCTTTTCGTTTGATTCTACCTTAGCAGCTGCTTCCCAGAGGACCTAAACTAACATAGGAACCAAGGAAGTAAAAGTACAGACTGTTTGAATAAGTCAATCTTTTGTGTTATATTGAGTACAAGTGTCTATGCAGAAGTTCATGAATTGTAAAGAGATGCAGCGCAATTTGTGGGATGTGGCTGAATTATGAAGTTTTGTTTTGCTTTGTCTTGCCCCTGAGGAGTTATGTCTTTGTTCAGGAGACTGAAGAGGCATCAAAGGAGACTTCTGTGTAAGATTTGTATTTTAGAAGGACCACTCTTTCCACTTTGTCAAGAAAGAAATATTGGTGAATTAGCTTTAGGACAGAGAATAGTCTTTACCTAATGAAACTGACTTTTAGGATGAAGAGAAATGGATAATTTAAGAGATATGCAATAATCAACAGAGATTGTTATTGTATTGATTGGAGAATATGAGGAGGAGGAAGGAGAAAAAGGAGGGGAAGATGAAGGAGAAAAAAGAGGAAGAGCAGGTTGAGGAGGAGGACGGAATCGACAAGGATAAATCTGAATTTATTTGAACAAAGAATATTGCTTTACATGAATACGTGAACTTGGAGGCTTGGAAGGGGAGAATAAAAGGACACCAGATATAATGAATTTGTGAACATGGGGAAAATGCAAGTCATGTTATGGAAGAGAGAGTTGGATATATGGGTTGAAAGTCAGGGTAGAGAGAGTTGGTAGAGACAAAGATATGGTAACTTAATTTATATAAAATATAAATTCTATATAATATTATAAGTGATCTAGGAGTGGTCCTGATTACCTAGGGAGGACATACAGAGAGACAGAAGAAGACAACTTAGGAAAGGAACAAATTATACCAACATCTCTACTTAAAAATTTTTACAAATGGGCATCTGCCTTCTCCAGGGTACTTAACCTTCCCTGTACCCTCTCTTCAAAGTTTCTCTTTCTGGCTCTCCATTTCTTGTTGATATATTTACATAGCCCTCAACAAGAAACACAATCTTATTAGAGCAATATAAATTAGTGCTTAAAGAGTAGGATTTGGAGTGGTAATATTGCAATTCTAGTTTTGCAACTTAGGTGACTTTAAGAAATTTATTTAAGCTATCAAACTCAATTCCTTCATCTGTAAAATAGGCATGAAAGGAAACCTACATCCCATAGAATGATAATGAGTTTAATATGATAGATAGATAGATAGATAGATAGATAGATAGATAGATAGATAAAAGACAGATAATCAACATCGTGTTTGGGATAGGTACTTAGTAGATATTAACTATTACTTTTATGATACAAAGAAAAGGCTGACTTTAGAATATTGAAGACACCTCAAAGTAGGGAAGATGACATTTTTTACTGGTTTATGTTGACTAGCAGTAATATGAACTTTTAAATTTTCTACAAATATTTTAACGCTATGTTTAATAAATTGCCATAGTATCAATTATAAGAAAAAGAGAAAAAATATTCAAATTTAAATCTATGTTAAATTTAGTGTATGTGGTGATGCCAGGTGGGCTGTTTATGACCAACTTGCCTGTGGTCAAAGGTGAGTCTTGGGAAAGAACTCATTTTTGCAGAAATAGGAGCCAGGCATATTGTTCTTGAACCACTACAAATGTTTTAGTTTGCAAAGGAGACTCGTGGATGTGTAAAATTATGGTTGATTGCATGACCTGCACAAGGAGGTGAGATTAGAGGCAATAAAATGTAATGTATTACCGTAGTGTTAAAAAGCACGAGGTTTAGAGGGATACACAAATCCCAGCCCCATTACTTATTAGCCATGTAACCTTAAGCAAGTGATTTAACCTTCATAAACCTCAGTTTTCTTAACTGTAAAATAGAACTTAACATTTGGCACAGGAAATGGCACACAATAAATAGCTAATGAATGTTAGCTATCATTGCTACTGCTACATCATTCATTCTGCTCAACATTTCATGAGCCCTTTCATTTTGAAAACATTTCACAGCTTTAACTCTGAGGAATTAACTTTTATAATGTATTTCCTTTTTTTTCACTATCTGATGTCCTATTGGGTTGCTCTATGTTTCATCTTTGCTTTTATATTCTCCACTTCTTTGTATTTTTGTTCTTTGCTCTGAAAGATTTCTTCAAATTTTATCCCACAGTCATTTTACAGATTTTTAAAACACAATCATTTCAAATTTCTAACAACTTTCCCTTTCTATAATTTTTCCTTTATATCGAATTGTATTCTTTTGTGGAAACAATATCTTCTTGATTTTCTCTGTTGTTATACCTCAATCTTTTTATATCTATTGTTGAGCTTGCTAGTTATTGTCATATTTCCTGAAACATCTTCTTCTTCTCAGTTTAGGCTTTCTGTTTGTTTATTCTGGACTTTTATTTTTGTTTATAGGTGTTCTCTGTGTGTCTAGTAATTTTTGACTGTCCCTTTTAATTTGTTTTTCCTAATGTGCATTGGCCTGCTTTCTGTTTCCTTAGATGGGAAGTCTGACTGGACTAGCAGTGAACAAGAAATGGTAAACCAATAAAAAGAGGGGGATAAGAGCATCATTATTTCTATGCAAATAGCAATAACATATAATTACCAAAAATTGTTACTGCTAGATTAATCATGAGCAGATTAATTATGATAGTGATCAAATGCTAAATATCCAGAACAATTTGCATTCAGTTTGTTCCACAAATCTCTTTAAGTCCTCACTCCCCTGTAAAGAAACAGATACTAGATACTGAGCTGATATATCAGAGTGTTGTAGGATGAGAACGAGGAAGAGGAATCTAATTACCCAATGCATTCTCAAAAGAAAAACCTTGGACCTACATGAAAAGATTGCATGTACATTCATAAATTCAAAGCTAAAATAAAATATTTAAGATATCCTTATATCATTTCTGGGATTTCTGTCTATAAGTTACTTTTTGATCCATTGCCCAAATAAATCCTAAGGCTATTACATTAGAAATGTGTTTTTAAATGGTAACAAATATGTCCCTTGACAAATAGAAAATCTAATGTTATAATTAGTACATTCATTTATATTTCACATATATATATAGTCTTTATATTATTTTAGGACTTCTATATATATTCTCCATGCATTTAGCATACACTTTCTAATATGAGGAAGAACCTTGCTAACCAGAAGGATCATTATCACTTGGGATCTTATTAAAAATGCAGTATCTCAGCTTCTCCCAGAACTAATGAGTCAGAATCTGCAGCTGATTCTTATGTTTATTTAAGACCGCATCAGTATATAAGAAAGAGGATCAACTTGAAAGTCACTATTTTTCAGTCTAGAATTGTTTTTTTCCTATGTGCTCTACATTAAAAATAATATACCATAATTTTAGAAGCATTATTGTAATATATTCAGAAAGAAACAGCATGGGGAAGAACATCAAGGAGCATCTGATATCATATATTTGCATGAAAGTCCTTGTACAGGTGAACAGAAATATATTGATAAACTGATTAAAATAAAGGCAAAGAGAAAATAACTGACATGAGTCATATTGGGAATGACCAAACTATATCAGAGCTACGATATAGTTTGGGTACACAATTTAACTGGTCAGTTAGTTGTCACATGATTCAATGCAAAAGGAGGATGGTTGATAAATTTTTAATTTAATTTATGTCCTAATGTCAATTTTACCACCAAGAAGGAAGAACATGTGATAAAAAATTTTACTACTACATCCTAATTTTTATCATCATGAAAGAACCAATGATGAACTGGAAATAACAAAACGCTGGAGAATTACAGCTAGCTATTTTGGAGTCTATGATATTGAAGGAAATTAAGGCATAGCCAGACTGAAAGGCTAGATTATGGGAAGTTAGATTTCAAAACATAGGAAGAATGTTGTGTATCATCTCTTAGTCTGAATCTCTAAAAGAAAAGCACTAAAAGGAGAGGCATATGATTTCAATGAAGAAAGAAGGAATCTGTGGCTAAAATAACCATTGATGCTGACCAGGACATTTTACAAGGACATGGAAAAATAGAGACGAGAATACATAAAGAAAGGTGAGTATATGGCCTACTATGTCATAATGATGGGAAACTTTAAATCTAGAAAGAAAGGCTCTTAAGTGTAGATGATTATGTGTACCACATAGTGTAATGTTAACAGCTATCAGAAAGAAGCTGGATTATTCAACTTTTACTTTGTTCATTTCTTTTTAGGTGTATTATAATCATTTGCTTACATCAGTTTCCTTTACAAAATTTAGGACAGAAATCTAGTCTGATTCATTCTGATACTACTAGAGCATAGTAGAAAGTAGAATCTTATTAAACTTCTGTTGATTTGATTAAAAGGGTACATAACGAAGTGAAGGCAGAAATAAAGATGTTCTTTGAAACCAATGAGAACAAAGACACAACATACCAGAATCTCTGGGACACATTCAAAGCAGTGTGTAGAGGAAAATTTATAGCACTAAATGCCCACAAGAGAAAGCAGGAAAGATCCAAAATTGACACCCTAACATCACAATTAAAAGAACTAGAAAAGCAAGAGCAAACACATTCAAAAACTAGCAGAAGGCAAGAAATAACTAAAATCAGAGCAGAACTGAAGGAAAAAACCCTTCAAAAAATTAATGAATCCAGCAGCTGGTTTTTTGAAAAGATCAACAAAATTGATAGACCGCTAGCAAGACTAATAAAGAAGAAAAGAGAGAAGAATCAAATAGACACAATAAAAAATGATAAAGGGAATATCACCACTGATCCCACAGAAATACAAACTACCATCAGAGAATACTACAAACACCTCTTCGCAAATAAACTAGAAAATCTAGGAGAAATGGATAAATTCCTCGACACATACACCCTCCCAACACTAAACCAGGAAGAAGTTGAATCTCTGAATAGACCAATAACAGGCTCTGAAATTGTGGCAATAATCAATAGCTTACCAACCAAAAAGAGTCCAGGACCAGATGGACTCACAGCCGAATTCTACCAGAGGTACAAGGAGGAACTGGTACCATTCCTTCTGAAACTATTCCAATCAATAGAAAAAGAGGGAATCCTCCCTAACTCATGTTATGAGGCCAGCATCATCCTGATACCAAAGCCTGGCAGAGACACAACCAAAACAGAGCATTTTAGACCAATATCCTTGATGAATATTGATGCAAAAATCCTCAATAAAATACTGGCAAACCGAATCCAGCAGCACATCAAAAACCTTATCCACCATGATCAAGTGGGCTTCATCCCTGGGATGCAAGGCTGGTTCAATATACACAAATCAATAAATGTAATCCAGCATATAAACAGAACCAAAGACAAAAACCACATTATTATCTCAATAGATGCAGAAAAGGCCTTTGACAAAATTCAACAACCCTTCATGCTAAAAACTCTCAATAAAATAGGTATTGATGGGATGTATCTCAAAATAATAAGAGCTATCTATGACAAACCCACAGCCAATATCATACTGAATGGGCAAAAACTGGAAGCATTCCCTTTGAAAACTGGCACAAGACAGGGATGCCCTCTCTCACCACTCCTATTCAACATAGTGTTGGAAGTTCTGGCCAGGGCAATTAGGCAGGAGAAGGAAATAAAGGGTATTCAATTAGGAAAAGAGGAAGTCATATTGGCCCTGTTTGCAGATGACATGATTGTATATCTAGAAAACCCCATTGTGTCAGCCCAAAATCTCCTTAAGCTGATAAGCAACTTCAGCAAAGTCTCAGGATACAAAAATCAATGTACAAAAATCACAAGCATTCTTATACACCAATAACAGACAAACAGAGAGCCAAATCATGAGTGAACTCCCATTCACAATTGCTTCAAAGAGAATAAAATACCTAGGAATCCAACTTACAAGGGACGTGAAGGACCTCTTGAAGGAGAACTACAAACCACTGCTCAATGAAATAAAAGAGGATACAAACAAATGGAAGAACATTCCATGGCCATGGGTAGGAAGAATCAATATCTTGAAAATGGCCATACTGCCCAAGGTAATTTATAGATTCAATGCCATCCACATCAAGCTACCAATGACTTTCTTCACAGAATTGGAAAAAACTAATTTAAAGTTCATATGGAACCAAAAAAGAGCCCGCATTGCCAAGTCAATCCTAAGCCAAAAGAACAAAGCTGGAGGCATCACGCTACCTGACTTCAAACCATACTACAAGGCTACAGTAACCAAAACAGCATGGTACTGGTACCAAAACAGAGATATAGATCAATGGAACAGAACAGAGCCCTCAGAAATAACGCCACATATCTACAACTATCTGATCTTTGACAAACCTGAGAAAAACAAGCAATGGGGAAAGGATTCCCTATTTAATAAATGGTGCTGGGAAAACTGGCTAGCCATATGTAGAAAGCTGAAACTGGATCCCTTCCTTACACCTTATACAAAAATTAATTCAAGATGGATTAAAGACTTTAACGTTAGACCTACAACCATAAATACCCTAGAAGAAAACCTAGGCTAATATTACCATTCAGGACATAGGCATGGGCAAGGACTTCATGTCTAAAACACCAAAAGCAATGGCAACAAAAGACAAAATTGACAAATGGGATCTAATTAAACTAAAGAGCTTCTGCACAGCAAAAGAAACTACCATCAGCGTGAACAGGCAACCTACAAAATGGGAGAAAATTTTCACAAGCTACTCATCTGACAAAGGGCTAATATCCAGAATCTATAATGAACTCAAACAAATTTACAAGAAAAAAACAAAGAACCCCATCAAAAAGTGGGTGAAGGAAATGAACAGACACTTCTCAAAAGAAGACATTTATGCAGCCAAAAAACACATGAAGAAATGCTCACCGTCACTGGCTATCAGAGAAGTGCAAATCAAAACCACAATGAGATACCATCTCACACCAGTTAGAATAGCGATCATTAAAAAGTCAGGAAACAACAGGTGCTGGAGAGGATGTGGAGAAATAGGAACACTTTTACACTGTTGGTGGGACTGTAAACTAGTTCAACCATTGTGGAAGTCAGTGTGGCGATTCCTCAGGGATCTAGAACTAGAAATACCATTTGACCCAGCCATCCCATTACTGGGTATATACCCAAAGGACTGTAAATTATGCTGCTATAAAGACACATGCACACGCATGTTTGTTGCGGCACTATTCACAATAGCAAAGACTTGAAATCAACCCCAATGTCCGACAATGATACACTGGATTAAGAAAATGTGGCACATATACACCATGGAATACTATGCAGCCATAAAAAATGATGAGTTCATGTCCTTTGTAGGGACATGGATGAAATTGGAAAGCATCATTCTCAGCAAAATATCGCCAAGAACAAAAAACCAAACACCACATATTCTCACTCATAGGTGGGAATTGAACAATGAGAACACATGGACACAGGAAGGGGAACATCACACTCTGGGGACTGTTGTGGGGTGGGGGGAGGGGGGAGGGATAACTTTAGGAGATATACCTAATGCTAAATGATGAGTTAATGGATGCAGCACACCAGCAGGGCACATGTATACATATGTAACTAACCTGCACATTGTGCACATGTACCCTAAAACTTAAAATGTAATAATAATAAAATAAAATAATAAATAAATAAATATTGCCAATAGGAAGTTGCAGCAGTGGCTAATATAAAAGAAATTAATCTCTTAAAATATTTATATTGAAAAATATTATTGCGATTATTAGATATTTGAAAAATTGAATAAAATTCTAAATTAGGTGAAAAGTATGTTGTGTTAAACTCAGAAAGGAGACATTATACAATATACTCATCTTTGTTGAATGTATCCAAAGTGACTAAGAAAATATGAAATATAAAATTTTTAATTTCCATTTTTCTTTGTAGTTTTGAATGGATATTACATTAACACAGCTAAAAAGTTGGGATGCACAAAGGTCCATAATTATGTACTTATTTAGTTTCAGGTTTGTGATTATTTTTTAAAGCAGTTTATGTTTTCACAGTTGTATATGTCAACAATGTATTGTCTATTTTTCCTTATTTCTGTGATGTAAGTAAAAATTCATATATTTTTTTAAAAAACAAAATCTTCAAACCACTGTTGCCTCCAATTTCAATCTTCCACTTTATTTCCTTCCATAGCTGCCCTCCGTTATTAATTCTTTAAGTAACCTCATGTAACATGAGTAAATAGTATATAAAATGGGGGAGTGGAAAGACCATTTTATTATGACAGAATTTTATGGCTTCATAAAACTCCATCACATTATAGCTTCTTTATTACAGTTCTAGTCAACACACTTTAGAGTAATGTGAAACATAATCAGAAAAGAGAGACCAGCTTAGTATTCTCATATAAAAACCAATTGAAGAAACTGATAATACTTTCCAGTAAAAATAAGACAGAGAGAAGAATGACAGATCTCTCTTAGCAGAAAAAAAAATTTTGTTTTGTTTGATCTCTGAAGATAGAGCTTGGGTCTATAAATAAAAGATATATGTTGACAAATTAGAGTTAATCATAAAGAAAAAAATTCTGACCATATGTCCTATAGTGAAATGAGATAAAAGTAAATTCAATCCAAGGATGGCTCCTGGCTTCATGGAGCCTGCAGCTTTTGCAATTTGGACATCCCCTTTAAGAAGACAAACAGAAATACATAACTGGAATACAAAAGTAGGCACAAAGTGAATACTTACAATGAGAAAATATTCAACAAAGCATACATTTTCAAAAGATGTCAAATACCACAAATATTATAAAATCCAAATAATAACCTAATTATTTTAAGTGCCCACCAGACTTGTCTAATACTTCCCCTTCCACATTTTAAAAATGTACACACTTTGATCATGTCTTTTTTGTATAATAATTTTGTTATATCTTCTATTAGATTCTGAAAAGATAATTCAATATTTTCTCTGCCAAGCTTCATTAATGTGTGTGTGTGTGTGTGTGTGTGTGTGTGTGTGTGAGAGAGAGAGAGAGAGAGAGAGAGTGTACATGTGGGTAAGATATATGTATATTAAAAATTTATAATAGATTTTGTTTAAGACATGTACCACATATTACTGCCCCATTCCCCCCAGTACATACAACTTACCTAACTATCAATATCCCACACCAGGGTGATACAGTTGCTGCAATCAATGAATCTACTTTGCTACATATTATTACCCAAATTCCATAAGTATAATTTGAAAAATTATAGATTATTACTGATTAACATTACTGGTAATGTCATTTTTTCTGAGATATCCTAAATTAATGACTACAGTTTATAATCTAATTTCAGCTCTAACATTTTGTTATATACAAAGAATAATTTTTAGTGATTTAAAAAATGTATTGTGGAACCCTAACTTTTAAAATATTTTGTTCTTTTCCACCTCTATAATTTATATGATATCCCATCATTGGTGACTTAACCCCAATTCAAACATTTTCATGTAGAAAAATATGACCCAGGCTCAAGTGTGGTTTTCAGATATGTTTAATTTGTTTTAAAAATGAGTCTTTTGTACATAATTAGGTACTTCTTTTAGAGACATAGAAATTATTTCAATGTCTGTGAAGAATCAAAAGATTTGCAAATAAGAGAAATAAGATGTACTTTGTGCAGTGAAACATTGTTGCTATTATAACACTGTACCAGGTGCTTTTCCTTTAGTATGGTATATCTGAGGGTTTTAATTCTGCAATCCATTGAAGTCTTCTTCATTGTTCCTATAGATTTTCATTACTTTTCTAGATTACTTTAGTGAAAAATGAATAGGTTTAAAGTTAATATTAAAGAATGGGAAAGATGAGGCCTTGAGAAGGATAAGAAAGGTTTACAGACTTAAATCTTTAGGATTGCCAGAATATTACTCAAAGAAGAAAAAATATTATAATCAGAAGAAAATTTATTGGTGTGCTGGGATTTTAACAATGTTTTCAATTCACCCTAAGGATTTTTTATTCCGCTACTGACAGGAAAACTATGTGCCTGTTGCTGGGATGCTTGGTCTACTTTGCTCCCCAAGGATTTTACATGTTCTTCTCTGGCTATAAATAATCTGGTGCCATTTCCTGCCTCAGAAGGAACTGTCTTGCCCATCAGGCAGCTGAACACCCCCATGGTAATATCATGCAGTGCAGCTTAGAAACAGAAATCACAAAAACACATTCAATTTCCAGAGAAGAATATTTCTCATCGTGAATAGGCAACAACAGTCTTGAAAAAGAAAAAGATAATGCCACGGTTCTTTGTATACAAGGTTTTACTTTTCCCACCCAAGTAGTAGCAGACTTTTCTCCCCACCTTTTTGTCAAAGACTTTGGATCCTCTACACATTACATTCCCCCCGCCCCACCATTGAACTGTGGGCTCCTTTGCCATCTACAAAGTCTTCTCTAACTCCTAGGGGGGATAAAAAATCCTTGGTAGCTTCAAACATCATTTACAGTCATTTCATATCCAAGTATCTTACCCAAAGCTCCTCGAAATGTCTTGTAACTCCTGCTTCAGCCTCATTTTAATCCACTTATTCTCAAAAATAACATTGAAAATCTAAAACTTGCCAGGCACCATGGTAGATTCTGGAATAAGGTAATCAGTAAAATCAACGTAGTACCTAGCCGCATGAATTTGACATTCTAAAAGTAAATGATCTTAAATAACTTATCACATAAAGACTTCCAAAGTTATGATTGTGCCAAGAGTTATGATTCTGATGTGGACACGCATCAGACCAAACAGATTTGGAGCAGTGCTGCTGTCCTCATGCATACTCTGATTCTGATCCAGAAGGTTGGTCAGATTCTGATCCAGAAGGTTGTCAAGAATTTTTAAGCCCTTTGTAATTTTGGCTCAGCAAACAGCCAGTTGTGTAATTTTTTTTTTTTTATCAATAAAGAGATTCTACATGCTATATTTAAAACTTGGCCAGTACTTTCCAGATGTTCATTATTTGTCTTTTGTTTCAAATAATTTAAGATCATCCTGCTCCATGCTAACCTCTGGGTAAATTGATAACAGTTACATAACTTCTTCTAATGTGTAATCCCCATAACTAGAAGTTATTTATGAGGTAATTCATTCTAAAGCCTTCTCTATTTTACGTTGAATAATCTCCAAATCTTTATAATTGTTTTAAAGTTTTTCAGTTATTCTAAATAATTCTCAGTTGTTTTAAATAATTCTCAACATTTTCAGCACCCACTGACTCACTGGGTGACTTTAATTAATCCCTTTACATCTTAGTTTCTTCATCTGTACATGTTGGACTTGAACTACAGTGTTGTCTAGAAGGTTCCCTCCAGCTGGTACAGCCCATGATTCACCACCTGCAGTGACTTCATTGGCAAACAAACAAAACAGATAAAAGATGTCCTAGGCTAATATAGTCTCTAAAGAATATGACAAAATATATTCTTGTTTCTTCTGAAGAGTAAGTGGGAAGAGTATGTGTATTTAGGATGGAAAGTGATTCACTTCCTTATTATGTGCAGTGGGACTCTCAGAAAAATTGGAAAAACTATGAAATTTGTTTTAACTTGTTATTTGCAAATGCATCATGCCAGAGGTATGATAACCCCCACCATGGAACTTTTTATTTTACATTATATTAGTTACTTTCTTTTTTGAATTTATTATTTCTTGCCAATAGTGGCCTGATCTGTCTGCTACAAAAAAATCCCATCAATGGCAAGTAATAACGAAGGTCACTTCAATTCACCTGAAACATACTGTTACATTGCACCATGTCAGTTAAAAATGAAAATTTTATAAGGAAACAATGTTAGGACTTTCAACAGAGGCCTTGTATCTGTGAGAATCTATCTACACTGTTTTAGATGGGTGGATTGGCCTTAGTTTCTGTATTTCATCATTTTTGTTGCTCTTTTGGTCTTCGATTACTGATTTGACTGTGGACATTGAATCATGCACTAACTAGATTTCAAATTGGTGCCCTAGATTCTGCTAACCCACAATCTCACCTTGTCCATGACCTGAATTCTGTTTCTGCTATACATTTGTACTTGAAATAGCTTCCGGTCCTCTAATGCCTTTGTCTTGTCCTCCTTTTTTTACTTGATTAACTCACAGTTCAGAGGCCTTACGTTGCTACACAGCCGAGATATGACATCTTCTTTCTTTTACAAATTGTCACGTGTTCCTATTCAATGTATGGTCTGGTACCTTCTGATTCTAAAGTTCTTAGCTGCATTTTAGTGGCATTAAATGTTTTAGTTGCATTTACACATTAAACTAATCAATAGAATGTCTGGCAAATAGTTTTTAATAAAAACTGCTTTATTGACTTGCTTTGAAGTCAAATGGTCCTGCCATTTAATATTGTGATGAACCTTGGGAAAGTACAAAATTCCTTTTGGTCTCAGATTTCATATCTATGTATCTCCCAGGGTTATAAAAGAATTATGAGATCATATGCATACCTGCAGCTAAAATATGACTGGCACATAATGGGCACTTAATAAATAATCATGGCTGTTGCCTTCTTATATTGCTGATAATATTCTCATAGATAAAAAGGCATTTGGGTTTTCATTATAATATTCTAGAAATAAAAACATTCCATGGACTTTCTTTCTCTTTCTTATATAATCTTTGAAATTGAGGAATTTAACAACTTTATTAAAATGAAATGACAATGAAATTATTTCCTGCATTAACCAGAAATATTTTAACTCGATAATTTAAAACCTTCCAATAATTTATGTTGTTATCCTAATAATTAAATTTTTTACAATTATTTTGCAATATATTTGATAGCAGTATTCCAGATGGATAAAGATGTTATCAGAAACACAGTTTATTAAGAAAAGCCAAAATACATGATTAAGTAGATTCTTGTATTTTCATTTTCATTTGCAGCATCAGCTGGAGTTATTGGCATGAATACAAATTTCATTATGTCATTTACCACCTGAAATCCTCCAGCAGCTTTCCATTGCTTCGAGAATAAAGTATAACATTTAAAATCTCTTTAAAGTCTTCTTTCTACCATTCTGTGTCACTTTCTTTAGGAGCAAATTCTCCAATTACTCAAAAATATTTTCACTCATAATAAATACCCCAACCATACTGAGTTACATGCTGTTCCCTAAATCTTTCATACTTCTTCACACTTGCATAAATTTGCACTCTGATTTTTGTGTCTGGGCTATCACTCACCACCTCTCTCCACACACAGATACTTGATGATAAAATGTATTGAAACATTAATAATCAGCTCAAATATCTTCTCTTCTTTGAAGGTTTCTAACCCCCCAACTGTTTTTAGTGTTCTCTATTCTTCCCAGTATTCCCTTTGCACTTTTCAGGCATCTTTTTCAGAATTTATTTAATTCATCCTATTCTAATTAGGTTTTTATATTTCTATCTCCTAATGTAATGGTAAAAATTCTTCAAGGGAAGGGTTCTCATTTTTTATCTTTTTTTTTCTACCTATGCCAGTCCTACACAAGTGTTTGTGGGCCAAATAAATAGGGATTTTTTGTATATAAGTTTCACCTGCAATTAATGAGTATTACATATGTTTTTGATTGTCACATTATATCTCTACTTCCTTCTCTCTGTAATGTAGAAATGTTTCATTCTCTCTTGGTATTTCTACTTCAAACCTGTGTATTTTATAAATTGTTCAATAAGAGAAACATAAGAAATGATGGTTCTGAGTAATATGCAAATATGCTAGTGACTTTTCTTTTTCAAATTTCATAAACTATAGGGTTAATAAGCCATGAGCATCTGACAATCCAAGCATCAAATAGGAAGCATAACATGTCCTGAAATACATTAATACCATATTTGAATATTTAAAGAACTATTTAACAAAGATAACATTATCATCTTTCTTTTCACTCACACAATGCCAATTAATTTTTCTTTTATTCAACAAATATTCATTGAAAATTACTATGTTTAAGACATTAAACTGGATATTCTGAAAAATATTTATTACTTTCAAAGAATTTAACTTCTATAAGGTGAGATAAGACATCCTTATAAATAAGCCAGACATTGATAAATGAATAAAGTAATAACAAAATACAAGTTCAAAAGAAGGAAAGATAATTCTCTTTTAGAAATGGAGAAGAAAACTTGAGTTGTACCTTAAGACATTAACAATGTCTGGCCATGTGATGATGGAAAATTACCAACCTTTCAACTTTTCAGTATTTGTCCTCTTCCTATTCTTGGTGAAGCAAAGAGTATAGATATTAAATATCCACCATAATCATGTTAGACACTTAAATTACATGTTAGACACTTAAATAAAAACATTATGACTGGCATCCTGATGACAATGAATATTTGAGTATGACATTGAACCACAGCCAGATTGATTTGCCTACATGATGAATTTGTAAAACTAGATTTTTTAAACAGATTTATCCAGGGCATAACTGGCTCTGCCCTCTGGTTGGGGTTATTCATTATTTCAATCCGGATGCTTTAGGTAATAAATCTGATTTTAAAATTGCAGGAAAATGATATTGTTGTATAGTTATACAATTATATTTTGGCCACAATTAACTTGAAACAAGCCATGTAAACTTTGAAACTTTCAGTTTAGAATTATTTGTATAGCTCTCTAAGAAATCATGTAATTTTGTAAAGAATTAAAATGCTGCTTTAGTGAACAGCATGGTAATATTTTTCCAAATAATTATTTCAAGTGAAAGTGAAATATTTTAAATAAGTTTTCAGAATTAAAGAGTAATTTTTCCTATGTTTGTTGAAATAAAAAGCTAAATGAGGAAAATAAAAATGTCAAAGTGCTACACAACATTTTTCAAGCATCGGAAAGAATGGTTCACTTATCTCTTAATTGTTTATGATTCTTTAACTATAGTTACATTTAGAGAATTATAAAGTCACAGGAAGAAGATATCATTGCAAACATAATAAATCAAAGCCAAGTAAGTAGAGAGATATCTGAAAAATCAAAAGATATGTTTTTGTACTAGGGGCACTTACAAAATCCTAAGTTTTACAGGATGTATTTCATTTCAGTTTAACAGTTAACTAATAATGCAGGTTATTTACAATAGGAAAACTTCATAAGAATTTCATTGATTGATAGTAATGATTGGGTGACCACTGACTGATAGCGTTATTTCTAGTACCATATTTTTTCTGGTTTCATAGTTTATTTTACACTAATATGTTCAGAGCTTAAGATTTACTGTGTATAGAAAATAGTAAGAAAACATTTTGAAACTATTGTTTATTATAGATATCATTTGAGGTGAAACAAGTTATCTGCTTATTCAATATGATCCCTAGCGTTTATCCTAACTCAGAATCTGAATCAGCAAATTTCTTTTTATTGTGGCCTTTCAGAAAATACCCAGAAAGATGAGGTGCATGTGCATGTGTTCTTGGGGGAGGTAGGCTATTACGTAGGCGGATGGGATGCAGACACAGCTATTGATGATACTTTTAGTGCTTGGTGTTAGAGTTATTTATCCAATAGGCATAGGAAGCACCTGTTTAGGGTATCGGTAACATTAAATCATCCACCCCACTAATATATTTTCAAAAGAACTTAGTATATAATTGTTAAGAAAATATTAAACTAATCATTATAGAAAATGATCAAAATTTCTTCATACTTATTTTTTAAGAAATGGAGGCTGAAGTGAAGGGGCTATTTACAGGCACAATAATAATACACTATAACCTCGAACTCCTGGTCTCGAGCTATCCTACTGCCTCAGCCTCCCAAGTAGCTGGTACTACAGGTCTGCACCACTGCACCTGGTCAGACTTTCTTATATCCATTGTATTCTTTACTATTTCCATTATTTGAATAAGATATGGGAAGGAAATTTTAATTTTTTGAGGGCTAGACTATCAAAGACATTATGATTGTATCAAAAGTGCACAGTAATGTCCCAATGTCCAAATTTGAAACAATTGGAATATAGATCCTGAAAATAACTGTAAATGATTGAAACATAAAATGTTTACCTCTGGGTAAACAAGGAGTGGATGCAGGAATAGGTCCTTTATAACCAACTTTTCAAACCTAATGAATTCATGGATCTGGACATCCATGGCCACAAACATAACAAAAGAAACATGTTTTTTTTCTTGGAAGAATCCATACCACTTCTAAAGCCATGTTGATCATAAAACAAAAAAAAAAACAAAAAAACCCCAAAACAAAAACCAATCAAACTTGACCAAATTAACCCTAGCTCTAACTACCAATTTAAAAGACATTCAGAGATCAGAGAAACGTAGTGATGCAATTAGAAAAAGTAACAATTAAGGAAACTCTACAGGAAAATTGTCCAGGTTTCTTCAACAAATAAAAACAAGCAAAAAAGAAATTAAAAGTATCTTATGAAACCCATGAAACAATCACTATGTGTGGGCCTTTTTGGATCTTCAATCAAGAGGAAACTATCATAATTTCATTTTTCTGAGAAAGACAACATAAAGTAGCTAAGGCACAAGAGGAATACTTTCAATTTCATCAGTGATATGTTCTCTAATATTCCCTAGCAAATATTATTTTTACATTTTCCTAACTGAAACACTTCCATATTTATGACAGAAAACCCAGTGGGCAATTTGTTTTACACTATTATCAGGGTTGGGTTTTCTGCAATCACACATTTCAAATGGAAATTTATTTTGCAACATAGTTGCCTACTTTATGCCAAATATCTTTTTAAAATTAAGGTAAAATCTTTTTTACCTCTACTTGAGTTCTCTACAGGATAAATATTTTTTTCTTATAATAATTTTCTTCTAGCTACAAGGAAAGAAAGAATTTTGAAAATAGCCCTAAATTCTGAGAAAATATTCCCCTTTCTATACAAAATTACACCAGAATGACTTGAAATGCTCTTGAATTTTTAGTTCTCTATGTCAGGAAGAAAAAATGTTGTTGACAAGTTAATTATCTCTTGCTTAAGTTTGTCAGATGCTCTATGTTTCCCTGTAAGACTGTAGATTTGAAATTAAATCATTTATTTTAAGCGAGAATTAAAATGGGTGAATGACTGACATTCTAAGACATGGTGTAAAATAGAGACAGAACTGGCCCTTGAATGAATTGTAAAAGGGTATAAAAATGTATACTGACTTGACCATTCAACATTAAATTTATCAGTCAAGTTTAGGAACATGGATGTACGTTGCATGTACATTGCCAATGGTTTCTTTGTTATTTGGCACAAAGAAAAGAAACCAGTACTGAAAGAGCAGTACCTGGGCTACTGCTCTTTTTTATTTTTCCTTTTCCTTTTAAAAATATTTTCTTTACTTCTAAAATTAGAAAAGTAATACATATTCAAGCGGAAATAAGCAACAGAGAGAAATAAACAGAATAAAATAACATCTACTAGTTGTTTTACTCAGACTGCCATGGTTTGAGATATATTTTCAAGTTTTTCATATTTCACAAGATATGTGCATATACTAAATGGTATCAAAATAAAGCTATTTCTTAAACTGCTCTTTCTTGGCATATAAATATATTAAGCATCCTTCAACCTTCAATCCCTCAACCTAAGCAAATATTTTTATGTATTTATTTTATCTTCCACTTAAAAATAAATATATGATTTTAAATACAGAATAGATGGTTATTTTATCAAAAATTCACTAAAAGCCAAAAGACAATTTTAAAATCAATTTTGAATTTAAGAAATGTAGATATTTTAAATTCATTTTCTAGGATTTAATTACCTTAATATTTTAAGTTTTCAGTTGTTAAAGATAAACAGAGGTACATCAAAATTGTAATGAGTTTCTTTAAGCATTCAGCAATTCACCAATCAGGCAGCATGAGACCTCAGGTGGTTCAGGGATCCACCAAGGGGGCACCAGGAGAAAACTTTTATAAGGCATGTGAAGAAGCAAGACAAAGAAAATATTTGATTGGTTAAAGTGGAAAGTCACTAGTCAAAGGTTAGTTGGCAGTTTCTGATTGGTTAAACTTAATCTTTCTTTTCATAGGTTATGACCATTCACTCTGAGTTGAGTTTTGGTTTTCATTTTGTTTTGTTTTTTTGAGATGGAGTCTCGCTCTTTCACCCAGGCTGGAGTGCAGTGGCGCTATCACAGCTCACTGCAAGCTCCGTCCCCTGGGTTCACGCCATTCTCCTACCTCAGCCTCCCGAGTAGCTGGGACTACAGGCACCTGCCACCACCCCCAGCTAATTTTTTGTATTTTTAGTAGAGACAGGGTTTTGCTGTGTTAGCCAGGATGGTCTCGATCTCCTGACCTTGCGATCCACCTGACTCGGCCTCCCAAAGTGCTGGGATTACAGGTATGAGCCACTGCTCCTGGCCGAGTTTTGGTTTTCTTACATAGGAACTTAACATCTTGGAGTCACCTTAACCTAATGGTTTGTCAATTAATTTTTTTTAGTTTAATTTTGTTTTATTTTAAATTCTGGGATACATGTGCAGTACATGCAGTTTGCTACTTAGGTAAACGTGTGCTGTGGTGATTTGCATGCGTATGTTCATTGCAGCACTATTCACAATAGCAAAGACATGGAATCAATGCAAAATAATTTTTAAACATAATGAAATCTAGAGGATAGAGTTGAGAATCACATGCATTTTATGTGTATTCTGAAGAAATTACAAGGAGTGTAAATTTACTTAGAAATTTCATAATATCTCTCTCTACTTCTTAAATTGTAACTCTATGTGATGTATAGAAATCAACATCTAAACCAAAATGGCGCTCAGTAAGCGTTAGTCAACTGAACTTCTTCTTCTTTTTTTTTTTTTGAGATGGAGTCTCGCTCTTTCACCAGGCTGGAGTGGAGTGGCACACAATCTTGGCTCACTGCAAGCTCTGCCTCCCGGGTTCAAGTGATTCTCCTGCTTCAGCCTCCCGAGTAGCTGGGACTACAGGTGCCCGCCACCATGCTTGGCTAATTGTTGTATTTTTAGTGGAGATGGGGTTTCACCATGTTGGCCAGGATGGTCTTGAGCTCTTGACCTAGTGATCTACCTGCCTCAGCCTCCCAAAGTGCTGAGATTACAGGCGTGAGCCACTGTGCCAGGCCCCCCAAGTCAACTGAACTTCTTAGCAAAATTCATTTTATGAAAAGTCAAAGCATGCATTTTCTACAAAATTCACCTTAAATAAGGTCATTTTTGTGTAATTTACATTCATTGAGGAGATAAAGACTGGAAAAAAATATTAAATGGAACCTATTCTCTATGTGAATGATACACTGAATCAGATTTTCTTAGCAACTAACCTACCTCCTCATTTAAACATTTTTTTGTGTAGCTGTTTTAGGTTATGTGAGTTATTAATTTGATCTTAAAGTATAATTTGGGACTTGAAAAATACAGAATTATAAGCTGAGGATTTTTGTGTAAACAAGAAATAAAAATGCCTATAAGGTTCATGACAGTCTAAAGAGTTATGAAACAAATAGGGTTAAGAATGTAGTAAAGAATAAAAGGTAGGTTGGAGAAAGATTAATAAAAAATCCTGTGAAAATGAGATTTCATATTTTTGAAATATATCAGTGCTAAATGTGTTCTGTACCAAAATGAAGGTATGATCATACCAAATGTAGGTATGACCTTACATTTAGGTCCAGTAGACGTCCTCCTTCATAGTATAAGCAACACAAAGAAAACTTATTCATTTTTCTGTCATATCTAGGACTGTTCATTTTAGGTATATTTTGATTTAACTTCTCTTTATTAAGGTGTAAATGTTATCTAGCAAAGACAAATATTATTCTTTCCTTTAAGTAACTTAATCAGTCTTTTGGGAATGAGAGCAGGTTAGGTTAATTTCGAAACAGAGGTGGGATCTGGACAGAAGTGAAGATTGAGTGAGTTCCTAAATTTGAGAGGTGAGTTTATGTGTGTGTGTTGTGCACTGGAGTGGTCGTAAGAAGGGGTGCTCAACCCAGCACAGCAATGCATCATCTTGGTTCAGGCCGACTACAATTTTATTGTATTACACTAGATATATAGAATTCTGAAACATACTGAAAAAATGCCAACTAGACATTTTATTTATTATTTATTTTTATTTTTTGGGAAAAAGTCTTGCTCTGTTGCCCAGACTGTAGTGCAGTGGCATGATTTCGGCTCACTGAAACCTCTGCCTCCTGGGGTCAAGCAATTCTCCTGCTTCAGCCTCCTGAGTAGCTGAGATTACAGGCGTGCATCACCACGCCTAATTTTTGCACTTTTATTAGAGATGGGTTTTCACCATGTTGGCCAGGCTGGTCTCAAACTCCTGGTCTCAAGTGATCTGCCTGCCTCGGCCACCCAAAGTGCTGAGATTACAGGCATAAGCCACTGTGCCCAGCCCAACTAGACATTTTAGAATTTTACTTATGTTGGCAAATAACTTTGCCAACTTACAGATAAGTTTGCAAGTTTGTACTCTGGGCTTGTTTTACGTTTCACCAAATTTGAATCCTCTTTCGATTTACTAGTTCACTCACTCACTCATTCACTTCTCTGTCAAATAATTACTGTGTATCTACTATGTACCAGGAACTCTCCTAAGACTAAATATAAGAAAAGAAAAAGATTCAACCCTTGCCCTCAAGGAGCCTACAACTTGGAGTGGGATCCTGAGACATTAAGTAGTCGTTTATAAAACAGTGATTGGTACCTTGGTCATGCTATTCAAGACTCATATAAATGGAGGGGCAGAAGAAAAAGAGGAGAGGAGCTGTCAAGTAGAGTTAATTTAGGTGCTGAATCTTGAAAAGTAAAGGATGATTCAAATGAGGCTGGTGAAAGCTGAGGAAAGTAGGCCTCAGGACAGTGCAAGTATAGGCTCTGCGATAAGAAGTGGCATTTGATGACTTGGAATGAGGGCTAACACAATTCTCTTCAAGGAAACAGCCAAGGGCAAGGAATTTTCCTATAATCTCCACCTACTACAAATTTTATAACAGCTTAAAAGGTCAGTAATGCTCTACACCTGCTAAGAAATTTGTGTTTGAAAATTACTTTCACAACAAAAGTGTTATATAGCAATTGTTTTTATTGCTTCTTTTATCCCCATATTATAGGAGATGGAGAAATTTAATAGTCTATCTTTAATTTTATAGTAGACACAGAAGGGACATTTTCTCAATCTCTTTAAACTCAATTGCAATAGAACAAATATTATCAAGAACCTTGTAGATGATGTGACAAATTTTGCAGAAAAAGGTTCTTACTGCTTCTGCATCTTTAAAATTGCCTCATAACTGATCATCAGCCCTAACTGATCCTGGCCAAGAATTCTCCGTGGAACCTTCAGTAATTTAGAGAGGCAGTACTTGTGGTAAAGTACCACTTAAAGCATCACTTAGAGAAAAGAGGTCACTAACGTTTTTGCCTTAAAGATGAAATTCAGTAGGGCTCAGCCACGCAACAAAGCATATATCCAAATGCCAGATGGCTATTTCTACAATGTACATACACTAGCAATTTCTTAGAACCCAACAATAAATAGTGCTTTTGCTAAAATAAAGAGGTCAGGCCAGGCGTGGCTGCTCACACGTGTAATCCCAGCACTTTGGGAGGCCGAGGTGGGGGGATCACGAGGTCAAGAAATTGAGACCACCCTGGCCAACATGGTGAAACCTGATCTCTACTAAAAATACAAAAATTAGCTGGGCGAGGTGGTGCGCACCTGTAGTCCCAGCTTCTAGGGAGGCTGAGGCAGGATAATCACTTGAACCCGGGAGGCGGAGGTTGCAGTGAGCTGAGATGGAGACTCGGTCAAAAAAAAAAAGAAGTCAAAGCCCACATTTTTCTCATTTTTACTTTTTATTGTATAATATTTATAGGATTAAAAATGTGTAAATGTAGTACACAATTCCTGTAAACCCTTAAACTAGTTTCCCCTAATGACATCATCATTTACATAACCATAGTACAGTTACTGAAATGAGGAAATTAACACTGACATAATACTATTAACTCACCTTTAGATCTTACTCAAATTTTTAAAGTTTTTTTTTTTTTTGATAGACTGAGGAATCCAGGCTTTAATTTTTGACATTACACTGCAATTGAAGAATGGATTCAACGTAAATATCATTAACATCATTGCTGTCCTACCATATTGTAATTTGAAGACATCCAGAAGTGCTATTGAAATGCAGTATTGGAAGCCTTACCTACACATTAAATTAAGCCTTCAAATTTTTTTTTTTTTTTTTAATTTTTTTTTTTTTATTATACTCTAAGTTTTAGGGTACATGTGCACATTGTGCAGGTTAGTTACATATGTATACATGTGCCATGCTGGTGCGCTGCACCCACTAACGTGTCATCTAGCATTAGGTATATCTCCCAATGCTATCCCTCCCCCCTCCCCCGACCCCACCACAGTCCCCAGAGTGTGATATTCCCCTTCCTGTGTCCAAGTGATCTCATTGTTCAATTCCCACCTATGAGTGAGAATATGCGGTGTTTGGTTTTTTGTTCTTGCGATAGTTTACTGAGAATGATGGTTTCCAATTTCATCCATGTCCCTACAAAGGACATGAACTCATCATTTTTTATGGCTGCATAGTATTCCATTGTGTATATGTGCCACATTTTCTTAATCCAGTCTATCATTGTTGGACATTTGGGTTGGTTCCAAGTCTTTGCTATTGTGAATAGTGCCGCAATAAACATACGTGTGCATGTGTCTTTATAGCAGCATGATTTATAGTCCTTTGGGTATATACCCAGTAATGGGATGGCTGGGTCAAATGGTATTCCTAGTTCTAGATCCCTGAGGAATCGCCACACTGACTTCCACAATGGTTGAACTAGTTTACAGTCCCACCAACAGTGTAAAAGTGTTCCTATTTCTCCACATCCTCTCCAGCACCTGTTGTTTCCTGACTTTTTAATGATTGCCATTCTAACTGGTGTGAGATGATATCTCATAGTGGTTTTGATTTGCATTTCTCTGATGGCCAGTGATGATGAGCATTTCTTCATGTGTTTTTTGGCTGCATAAATGTCTTCTTTTGAGAAGTGTCTGTTCATGTCCTTCGCCCACTTTTTGATGGGGTTGTTTGTTTTTTTCTTGTAAATTTGTTTGAGTTCATTGTAGATTCTGGATATTAGCCCTTTGTCAGATGAGTAGGTTGCGAAAATTTTCTCCCATTTTGTAGGTTGCCTGTTCACTCTGATGGTAGTTTCTTTTGCTGTGCAGAAGCTCTTTAGTTTAATTAGATCCCATTTGTCAATTTTGTCTTTTGTTGCCATTGCTTTTGGTGTTTTGGACATGAAGTCCTTGCCCACGCCTATGTCCTGAATGGTAATGCCTAGGTTTTCTTCTAGGGTTTTTATGGTTTTAGGTCTAACGTTTAAATCTTTAATCCATCTTGAATTGATTTTTGTATAAGGTGTAAGGAAGGGATCCAGTTTCAGCTTTCTACATATGGCTAGCCAGTTTTCCCAGCACCATTTATTAAATAGGGAATCCTTTCCCCATTGCTTGTTTTTCTCAGGTTTGTCAAAGATCAGATAGTTGTAGATATGTGGCATTATTTCTGAGAGCTCTGTTCTGTTCCATTGATCTATATCTCTGTTTTGGTACCAGTACCATGCTGTTTTGGTTACTGTAGCCATGTAGTATAGTTTGAAGTCAGGTAGTGTGATGCCTCCAGCTTTGTTCTTTTGGCTTAGGATTGACTTGGCGATGCGGGCTCTTTTTTGGTTCCATATGAACTTTAAAGTAGTTTTTTCCAATTCTGTGAAGAAAGTCATTGGTAGCTTGATGGGGATGGCATTGAATCTGTAAATTACCTTGGGCAGTATGGCCATTTTCACGATATTGATTCTTCCTACCCATGAGCATGGAATGTTCTTCCATTTGTTTGTGTCCTCTTTTATTTCCTTGAGCAGTGGTTTGTAGTTCTCCTTGAAGAGGTCCTTCACATCCCTTGTAAGTTGGATTCCTAGGTATTTTATTCTCTTTGAAGCAATTGTGAATGGGAGTTCACTCATGATTTGGCTCTCTGTTTGTCTGTTGTTGGTGTATAAGAATGCTTGTGATTTTTGTACATTGATTTTGTATCCTGAGACTTTGCTGAAGTTGCTTATCAGCTTAAGGAGATTTTGGGCTGAGACGATGGGGTTTTCTAGATAAACAATCATGTCGTCTGCAAACAGGGACAATTTGACTTCCTCTTTTCCTAATTGAATACCCTTTATTTCCTTCTCCTGCCTGATTGCCCTGGCCAGAACTTCCAACACTATGTTGAATAGGAGCGGTGAGAGAGGGCATCCCTGTCTTGTGCCAGTTTTCAAAGGGAATGCTTCCAGTTTTTGCCCATTCAGAATGATATTGGCTGTGGGTTTGTCATAGATAGCTCTTATTATTTTGAAATACGTCCCATCAATACCTAATTTATTGAGAGTTTTTAGCATGAAGGGTTGTTGAATTTTGTCAAAGGCTTTTTCTGCATCTATTGAGATAATCATGTGGTTTTTGTCTTTGGCTCTGTTTATATGCTGGATTACATTTATTGATTTGCATATATTGAACCAGCCTTGCATCCCAGGGATGAAGCCCACTTGATCATGGTGGATAAGCTTTTTGATGTGCTGCTGGATTCGGTTTGCCAGTATTTTATTGAGGATTTTTGCATCAATGTTCATCAAGGATATTGGTCTAAAATTCTCTTTTTTGGTTGTGTCTCTGCCCGGCTTTGGTATCAGAATGATGCTGGCCTCATAAAATGAGTTAGGGAGGATTCCCTCTTTTTCTATTGATTGGAATAGTTTCAGAAGGAATGGTACCAGTTCCTCCTTGTACCTCTGGTAGAATTCGGCTGTGAATCCATCTGGTCCTGGACTCTTTTTGGTTGGTAAACTATTGATTATTGCCACAATTTCAGAGCCTGTTATTGGTCTATTCAGAGATTCAACTTCTTCCTGGTTTAGTCTTGGGAGAGTGTATGTGTCGAGGAATGTATCCATTTCTTCTAGATTTTCTAGTTTATTTGCGTAGAGGTGTTTGTAGTATTCTCTGATGGTAGTTTGTATTTCTGTGGGATCGGTGGTGATATCCCCTTTATCATTTTTTATTGTGTCTATTTGATTCTTCTCTCTTTTTTTCTTTATTAGTCTTGCTAGCGGTCTATCAATTTTGTTGATCCTTTCAAAAAACCAGCTCCTGGATTCATTGATTTTTTGAAGGGTTTTTTGTGTCTCTATTTCCTTCAGTTCTGCTCTGATTTTAGTTATTTCTTGCCTTCTGCTAGCTTTTGAATGGGTTTGCTCTTGCTTTTCTAGTTCTTTTAATTGTGATGTTAGGGTGTCAATTTTGGATCTTTCCTGCTTTCTCTTGTAGGCATTTAGTGCTATAAATTTCCCTCTACACACTGCTTTGAATGCGTCCCAGAGATTCTGGTATGTGGTGTCTTTGTTCTCATTGGTTTCAAAGAACATCTTTATTTCTGCCTTCATTTCGTTATGTACCCAGTAGTCATTCAGGAGCAGGTTGTTCAGTTTCCATGTAGTTGAGCGGCTTTGAGTGAGATTCTTAATCCTGAGTTCTAGTTTGATTGCACTGTGGTCTGAGAGATAGTTTGTTATAATTTCTGTTCTTTTACATTTGCTGAGGAGAGCTTTACTTCCAAGTATGTGGTCAATTTTGGAATAGGTGTGGTGTGGTGCTGAAAAAAATGTATATTCTGTTGATTTGGGGTGGAGAGTTCTGTAGATGTCTATTAGGTCTGCTTGGTGCAGAGCTGAGTTCAATTCCTGGGTATCCTTGTTGACTTTCTGTCTCGTTGATCTGTCTAATGTTGACAGTGGGGTGTTAAAGTCTCCCATTATTAATGTGTGGGAGTCTAAGTCTCTTTGTAGGTCACTCAGGACTTGCTTTATGAATCTGAGTGCTCCTGTATTGGGTGCATAAATATTTAGGATAGTTAGCTCCTCTTGTTGAATTGATCCCTTTACCATTATGTAATGGCCTTCTTTGTCTCTTTTGATCTTTGTTGGTTTAAAGTCTGTTTTATCAGAGACTAGGATTGCAACCCCTGCCTTTTTTTGTTTTCCATTGGCTTGGTAGATCTTCCTCCATCCTTTTATTTTGAGCCTATGTGTGTCTCTGCACGTGAGATGGGTTTCCTGAATACAGCACACTGATGGGTCTTGACTCTTTATCCAACTTGCCAGTCTGTGTCTTTTAATTGCAGAATTTAGTCCATTTATATTTAAAGTTAATATTGTTATGTGTGAATTTGATCCTGTCATTATGATGTTAGCTGGTGATTTTGCTCATTAGTTGATGCAGTTTCTTCCTAGTCTCGATGGTCTTTACATTTTGGCATGATTTTGCAGCGGCTGGTACCGGTTGTTCCTTTCCATGTTTAGGGCTTCCTTCAGGAGCTCTTTTAGGGCAGGCCTGGTGGTGACAAAATCTCTCAGCATTTGCTTGTCTATAAAGTATTTTATTTCTCCTTCACTTATGAAGCTTAGTTTGGCTGGATATGAAATTCTGGGTTGAAAATTCTTTTCTTTAAGAATGTTGAATATTGGCCCCCACTCTCTTCTGGCTTGTAGGGTTTCTGCCGAGAGATCCGCTGTTAGTCTGATGGGCTTTCCTTTGAGGGTAACCCGACCTTTCTCTCTGGCTGCCCTTAACATTTTTTCCTTCATTTCAACTTTGGTGAATCTGACAATTATGTGTCTTGGAGTTGCTCTTCTCGAGGAGTATCTTTGTGGAGTTCTCTGTATTTCCTGAATCTGAACGTTGGCCTGCCTTGCTAGATTGGGGAAGTTCTCCTGGATAATATCCTGCAGAGTGTTTTCCAACTTGGTTCCATTCTCCACATCACTTTCAGGTACACCAATCAGACGTAGATTTGGTCTTTTCACATAGTCCCATATTTCTTGGAGGCTTTGCTCATTTCTTTTTATTCTTTTTTCTCTAAACTTCCCTTCTCGCTTCATTTCATTCATTTCATCTTCCATTGCTGATACCCTTTCTTCCAGTTGATCGCATCGGCTCCTGAGGCTTCTGCATTCTTCACGTAGTTCTCGAGCCTTGGTTTTCAGCTCCATCAGCTCCTTTAAGCACTTCTCTGTATTGGTTATTCTAGTTATACATTCTTCTAAATTTGTTTCAAAGTTTTCAACTTCTTTGCCTTTGGTTTGAATGTCCTCCTGTAGCTCAGAGTAATTTGATCGTCTGAAGCCTTCTTCTCTCAGCTCGTCAAAATCATTCTCCATCCAGCTTTGTTCTGTTGCTGGTGAGGAACTGCGTTCCTTTGGAGGAGGAGAGGCGCTCTGCGTTTTAGAGTTTCCAGTTTTTCTGTTCTGTTTTTTCCCCATCTTTGTGGTTTTATCTACTTTTGGTCTTTGATGATGGTGATGTACAGATGGGTTTTCGGTGTAGATGTCCTTTCTGGTTGTTAGTTTTCCTTCTAACAGACAGGACCCTCAGCTGCAGGTCTGTTGGAATACCCTGCAGTGTGAGGTGTCAGTGTGCCCCTGCTGGGGGGTGCCTCCCAGTTAGGCTGCTCGGGGGTTAGGGGTCAGGGGTCAGGGACCCACTTGAGGAGGCAGTCTGCCCGTTCTCAGATCTCCAGCTGCGTGCTGGGAGAACCACTGCTCTCTTCAAAGCTGTCAGACAGGGACACTTAAGTCTGCAGAGGTTACTGCTGTCTTTTTGTTTGTCTGTGCCCTGCCCCCAGAGGTGGAGCCTACAGAGGCAGGCAGGCCTCCTTGAGCTGTGGTGGGCTCCACCCAGTTCGAGCTTCCCCGCTGCTTTGTTTACCTAAGCAAGCCTGGGCAATGGCGGGCGCCCCTCCCCCAGCCTCGTTGCCGCCTTGCAGTTTGATCTCAGACTGCTGTGCTAGCAATCAGCGAGATTCCGTGGGCGTAGGACCCTCTGAGCCAGGTGTGGGATATAGTCTCGTGGTGCGCCGTTTCTTAAGCCGGTCTGAAAAGCGCAATATTCGGGTGGGAGTGACCCGATTTTCCAGGTGCGTCCGTCACCCCTTTCTTTGACTCGGAAAGGGAACTCCCTGACCCCTTGCGCTTCCCAGGTGAGGCAATGCCTCGCCCTGCTTCGGCTCGCGCACGGTGCGCACACACACTGGCCTGCGCCCACTGTCTGGCACTCCCTAGTGAGATGAACCCGGTACCTCAGATGGAAATGCAGAAATCACCTGTCTTCTGCGTCGCTCACGCTGGGAGCTGTAGACCGGAGCTGTTCCTATTCGGCCATCTTGGCTCCTCCAACTAAAGTTTTCCCATTAATTTTTTTTTCTGGCCCAGGATCAAATTCAGAATTCCACATTGCACTCAGCTGTCATGCCTCCTGTGTCTCGACTAATCTGAAAGTTCCTCAGTCTTTTATCGTGTTTCAGGCCTTGATACTTCTAAAGAATACTGGCAGGCAGTTAGTAGAATGTCCCTTAGCTTGGGTTTGTCTGCGGTTTTCTTCTTAATACATTGAGTTTACAGGTATTTGGCAATAATACAACAGAGGTAATGTTAGATGCTTTCAAGTGCATTAGAGTAGGGGGTGCTTGATATCCACATGTCTTATTACTGCTCATGCAAAGTTGGGTTTTCTTCTTTGAAATTAAGGCATATCTGTGGGAAGATACTTTGAGATTATGCAAATGTCCTATTTGTCATCTATGTTAAATACATCAGTGTCTCTTTTCTGCCCCAATTGCTCTGGAGTTTGCTTCGTGGTTATTTTATATTTCCATTGTGCATTCTATAGAAATTACTTGGAATTGTACTTTATGGAAGAATGCATGCCTT
This sequence comes from Homo sapiens, assembly GCF_000001405.40. Taxonomy (NCBI): domain Eukaryota; kingdom Metazoa; phylum Chordata; class Mammalia; order Primates; family Hominidae; genus Homo; species Homo sapiens. The sequence goes on along the minus strand of NC_000002.12, from coordinate 166,987,918 downwards.
CCTATTTGTTATGCATTCAATTTCTTATTCATGTTAATATCTATCATGCATGGATACTTACCTTATTCTATTGGCTACAATCTGTTACTATTGTTACTTAATTTGTTGTTTAAATTGTCCCATACTAGAACATTGAGAACTCCTTCAAGTAGACCCCTGAGTCCTTTATATATCCATGATTTTTTGAGCACTTCCAAACCATCTGGCACATTCAAATCTTTTAAGCATGTTAAACTCTGATTCCTTTAATTGAAAAATGAGTTTTAGAGAACAAGATCTGGATGCTACTCAAATGCCAATTTTTAAAATCTTTTATAGAATAAAGATTTATTATTTCTAAGTTCATTATGTTATTCATCTGGTAAGGTTTTTATTTTCTAATGCTATGAATGACTTGACAGTGAAAATATTATTATTTATAATGTTTTCATTTATATTTACCCCAAATGTCTCAACTGTTTGCAATGGAGTTTGGCAATCCAAGACTTCCATGCAGACATGTCCAATAGCCTGGATGCTGTTGTCTTGTTCTCCCTATTACAGGATAGACGATTATCCTGTTATTGCCTTCTCCAAGTCTTTTCATTAAGATCAGTCTATTTTGGGACTTTATTTCTTAGTTTACTCTATATCTAGTCCCAGCCCTTATGTAGGCAATGTCTTCATGCTGCCTTCTGACTACTCAGAACTGACAAAAGTGACTCAGGTAGTCTTCCATTCCCTTGCAGGACCCATGTTAAAATTTTTTCTTCTCCTCATCCCATCTAAAACTTCTGAATCCTCAGTATTGCTGACATGAGCTAGATGTTAAGAGGAAAGCAATGGATTTAAACATGTTTATACTAGATTAAATGTCATTAACATCTACCCTCCATTTAGATTCCCAGGTTTTATTTGATGTCTAAATGAGACAGACTATTAATTCAGTGATTTCTATGCCTGACAATAAAGTGAAATAAATTATATAAGAAAGTATTTTGGATAATATATTTCTTGGAAAAAACCCAAAATGCATAAAACTAAGCCTAGACAATTCTACTTCTTCCTCAATATGTGCAAACAAAGAAGGTCAGAATCTTAGGACAACATATTTATGCTGTGCATCCTCTGGTATAATCTCATTTATCTAAACGTTTGTTTTATGACAGCATTTCACAGCACGAAAAAGTTAAATTAATTCAATACAAAGATCCCTGATAAACATTTAACAGGATCATTTCTCATGACCAGTGTTATACATTCACATTCAGTATTTCATAAACTGCCCTTTTATTGATTAGTTGCAAAATAAGCAGTTCCCTGATATTTAAGAAATATTTGGTGACACAAACATCTCAAGAGAAAGCAGGTGCTAAAGGCAGATAATAACTGGTTTGGTGCCCTTTATACTAGGATGTGTTCTTCACTTTTGACATATACCTAACTATCATAGCTATGCGGCTAGCAACACAATGAATGTCACGCAACGTGTAAATATTCCACATTGCAAGTTTCAGTTGAAGTGACCATTGATATTTTATACAATGTTGAAGGAACTCAAAACACTTTGTAAAAATCCTCTCTCCAGTGGCTACATTACATCAGTTACATAGAGATTTTGAGATGTTAATTATGATGAGTCTCACTCTATATTGAAGAAGTTCTGAGGACACTGGGAAAATATCTTCAGAATCCTAGGGTCTATTAGAATGTTCCACTACTCTGCTATGGAAGGAATTCCAAAGCCATCCTCTAACCATTCCAGAATGTGCCACAAAAGAACCTCATCAGTTTAAATGTATGAAGTGGCGCCCTTATTTCCAAACCTCCTCTGTCAGAGGTAGAGAATACCAATGCAGCTAGGCGGTCTTGCAAAGCACGGTACTCTCTCTGGTACAACCTGGTGCAACCATTTCCTTCTGCTGTTATAGGAAATATGGGTTATAGCTTCCTAGTTCCATCAGTATGCTTCTCTCAATTTAGACCACTGCTCTGACAATTAAGAGCCTGCTCTGCCAGCCTTGGACTTGTATCTTTTCTTCCCAGATGAGGAGATCACCTGATTTTAGGAATATGATACTTCCCTCTTTGGGAGACTGACCCCTAAGAGTGTTATTATGGGTTTTTTTTTCAGAGCTGGGTGATCAGAAATTCCTAACATCACTTCACACCCAGACCAACACTAAGAATAATTGTTAGAAAATATTTTTAGGCCGGGCGCGGTGGCTCATGCCTGTAATCCCAGCACTCTGGGAGGCTGAGGTGGGCGGATCACAAGTCTGGAGATCAAGACCATCCTGGCTAATACGGTGAAACCCTGTCTCTACTAAAAATACCAAAAATTAGCTGGGCATGGTGGCAGGTGCCTGTAGTCCCAGCTACTCGGGAGGCTGAGTCAAGAGAATTGCTTGAACCCAGGAGGCGGAGGTTGCAGTGAGCGGAGATCGTACCACTGCACTCCAGCCTGGGCGACAGAGACTCTATCTCCAAAAAAAAAAAAGAAAGAAAAGATTTTTAGATTAAGATATTGTAGTAATTATGGACATAAAAAGTATTAATCCTAAATAAAACACTTTGACAATGTTAGTAAGTAAAAATCAATGGCATGTTTGAGCAGATGCACATGATTGCAAGTTATTTTAACTGTATAGATTACTTTTTATTTTCTTATCTCTCTCTCCAACCTGTCTGTTAGCTAGGGTCACTAAGCTGTACTTGCAATTGCTTTAACTGCTATTCTAATTGATTTCCATTTTTAATGATGACAAAGGGGAAAAAAAGAATTGTAGTATGTGTTTAGCATTACCCCAACCACTGTTTTTATTATGGACTAAATTTTGTGCAGGATGTTGTGGAAACAAAGAATGATGTGACATATCTGGCAATAAGAGTTCCAAAGACTACATGACACATAAGCAAATAGCTATACTCAATGAAATCAGCAGTGAATCAGAATAAGTAAGACTATATGTAAACACTTGGTTTGTGGGTAAAGGTAAGGCCACAGTAGTTGGAACTGATTTGAAAAAAGTAAAATTCAAATTGAGTCTTATAAAGCCAAAAGCTCACCAGCCTGTAAACACATGAGTGCCCTGGCATCTGCCTAATTCTCTAACCTCAATATCAGAACTCCACTTTAAGTGACAGAAGCCCAGCTCTGATATTTCATGAAACAATTTTATTCAAATTCTTTGCATTCATTTTTGATATCAGTGTTTTCATAATCATTAGAACCACATTTTGCTTCATTTAACAAGAGTTCCCTAATATATCATCCTTAGTACCTTCCGAATTCTTATAGATACAGCACTTCTAAAACATGTTTCTGATGCTCAGGTATTCATTCAAAAACCTTAAGATGATATCTTAAATAAAAATATACTTTTTCCTGCAGATATTTATTTGTGATCTTTATATTTTGTCTTATAATATTATTTTATAGTAATCTTTAAAAGACTTATTTTTAAATACCCAAAAATTAAAATTAAGAACATATCTTCAGAAAACTTTAATTCATTTTTTAACTGATTTTATCACATGACTTCTGTAAGCCTCCTAAGCCTCCAAAACTAGTACTGATTGAAGTTATTTTAGGCTACTGTGTCTTCTTCAAAGGAAACATTTTGTTTAAATAAACCAGATAATCCCACAAAATATGAGACACCTTGTAGAAAACTGAAATATGAGAGTAAAATTGCTCTTTTTGAAGACTTGGTAGAATAATTTCCCTGTCATTTAGTGACAAGAAACCAATTGATAAATTGTCCTCTTGCAGTCTTCTAGTGGAGCTGTAAGTCATATTACAGTATAATAATGAATGAATGGGAATTGTAAGAGTTGAGATGGCCATCTTGAACAAACTTTAATAAGGTTAGCTATGCAGCAAAGTGGAGAAATTGGGTGGGAGATGAGAGAAATAAGAGGTTTTAAGGGCTGTGTTTCTTTGCTTTCTTTGGTGAGAGACATGACAATATTTAAATACTGGTTGAAGGAACTAGCAAAGAAGGAGAGTTTCAAGATAACCAATAGGGACTTCCTCATTTGTTCATGTGGCATAATTAGCACCAGACTGTCATTGTGGCATACACGATTAAAAGCATGTACAAAATATATAACAATAAATCATAGTCATTCTACATTTGGCAAAACATTGAACTATTTGTAAAAAGAGAACTCATGAGATGAGTCCCATGTCTCCCCTGGCTCTTTGTCTTGGGACAATTACCAAACTTCTCCATAGAAAAGACAGAATTTAGAGTGTGATCCTTGTCAAATTTAGAAAGGTTGGTACACACTTTGGCCTTCCACAAAGCATGAAGTCAAGACTACAAAAACTCAAAGAGATCAGCCATCAATTGACTAACTGCTAGAATAAAAATGAACACTTTTCAGAAGAAGAAAACAGAATTAAGTGTCTATAGCATACCAACAAAAATGTCTAATTAGGTAGTAATCTAGATATACAAAGTAATAGTCAATAGAAACAGTCCCAGAGATGACCTGGATGTTGGATTTAAAAGGCCAAAAATCTAAAGCAACTATTAAAACTATAATTAAAATTTTAATGTGAAATAAATCTTAATAAATGACAAGAAACAAAAACTTGGGAAAGAAATATAATCTATCAAAACAATCACATGTAAATTTTTGAATGAAAAATTATAATAAATGATATAAAATTTCTCCAGGTAGAATTAAAAATTATATTGGAAATGTCAGAGAAAGGGTTAGTAAACTTAAAGATAGATCAATAGGATTATACAATACAGATGAAAAAAACTTTTTAAAAACCAACCCTCGATTATAGCCAAGTAGCTCATATTGAATCAAACTTCCCCCAGATAAAAAACATAGCTCTGGAAAAATACAAATATGAAACAATAGCAACAGCAAAAGCCACCTAACTGAAGGCACCAGAAAGTGGATCAAAATAGCCAAGACTCAAACAGCCAGCACTAGTATATTGGCATTTGGTAGACGGGGATGGTTCTGGGCATGTTTCACAATTTAACAGCATTTAGTAAGAGGGAGAGTTGTAATCTCTGTCATGCAGGGACAATAAAACTCTAATAGAAAAATCTACCATGTTGTTGGCTTCAAGAATTATAGGATAGTCAGTAGAAATGGAGATGATACAGATGTTGGAATTTGCGTGCATGGATTTTAAAGTAGTTTATGTACAGGAACAAAAAGAAAATGTGCTTTTAAATAGCAAAGGATGAGGGAATGACAAAAGAAACAGTGGAAAAGAACAAAATAGAAATTATAGAACCAAAACATTTATTATCTAAATTAGAAGTAAACTCAAGGAGGGGCTGAGAGCAAAATAGACATAAGGGAGGAAAAAGCCACTGAGCTGGAAAATAGATGATTAAGAATTTTTAAATCTGAAGAACAGAATTAAAAATTAATAAAAAAACATGATAGAGGTCTAGTCTTCCCTGGGACTATATCAAAAGTGGTAAAATACATATGTCTTCTAGAAGTTGAAAAAAAGGGACAGAAAATAATATTTGAAGAAATTGGTACCAAAAATTTAAAAATTGGAAGAAAAATCAAATTTTACAGAATCAAGAAGTTCAGTAAATATTAACCCAGACTGTTTTTTTTTTAAAAAAAAAAACTGTACCTAAACATATTACAATTTGCTGAAAACCAAAGATAAATTAAAAACCTGATGCACTTAGAAAAAATTGACAAATTGCATAAGGAAGAACAATTGAAGTTATGAATATCTCTTTATCAGAAATAATGGAGATTTAAAAAGAGTGAAAAAGAACCTTTAAAATATCGAAAGAAAAAGAAAAAGTTATCCAAAATTCTATGTTCATTGAAAATATCCTTCAAGAAAAATGTTAAAGACATTTTCAAGTAAAAGAAAACTAGGACAATGTGATGTGATGCCTAGCAGATCTACACTGAAAATGCTAAAGAAAGTTGTTAAAGCTGAGTTAAAAGAAACTATGAGTTAAACGAGTTAATGGATACTTTGAACTTTAGGAAAGAAAGAAGAGTATGAGAAAACACAAATATGTTTTCATCTTATTTAAAGTATATCTAAGTGTTTGTACTATGTTGAGTAGCATCCCTTCAAAATTGATGTTCACTCAGAATCTCAGAATGTGACCTTATTTGGAAATAGGGTCTTCGTATATGTCCTCACTTTAAGATGACTTCATACTGAACTGTGGTGACCCCTAATCCATCACGACTGATGTCCTTATAAGAAGAGGAGAAGGAACTGGGTGCGGTGGCTCATGCCTGTAAGCCCAGCACTTTGGGAGGCCGAGGCAGGCGGATTGCCTGAGCTCAGGAGTTCGCGACCAGCCTGGGCAACACGGTGAAAAAAAATTAGCCAGGCATGGCAGTGTGCACCTGTAGTCCCAGCTACTCTGGAGGCCGAGGCAGGAGAATTGCTTGAACCCGGGAGGTGGAGGTTGTAGTGAGCTGAGATCATGCCACTGTACTCCAACCTGGGAGACAGAGAAAGACTCCATCTTAAAAAAAAAAAAAGAAGAAGAGCAGAGGACACACAGATGTACAGACACATAGAGGAGACAGGCACTCAGAGGAAATACACCATGTGAAGACAGGTAGATTGAAATGATGTGTCTGTAAAACAAGGATTACTAGCAACCACTAGAAGCTAGGAAGAGAAAAAGAAGGATTCTTTTCTAAAGTCTTAGAAAGAGCATAGCCCTGATAACACCTTGATTCAGACTTGTAGCCTCCAGAACTGAGAAAAATGTCTATTGTTGTAAGACCCCCAGGTTCTGATGCTTGTTATGGAAGCCCCAATAAATTAATACACTAATTAAAGCAAATAGTTCTACACTACAAGATTTAAAATATACATAAATATAACATATACTGCAAATACAAGTGTTCAAGTTGGAGGGCAGTAAACATACTAATACTCTTGTTAAGAGTATATATTTTACATGAAATTGTATAATATTAACCATACGTGGGTTGTGAAAAAGTTAAGGATGTACTGTGAGATCACTAGAGAGAGTGCTAAACATTTGAAAAAATGCATGACCAAAAAGCCAATAAGTAAATTAAAATGTTATTCTAAAAATTTTCAATTAATCCTAAAGAAGGCAGAATAGGAAAAAGAAAAAAAAATGAGACAAATAGAAAACCAATAATCAAATGCTGGTTGTTATTCCAGTCATACCAATAACTACATTAGTATTACAAACATCAATACTATATTAGTGACTGGGCATGGTGGCTCATGCCTGTAATCCCAGAATTTTGGGAGGCTGAGGTGGGTGGATAACCTGAGGTCAGGAGCTCGAGACCAGCCTGGCCAACATGGTGAAACCCCATCTCTACTAAAAGTACAAAAAATTAGCCAGACGTGGTGGCGGGTGCCTGTAATTCCAGCTACTCGGGAGGCTGAAGCAGGAGAATTGCTTGAACTCAGGAGGCGCAGGTTGCAGTGAGCTGAGATTGTGCCATTGCACTCCAGCCTGGGCAACAAAAGTGAAACTCCATCTCCAAAACAAAAAAAAATACTATATTAGTAACTGCATTAAAATTTATAACTACAATAAATGTTAATGGATTAGATTATCCAATTAAAAGACAGAGATGGTCAGAATGGATTTAAAAAGCATGACCCAACTACTCTGTCCATAAGAAACAAGGTTTAAAATATCAACAAAACTTATTTATAAAAACTCTTAGAGTAATCAAGAAAAAAAGAAAGTTATAAGTTACCAATACTAGGTTCAAAAGTGAGCTTCTTTATTGAAAAAGAAGCTATGTATATTAAAAATATATGTGGAAATTCAATAAAAACTCTAAGGCATTTGTAGCAGAAAAAATGGCTAAATTTCTTGAAAGACACAAATTGCCAAGCTTATTGAGAAGAAATAGTTAACTTGAACAATATTATATGTATTTAAAAAATTGAATTTGTAATTAAGCACATTACTACAAGGAAAATTCCAGTCTTTCTTGAAAAAAATTTAGGATTACATAATCTCAATTCAAACCAACTCTTCCAGAGATAGAAGAGAAAGAAAAAATTCCTAATTCACTTTTTAGGCCAACATTATCCTAATAACAAACCAAGAAAAGATGCAGGAAAACCATTTGCCAATATGCTTTGAAAACATAGTTGTGAAAATGCTTACAATATTGGCAATCGAAATTAATCAATGTATAAGAAGGCAAATGCGTCATAACCAGGTATAATTTATCTTTAAAATGCAAGGTTTGCTTAAGACTAAAAAAGCTGTCAATACAATTCATCAGATTAATAACATATAGAAGATAAATTACATTATCTCAATGAATGCAGAAAAACATTTGACCAAATTTTAATACTATTCATGGTAAAAACAACCGTTGCAGAAACAAAGAATAAAAAAGAACTTTTTTAGTCTGATAAATAGTATCTCTAAAAAAAAAACCCTACTCTTAGCATCTTACTTAATGGTGATATATTGAATGCTTTCTCCTAAGATTTGGGACCAGGCAAGAATGCTTACTTTTACCAGGCCAGTAACAATTATACTTGAGGCCTTAGCTACTGAAGCAAAAAAAAAAAAAAAAAAGAAAAGAAAAGAAAAGAAAAGAAAAGGAAACACAGCCAGTTTCTAGTCAAGTGTTGATTTACTTTACCATACTAGAGTTAACCTTAATTGGGAAGACAGACACACGGTATCCTAGAGCCAATTGAAAATGCTCTCTCTCTCATTCAGGTACTCATAGAAGCTCAAAGATAATACTGATATTTGAATGTATCTTTCCCAATTAAAATAGATTATTATGAACCATGTTCCATGAAAAAAGGCATAAAGATTAACTGTACAAAATAAAAACTGACAGTAGGTGACAAAATTTGTCATGTAGAAATTCCTATGATATCAACAAAACAAGTCCTAGAGTGATACACTAATTTAGCAAGGTCATGGGATAGAAGAATAATATGGAAAAGCTTTTATTCTTTTTTTTAAAGATGATATCTCATTTATTTAGTTGCCCAGGCTGGAATGCAGTGGCATGATCTCAGATCACTGCAGTCTCAGGGATTTGCCTACTTTAGCCACCTGAGTAGCTGGGACTACAGGTGTTTGCCAACACACTTGGCTAGTTTTTAATTTTTTGTAGAGACAGGATCTCACTGTGTTGCCCAGGCTGGTCTCAAACTTCTGGGCTCAAGTGATCCTTGCCTTGGCCTCTCAAAGTGCTGGGATTACAGGCGTGAGCCACCATGTCTGGCTAGAAAAATTATTTTTTATATACAAACAGGAAATAAGTGAAAAATAAACATGATGAAGCAATTTCTTTCACAAAAATATCCCAAAAGAATAAAGCATTTGTAAATATATTCAACAAATATGTGCAAGACTTCACACAAACTGCTACCCATTGCTGAAAGTTAAAAATAAATAAATAAATAGAACGATATACTATGTTCATGGTTTGGAAGTCTCAATATTATTAAGTTGTCAATTCTCTCCAAACTAATATATTAATTTTACACAACCCTAGCCTCAGTCTCCCCAAGCTCTTCTAAAATTATAAGCTACTTCTAAAATTATATGTGAATTCTATGGAATTGTAATATTCAAACCAATCTTGAAGAAAAAGAATAAAAATGTCTGAGGCTTTATAATGCCTGATTGATTACTTATTGTAGATCTATAATAAAAATAGACAGTGGTAGTGACATGAATATTAAAAAATAGATTAGTGAAACAGAATAGAGTGCAAATAAACAAATACACACTTTCAGGTCACTTAATTTAATTTCAACAAAAGCGCCAATGCAACATGATGAGACGAAGAATATTTTTGAACAATAATATTGGAAAAACAGAAAATCTGTATAGAAAGAAATGAATTTTGACTACTTTCATGAACACATAAACACAATCACACACATGCAAACATACACACATTAATTAGACTTGAATTATAAATTTAAATGGAAAATTTATACTTGTAAATTTGTATTAAAAAGAGGAAATATCTTTATGACTTAGACATAGAGAAAGCTTTCTTATACAGAATATGTAAGTTTAAAGCTAGTAATAGTTTGAGGCTAATTTTGCCCCATTCTTGAGGCAATGCATTTCTGAGTATATTACTTGATACCCTATGAATTATGAAAATTGCTATCTTCTGTACCAGGTCCTGGTAATTTTCTGCAGGCAGTAAGCTGGAAAAACAGCAAGGTTTACTTCACTTATTCCCCTCTCCATCTTTGTGATTACTTCCCTTTGTTGCCTGAACTCTAATGCCTCAGAATCATTTTTTTATACCTTTTCCCAGTTTTTGTTGTTTGCAGTAGAAGTTTAAATCTCTTCATTGTTACTCTTTTTAGTTTAGATTCAATGGAAAAAATTACTAAAATATAAAGTGAACTGAAGGGTGGATAGAGGGTTGGAGAGATATATGATAATACAAATACAGTAAAATGTTAACAGTACAATTGATATGATGGATATTTAATGGTTCACTATAAATATCTTCCAAATTTTTTATTGATGATTTTCATTTAAAAATGTTGGGGAAAATATAAGCAGTCTCCCTATGAGATAATGTCAAGTAGTCCAAAGGATTTGTAATTGGAATAAACTAGAAAATGCTGACTGCGAGAATGGGTTAGAAAAAATATTGAAGAACTAATAATTGAAAATTTTCTAAATTTGAAAACCATTGACAAGAAACTTTATTTCAAGCTCAGCAAAGTTCAAGCAAGACAAATGCTTGCACATGCACACACTGACAGCTAAGTACATCATGGCCAAACTTTTTAAAAAAAGGATTTTGCAAAAATCTTGAAAGTAGCAAGAGGAAAAAAAAATACCAACAGAGCAAACACACATTGCTTTCAGGAAAACAATCATATGAGCAATGGTTGATTACTGGGGCAAGAGGAAAATAAAAATACATCTTTAAAATGCTGAAAAATACAATCATTCAACAAGTTGTAGCTTTCTAGAATAAACCTGAAAAATGCATCCGAAGACAAAATATTTTGAGGTAAATGAACATTGAGATAATTCATTGCCATAGACTTTCACATCAAGAATTGCTAACAATGTTACATGAGGGAAATGATAGCATATGGAAACTTAAGTCTTGGAGGAAATGGAGAGCCCCAGAAATGGTATATAGTGGGTATGTATAGATTATCCTTTTTTTGTCCTTGAGTTCCTTACAACGGAAATGGCTAGTTTTTTTGTTTTTGTTTTTTTAAGAATAACACTGTAAGACAGGGGCTGTGACATATGCAGAAGCAAAAAGTAAGACAAAGATAGCACAATGGATGGGTGTTCACATATGAAGTTATACTGTTGTAAGGCTCTTACGTTTGTGAAGTGGGAAATTGGGAGTGTCAGGTATTAAGTAGGGAATGATATAATATTAATTCCAAGTAGACTGAAATAATTTGAAGTTGCATTTTGTGACTACTCCAGTAAACATTAGAAACATTAAAAAGAACAACAGCTAAAAAGCTATTAGAAGAAAAAGTGGAATAATAGAAAACATTTATTATACTCCCCCAAAGAAGTAAAAAAGTAGCAAAGCAAGAAACAAGACAGATAGAACACATTTCAGCTGATAACACAGAATGGGAGAGTGGAAGAAATGCCACAGCTAGAGAAGTTGGTCTTAGATAAAAGAATAGACTTGCCTTCACACATAACAATAAGGGGGAGAGAGGAAACCAGATAACAAGGAGATATGAACAATGATAGCATCAGGATATTGATTTGGCTTATGTAACAGAAAAGACCTCACCATTGCAGATCTGGGCCTAGTAGGACTGGGGGTACCTGGATATTTAGATAGAAAGCTTATCTTCCAGTTCTCATATTCCACATTACTGAGGAATAATATCAAAGATTATCTATCTGGGACAGTCAAGGCTTTGTCTACAACAATAGTGAAAGGATAGTTTTTAGTATACACTAAAATGCATGGATATGGGTATTAGTGTACAATTAACCTTTTTTTTTTTTTTTTTTTTTTTTTTTTTTTGAGACGGAGTCTCGCTCTGTCACCCAGGCTGGAGTACAGTAGCACGATCTCGGCTCACTGCAAGCTCCGCCTCCAGGGTTCACGCCATTCTCTTCTCCTGCCTCAGCCTCCCGAGTAGCTGGGACTACAGGTGCCCGCCACCACGCCCGGCTAATTTTTTTGCATTTTTAGTAGAGACGGGGTTTCACCGTGTTAGCCAGGATGGTCTCGATCTCCTGACCTCGTGATCTGCCCGCCTTGGCCTCCCAAAGTGCTGGGATTACAGGCGTGAGCCACCGCGCCCGGCCACAATGAACAGTTTTAAATATTTATACCTATGTAGCCACTAATTAGAATGTAGGACATTCATATAACTCCAGAAAATCCACTGTTGACCCCTTACAATTTATCTTTGTCCCCCAAATACACCAAAAGTTCTAATTTCTTTTCTTTTCTTTTCTTTTTTGAAGGAGTCTCGCTCTATCGCCAGGCTGGAGGTCACAGAACATAGTCTATTAGATTTCAATTTTGAGATTTATTTAGATTTATATTATGACCCACTATATGGTATATCTTAGAGAATATACTATATGCACTTGAAAAAATGATTATTCCGTACTTGTTTGAAGTATTGTTCCACAAATGTCAATTAGGTTATGTTGTTCAGCAGTGTTGTTTAATCTTTTTGATTCTTGACTGATTTTTTAATCTAATTTTTCTGCCAATTTTTGAAAGAAAGCTGTTAAAATCATCAACTGTTGTAGATCTATTTATCCATTTAATTCTGTCAGTCTCTACTTCATGTATTTTAAAGTTCTTTTATTAGGTAATATGTATTTATAATTTTTGTGTCTTATTTATGTATTGACATTTTGATCAATACAAAATTTTTGATCAGGATGAAATTATACTTTTGATGTCTGGAAACATTTCTTGTCTTGAAGTCTATTTTGTCTTGTATTAGTATAGTTATACTAGCTTTCTTGTGTTCTAATATTTGCATAGTGAATCCTTTCAATGCTTTTATTTTCAATATATGTTGTTTATTTTAAAATAGGATTCATTTAGACAACTCATAGTTGGGGCTTGCTTTTTACATTTATCTATACTGACTCTCAGCCTTTAAATATTTAGTCCATTTACATATGACATTCTCATTGATATGCTTGGATTTAAGTATATTTTACTTGCAATATTTTTATATTTGTTCTATCTGTTCTTCTCTTCTCTTGTTACTCCTATACTGATTCATTTTTATATAATTAACTTTAGGTAGTATGTTTTAACTCCTTTTAACTCTACCTCCTTATCACTTTTCATCTAGAAGCATTGCTACTGTTTGCAATATTTATCATTACCATAGTCTACTTAGAGTTATTATATATCTTCAGGGAAATTTTAAGAAGCTTGGGCAGTATAATTCCATATATCAGATATATATATGTATATATGTGTATGTGTATAGATAGATGTATATATGTGTATATATATATAACTTTTAAACCCCACAATACACAATTTTAGTTTTTGCTTAGTTTATCTTTTAAAGATATACGAGGAAAAAATAGTAGTGTTCTATATTTATCCACATATTATCATTTCTAGTGCTCTTTATTCCTTTTTCTAGAGCATTGTTTCTACTCGGTGTCATTTTTCTTCATACTGAAGGATTTCCTTCATTATTTTTTGCAGTGTGGATCTGCCACAAACCCTTCCTCTGAAACTCCAAGCCAATGATATTGAAGCTCTTTGCCTCTTTCCAAACAACTCGTGCTGCAGACTGGGGAGTGACCCCAGAACAAAAGCCACAGAAACACAGATCGCAATCAGCACATGTTATTTTTTAAGTTGAAACCTATCACCCAGTGTTTGCCTACAGTTGTTTGTTCCAATGGTTCTTTATGTAGTTGTCTTTTGTAACTTATCCCAAGTTCATAAATTTTATCTGACATTGATTTGTCTACTAAGAGGCACTCTGCCATTGCTGAGACTAGACCCCTTAATGAATTTTAAAATTCATTTTATAACATTGTGCGACTTCTCTATGATAAACAAACATTAGCAATAAATATATCCAAAACTTAATGGAAAATTAATGGAATCATCTATCTATATGTAGAAATACATTTTCAAGAATATTTATTAAGAAATGAATATATGTCTTTATGCTTTGGGCTAAGGTTCTTCTTTAACGACATAAATGACTTAATGCAGTACTTGCCAAATGTTAATGAAATGTTACTAGAATGCAAATTCTAATTCAGTAGGTTAAGGTGGGGGACTGAGATTCTGAAGTGCTTTGAAGTGTCCATGTGATGCTGACATTACTGGTTGTTGAAACACACTTTGGTAAGAACCTGCAGTACAGAGAGGCATTGCATGGATTTTGGATCTGATAGTCAGATTGACCTGAGTTTGATACCCTGGTCTGTGACTCTGTAGCTGTGCAGCTTTGGGCCAATATATTAACTATGTTTGTTTCAGTGCACTCATCTGTGAAAAGGGAATAGTTACACCTACATGGAAATAACTAGTGCTACACTTACATCTAAAATGTTTGTAGGGTACTTGGAACAAAAAGCGAAGTTAAAAGATAATGACAGAAGCTCTTACTAGTTGGACAAGAAATTCTATAATGTTTTCTAGGCAATGATGTAAATGACAAAATATGTTTTTGAAATCCTGATAACAAAACATCAAATTTTCACATAAGCAGTTATTTCTGACTTAATATTTCTTCCTTAAAATCCTATATTTTTCATTAAATCCATTATCATTCTCCCTATTTTGAAAAAAATTCACTTGCCAGACTATAGAAAAACTTATGAAAAGGAGTGAATGGCTGATGAAATGCAAGTGGTATGAAATGAAGCAACGATTCAAGCCAGATTTACTCAGCTATTTAATTAATTTGCTAGAAAATGTAAGTTAAAACAAAAAAATGTGTAAAATATTTTGGAGGCATGAAATGTGCTTTCACAGTTCATATCATGTCAGACAAGTGATGATAAATTTAGAAAGCATTACTAAGATATCTGGAACACAAAATAATTGATTACAAAAATTGCCATTCTTCTTTTGCCAGACTACTTTTTGGATTTAGCCTTCCCATTTATCACTAGCTATACCTGGAATCTGAATGACAATAGAATGGAATAAAGATTAAAACAGCCCCCTGGAGACAACTATTCCTATGCATTCTACTCCCAATAAGGGTGCCAGAATTGTATGTGAAAACCTCTTCTGACTGTATAAATTCCTTATGCAGTCTGTCATCAAATAACTGCTTTACTATTTAAATAAAGTTACCAGAGCCTCCATTTTACTACTATCTGTGTTTGTTCTTAATAAAACTTTATGGCTGGAGTTTGCAGAATATGAACTGTGCTTTAGTAGCTACTAATCAGTGCCTCCCCAGGGTCCATTTTTCCTCTTCCTTCCTTACAGAATATTTTTTCTCATCAGAGCTGGGAAGGTAATCCAGCAACAGAGAGGTATAGTTCCTGTTTAGCTCAAACTAATAAATAGCTAGTAGCTGCTTTCCTTTTGACATCATCGAGCTGCTAATTATTCATACACTTATGAAGATATTCCTATCTGATATGCCATTACATACCAAAGTAAGTGTTGTGTTTGTCAGTTCTGGCTACAAAAAAACCCTGGGTGGCTAAACAACAAACATTTCTCACAGTTCTCGATGGCAGAAATCCAAGATCAAGGTGCAGGAAGGTTCAGTGTCTGTGAGGGTCACTCTTCCTGGTTTGCAGAAGGCTGCCTCCTTGCTGTATGTATTCTCACATGCAGAGAGTGAGAGGGCTCTGTTCTCTTCTTTTTCCTATAAAGGCACTAGTCCCATTATGGGGCGGGAGGTGGGGGCTCATCTAAATCTAATCACCTCCGAATGGTTCTACCTCTAAATATCCTCATTTTGGGGATTAGGACCTCAACATAGGAGTTTGGTGTGAACACAAACATTCAGTCCATAGCAAATGTCCTTTATATTTACATTCATTCACGTATTTTTCTGTTGGTCGTATCTAAAAGTGACATGAAAATGTTAAGGTAATCATGGGCACTACTTTATACAAAATCAATGCCCTTCACCCAAGTTGGTAACTACTCTTGCAAACTGTGATTTTCATGTTGTTCAAATATCCCCACCTCAGATATGAATAATTAAAAATTATTTTCCTATGAAAAGCTAAGTTACCTACAAAATATTTTTCATTAAATATTCTGACATACTCCTGTCAGTCTTGTAGATCAATGTCTGATTTTGTAGAGTGACTTTGCAAAACCACTGTAAAATATCCACCTTGAAAAAAGTCATGATATCAGTAAAATGTCTGACATTCAAAAAAGAACTAATTATACCTAGCAAATAATTTTTTTTTCATTTATGAGCTCATAAATCACAAGCTTGTGGAAGAGAGTAGTTGAGTAGGGAGTCCAAAATATCAGAAGTAATTAATTCATGTTGTGCTCTAATGAATCAAAATATTTGAGCTTTAAAATTCTCCCCAAGTTAATATCACATAGGCCCAATAAGTTACTTAAATTTTCATACTTTTTTTTCCTTTCTTCAAAGTATCTCCTGAAAAATTGGAACTTTTTGATGAATTTTCATTTATTCAACAAACACTGAGTGAGCCACAATGAATAAGGCACTGTATTAGGTTGTGAAAGCAATTAGCAAAATCATCCATAGTTCCTGCCCTGATGTAGCATATGTTCTAGGGGAAGAAAGAGAATAATTAATTTTTTAATTAATTTAAACTTACTTAAAGTAAAAATTACAATTGTATTAAATGCTAAGAGATGAGTTTTACTCTTAAGAGAGCATCTAATGTGGAAAAAAATAATCTCAATAGACTTACTCCTCTTAATGTGTACCTAATATTTCCTTGTTCATTGATGCTATTGAATTTTTTAGATAGCCATCATGTACCAACATTTATATTAAACTATTGATCTTCCTTCTAAAAATCAAGATAATACCTAGCCATATATTGAGTTCTCATATGTATTGGCTTCTATTTCTACCTTTGTACATTTCATTCATTTATTTATGTTGTTTTCATTATTAAGACCTTTTAATATTTTAATATATGATAGTATATTTATTTGAAAATATCAACTTCAGAATTGGTTTTACAAGATATCAAAGGAAAATATTATTGATATTTTTATGTGAATCACTATAAATTTATGTTAACTTAGGAGAACTGAAATCTTCCCTAGGCTAAATATTTCTACCTAAGATCATGATTTACCTTTTCATTTGTCTGTGTTTTCTATGAATCCTCAAGGTACCTATCGATTCACTAAGAATACAACCATTGTGTTCTTCTTGAAGTTAAAAAAAATCTAGAAATGAGAATAGTTCATGATATTATTTGAAAAGAAGTGACAAGAGAATCAGATACACTGTCCATTCTGCTGCATTATTTCTGTGTCAATTACTGGTTATGACACAAAGACACTTAAAAGGGAATAGTGCAACAACAAAACTCATTCAACTGGGAAAAGCAAAATAAAAAAACAAAACTATAAGAAATCTTGCCAAAAACTCATGTAATTTAAGAAATACTTCACAATCAGGTAAATTATAATGATTTTCAATGCTTAGGCAAGAAGGAAGAATAAAAGAAATACTGTGTTAAAACCCATTCCTAAATGGCAAGTCAAATCATTTTAGATTATTCATGTCTCCCTCAACAAGAACTTTTCATATCCTAAAGATAGTTATCAAAAAGTAAGGGTAAAAATACTAAGCTGAAGGATATAGAGCAAGCAAAACATTTTAAGTAAAATGTAGATGCTCTTCAAAATAAATATTTCTAATAAATTATCTTTACAGGGCTCCAATAAGATTCTGGTTCATGTTGTCCATAAACATTTCACATTATGTGGGCAGATTGGTTCCCTTTCATTCACCCAGACCTGAAAGCGAAAAGCAAAAATGATCCGAATGCTAATGGTTCATGAAACTGAGCTACAGATTTTTTTTTTAATTTTAGTTTGCTCTGCTTTTAAGTTGCTGTCCTAAATGTGTACAAATGTTTCTTAGAAGAGGTTTTAAGGATACAGGGGGAGTTGCTGCTTATTCAAACAATTTTAATGAAGGACTAACCTTTTGCATTTAACATTTGTTCCCTTCATTTGCTTTCTGGCATCAGTTTATACTTTTTTTTTTTTCCTCCCAAAGGAAAGGGCATAATGAACATACACGAGATTATTTAAATGAATGGTTTTAATGAGTTCTTTGAATAGATCCTCTAAAAAGCAAGCATGAAATTGCTTTCCCAGTTGGGATGCTTTAAAATATTTTTAGAAAAGTCATATATGAAGCCTTAAAATTCTAACCACTTTTAAAGGAACAATGATTGAAAGGGAGTTTTTTTTTTATTGTAATATCGTTTATTCTCACTCATACTGCAGAAGATATTAAAAAACCCAGCAGGATTTTGGAATTATTTTAATAGATTATCATGTTTCATATTAATAAGTAGTTATTTATCAAATTTAAAGGCTGCAGCTCTTATATACTACTTTCATATATGGAAATCTGGAACTTCATTAACTGGTGAATATTGACTAGACGTGAATAAATTCACTTTGTATAGTAAACATTGTTGCTGTCTCCTGATCCTTTGAACATCTATTCAAAGTGTCATAGTCTTGAGGTTAGGTAGAATTGACCTCATCCTCTTACCACTGTGACTGTTTTGGAAGTTGGCATAGACTTCATTAGTTCTCTTCAGAATGCTGTTCAAGACTTATATTCAATATTTTTTTCACTCCCTGGATGTGAATGAAGAAACACGTAGATTTAGAAACTTCTGGAAAGCAATATTTTCCCATGAGGAGAAAGTGACTACACGGAGCAAGGTAGAGCTGTGGGATTTGCGGGGAAGAGGGTCCAGAGCCTTGATAAAACTCTTCTTGACACAAACATTGGCCTCAGGCTTTTCTGTTTTGTGAAGAAGTAAACTTATTTATTATTTAAGCTCCTTTGGAAATAAGAACATGGTATACAAGAGAGATACAAACCGCCTTTGGCAGATATTATTGTCCTATCATTTAGAACCATTTATCTCTTGTAAATGTTATTGTTATAGCATCATTGTGTTTTGTTTCTGTCAGTCAAGACTTATATTCGTACATGCTATTGTACTAGCTTCTGTTAAAAAATAGAAAAAAAAATCAAATTTTTTACCTTTAAAGGTTAATGATTTAGCATGATTTATACATACTCTTGAAAACAGAGAAGATCTAATATAAAAGAACATTGTGCCAAAATGGAGCAGGTTCTGGATATTTCCTCATATGTAAAAAGACTTTGCAACAAATAAGCAGTAAGTTTCCTTCCAGCTTTAATGGCCTAAGATTCTATGGCAAATGAAGCATCAGGGATTTGAAGGCACAAAGTGGTTGAGAAATCTGTCACATGGAGAGCATCAGGGAATGTCGAATTCTTTAGTTCTTCATAAATCCATTTACTGTTTCTGTATTTTAAATTTTTAAAGGACAGATTCTGTTTCTGTTCTCCGTATGGGTTTTCAGAAAATACTGATGATATTTAAATTTTTCATGATCAGACATTATTCAGTAAGTGCCTTTTTGTATAGATAAAAGAACACCAATTCTACGTAAGCAATTTTAGAAACTTGGAATGTAAAAGATTCAGAACTGGAAAGACCTCCTCATGATGTGGGCCCTTCTATCATGCCCTCCATGTCATCACTGAACCTCTTTGGAATTCCTTTGTTGTTGAAGAACTCATTAGCTTCTAAGAAGCTCATTCCATCTTCATACAATTCTAATGGCTGATACCTTCTTCTATATGTTTAGCTAGCATAAACTTCTTGAAATTCTAGAAATTCATCTAACACGTGCAACTGTAGCTAAATATATTCTTTTAAAGAAATCTGCAGTGCCCAATCATCAGATTACCCTTATTTCTGTCAGATTTTCTTAAAACATAAACTTGTTTATATAGAAGTTTTATGGCTTATGATTGAACAAGGATTTCACCAGTATAGCCCTCTTAAGAGATTGGCTAAATGTAGAGTGGAATTATAAGATGGAGGAAAATCAAAAAAATTAAAAGTAGCAAAGGTGGGGAACTAGAATAATCACTGTCATCTTTAGAATAATGTAAATAAAATTTCTTTCCACTCCATGTTATATAGTTAGATGGGCCATGATTGAAATAGTAAAACTACTGACATTCAATGTTTTACTGATTATAGTCAATCTCCTGGTAAGTTTATGTAATGTGGTTATAGGTAGAAAATCACATATTTATACAAGGTTATGTGGAGCATAAGACCTCTGTCCTCTTTGCATAGATTAGGTAGGTCTCGCTTTGCCATACATTTCTTTACATCAGCTTTCTGATCATGTAGTGCCCAACATCCTAGAGAAAATGGTAAAAGTATTGCTCCAGTACTTCTCCAGAGGACCCAAGACAACTTTGTGCTGACAAACAGAATCAATATCTATTTACATATGGTTTAGCAATGTCATTTGTGCCTTGCGAGCTTCCATGGAGTAAGTGGCTCAATAAGATTGCTTTAAAGTTATTTAATATAATTTTAGGAAATTTAGCTTCCCAAGGAGCTTGAGAAGGAGAAGACTTCAAATCTCTTGAAAGCAATGGGTTTTTCCTTCACCTAGGGATATTTTGACTTTTAACAGTGAGTCTATCTTCTTCTAAAACTTGCTATAGGGATTCAGCAAACGTTTTATTTTATTTATTTGTAGTGTTTTCTTTACTATGGTGGTAAAATGAGTTTGTTTTTTCTTCCCACTACTCTCATTATCAGGATTCTGACAACTATGAAGGGTAAGCCAATGGAGAATGACATTTTGTCATAGAACTCAAAGCAGGAAGGAAGAATACATATGCACAGTAATACACAGACTAGATGCAGTGCTTCTCAAATATGGGGTGCCTACAAATCTCCTGAGGATGTTGTTCCAAAAGCAAAATCAGGTTCAGTAGATCTTAAATGAGCCTGAAATTCCAACAGGGTTCTAAGTGATGTTGATGTTGCTTGTCCAAGCACTACATTTTGAATAGCAAGGTGCTAAGATATATGCCACTTAGACTCTATGCAAGCTGTAGTTTGACTTTTGTTTTGCAAATGATCTGATTATCTGTAATTTACCCTGCCATCAGAACACTAGGAGAGCTTTTGCTTTCTTCTATTATCCATGTCATGATTCAAAGGTCCACATTTGTCTCTTTATAGCAATAGAATTAGATGGAGCAAATAAAAAACAATGGCCCTCTTAAGAGATTGGCTAAAAGTAGAGTGGAACTAGAAGATGGAGGAGAATAAAAAATATAGAAGTAGCAAAAGTGAGGTGGGAGAAGGAAAGTAAAGTAAAAAGGATATTTATGTATCTTTGGCAGAGGTCCCTGAGGAGCATCACAACTTTTGCTGTCTATATAAACATATAAAACAAATATGTATACTAAAACATATAAAACAAATATATATAAACATAAACGATAAAAACATGAGACAAATATAGATATATGTAAAAAAATTTTAGCTCACATTTTCAAATTTAGGTATATCTGGTTGGCTATTTGTATTTATAAGTTATATGAACAGAAATTAATTATCATTAGTGATTTGGTTTTCAAATAAGTAATTTAAGAAATTTTTCAAGTTTTCTAGATCAAATTATTACGTGAAAAATATATTGAGAATGCAAATTAAGTTTTTAAAAAAGTGTTAATATTGACAACTATTTAGCCTGAATCAAGAATTCAGCCTAAATTTTTGTTTTTATTTTTCACTTAAAGTGTAGACATTTTTATGGAGGTTTATATAAAATTACAGCTGTAAGAAAATATGGGATTTTATTTAAAAGCCTCAAAGTGTCATTGACTCAAGTTATTAATAGATAAACACAATTTATTTATTTGTACTTTAAAAATAAACATGTGCAAATAAATTTTTATTTTATCTATTTTATGTAACAGTTTACAACTTTTAATTTGATAAAAAGAGACTTCTGAGTAAAAAAAAAAGAAATCAAACTTAGAGGCCAGGCATGGTGTCTCACATCTATAATCCCAGCACTTTGGGAGGCCAGCAAGGTGGGTGGATGGCTTGAGCCCAGGAGTTTCAGACCAACCTTAGCAAGATAGGGAGACTTTGTCTCTATAAATAATAAAAGATTAGCCTGGCATAGTGGTGCATGCTTGTGTTCCCAGCTACTTGGGAAGCTGAGGTGGAAGGATTGCTTGAGTCTACATGGTCAAGGCTGCAGTGAGCCATGATTAAGCCATTGCACTCCAGCCTCAGCAAGAGAGAGAGACCCTGTCTCAAAACAAATAAACAAACAAACAACAAACACAAAAAAACAAATTTAGAAAACTACCTCTGTATAAGAAGACAATTGAGTATCTGTTATTAAGTCTCTAAAAAGGTGACTCTGTCATATTCTCTGTCCTTCCAGGCTCATTCATGATCACCTATAAATATTTAGTACATGTGGGACTGAATTCCACAGTCATTGAGATATTTTTGTTCTTTAAGCATTTCCTTCTAAAATGTAAGTGCATACTGGAGGAAAACGTCACACTAGAAAGTAAGGACTGATTCAAAGGACTTGCTAAGAGTCAGGACAATAGAAATCCAGCCCTGAATAATGTTGGGAGCTGAGTTCTGGTAGAGAATAGTGACACTGGTAAGTCAGGTCAGAAGGTGTGTTAGTGATTCCTCAAATATTACTGACTCTTCATGTTCTAATCACATATTAGAACTGCCCCTTATTATTGGGCCACATGACTAATTTGTTCACTGAATTGCAAGTTAAGTGACATGCATCACTTTTGCATTGCAGCACTTAATTAATTGCTTATATAGTAGTCTCCCTCTTGCTTTCTCCCTGTGGTGGGCAACTGATGATGTTCAAAGTGCTTATGCCTCTGACATACCATGTCTCTTAAAGACGATGATCAGCAGAGCCTCTAAGCTGACCTGTGATGAATATATAGTATGAGGACAAACAGAAAAACAAACCTTTGGGTTACAAGCACAAACTGAGGCTATCCTAAATGATTTAGGTAGGCAAGCTGTAGATCAGAAAGGGCAACTAGAAGAAAAAAGAGGTATATTGAGTGGGACCGTGAAGGCTGCCTAAGATAAACTTAAATTACTTAAAAATATTGTTCAGTTTCCAACACTTCTGAAATGTATATGGAGGCTAAATTTATATACAAATACAACAAAATTCGAGGTAACCAAAGATTCACATTGCCCAGTTGGTTTATGAAGATGGACATATGTGTATTAGGCTGGTAGTCCCAGAGCTGCAGGTGGAAGGATGATAAAAGGAGGATCAAGAGCAACTTATTCTCAACTGACTTGTCAATGCATTTTGGTAGATAAGCAAGTTTCACTCCTTGTCCAAAATCATTTACAGCCTCCTATTTGCGGTAATGAAACTAAAAATATTTTAAGGTGATAGTATTAATATCAGATATTCATATTTAAGCTTACAGCACTGACATTTCTTAAAAAAATATAGAGCTAGATGACCCTAATCTTATGACAAACAGATTTTCAACCTCTTACCTTTTACTGATTGTAACATCCTCCTGCATTATGAGAAAACACAATTTGCCTATACATTAAAGCAATGACAATATGATTAATACAATTAAATATTTGAAAGTATTATCAATATAATTTTAAATGATGTCAATCTGAACCAGCTGCTGGAATGAAAATTCAAGTCCCAATTAATTTTATCCATATACTCATAATCAATGTATCTATAGAATCAAATTACAATGTCCAGTTCAATGACTATTCCTACCCTAACCTACTTATTGTCCTCAGAATCATTTTTTACTTTCCCTCTTTTAATTCCCACATTCACTTCATCCCCAAGTCCTTTAAGATCTACTCTAACAATATATCCTGTCTCCCACCACCTGTTTCTGCTCTTCCTCCTTTAACTTTAGAACACACCATGTCTTCACCTGGACAGTTGTAATTATCTCCGAACACTGTCTGATGCTTCTATTTTCCCAAGGTAGCCAGAATCATCACAAACTTCCTCTACTTAAAAGCCCTCAATGGCTTTCCATCGATTTAAAAATAATATAACAAATTCTTACAGTAAATTTCAAGATGTTACATGTTGTCACTCCTGCTTACCTCTCTGACTTCATTCCCATGCTATGAGTGCTCTTCTTTGCTCTGCTTCAGCTATGCTGGTCTTCTTTCTGAGAGGTTCCTGAATCCATCTCACATCTGCCTTTGTGTCTTTGCCATAACTTATCCCTCTAATCCCTGTATGTGGATTTCTCTTACCTAAAATCTGTACATTGGTGACATTGCAACCTCTGCTCAAATATCTTTTCTTAGATATAACATGACTGACCATTCCTTACGAAAGAGTCTCTCCTCCTCCACATTTTTATTCTTCATTTACACTTTCATTTATTGCCTTCATTAACACTTGTTGCTATCTGAAATTACCCTAGTTATTTACTTGTTTTAGTCCACCTTTCTCTGAACGTGTAACTCTGAGAATGGTCGACTTGTCATCTCTGAATCTCCAACAGCTAGAATGAATGAATGAATGAACGAATGAATGAATGAATAAATGAGAGGATGAATAAAAGGACTGCTAAATAAATATATAAATAGTCATATATGTATCCACTGCTATTTTGGAGCTATATTGTTTATAAATTACTCAACAAATTTTATTGATGATTTTTGTTTTTTTATTTTTATTTTTTAGAATTTATAAATTGTTTTAATAATTTTTAATTGACAAAGTTGTACATATTCATGAGATGCATTGCAATATTTCAATATATATAATGAATAGTGATCAGATCAAGGTAATTAGTATATTTGTAATCTCAGACATTTATCATTTTTTGTGTTGGGAACATTCAATATCCTCCTCCTAGCTATTTGAAACTATATATTATTGTTAACCATAGTCATCCCACAGTGCTACAGAACACTAAAACTTATTCCTTCTGTCTTACAATGGTTGGCATTTTATTAGGGCACTAAAATGTAAGAAAAAAACTGGTTTAAATCTGTTCTGGTACAGAAATTTGGGGGCAGAGGATATTGTAATTTACAACCTTTTCTAGAAAGTAACTAATATTCCTGATAAAATGCTTGAGCAATTTTTAATGGAATTTAATGAGATTAAGAACCTCTATTTGGAAAATCAGAATTACCCTCCTGCCATTACTGACATTGGATTATCTCCATGACAAATTAATAAACTTCAACAAGGCATTATTTTGTTGTATCATTTATTTCTTTATCTCTTCCAAAAACTTTTTGAGTTGCTTTTTCCTACTTTTTCTTTTTTGCTTATGAAGCAAGTCTGAAATAAATGTGAATATATGCTTGCAATAAATTGCTTTAATAATTTGCTGTTATAGATGTATGAGGCATTTTTTCTGCCTCTCCAGATAATTTAGAGTCCCTATAAACAAATCAATCTTGATGTAAATTTGTCTTTAGTGTATCCAATGACAATACAATATTACCCCCCTGTAAGCTGCTGTATGGGCCATTCACTGCATCATATGCACGGTTTTTGTGGTTCTGCTTATACAGTTTCCTAGACTTAGATGGAGTTTTTATCTCTTGCATACTCAGAACATTAGTCTTACAGGCATAGCTCAAGATCTGACTATTCCAAAGAAATAGTTGATTATCAGCAAAGACTGTTTAGATGACCTTTGGATATGTGTGGATATTTTTACTTTTTAAGCTGTTACAAGATTGTGGGTGGCCAGGTGCCCAGGATTCTAAACATAGTATTATGTTGCCCATGATGCTATTAATAATACCATCTTCATTGAGAAATGGACCAACAAAATATCTCTTCCTCCCTTGAACTTTTATGGCCACTCATTGTCTCTTTTTCACCTTCCGATCTTCATTCAGGTACATAACACAATTCTTCTATTTTACTGAATTTTCCTTAATTCCCAGAGGTATGCTTAATTCATCCTTAGCTTTTTTAAAAGACAAATATTCAATATTTTCAAAGTAGCTTATTACATGGATTTTAATGTGTTCCATAACCACATTTACATTTGTTAACAAATCCAAAAAAAAAGTAAAGTTGAAAGTATATATTTTACACATTTCAGGTAAATTAGAATTCCACTCCATGCGAGGAAGGTAAAAAATATAATTTTAAGTTGATAGGGATTAAAAATCTGGTCAATCTGTAGACAGAGAAATTTCTAGGCAGACACACTGTCCTTTTTCAGCCCTGTATTTTTTAGACAGTAAATTTCTCATATCTATTCCTGACAAAATAAGGCAAAAGGAGACATATTTGATCAAGATTATTGTTATAACTATTGTCACACATAGCACTTTCCATTTCATTTCCTTATATTGCAAATAGAATACAAAGTAAGTAAACAAATATATTAGCTGTTTGAAGGCTAATTCAGCTGTCAGATTTGAAGTTATTCTTTTTTTACTTTTTTAAAAGTAACTTATAATACAAATTCAGCATTAAGAACAATTTAAAGCAACCTCATGGCCCTGAAATGTACTGAACATCAATTCTGAAATCTCCAAGAAATGTTCTGAGGCTTCAATTTGATGACATTCTGCTGAATTTAGGTGAGGCATGCTTAAATATTCTCTGTCATAGCTCTTTTGATGCTGGACAGGTCACTTTCTGTCCAAGGGAAGAAAAAACTCTAAAAGACAATACAAAACGATTCAATCATCCTTGTTAATGGCTGTGCTCTCTTCACCCAGAAGTGAGGGGTAATTCTGCTCTCTGCAAAAAATTCTCCTAGCTGCAAGTTTGCCAGTAAATCTGTGGTATACAGCCCAGAGCCCAGAGAGGGGGGCTGTGGAGTGGCAATTTACATTAACAATACTCTTCATATTCATGTTATGCTAATTAAGCAAGTACAGCAATCTGATGCAATGATGATACTTAAACTGAGCTCTCTAATGGCAATAATGTGCCTCAAAGGGCACAAGCCAGTGTACTGCCAATGAGTTTAATACACGCCTGGACAAGTAAAAGGTCAGGATGGTTACAAGGTGCCAATAAGTGCTTCAAAGTAGGAGGCCTGGAATAAGCCCAATTCTAGTCTCTTTAATAAAATCCTTATAAAGAGTTCCTGAGCTGACTTTCATTATCAAGTATTTTGCAAATATTCATTATGCTCATGTTTACTTCCATTGAGATAAATGGTATTGATCCAAATTTTCTGGCTTATAGCTGTGAACAACCTACCAAAGTATGCTATGATCCCATACTAAGTTTACCCCTTATAATACACATTGCTTTAAAATCGGGGATAATTTAGATAATTGAAGTGAACTCCTGAAAAATTTGTCCTTTCAAGAGTGGTGTAGAGACGAAAAACTAAGGCAGCTCATTCCTTTCCAAGAGTCTTTGCATTTCTGAAAACATTCAGTAATATGATCACCAAAGCAGAGGGTTGCAAAAAGGAGATCAAACCTGATCCTGGTGGGAGACTCATTTCTTATTTTTGAAACAGTCACATGCCCTTTTTATAAGTACAACTGTTCTAACAAATATTTGACCTTTTCTCTCTTCTCTCTGTCTCTTTTAATTGTTCTGCTACTTACTCTTTGGGCTTTCAACAGGAAGGATATTGTTAATGGCATTTTCTTTTCCACTTATTTTTTTATTTTCCTTCATCATTCAACTAACATATCCCCTCTCCACCAAGTTTTCAATCCTCCAAGGTTGTGATATTCTTGGTTAAAAAGCAACCTCAGTTTTAGCCCAGTGTGTTCACAATGAATATATATTCTGCAGAACAAAATGGAGTTTATTGTTAATAACATCATTTTTAAAATAGTAAGTTTAGCTACGGTGAAATATTCTTAAATTACAGCCCATGTGACAAGAAACTGGCAGGGTAAGAATAGATGAAGTGCTATTATAATTGTGATTTAACATTATTTTTAATTTACTCAATTATGCTTTCCTATTTTCCAAAACCTCAGCTACCATTCATCTCCATTTCCTTAAAGTGATTGTGCTGATCAGTTCCACTAGGTCAGCTTTGTGTTTAATAGACCTGGTTTGGAATCACAAAGACAGTCACTGTGATTGTATCCTCTCAAATAGAAGATGTTTAACCTCTGAAACTCGTTTTCTTCAGTGCAATAATTTGTGGTCAAACTCTCAAAAGTACAATGAGGGTATTAAAGTCTAACTCCAAAGAATGAACAAGAGGAAAATAAACCCTGCTATGCTGAGATTTCAGAGTGGTCAGAAGAATTTCTATATTCAAAAGAATATGTAATCATCATAAATGTAGCCTTTAATAAAGTCTGCCAGGATTCCTTCATAATGGTTGCCTATATACTGTTTTCTTTGCTTTTTGGTTTCCCATCCAGAATGAGGGAAACACTTCATAGCTTTTCCTTCCCCCTGCATTTCTAACATCAGACACATACTGTAAGTACACGGCTTCTGAGAAGCAATTAGAGTTAATGGGATTAAAAATCTAATCACACAACTGCTTTGGCTTGTATCTGCAGAACTGCATAGTAAAGCCTCACAATCCAAATGCACAAAAATGAGTTATTGCACTTGTCCATGGAAGGTCTCTGTAGCCCTTATTTTATCTGGCTTTCTCCAGGGGCAGCTTTTCAGGGTTTGATCAGAGAAAATGGCTGAGATTTACTTCTTACAACAGGGACATTTGCACTTTCTTGCTTTTAAACTGCTTTTGATATATGTTAAAGACGACAGCAAGAAAAGAAACAGGGGTACAACCAGGACAAGAATACATTAAAAAATACATTCTCTCGAGTACATAGTGATGGCAATCACCACAGAGATGCTCTGCTTTCTTCCAGGAATGTTCCTACTTTAAGCCGTTGAGAGAAACAGAGATGCTTCAGGCAAAGCATTATGGGATGTGGAGTAGTCACTGGAAAAGGCAGAGGAGTCTGTGCTAGAGTTTTCCTGGCCTTCTGTGACAAAGAAGAGGTTGGAATAGACGTTCTCGAAAATCCCCTTTGCCATTGAAATTCCATGAATACATAATGCTGAATGAAAGGCTGATTATTTATTTATGATGTAGATTATTCAAATTGTAAGATACTAGGATAAGATTTTTATTGCGGGAAAAAGACATGGCAAGAAACAACTCACCACAGTAAGAAGACTGACTCTTGATGTTCTTTAGCCCAGTAAAATAAAAATTAATAATAATAACAAGAAGCACAACATTTACTGAGTTATTTCAACTCCCTGGCATCTTTTTAAGAATTTTCTGTGTATTATCCTCACAACCCTAAGAGGCAGGCATTTTATTTTATTTTATTTGCACAGAGAGAAACTAAAGCAGAAAATAATTTTGCAATTCATCCAGCTTCACACACTGAAGTGCCAAGACCAAGATTGGAATGTGGGTACTAGGGCTCCAAACCCCAGCTATATTTACAAGCAAGAATACTTACTGAAGATCACCAGTCCATGTTGTTCATATGAGGAAAACTCTCAAATGCCCTAAATGCCCTTCACAAACACTTAAAAGTCTATAAGCAAAGAAAAATAAAAGCTGCCCTCAGCTTCTCTCTCTATTAGATTTACTTGCTCTCCCTCTGCAATTGAGTCATCTGAAACACTGCTGCATAAATATCTAATTTACTCTATTTTCCAAGCATTTTAATTGCCATCCCCCACAACTGTTGGGCATGCGCCTAGCCCCTCACCCACAGTCAATGGGTCTTGTTTGTCAGTGCATTCCTGGGAAATGTTCAGGCAGCAAGCTAAAATTCAGCATCATCTTAATTTAAGAAAATCATAGTTAGCAAAGTCGCTCACATTTCAAGGGCAAATATAAACCACTCTTAGATTCCAAGATCACCAATCATGTTGGATTCTCAAGCTTTTTCCTCTTCATTAGTTTGCAATTATACTCAACTATCATCAACACTCAGGAAGTAGCTAGCAATCACACTGAGAGAAGGATGTAAGATACCACAGGAAGTTCCTAACAAAGTTTCAAAAGGAAATCGACTGTATACAATGCAGAATATTTTTACAGTGCAGTCATGTCTTATACAGAGTTAGGTTATAAAGTCAATGATTAACGTGAAAATCAATGACATAAAAAGTACGCCTGAAGTGAACCTAAATCACTCATATGGGTCTATCTGCATGGTTTGTTTTAAACAAATCTCTCCTGATAGGGTGTATATGCTTAATGCTTCCTCTTTGTGGGAACAGGCCACAATTTCTTCTGCTGAGCATAGGATGCAACACTTTGCTTGCATTTAGGGAGTATAATTGCTTTAAAAAGTTCCATTTACCCATTCCTGGACAACTGCATAGCACTAAATTTATGTGTAAAAAATGTTTATTTGATGTAGCATCTAATACATTCATAAAAAATAGAGATAATTATTGGTATTAAGCCCTTATGTTAGTCCATTTATTAAATCACAAATGTAAATAATTTTTATTTCCCTAGGAAAAAATAGTACAAAATGAAACTATCCAAGTTCTCCTAAATAAAAAATAAATAAAACTGGAATAAAATAATTATTTTAAATCTTAAATGCTAATGCCTGAAGAAAATTATTTTAATCAGAAAAGTAAGAAAAGTTAGATATAAATCTTGGAGAGTGGCATTTCCTACATTTTTTCCCTTGTACAATTTAATTTTAATAAGGAATGATTCTTCCAACTGACCATTTTGAGATCATAAAATATTAATATCCTTTGACTAGTGACTAAGAAAAATCTCCAGATAAAGAGAAAAATCAACAACAAATGAGGCACAACATGGAAACAAAATGAAAATGAATTCTATCAATAACAACTACCTTTGATATAACATTATACAGTATTCCAGGACAATGGTTTTAAAGAGGGTGTAACATTATATAAAATGCTTATGATATAATAAAGCAAAATTTCAAAGTAATTAATGCAGTATGTATGGTTAGTTATTCAATATCCATTCTAACCTTTCTTATCTTAACATAACTTCAAACTGATTCAAAATTAAACATTTGCTAGACTGCTGTGAAGCTAGGGTTGGTCTTGTGACACATTTCCCTCATTGAGATATAAATGAAAGCCAATGGGAGGATCTTCCAGGGAAGCACTTTTTAA
The DNA here is from genome assembly GCF_000001405.40 of Homo sapiens. NCBI lineage: Eukaryota > Metazoa > Chordata > Mammalia > Primates > Hominidae > Homo > Homo sapiens. The sequence continues at coordinate 166,956,790 of NC_000002.12, read as the reverse complement.
AGGGACAGAATCTTTGGGTGTTTATTCTGCCCTTTGCCTTTCCCCTTCTTCCTGCCTAATACTAGTCTCTCAAGGACCAGCCATCTTGAAACCATGAGAGGATGTATGAGAATCAAAGCTACGTGGTTAAGATGATTAACTGAAATGAAGACTATGGGACCTGACAACTAGCAACCCTGGACTTTTTTTATATGAAGAAAAATAAACAAGTAATTATTTAAACCACTATCTTTCTCAGGATCTGTTGGGTTTGAATGCAATCTACAACCAATATAAGAATTTACATGGAACAATGACCACAAAATACTCATATGCATGTGCAGTCACATGCACACACAGACAATACAGGTAGTCCTTGCTTTGAACAGTCTCATTATGAACAGATTTTAATTACCACAACTTAGTTAAATGACACCAGGTCCTCCTAAGATATAGTTCAAATTTTAGTTAACAAAGGATATTAGCAATGAGTTATCTCATTAAGTGAAAACTTCACTGCTAGCTATTTAGTCCACAAATCACTACACACAAAAAAATGCTCATCATAATCAATGACCAATCACATCACTTAATTCAAAATCTGTCAGTGATTGATCGACGCACGCTTGTTATTCCTTTCACACACAAACAGCAAAGCATATAGTTGTGTCACTTTCTCTCTCCCAGAGATAAACCCTATGATATTTTTCAGAAGATCATGGAAAAATAGAATTGACCAAGAAAGATGAAAAGAGATAATGAAATAAATGAAAAGAGATAATGCTGGCAGTAAAATTTCAGTCAAACCTAATGAGATTACTGAAAAAATAGCTGAGCATGAGAATATTGACACTGCAGCCATTTGAGAGACTCCAGATATGTAGCCAGTGAAACTTAGTGAAGACAAATTTATTGACATAAGAGAGGAAAGTGGTTGTGATGAAAAGGATGAAGATGTTCCAAAGAACTGATGCTAGCCAAAAAGAAAAAAAAAAAGCAAACTAAACAGAAAAACCCACTTCACATTAAATGAATGCACAGAGGTATTTCAAAATATTCGAAGCACAAAGTATGAAATTCTTGAAGCTGATTCAAGCTTAGAAAGGAGAATGACATTTTACGAGGGTATAGAAAAGATGATTACTCTATATCATAAGTTGTATGGATTTTAAAACGGCAACTATTCAAACTACGCTTGATAATTTTTAAATATATAAGTTTAGTGAGATATATTTTATAAAACATATAATGTACTTATTTCAAGTGTATGGGTCAATGCTTTTTGTAGTAAATTATCAAGTTGTACAATCATTGCCATTTGGAGTTTTAAGAACATTTCCCTCACCCCCCTCAATCCTTCATATTTATTTACTGTTAATCCTCTTGCCCCTCATACTCACAACCTCTTCCCTAAACAACTAACAGTCTTCTTTCTGTCTCTATAGATCTGCCTTTTCTGGACATTTTATGTAAATGGAATTATACAATATGTGGTCTCTTGTGTTTCCCTTTTTTCACTTAGCATAGGGTTTTGAGGTTCATTCACATCATAGCACGAGTCAGTAATTTATTCTTTCTTATGGCTGAATAGTTTTCCGTTGAATAGACATACTGCATTTTGTCTATCCGTTTTCTAATTGATAGACATTTAATTTGTTTCCCATTTTTGTCTCTTATGAAAAATGCTATGAATAATATTTCCATATTTTGATATGTTTTACAAAGAAACAATTATTTTATTTTATAAGTTCCGGGGTACATGTACAGGATGTGCAGGTTTGTTACACAGGTAAATGTGTGCCATGATGGTTTGCCACACCTATCAACCCATCACCTAGGTATTAAGCCCAGCATGCATTAACTCTCTTTCCTAATGCTCTCCCCTCCCTACCCTCCTGCAACAGGCCCCAGTGTGTGTTGTTCCCCTCCCTGTGTCCCTGTGTTCTCATTGTTCAACTCCTACTTATAAGTAAGAACATGCAGTGTTTAGGTTTTTGTTCCTCCATTAGTTTGCTGAAGATAATGGCTTCCAGCTTCATGTCCCTGCAAAGGACATGATTTTGTTCCTTTTCACGACTGCGTAGTATTCTATGGTGTATATGTACTACATTTTCTTTATCCAGTCTATCACTGATGGGCATTTGGGTTAATTCCATGTCTTTGCTATTGTGAATAATGCTGCAGTGAACATATGCATGCACGTGTCTTTATAACAGAATGATTTATGTTCCTTTGGGTATATACCCAGTAGTGGGATTGCTGGGTCCAATGGTATTTCTGGTTCTTAATCTTTGAGGAATCATCATCCTTTCTTCCACAATGGTTGAACGAATTTACATTCCCACCAACAGTGTAAAAGCGTTCCTATTCCTCCACAACCTCACCAGCATCTGTTGTTTCTTGACGTTTTAATAATTGCCATTCTGACTGGCGTGAGATGGTATCTCACTGTGGTTTTGGTTTGCATTTCTCTAATGATTGAAATAATTTAATTCTTAATATTTCTAATGATTTAAATTAGTTTACTAAATACGTGTTTTATTATTTTTAAATTTCCACATGTATTTATAGTTGATAGTAGCAGTTCTTAATATTTTGACAAAAATTGTACATCATGGAACATTCATAAATTTTCCATAGATTATTAAGATTGTTTTGCATGGTTTAGCTTACATGGTCATTTTTGTGGTCCCTCACTACTTACTGCCCATTCACACACACACCCAGTAGGGTTATACAAAAATATGTCAGTTCCTTGGAGTGATGGGTTTAATACTTTATTACTTTTATAATCAAAAAATAAAATGTAACAATAAAATATGTGGGGAAAATTCCTATGATTTCTTTATATCTCAACTTAGAAAAATAATTCATAATACTTTTATACATAGCATGATTAAAATCATGTTTTTTCTTTTAAAAATGAAGACTGTATAAGGGAGGCAATGACTGGCTATGCAAGAATTAGAACAGAGGAAGGAAGGAAAGAAGGAAGGAAGACAGATGTTAGAGAGACTAAATAATATCATTAAGAATGTCTACAGTAGAATAAAGCTGTTGTGGAAAAATGGTATTTTAAGGAAGTGACGGTGCACCAGAGGTAGTAGCTCATCCTCAGAGCCTATATTGGTTTCATAACTGATGGAACATTCTACTTCCTATTCAAAGGCAAGTCCAGACTAACTAATCCAGAGCATGGCCATTTTGATCTGTTGTTGCTACTGCATTTAATCAAATCAAAAAATTCAGACTTCTAGATTCATACTGAAATGGAATTGAACTATTTCTCTTGAAGACACAGGTATTAGTCTGTTCTCATGCTGCTTATGAAGACATACCAGACACTCATGGTGGAAGGCAGAGGAGGAGCAAAGGGATGACTTACATGGCAGCAGGCAAGGGCATGTGCAGGGAAACTTCCTTTTATAAAACCACCAGATCTTGTGAGACTTATCACTATAAGGAGAACAGCATGAAAAAGACCCATCCCTATGATTCAATTACCTTTCACCAGGTCCCTCCCACCACACGAGGGAATTATGGGAGCTACAATTCAAGAGGAGATTTGGGTGGGGAAACAGCCAAACCATATCAACACAATAGTGGTATCCTGGGCTCTACAAGAGACAGTTACAACGTACACTGCACATTTGCACTTTGGAGAGCATGCAACATATGTTACATTTGCATAATAGGGGAACATTACCAGGTATGCTAGGGACACCATAACTAGCCCCAGAACCAGTAGGCTATTTTAAGAAACAAAAAAGTTAGTTCCTTTAAAATCATGTTTAGTTTCTTGACATATCTCTCTCTGCAATAATAATTTTGTATATGAAATGCCTAAGCAATTTTTAAATTGAATTTTGATATTGTCCACATCTGCACCATATAATTGAAAGAGTCATGATGAAACAGAAGCTTTTCTTCATCATTTGTTTTCCATCAATCTACACTGGCCATGAAGATAGTTGAGAATATAAAATTACAGTCCTTCTTTATTTCATTTGTTGAAACACTGCTATTGTGTAAAATTCAAGCTTTATTTGAAATGAGACTTTTAGAACCAATGAAGTCTGAAAAAAAAACAGAGTAAAGATGAGCATAAATTGTTCTTTTCCATTTTTAAATAAGTTGAACCAATGAAAGTTGTTATAGTAAGAAACTACACCTTTGGAAGACTAATAATTTATTATTTCAGGATTCGTGTGGGATTATTAATATTAATCACCACAGATAATTAGAATTCATGGTGATAAAAACCTACTCTCTGGAAGTAGAGAAGTGTGAAATTTGTATAATTCTAGACATGTTTGTCCTAATTGCAAAATTCTCAGAAGAATGGATTTTCTCATGTCTCTGCAGGGCGTTTCTTAAATTTATTACCTTATGAAGTTAAATACTGGCATATAAAGACCTCAGCAGTTCAGATATTACCTAAATTAAAATGTGATATGATTTGAATTTTGTTCATTTTAAATTCAGTGAACACTTACAGTTTAAAAGACATTTGGTAAAGAATTTAATAGTATAAAAAGATTAGGGATTGCAAGAAGCTCAGCTCATCCACCGGACGAATGTAGCTGGGTGAGTGACCCTGGGTGACACACATGCCAGCAAACCTTAAAATCATGAAAAGTGACAAATCATTATATGAAGCCATAAAATTTGGGGTGGGTTGTTACACAGTAGCAGAAAACTGATAAGCGTGCTTATACATTTGAAGCTTCCTTTATTGACTCATTTAATTCACACACTTCAATAGGGCAGGTAATGTTATTATCCTCCTGTTATAGATGAAGCAACTGAAGCACACAGGGGCTAAATGGCCTACACAAAGCCACACCGCTGAGTGGTAGAGCATAAAAGTTCGAAGCACGATTACATCCTGCCTCTCATAGGAGACGCAGAGGCTCAGGGAAGTCAAGTAGCAGGCAATAGGATAGGATCTCAAGTCTGTGCTCTCCAAAGCATGTGCTCGTTAGGAGCATGAAAAGTGTTTCAGTGTAGCTGAAGCTTAGAATTCATGGGTAAAGATTGCAGAAGATGAGAGTAGAAAGCTAGGTTGGGGCTAGATTGTGAAATGTCCATATGACATACTTTGACCTCTGGTCCAGTGATTTCTGAACCTTGGTCAGTAATGAAATTTTGACCAATTTTGACCATGACAAAAGAAAATCAAAAAAAATATTCAATGCATGACACATACAGATTGCCAACTTTTTTTTCTAACTTGGAAGGAATCTCTTTTCATTTACAAGAATGTTCTTTCTAAATTTTTTTTTTCCACTCTGTTGCCCACCTTGCTGTGCAGTAGCGCAATCTCAGCTCACTGCAACCTCTGCCTTAAAATGCTTAAAAGTGTGTGGAACCTCCTCTCCCCTGTCCCAACTCTCTCTCTCCCTTTATCTCTCTGTTTCTCCTGCTCTTGCCATGTGACATGCTTGTTCCCTCTTTGCCTTCCACCATGACTGGAAGCTTCCTAAGCCTCCCCAGAAGCTGATGCTGCCATGCTTCCTGTACAGCCTGCAGAACCATGAGCCAATTCAACTTCTTTTCTTATAAACTACCCAGTCAAGTTATTTATTTATAGCAGTGCAAGAATGGCCTAACGTATATACAAGCTTAACTAATTATGACATTATGAATGCTTAAATGTTTGCATATTTATGTTTAAAACTGTGCAGTAATAATAACTCGCAATTCTTGGTTACCTTCCATTCTCCACTCCGTCGTTTTTATATCCCTGTTTGTTTATGCCTCTTTGGAGACTGTTGGGACCAAAATGCTAGATATTTTGTCTCCTTTATTTGATCCCAAATACTCTCCATGTTTAGCCTCTTCCTTAGCATCCCTCGTTATAGGAAGAGTGATACTGAGTGTCTATTCTGTGCTGTGAATGTATATAATAACTGCTTATTTAATGATCAAATGATTGAACAACTTCTTAACGAGGGAACTTTGTACTGTCTATCTATTTGAATAATCAGTGATATCCCTGGCCTTGAAAATGATTGGACTGGCTTCACCATAACAACAAGAAGAAATCACATTATTGCTCAAAAAAATGCCTTAGAAAATCATTCTAAACTGAACAAACAAAAACAATGAGAGCAACAAGCTCTTATTTTAGCTCTCAGTTTTAATTTATGAAATTCAGTGAAGGGCAGTAATTTAGAGAAATTGCTTGTAGTGTAAAACATGCCTTTTCCATCTTCAAATCAGTTGGAAAAATATTTTAATACAATTTAGATTTTATTCTACAATAGCTCCCTATAATTATGCTTCCACTAATTAAGGCCTTTATAGTTTGGGTTTAATTCTGCCTTCCAACCTATTTTCTATCAATTTTTTTTTATCTGTGAGCTGCCAAAAGTAACAACTCTACTCTAATTTTTCCTTGTACAAAAATCAGTAACTACTCCCAAGACCTCACCACAATTAAATACACGAACGGAAAGGCAGATATAATAATGGGAAGCAAATTAGTTTTTGCCTCAGTGACAACAAGTACTTGAGATTCTATGAAGATTCTTCAAATAGCAAAACAACCAGGGAGGGCACTTCAGTTGCTGCATAAACAAATACTACATGCAGATATTCTAATCAAGAACATTGCCAAATGCTACCTTTAGCATTTGCTTTGCATTTCTAATTTAAATTATTCAGTGTAGAGTAATATCTTAGAATTTTAAGGGACTGCTAGCCATCGCATTTATAAAACTATCTGTATGTAATTAACTACACTAGTACTATTTATACTGATGACATATCCTTTTATATCCAAATGTTCAGTCTGTTGTCTGTTGTTCAGTTTCTGCTCATTAAAAGGCAGCATTTTAGAAAAGGTAGGTAAAATTGTAAAAAGGGAAAAAAAGAATATATTTGAGAATGAGTTATCTTGACTTTTAAATCACACATTTCAGGTGAAGTAATTTTATAGTTTTAAGGTCAATAAAAATCTATAGAAATATAGATATAAACACAATGTATGACACATTTTATATTAAGTTCAAGGAACTTTATGTTAATGCATTGGTTCTGGAAGCAATCTTATACAATCCTTGACTGATGATCTGGTCCTAGAATCATGAATATGCTCATCCAATTTGTAGTAATATTAAATTAATCACAGTTGGTGATAGATTGTCTGACATGAACACAACTGCATATAAATTTGACCAACTGGAAACATGGTTCATAAAAAGAGCATTGAGCAAGGTGCTATTCACATGGAGAAATAAAACTAAGGCAATGAATGTACATCTAGAAACAAGTGAGAAAGAAAAGGCAAAACCCCTCAAGGTGAAAATTGCTGTAGCCCCACCTTGTAGCTGCAACAAAAAGGACCAAGATGAAGTCAACCTCGAATTATCAACTTTGACTGGTTATTTGCCATGTGCAAGCCTCCATTAACTACTATAACACTTCATAAGGTAAACTCCATCATTATTGTTGCATTTTAAGAATTAGGAAATTAAAGCACAGAGAGCTAAGTAAGTTGTTTAAGGACACAGAACTAATGGGGGAAAGAGGTCTTATTTGAACCAAAGCAGTTTGCTCCAGGGCTAATACTCTTGAATCGCTATACTGTGTAAAATAATAATTTATTTCAAAATTGGAAATATAGCAAAATGATAATTCTTGATTTATCAATATGATGCTGGACCAGTTGCTCATGAACCTCATGAGCCTATTTGACTCTCATTTGACTCTCTTGGAGTACATAATGCTGCTTTATTAACAAAGGCCTGGGTGTTTTACATGCCTGTACTGTTACAGGTTAACATTTAGAGAGAAAAAAAACACCCTGATGAGATGTGATTTGTAGGGTGGAGTACTGGTAGGAAAAATAATTTCAAAAGCTATTATTTTATTCTCTAGTAGGAAAATAACTAGTTTTATATATAATTTGGCAGTCTTCTTTTGGTATTTCTTTTCTGACCAACTGTACAAAACCGTGTTTTTCAAATGTTCTGGGAATCAGCTCTCTTGTCTTTCTGTTGGTTCCCTAATTAATTAAATGAATATTTGACATGTGGCCACTAACCATTTTTATGATTTTAAAGGCTTTTTGCAACTTTCTATTGGAAGATTAGAATATGGAAAGCTGGAAATACAGAGGCATCATGATGTAGTAGTAAAGTTGTACAGATATTAGAGTTAGACAAAACTTAGAGCAAATACAGACACAGGCAACTGCTTAACCTCTCTGAACCTTAGTACCATTATCTGTGAAATGAGGGTAATAATTCTTAGCCCACAAAGATTATTGAAATGATTATAAAATACAAAATTTCTGAGGTACATAAAGTGGGTTTGACGTATCTTCTCCAAGGGTCTTTGTTTCTTCTCATTTTTTCAACCTAAGATAGTCAGATAACTGTATAACGTCCAGCTACCACATAGTAGACTTTTTAAAATAGATTTTTTTTAGAGAGAAGTTTTAGGTTCAAAGAAAAATTGAAAGGAAGAGATTTCCCATAATGTCCTGCCTCCACACATACACAGCCCTGCTCATTATCAACATCCTGCCCCAGAGGGGATACACTAGTTATAATAGATGAACCCACATTAACATATCATAATCACACAAAGTCCATGGTTTACAATAGGGTTCACTTGATGTTGTTGTACATTCTACTGGATCAGACATGTGTATAATGACATGAATCCACCGTTATACTATCATACGAAGTATATTTTACTGCCCCTAAAAATTCCCTGTGCTACTTCTATTCATCCTCTTCTCACCCAGCTCCCAGAAACCGCTGATCTCTTTACTATCTCCATAATTTTGCTCTTTCCAGAATGTCACACAATTGAAATCAGACTGGCTTCTTTCACTTAATGATATGTCTTTCATAGTTTGATAGCCCATTTCTTTTTTAGTGCTGAGTAATATTCCATCATCTAGATGTACCAGTTTATCCATTCACTTACTGAAGTTACATATTTACTGCCTCCAAGTTTTGGCAAATATGAATAAAGTTTTTATAAACATCTCTGTCCAGATTGCTGTGTGGACCTAAGCTTTCAGCGTCTTTGGGTAAATACCAAGGAGCCCAAGTCCTGGATCATATGCTAAGATTATGTTTAGTTTTGTAAGAAACCACCAAACTGCCTTCCAAAGTGGTTGTTCCATTTTACGTTCCCACCAGCAACAAATGAAAGGTCCTATTTCTCACAGTAGAATTTTGAACACCACACTAAAATGTGTGTGTGGCAAGGGGTGGATTTGCAAAAGCTAAAAATAAAATGAACACAAATGTCAAAACTAAATAATATGGGAAAATATTAAAAGAAAAATGTCTTTTTATTTCTTTCTGAAAATAAGATTCTGCTTTCAGGCTTATGAAGAATACCAAGGAAGTAGAACTGCCATATTCTGCATTTGAGGGAATACTTGAATGAGTTCATATCAAAGAATTTTCTCCCAAAGTGCTCCCTAAAGAATTGATTTCCACCCACTGTGTGTCAAACACTGTTTTAGACTTTCATGAAAATAAATGGCTTCTTCCCATGGAAGATTCAAAAATGCTACCCATGTATCCCAGGTTTTGAACTCCTGTTGTAAAGGTACTATAAAAAATGATGCAGTATTCATTGTTAAAAGTCAAAAGTGTTTTAAATGCCACCTTTTTTTTGAAAACATAATGCAGTATTGCAGTTGATATTTTACTTTAGAAATTTCAAACTTTTATTTATATCTATGTTTATTGATAGATTCTATTTTCAGAAAAAATTGTGAAAATTTGAAACAAAACAATGGAAACAAAGCATTTATCATACTTTTCAGTGTTATCAGATACAATGTGGGGGCTATGCCTTTCATTGTTTTTGAACTATTTCACATATCTGTAAGTTTTAGATAATTGATAGCAATGAAAATGATATTTGCCCATAGAGATCCAAATTGTATTCAGTGGAATCTGATTGTTATCCCTTGGATATTAAACCAGTTTTATATCTATTTGTAAATTAATTTACATACTTTTTATTTGACTATTAATATTAAATTCTTTTTTGAACTGATTGTAACATCTTACTGATCCTCTCAATTAATGAGTAGATAAAATATTTTATTTGTATTTCTTTAATGTTTATATGAGAATCACAATTTTTACCCTTCTGAGGAAATCCTATCTATCTATCTATCATCTATCATTCTCCATGAATACTTATGAGTGTCTATATTTATTAAAAAACCTCTTCAAATCTTTGAGTAAAATGATGCATACACCATGTCACTTTTCTAATTCCCAATATCACTGGTACATATCTGGTTGTTTCTATAACCCTGCTAAGAAGCAGTAATCTAAATTAGAATAAGAGCCATCCAGGGCTATGCACAACAACTCAAACAATCAGAGTAACAAAATAAATCATTGAAATAAAAGGAAAAGTAGATTCTCCTTGTCTGGGTGAGATATAAAAAAGGACAAGCAAATGGATAGTTTGCGCAGTTAGTGGCCTAAGGACACAGTGCTCTTATGACAGAACTTATATCCAACAACTGAAGAAGAATTCATCATTTTCAACATTAGGTTTTACTTAAACAGTGCAGACTATATATTATTCTAAATTTACTCATATAATCAGGATACTCTCCTTTTAGCTCATGGCCTTTCATTTTAAAAACATGACTATTTTAATAACTCTAGAAATCATAATTGTCATTGTTATATTCTGTGAGCAAACACAGGATGAAGATCTTCTCATCTGTGAGAGTTTTGACAGAAACCATAGAAAAGATAACCAAAGTTTAAATTGCTCCATTTGTTTTGCAATGATGTGGACCAAGGTGGCAAATGAACTCACTGAATGGTGGCATTATTCAGTTTTTGTCTGATTCTAATCCCTTTGGATACTTTGGTTCTCCCACTGTTATCTTAGCAGACAGGAGTTCGAGACCAGCCTGATCAACATGGAGAAACCCCATCTCTACCAAAAAAACAAACAAACAAACAAAATTAGCCGGGTGTGGTGGCACATGCCTGTAATCCCAGCTACTTGGGAGGCTGAGGCAGGAGAATCGCTTGAACCCGGGAGTTGGAGGTTACAGTGAGCTGAGGTCACACTATTGCACTCCAGCCTGGGCAACAAGAGTGAAACTCCATCTCAAAAAAAAAAAAAAAAAAAAAAAAAGATTTATCTTAGTAAAGCAGTGCCATTTAAGGTTTTCCACAGGCTCTAGAGTCTTATACTTTTGAGGAACTTAGTCCTCTTATACCAAATCTATTAAAAGTACCTATATATGAATTGAGTTGGGTTACCGCTGTCTTTCCGATACGTTACTTTTATAAAAATTTAATTAGATATTTACTTTTTTTGATTTTTAAGGTTTTTTTGAGCCAATTTACTTTTTACAGCTCTCATAACTTTTTATGGGCTATGAAAATCTTGTAGATCCTAAATCACATTCCCAGAATAAGTAATTGTTAAAATGTCCTACAACGGATTTGGAGATTCCTGTAAGACATACACTCCTATTTTTATGCTTTAACATTCACTATAAAAAAAACAGAGCAAAACCTATCCATTGCATGTATAGGAGACTACAGAGGAATGTGTAGCTATTTGCTTTTGTCTGCCCAGAAGACTTTCTCATACTCCTTACTTTGGTAACCTACTATATTCCAAATCTTGGAAGTGGGCGGATGACCCTGGTCTAGACAATATTCTACCACTTGAGGTCAGTATCCTGAGCCTAATGGAGGATGGGTTCTGAGCTAGACTGAGAGGCCTGGTAAGGAGGAGAGAATGTGATCAACAAACCAAGAGAAGCAAACACAAGCAGAGTTGACAAGATAAACCAAAAGAGTCCTGCTGTCAATATTTTGGTTGTACTTCCCACAGGGCTTTCTGGAAGATACCTCAGGAACCAGCAGCATTTGAATCACTTTTGCCTGAAGATTCGGTACATGATCTCTATAGCCAATCTGCAATCAAACCCCAGCTCTGTCAATAGATGTGGCCCCATTTATTTTACTTAATGTCTTTATGGTTTGATTTCTTCAACACTAAAAATGGAATAATGATGATTTTAGTAATAACACCTAGGTCATAGGGATTTTGTGAAGATAAAATGAGTTAAAACATAAAAAGCACTTAGAAACATGCCTAGCATATATTGAATTATGTACCTAAATGTTAATATTATTATTGATCCCAGTTACATGAACACATGAACTCTGTTTTTCTTAAGTTAGATTGAGTTTTGATCTTATAACTTGAAATTGATTATTAAAGGCACCTCTTGGGCTCTCATCTGCTATGACATGAATATTAACTTCCAATATTTCTCCCAAGAGGGATCTATTTTTGAGAAGAAATGTAACATAGTAACTATTCCAGATTTCACAATGCCTATGGTACTGGCAGCTGTTATCACTGGCTAAGACATGAAGCACATATTTTTAGATTCCCAGGTTTTCATCACAAGTTGACTTCTATGAGGCAACTTACGAACAGGAGGCAGAATTATTTTCTTTGGAGATACAACCAAATACATAACAAACCATAATTGCTTCTTTTCTCTTAGGAAAAATGAATGGACTAATGACAGTTTTCTAAAAATACACGTTTTAAATAATCATTAACAGTATACATTAATTTGAAGAAAAAATACTAACAGATTACATTCAATGAACTGGAAAAACCTTGTAAAGAAAATCAAAGACAAACATCTGGCTTAGAAAGTTAGTAAGTTCCAGGCTATCCTTCATTGTACCAATTATTCACCTTTCTGTTGGGAAACAATTCAGAGGGTCAAAGAGAAAAGGCTGCCAGCATCCATATTTCACTTTTCATTATTTGCTATTTTGCTCAATTATACACATCAAGATATTTATGTGTGAGGATGCCTGCTAAGGAGTATTTTTGGAGTAGAAATAATTGAAGCAGACATGAAATCAAACCCACTATGGAACAAGAGTCTGTACTCTAGAGGAAAATCATCTTGACAAAAAAGCCTAGGCTAAAAATTACATCTATGATCCAGCCCTTCTCTTGGGGGAACAACTGGTGAAAAAGTGAAAAGGAAGAGACTCAATGAAAGATTTTCAAAAAATTTAATTTGAATTGCTTCCATACAGGGCATATATCATTCTTATTGGCCTGGCTAAGGCCAATCATATGCCCACCACTGGCCAGTCAGTGTGACATGAGACAATCATGCTCTTTTTGCCCTGACTTCAGTCCCATGCCCCTCTGCAGAGGTGGAGTGGAATTCCATGTACACTAACATGAATTGAAGTAGAAAGGCATTGTTTGCCACATGAAGTAAAATGTATATGAAGACGAGTGGTGATATGATGAACAAAACCTCTAAATGCCAACTACTTTCATACCTTGCTGGATCTTCTGAAGACAGTGATATTTTAAAGTGGAGACAAAAGAATCCTCTGCTCAGAACAAGGAGAAAGCAAAGAGAGAGCAGAGCCATTTCATGATAGTCCCCAAAAAGTGTTTCACCTTTCAATGCTTTGGCTATCTTGTAAATGTTTGTTTAGAATTATATTTAAAATTAAAAATGGATTATATATTATCTATTTTTGCTTTAAAATAAATGAAGATAAAAAGGTACAAATATTTCTATTATATTATTAGGCCTATGATAATGATTTATAGTTAGTACCTTTTTCTTACTTTTCTTACATGAATCCTAAAGAGAAAATGTTTTTATTGTGAATAACAAAAGAAACAAAGTTTCCCATAGAAATATTTCAATGGAGGTATTAATTGTCCTATCTGATAGGCATTTGTTTGTATTTAATGGTATTAAATTTAAATTTAATGAAAGTGGGATTTAATTTTATTCATCTCTCCTGGAATATAACTTCTGATGATTCATGTATATTTTGATGTTTTCATTACTAACAACAAGAGATGCTGTTTGAGAAATTCAATTTAATTTATAATATTTTGATGTTGTTAATTATTTTTAACACTTATGGCAGCAATTTGGTTGATGCTGTAGAGTTTAAAATTCAAAACAGTCTCTCTTCAAGGCTTTTATTTTGTATTTAAAAAAAAACCTCATACTGATATTTCTTTTCTAATACAAGTATGTGAAAAACAGAAATTTTTGATGAAAATACCATATTTTAAAAGCAATGATTTTAACATTTTCTGCCTACTCTTGGTAATTGTTTATCAGTACAAACTTATGAAATATGGATAATAACAATGGTCTTTAAATGATACATAAAATTTGATGCTGTGGTTTGATTGCACAATATTTTTTATGGAAGGAGCATAACATACAGTCTTGGACTTGGTGGCTAATTTGAAGTCTGGCACTGCCACTAACACTTGTGTGCTTGGACTGCCCGCAGTTGCAAATGACCTCATTTTGCCTATATATGACATGGAACAAATAACATTAGGCAATGTATTTTGGGCCTATTGAAGTTTTTCATGAAAATAAAGAGAAGTAATACCTATGAAAGCATGTGGGCTACACAAAATTAAGACAATATTATTACGATGTCTTTGCTTGACTCCAAGGCTAAACTTATTCTAAGATATCAAAATGCCCACAGGGTCAATATTTTTTAAAGCCTGAACTGAGTCAGGGTAGTTACATGTAGAACAGAGGGATGTGGCATGGTTTTCGTGCCTCCATGGGCCTATGGCAACATTAGAAACTTTGCCAGGGCATAGGTGCTTGTGACAGTTTTGTGGTCATATTGGTCACTTCATGTACTGACATAGATACAGAAAGGTGAGGATGGTAGTGCTTACTACTGACTATTGAGTAGAATGAATATATTATTCTGGAAAATGGCAGAATAACTGGAAGGAACTTGAGAGGTTAGAATTTTCACAGAGAAGATGGAGAGCAGAACCAGATAAATACGTTATATTGCTGTTTCTTTATTGTAACTTTATCAGTTAGCTTGTGCCATATAATTGGTATCTCCTATTAAAGATTTGTATGAAAATGTAAAAATATTTGTCAGAATTCTCTGCTCAAAGTAAGATACAAAACTGTCTTCAAGTAATTTAACACATTTTCAATATTTCTTCTTTTTATAGAACAGTTGTTCTGTTGATCATTTCTTTTTCAAATATTTTATAGTTGGATAGAAGAAACATATGTAGAAACTTCTGAAAAAATCATCATTAAGGAATAATATAGAGAAATCATTAAAATATTATAATATTCAACACTTAGACATAAAATTATTAACATTTAAGAATGATAGGCTGGCAGGGGCGGTTCCAAGATGGCCAATTAGGAACAGCTCCAGTCTACAGCTCCCAGTGTGAGTGATGCAGAAGATGGGTGATTTCTGTATTTCCAACTGAGGTACTGGGTTCATCTCACTGGGGCTTGTCGGACAGTGGGTGCAGGACAGTGGATATAGCCCACTGAGCGTGAGCCAAAGCAGGGCGAGGCATCGCCTTACCTGGGAAGTGCAAGGGGTCAGGGAATTTCCTTTCCTAGCCAAGGGAAGCTGTGACAGATGGCACCTGGAAAATCAGGTCACTCCCAGCCTAATACCGTGCTTTTCCGATGGTCTTAGCAAATGGCACACCAGGAGATTATATCCCATGCATGGCTTGGACAGTCCCACAGTCATGAAGCCTCACTCATTGCTCGCACAGCAATCTGAGATTGAACTGCAAGGCGGCAGTGAGGCTGGGGGAGGGGTGCCCGCCATTGATGAGGCTTGAGTAGGTAAACAAAGTGGCTGGGAAGCTCGAACTGAGTGGAGCCCACCACAGCTCAAGGAGGCCTGCCTGCCTCTGTAGACTCCACCTCTCGGGGCAAGGCAGAGCCAAGCAAAAGGCAGCGAAACCTCTGCAGACTTAAATGTCTCTGTCTGAGAGCTTTGAAGAGAGTAGTGGTTCTCCCAGCACGAAGCTGGAGATCTGAGATCAGACAGACTGCCTCCTCAAGTGGGTCCCTGACCCCCGAGTAGCCTAACAGGGAGGCACCCCCAAGTAGGGGCAGACTGACACCCCACATGGCCAGGTACCCCTCTGAGATGAAGCTTCTAGAGGAATGACCAGGCAGCAACATTTGCTGTTCAGCAATATTCACTGTTCTGCAGCCTCCACTTCTGATACACAGGCAAACAGGGTCTGAAGTGGACCTCCAGCAAACTCCAACAGACCTGCAGCTGAGGGTCCTGACTGTTAGAAGGAAAACTAACAAACAGAAAGGATATCCACACCAAAACCCCATCTGTACGCCACCACCATCAAAGACCAAAGGTAGATAAAACTACAAAGATGGGGGAAAAACAGAGCAGAAAAGCTGAAAATTCTAAAAATCAGAGTGACTCTCCACCTCCAAAGGAACACAGCTCCTCGCCAGCAACAGAACAAAGCTGGATGGAGAATGACTTTGAAGAGTTGAGAGAAGAAGGCTTCAGACGATCAAACTTCTCCAAGCTAAAGGAGGAAGTTCAAACCCATCGCAAAGAGGCTAAAAACCTTGAAAAAAGATTAGATGAATGGCTAACTAGAATAACCAGTGAAGAGAAGTCATTAAATGACATGATAGAGCTGAAAACCATGGCATGAGAACTACGTGATGAATGCACAAGCTTAAGTAGCTGATTCGATCAACTGGAAGAAAGGGTATCAGTGATTGAAGATCAAATGAAGGAAATGAACTGAGAAGAGAAGTTTAGAGAAAAAAGAATAAAAAGAAACAAACAAAGCCTCCAAGAAATATTGGATTAGGTGAAAGAAAAAATCTAAGTCTGACTGGTGTACCTGAAAGTGACAGGGAGAATGGAACCAAGTTGGAAAACACTCTGCAGGATATTATCCAGGAGAACTTCCCCAATCTAGAAAGGCAGACCAACATTCAAATTCAGGAAATACAGAGAACACCACAAAGATTCTCCTCAAGAAAAGCAACTCCAAGACACATAATTGTCAGATTCACCAAGGTGGAAATGAAGGAAAAAATGTGAAGGGCAGGCAGAGAGAAAGGTCGGGTTACCCACAAAGGGAAGCCTATCAGACTAACAGCAGATGTCTCAGCAGAAACTCTACAAGCCAGAAGAGAGTGGGGGCCAATATTCAACGTTCTTAAAGGAATGAATTTTCTTTGTTTTTTTTTTGTTTTGTTTTTTGTTTTTGTTTTTTGTTTTTTTTTTTTTTTTTTTGTGATGGAGTCTTGCTCTTTCGCCCAGGCCAGAGTGCAGTGGCGTGATCTCGGCTCACTGAAAGCTCCACCTCCTGGGTTCACGCCATTCTCCTGCCCCAGCCTCCCGAGTAGCTGGGACTACAGGAGGCCACCACCACGCCCAGCTAATTTTTTGTATTTTTAGTAGAGACGGGGTTTCACTGTGTTAGCCAGGATGGTCTTGATCTCCTGACCTTGTGATCCGCCCGCCTCAGCCTCCCAAAGTGCTGGGATTACAGGCTGAGTCACCGTGCCCAGCCCAAGAAAAGAATTTTCAACCCAGAATTTCATATCAAGCCAAACTAAGCTTCATAAGTGAAGGAGAAATAAAATACTTTACAGACAAGCAAATGCTGAGAGATTTTGTCACCACCAGGCCTGCCCTAAAAGAGCTCCTGAAGGAAGCACTAAACATGGAAAGGAACAACCAGTACCAGCCACTGCAAAAACATGCCAAATTGTAAAGACCATCGATGCTAGGAAGAAACTGCATCAATTAATGAGCAAAATAACCAGCTAACATTATAATGACAGGATCAAATTCACACATAACTATATTAACCTTAAATTGAAATGGGCTAAATGCTCCAATTGAAAGACATAGACTGGCAAATTGGATAAAGAGTCAAGATCCATCAGTGTGCTGTATTCAGGAGACCCACCTCATGTGCAGAGACACAATAGGCTCAAAATAAAGGGATGGAGGAAGATCTACCAAGCAAATGGAAAACATAAAAAGGCAGGGGTTGCAATCCTAGTCTTGGATAAAACAGACTTTAAACCAACAAAGATCAAAAGAGACAAAAGAGGCCATTACATAATGGTAAAGGGATCCATTCAACAAGAGCTAACTATCCTAAATATATATGCACCCAATACAGGAGCACCCAGATTCATAAAGCAATTCCTTAGAGACCTACAAAGAGACTTAGACTCCCACACAATAATAATGGGAGACTTTAAAACCCCACTGTCAACATTAGACAGATCAACGAGACAGAAAGTTAACAAGGATATCCAGGAATTAAACTCAGCTCTGCATCAAGCAGACCTAATAGACATCTACAGAACTTTCTACCCCAAATCAACAGAATATACATTCTTCTCAGCACCATACCACACTTATTCCAAAATTGACCACATAGTTGGAAGTAAAGCACTCCTCAGCAAATGTAAAAGAACAGAAATTATAATCAACTGTCTCTCAGACCACAGTGCAATCAAACTAGAGCTCAGGATTAAGAAACTCACTCAAAACCACTCAGCTACATGGAAACTGAACAACCTGCTCCTGAATGACTACTGGGTACATAACGAAATGAAGGCAGAAATAAAGGTGTTCTTTGAAACCAACAAGAACAAAGACACAACAAACCAGAATTTCTGGGACTCAGATAAAGCAGTGTGTAGAGGGAAATTTACAGCACTAAATGCCCACAAGAGAAAGCAGGAAAGATCTAAAATCGACACCCTAACATCACAACTAAAAGAACTAGAAAAGCAAGAGCAAACACATTCAAAAGCTAGCAGAAGGCAAGAAATAACTAAGATCGGAGCAGAACTGAAGGAGACAGAGACACAAAAAACCCTTCAAAAAATCAATGAATCCAGGAGCTGGTTTTTTGAAAAGATCAACAAAATTGATAGACCACTAGCAAGCTAATAAACAAGAAAAGAGAGAAGATTCAAATAGACCCAATAAAAAATGATAAAGGGGATATCACCACCGATCCCACAGAAATACAAAATACCATCAGAGAATACTATAAACACCTCTATACAAATAAACTAGAAAATCTAGAAGAAATGGATAAATTCCTCAACACATACACCCTCCCAACACTAAACCAGGAATAAGTTGAATCTCTGAATGGACCAATAACAGGCTCTGAAATTGAGGCAATAATTAATAGCTTACTAACCAAAAAATGTCCAGGACCAGATGGATTCACAGCCAAATTCTACCAGAGGTACAAGGAGGAGCTGGTACGATTCCTTCTGAAACTATTCCAATCAATAGAAAAAGAGGGAATCCTCCCTAACTCATTTTATGAGGCCAGCATCATCCTGATACCAAAGTCTGACAGAGACACAACAAAAAAAGAGAATTTTAGACCAATATCCCTGAGGAACATCGATGCAAAAATCCTCAAAAAAATACTGGCAAACCAAATCCAGCAGCACATCAAAAACCTTATCCACCATGACCAAGTCGGCTTCATCCCTGGGATGCAAGGCTGGTGCAAGGTTCAACATACACAAATAAATAAATGTAATCCAGCATATAAACAGAACCAAAGACCAAAACCACATGATTATCTCAATAGATGCAGAAAAGGCCTTTGACAAAATTCAGTAGCCCTTCATGCTAAAAATCTCAATAAATTAGGTGTTGATGGACGTATCTCAAAATAATAAGAGCTATGTATGACAAACCCACAGCCAATATCATACGGAATGGGAAAAAACTGGAAGCATTCCCTTTGAAACTGGCACAGGATAGGGATGCCCTCTCTCACCACTCCTATTCAGCATAGTTGGAAGTTCTGGCCAGGGCAATCAGGCAGGAGAAAGAAATAAAACAGGACACAAACAAATGGAAGAACATTCCATGCTCATGGATAGGAACAATCAATATCTTGAAAATGGCCATACTCCCCAAGGTAATTTATAGATTTAATGCCATCCTCATTAAGCTACCAATAACTTTCTTCACAGAATTGGAAAAAACTACTTTAAAGTCCATATGGAACCAAAAAAGGGCCCACATTGCCAAGACAATCCTAAGCCAAAAGAACAAGGCTGGAGGCATCATGCTACCTGACTTCAAACCATACTACAAGGCTACAGTAACCAAAACAGCATGGTACTGGTACCAAAACAGAGATATAGATCAATGGAACAGAACAGAGCCCTCAGAAGTAATACCACACATCTACAACCATCTGATCTTTGACAAACCTGACAAAAACAAGCAATGGGGAAAGGATTCCCTATTTAATAAATGGTTCTGGGACAACTGGCTAGCCATATGTAGAAATCTGAAACTGGATCCCTTCCTTACACCTTATACAAAAATTAATTCAAGATGGATTATAGACTTAAATGTTAGACCTAAAGCTATGAAAACCCTAGAAGAAAACCCAGGCAATACCATTCAGGACATAGGCATGGGCAAGGACTTCATGTCTAAAACACCAAAAGCAGTAGCAACAAAAGCCAAAATTGACAAATGGGATCTAATTAAACTAAAGAGCTTCTGCACAGTAAAAGAAACTACCATCAGAGTGAACAGGCAACCTACAGAATGGGAGAAAATTTTTGCAATCTACTCATCTGACAAAGGGCTAATATCCAGAATCTACAAAGAACTCAAACAAATTTACAAGAAAAAAACAAACAACCCCATCAAAAAGTGGGCGAAGGATATGAACAGACACTTCTCAAAAGAAGACATTTATGCAGCCAACAGACACATGAAAAAATGCTCATCATCACTGGCCATCAGAGAAATGCAAATAAAACTACAATGAGACAACCATCTCACACCAGTTAGAATGGCAATCATTAAAAAGTCAGGAAACAACAGGTGCTGGAGAGGATGTGGAGAAATAGGAACACTTTTACACTGTTGGTGGGACTGCAAACTGGTTCAACCATTTGGAAGACAGTATGGCGATTCCTCAAGGATCTAGAACTAGAAATATCAGTTGACCCAGCCATCCCATTACTGGGTATATACCCAAATGATTACAAATCATGCTGCTCTAAAGACACATGCTCACGTATGTTTATTGCGGCACTATTCACAACAGCAAAGACTTTTAACCAACCCAAATGTCCATCAATGATATACTGGATTAATAAAATGTGGCACATATACACCATGGAATACTATGCAGCCACAAAAAAGGATGAGTTCATGTCCTTTGTAGGGACATGGATGAAGCTGGAAACCATCATTCTCAGCAAACTATCACAGGCACAAAAAACCAAACACTGTATGTTCTCAATCATAGGTGGGAATTGAAGAATGAGAACACATGGACACAGGAAGGGGAACATCACACACCAGGGCCTATCATGGAGTGGGGAGGGGGGTAGCAATAACATTAGGAGATATACCTACTGTAAATGATGAGTTAATGGGTGCAGCATACCAACATGGCACATGCATACATATGTAACAAACGTGCACGTTGTGCACATGTACCCTAGAACTTAAAGTATAAAAAAACAAAAACAAAAACAAATGTAAGACTACTTTTTCCAGTCCATCCATCCCTCTTTCTAGCTATCTGTACTTCTATCTCAAATTTATCTACTGGCCTATTAGTCTCTTTTATATGGTTAAAAATATTTTTAGATATGGTTTTAAATATTGCATTTTTATAACATTAGATATTCATCATTTTCCCACATCACAGACCTGTTCCCTGTATAGAATAGTTGCTGCTACCATCTATTAGACATTTCTTAACATACCATAATAAATTTCAAAAACTTCATTAGCACAATCACAGCTTCAGGATCATCAATGTACCCAATTATAATAGAACTCCTCTGAAAGTATTTAATAAATGCTGACTGTCGAAGCATCTACACACACATTGTGCTTTTTTTTTTTCTGAGAAGGAGTCGCCCTCTGTCGCCCAGGCTGGAGAGCACTGGCACAATCTCAGCTCACTGCAACCTCCACCTCCTGGGTTCAAGCCATTCTCCTCACATAGCTTCCCGACTAGCTGAGACTACAGGTGTGTGCCACCACAACTAGTTAATTATTTTTCTTTTTTAAAAAATTTTTTTTTTATTTTTAGTAGAGACAGTGCTTCTCCGTGCTGGCCAGGCTGGTCTCCTGACCTCAAGTGATTTGCCCACATCAGCCTCCCAAGGAGTTGGGTTTACAGGTGTGAGCCACCACACCCAGCCTGATTGTACATTTTTGAGAGGAAAGTGGCAGAGGTGTGTCCATAGGTGGCAAAGCTAGAGGATCTTATAGAGGACTAAATTAATGTTTATGTTTTATTTGTATGTGCCTTGTGTACATTTTATGTTCATAGGTAACAAATTGCCACAAAATTAGCAGCTTAAAGTAACACACATTTATTACCTCACAGTTTCTATAGGTCAGAAGCCTGGGCATAGCTTAACCATGTTCTCTGCTTCAGGGTCTCAATAGGCTGCACTTGGGGTGTCAGCTATGAGTGCATTCTTATCAGAGGCTCACTAGGGAAAAGAGCCATGTCCAAAGTTCCCTTAGGTTTTTGGTGGGATTCCCTTTCTTGCAGCTGAAGGACTGAAGGTTTCAGTTTATTGTTGGAGGTCATCCTCAGCTTTTTGAAGCTGCTCCCTTCAGTTCCTTGCTACATGGGCTTCTCCAGTGTGGCATATAATTATGGTAGCTTGCTTCTTCAAAGCAAGCAAGAGAGAGAGACCCTAGTTTTGTTTTTTTTTTTTTTTTTTTGCTGTTGATTTTTTCCTAAACAAAATGGACTTTTATGCAATATAACATAAGCAATGGAATGATGTCATTCACTTTTACCATGTTCTATTGGTTAGAAGAAGGCCCCACCCTTACTCAATGGCTTGAATACTAGAAGGTAGGAAATATTGGAGGTCACTTTAAGGTCTATCCTCACACTCCTGTAATTCTCAAATCTTCCTCAACTAACCTGCATTTTGTTTCTGATTTTTTTTTAACGTGTGTCCTTCCATTTTTAACAAATGGGCTTACATCTTCAAAACAACACTGGAATAGTCAACAACAAGAAATAGCAAATATCAGAGAATAAATTATATATTAGATTTCTACATTAAAAATATAAAATAGTATTAGGAAAACCTTAAAAGACCCAAATATCACACTATCTTCATTATTGTAGCTTTGTAATAAATAGTAAAATCTGGTTAACTTCCTCAACCCTAGTTCTTCTTCAGGATTGTCTTGGCTATATTTATTCCTTCCTGTTTGCATTTAACTTTATAGAATTATTTTGTTAATCTACACACACACACACAAACATGCACCTTCTGGAATTTTAATTGGAATGAATTAAACTTATATATCAATTTTTTTTTTTTGAGAGGAGTCTCACTCTGTCGCCCAGGCTGGAGTGCAGTGGCACGATCTTGGCTAGAGACATTTTATGTTAAAGAATTAAGAGATTTAATATTTTGAGATGTAAATTCCTCTTAAATTGATATATAAGTTGGCCGGGCACAGTGGCTCATGCCTATAATCCCAGCACTTTGGGAGGCCGAGACGGGGTGGATCACGAGGTCAGGAGATCGAGATCATCCTGGCTAACACGGCAAAACCCCATCTCTACTAAAAAAACATAAAATTAGCCAGGCATGGTGGTGGGCCCCTGTAGTCCCAGCTACTCGGGAGGCTGAGGCAGAAGAATGGTGTGAACCCGGGAGGTGGAGCTTGCAATGAGCCAAGATCACGCCATTGCACTCCAGCCTGGGCGACAGAGCAAGTCTCTGTCTCAAAAAAAAAAAAATTGATATATAAGTTTAATTTATTCCAATTAAAATTCCAGAAGGTGCATGTTTGTGTGTGTGTGTGTATGTGTGTGTGTGTGTGTGTAGATTAACAAAATAATTTTATAAAGTTAAATGCAAACAGGAAGGAATAAATACAGCCAAGACAATCCTGAAGAAGAACTAGGGTTGAGGAAGTTCACCAGGTTTTAATATTTATTACAAAGCTACAATAATGAAGATAGTGCGATATTGGTTTCCAAATGGACAAACAGACCAAATGAATAGAATAGTTGGTTCAAAAATAGATCCAGATATAGAGGTAAACTTATTTTTGACAAACATGTCATGGCAATGCAGTGTATGTCAGGGGCTGTGGTTGGTCTTTTCAAGCGGTGGTGTTGCAGCAAATAGATACTACACATATGGAAACAAAATCTGGATCCCTACCTCACACCAGACACACAAAAAGTTTAAATTGAACTACCAGAACTAAATGTGAAAAATAGTAAAGATTCTAAAAGAAAATATAGAAATATTATTATAATACCGGAGTAAGCAAGTATTTCTTACACAGAACATTATAGTAACATTTATAAATTAGACTTATTAAAACAAAACACTTCTGATGAGCAAAAAATATATTAAGAGAGCGTATGGGCTGGATGCCATGGCTCATACCTGTAATCCAAGCACTTTCGTTCAGCTGAGGTGGGAGGATTGCTTGAGCCCAAGATTTCAAGACCAGCCTGGGCAATATAGTAAGACCTTGTCTTTACAAAATAAATAAACAAAAAGGTGTGGTGGCTTGCATCTGTAGCCCCAGCTACTTGGGGGACTGAGGAGGGAGGACTGCTTGAGCCCTGGAAGTTAAGACTGCAGTGAGCTGTGATTGAGTCACTGCACTCCAGTTTGGGAGACAGAGGAAGACACTGTCTCAATTAAAAAAAAAAAAAAGAGAGAGAGAGAGAGTGTGTATACATGTAAGTCACAAACAGGAAGATGATAATCTGGGAAATGACTCATATCTAGCATCTATATACCCAACAAATCCAGAAAAATACAAAAACCAATTTAATATGATGGACAAAAGATTTGAACAAGTGATACATAAAAGAAGATATCCATATGTGCGATAAACATTGACAAAGTGGTTAACATCATTAGTTACTAAGGAAATGAAATTAAAACCAAAATAAGAATATTACACATCCACTAGGATGGCTAAAATTAAAAATACACATATAAATAATGTCAGAGACATTAACTAGACTTTCACCCACTGATGATGGAAATGTAAATTAGTTCAATCACTTTGGAGAACTACTTGTATTAATCAGTTAAAGCTAAACATAAGCAAGGAATTGTGTCAGTAATTATACTTCTATCCAAGAGAAATAATGCATATGTCCACAAAAGTTCATGTGTAAAAATATTCATAGCAGTTTTATTCAAAAATTGAATAAAGTAGTAAAACAATGAAAACAACTCAAATACACACCCACAAAAGAATGGTTAAGCAAATTATTATATACTTATACAATGGCAAACTACTCAGCAATAAAAGCATACAAACTACTTTTATACACAGTAACATGGAAAAGCTCCTCCAAAATATGTTAAGTGAAAAAATAGACACAAAAGAATATATTTAATATACTGTATGACTCAAATAAAGTTTAAAAGTGGTGCTGGAAATCTAATCTGTTATGATAGAAGAGTAGTTGTTACCTATGGGTAAGGTGCTATTGGCTGGAAGGAGCTTGAGGGAAGGTCTTGAGACAAAATTTTGCTCTAAGAGATGCTCACATGAGTCAATTGACATATAAATATGTAAAATCCAACAGAGCTGCACACATGAAATGTGTACATCTCACTGTATGCAAATTAACCACTTCAAAATAAGAGGCACATCTGAAGCAAAATCTTAAACATTCATGTCTGTTTCCAGGTCTCACTGCATTACAATTGCAAGTACGAGGGCCTTTGTTTAGTCTTCATATTATAATATAATCTATCGACCTACACTAATCTTATTTCTCTCTTTGTTCCAAAATCTTCTTTTTCAGTCTCCAGCTATTTTCTGAATTTTAGTTCTCTTCATTGAGCTCATGACATGTCCTGCAATTTGCCTTTTTCTCCCTGACAAAGAAATATTGCATTGTATCTGATGCTGGCTGTGTCCTACTGCCCAAACCCACTTGGGATTCTGGAATTAGCAATCATATTTGTACATAAAAACTAAGGAAATTGAGGTCCAAGAGCATAGGCAACTGATAACAAAGTAACACAGCTAACTACTCTCAAAACACACAATTCATTCAAATTTACGTCTTTTTTCAGTGGGAATGTTCTGAAATAATACAACTCTGTTTATAAAGTCTAGAGTGGAAGAAAAGAGAAAATAGCAGGAAAAAAGCAGAATTTCAACTGCAATTATTTTTGCTCCTCATTTTAGAGATACAGAAACTGACATTTAGGAGTTAAAGTGAATTACCAAAATAATCAGATAATTATATTAGTGTCAATCAGGAAATTTTTTTATATTTCAATTTCAAAACCGATCAATCCAACATAAAACAATACATGCAAAATTACTATCATACAATCAAGTTTCTACATCTCAAATTTCAATAGAGGCATATTCAACAATTTATTGAGCACCTATTATGAGTCTTCCATGAGTCTATTGAAATATATGTTATAAAGAGAAACCCAAGATGTCTTCAATTGACTTCCATTCTCACTAGTAGATATAATAGGATACTATCAACAACAATCAAGAAGAAAATGTTCCTTTGTCATTAACACGCTGTTTCAGAAAAGTTGCCTATTAACAGTCAGGGAGGAGGGGAATCTGGGCCAGCTAATTAGCTTCAAGTCTGGTGGTAAATCATATGTTTGATGTTGTGGCCAGATCACTGTGACGTCTGACATTTATCCCATAAGAAAACATGGGGTGCTACTATGCATCCCATTAAAAATAAATGGAAGTGCCTTATGTTAAACATAATCTAGATCTCACTCATATTGCCAATGTCTCACCCAGATCTAGAACATTTCCATGGGCAACATATTAAAGAATGGGACAAGAGCTCCGAAACTATACTCAAAAGAATTTGGAGCTGACAGACAACCCAGGTCAGTGATTCTGAATCCTAGCTATACATTGTCATTTAGAAACGTTAAATTACAGTAACTCTCTGTATCCCAACCTCTAACTATTCTGATGTAATCTGATCTTAGGTGAAGATGAGCTATCTACATATATTTTTAAATATTCCTGTGCCAAGACAGAGAATCATTTATTCCTGTCAAAAGCGTGAATGCAGATTTCTTAAATAACTGATGAAGTCATCTTACGAAGCCAAAAGTAAAAAGGCAGAGGAAACAAACAAGCACATCTCCAAGTATATCCAATTCTTCATATCTTTTCCAGAAAGTAGCAAGAACAGCATAAGAAATTAAAGAACAAAACAGAGTTTTGAAGGTAAGTTTTGATAAAATACTATCAAATATGGAATAAGGAAAAAAAAAGTACTGACCCTTTAAGAAATAAGTGGCCATAAATATTCCCCATTAATACTGCAACAATATTATAATCACTATAGTCCGATAACTACTATAATATACCACTATAAAGATCCACTCACAATACTACAACTTTTGGTACAGACACCTGTCAACCTAAAAGGAGAAACAAGTAGAGGCTAATTAAGGCTTTCTACTAGAGTTCTTCAGAGGTATCTTGGAAGGACAAATTTAAATCCCTGAAATCTTTGCTTTTCAGAATTCTTATCAACGTGACTGAAGGTGGGGATTTTTAGGACAGTAGGTACATAGGGAAGCATCTCCAACACACTATATTATTAAGGACCATAGCTCTCATTTCTCAAGGTGATATGTTCAAGTGGAAAACATATCTGGTCTAAGTTCAGGATTATTAAAGATCAGTGGTGCTCAATTTTAGCATGCATTAGAATCATCTGGAGGGCTTGTTCAAACACAGATTGCTCACCCTTCCCCAGAGTTCCCAATTCAGCGGGTCTTGGTGGAAGCCCCAAATTTGTATTTCTAAAAAATTCACAGGTGAGGCTGAGGCTGCTGGTTGGGGATCAGTCTTTGAGTATCAGCGATAGAAAGTATTTACAAAGATTATATAGTAATCTCCAGTGTTTGAGAAGTGAGGCAAACTTTATTCATTCTTTGTTACACTGAATGGTGGCAATTCTAAGGAACTGTAGTAAGATAATGAAGTATCCCAAGAATTACTCCCCCTGGAGTCCTCTGCTACATGCTGACAGTCCAAAGCACAGTCTTCCTGTGCCTATCACCCTGATAGGCAGTGGGGACACCAAGGTGAGTTTTGACAGTCTTTCCCCATGAGAGTAGTGGAGGGGAATCAGACATACATACAAATATTTTCAGTATGAACATTGGAATATGCATTTATTTAAAGACAGCCAGTTGCAGTGTGATTTGGGTTAATTATGCTGCTTGAAACATTGATTAAATCACAAAAGATAAGAAATTAAGATAAGAAATTAAAACTATGCTATAAACTAAAAAGCAATATACATCTGATGTCCTCTTTGATCACAGTGCCCAGAATGCAGCTAGCAACTGCAAATATAATCTCCTGGAATACATCATCAGTCATCAGTAATTTAAGGAGGCTTGAAGAATTTGTAAAGTGAAAAAGTTAATGCAAACTTGGAAGCTGAATTAAATGGTTCAATGAAAACTTTATAAGCCTTTTATACTAAGTGTTAACAGCCTAATAGTGGGACCTCCTTATGTGGTATAACCCAAATTCTTGGCCCTCTCTAAGCTTTTTCAGAGCTCAGTGGTGCTCACTGGCTTATAACACATGACTATGGCTCCCCATAAACCCATCTGTCAGTTTTATGCCACCTTCTCTCCACGGTTTTGCATTCTGTCTTCTCTCTTCTTCCCAACCTCACCTTGGTTTTAGGAATAGCCAACTTATCTTTAACTACGCTCATTTTACATAATCTGCCCTACAGCAACAAACCTCAGGGCTTTTCTGCCATAGGCAAAAGGATTATCTTCTCTGTAAAATGACGGAACTCTTTGAGCTGGTTCTTCTAGCCTTGGACATTGATCTACTGAAGGCAGAGAGAAAAAAAATTTACATATTTTCAACAGTTCCATTTTTGAATGTTAGAAGCTGGATATTGTTTAGCCTTTCTTTAACATTCTTTAACATTTCTAATTTCCCCTCCAGCTAGATGAACGCTATGGGCCAACTAAAGAAAAGATAACATATGGGAAAAAATAAAAGCATATTCATGGCTTTGAAACATAATCTTTATTGCATTATTGTGGTAGGCATAATGAGCCTCCATCCCCCCACACACACATCCCCACCAAGGATGCCCATGTCCTATTCCTTGGAACTTATGAATATGTGGCCACACATGGCAAAGGGAAATCAAGGTTGCAGATGGAATTAAGGTTGCTAATCAGATGACTCTACAATAAAGGGTTTAGCTGAGATGATCTTGGTTGTCCCACTGTAATAAACAAAGATAATAAAAATGGAAGAGGGAAGTAGAAGCGGGGGTCAGAGTCATGTTATGTGAGAAGAACTCAACACATTATTGCTGGCTTTGAAGATGGAAGAAGGGGGCTGTGGGCCAGAGATTTTAGGTGGCCTCTAAAGGTTGGCAAACATGAAGAAAAAGAATCTCCCTTAGAGAATTTTAACAGTCTTAGAGCCTCCAGAAAAAAATGCAGACTTGCCAACACTTTGATTTTATTTCAGTGAGATTCATGTAGGACTTTGGACCTCCAGGAAGCGTAAGATAATAAATTTGTATTGTTTAAGCCACTAGGTTTGATTTATTTTGTTACAGCAGCAATAGGAAACAATTACCATCATTTAAGTTGGAAGTTGGCCTGATGAACCTAAGGTGGTGCTCATTTTACTCTTCCGTTCCCATTGTCTTTCCCTGGTATTTTGACTTTGTCTATTTCTTTAATTGTTAATTGTAAGCCCTAGAATGAAAATCTATACCAGTAAACTGGAACACAGAGAAAAACTAAAATACTAGCTAGTTTTCCTACTTGAAAATAGCCCCAGAAAAATAATATTATATAGGAAAGCATTTCAAATTAATGTTGAGCATGAGTGTTTTAAAAGTATATTCTCAGCTCAATGAGCCATGCTCACCTTTGCCTCCCATTCCCAGGAATAACTGAGAGTTGACTATTTAAAATAAGCAAAGTTCTCAGGGTCTTGAGCTATTGCTGACTGTATTATGACTGATGCACTGTGCCTGCTGGGTCAGTGGACAGCTGCTGGTTTATTTATTTGTAGATTCTGGGGCTGTGTTCTAAGCATGAAAAACATTGTTCGGGGCTGATGTTTCCTCTGCTCTCTAGTCTGTTCACTGTGTAAATTCTTAAACAATGAAATTGTATTTCTTTGTAGGAAGTAATCATTCAAGAACACTCATGTCAGGGAACAATTCTGCACCAAGCATGAACAGAAAGTGATGCCACTTGAAAAAGTGACTCAAATCTGTCAAATAGGACACTAGTGTTAATGTCAATCTGGGAGATCAAGAATAACCACTAAGCAGATTGGGTTATGTAAGGCAGATTGATCTGGATATTTGTTATAAAGGCAGAGATTATTGAGGATGACCTCTCGTTTCTTTTGAATGACACAATAGAATAAGCATGAGTTGCAAAGGATTCTTTTTAATGGCAACAGTGAAATGATAGGCGGCTGGAAATTGTAATGGTCACTATTTTAAATCAAGACCAGTAGCTATCTACATTTTAGGTGGAAATGGAGGTACAGAATATTGTTTTGGTCATATTTCAATAATGATAGATTGTTTACAGTTGGCACAATAATGAAGGAGGGTAGGTAGGACAGGAAAACATTTTTAAAAGAAATGTGAGAGGAGTTGTTTCAACATGAAATGAGTAAATATATAACTCCAAACATAGTTGGATAAGAAAGAATAGTATAGAAAACCAAATAACCTCAAGCAAGATTCTTCTAAATCCTATATACCTGATTGTCAAAGGTGCAGGGTTGATACAAAACTGATTTTTTTCTTTTTGAGATAGGGTCTCACTCTGTCGCTGAGGCTGCAGTACAGTAGCACCATTGTAGCTTACTATAGCCTCAAACTCCTGGGCTCAAGCAATCTTACAGCCTCAACCTCTCAAGTAGATGGGACTACAAGCACACCCTACTATGACTGGCTATTTTTTAAATTTTTATTTTGTAGAGATGGGGTCTTCCTGTTTTGCCCAAACTGGACTAGAACTCCTGGCCTCAAGTGATCCTCCTGCCTAGGCCTCCCGAAGTGCTTAGGTTGGGATTAGAGGGGTAAGCCACCACACTCTGCCAAAAAAGGATTTATTTATTGAACAAATATTCATTGCACACTTGCCCCTGTGCCTATCACCCTGATTAGGAGTGGGAACACTAAGATAAATTGTGATATAATCTTTCCCTATGAGAATAGTTGGAGGAGAGAAATTTTATATATATACTTATATGTATATATATATATATATATATATATATATATGTATATACACATACACACACACATACATACACACACACACAAATATTTTCAGAATGAACATTGGAATATGCATTTATTTAAAGATAGCCATTTGCAGCAAGTGAGTTGAGCCGATTATGCTGTTTGAAGCAACTATTATATCATAATAGATGAGAAATTAAACGTGCTATAAACTAAAAAGCAATACAAACCTGGTGTCATTTTTTATCACAATTCCTGGAACATACCTAGCACTAGAAATATAATATCTCTGAATGCATCAGTCATTCAGTAATTACAGGGGCTTGAAGAATTTATGATCTGATAATGTGAAATGCAAACTTAGAAACTGAATTAAATGGCTCAATGAAAACTTCATATGCCTTTTATACTAAGAGCTAAATGACTAATATTAGACCTCCCTAAGATGTTTCACTGAACAATACTGATTGTAGGTTGACAGCTGTCTAACTGCATAGTTGACATGACTTTTGATAAATATAGCTACTACCTATTATTTGTGAATGCATAGCCTGAAATACTTTTAACACAGAGAAAAACACATGTTGGTAGGGCAGGCCTACCACAAGGTATTCAGGGGTAAGAAAGAGGAGAAAAAAGCTTACCCTCTGAAAACTGTAGCAATTCTTAATAATAAAAAGGATTCATTTTCTGGTTAAG
Organism: Homo sapiens; assembly: GCF_000001405.40. Classification (NCBI taxonomy): domain Eukaryota; kingdom Metazoa; phylum Chordata; class Mammalia; order Primates; family Hominidae; genus Homo; species Homo sapiens. Next base: position 166,924,936 of record NC_000002.12, on the reverse strand, counting down.
AGACAAAATACAAACTCTTTTCTTGCTTTTGCGTTAAAGAAATTAACATTTAAATGGTAGTTCTATGGAACCCTTAATAATTTCTGAATTTAAATGGTTCATTTAAATTTAACAGCGTTCTTATTCTCCCATTACTCTTAAACTTGGCAACATAAATCACAATTAAGGTGAAAGAGGGCTATGAGACTCAACATGTCATAGAACTAAGTGCTGAGAGACAGTTTGGAGGAAAAGGTATGTTCTGTTATTTGCCATCCTATAAAATATGGTTCTAGGAGGCAGAAGTACTTAAGAAACCTCTTCTCATTCAATTCTAGTCTTCAACCTGTTTGTAATGACAGAAGAGATCATTGTCATGGGAGGAAGAGACTGTGCAAGCATAATTATCAGTTCAAAAAAAAAGAATAAATATACATATATTTGTCATAAGTTATAAAGAAAAAAATTCAAAAAAAATTAGCAGTTATAAAAGAAAAAAATGATACACTTGTTATCAGTTTATGCAAATAAAGCTGATCCATGTCCTTGGTTTGAAGCCTAACCAGAAAAGGCAAAACCTCAAAAGGGACACATTGTCTCAGTATCACAGAGTGCTAACAATTCTGAAGAGTATGAACTGCACTCAAGAAAGACAGCAAAGCATGCCTGATGGAACCCACACTTGTTAAATCCTCAGACTTCCTAACCCAGGTATTTCTTTCAACACTTGGAAGAAAACCAGTCAATGTTTTCTGTCTCTGTTATAGTTGCAGGAACTCCCAAGTGGATCTCCTAATGTATTCCCGATGAGCCCACACACAAAAAAAGATTTCTGAAACATCTCCAAAGGAAGATACTCAACTATATCCACTGACCTACTCAGTTCAGACTCCTTAATTAGTGTCCAGCTTATTTTTTTTCAGGGCATATCTGTCTTTGCTTAGTCTGAACCTGCTGAGCCATATCATGTCCTTGTCACATATAAGCTTGGCCCTGACTCTTCTTAAATCACTCAGGAGTATTCCAACCTCACCTCCTACTGCTAAGCTGTGTCTGAGCCCTCAAGGTTAGACATAGCCTGTCATTTTCCATAGTGACAAATGGAAGATATCCTGTGTTGCTTTAAAGGCCAAAACTTTACTGGAAATGTAGATGCTCCCAGGAGATACACTTTACTCAACATGAAGATTAACCTTCAGTGAAAGAGAGCAAACTGACAGTAGAAAAAAACTGCTTTGCAAAAGTGTGAACTCCTTGAAACTGCAAGTATTTAAGGGGAAGTTCGGCTACCATCTGTCTGGGATGTAACATGGTTTCCAAACTTTGGAGGGAGTTTGATTTTATCATATCTGAAGGCAGTTCTCTTCTTTAAGATTCTTATCTTTCTACTTCAGTCACTTTAATGGTCATATCTTTATGGAAACTGGATAGTCTCTTGTTTTTAATGGCTATCTATTTTGGAAATAAATTTGCTTGTTAAAAGTATCATTTCATACTAGGAGGACTTACTAGTAATGTCCATACTGAAATTGGAATAATTTTTTGGAATAATTTATAGTTTTGAATTTCTACATTTGGTAAAGCATCACTCAGTAGAGAATAATGAATGGAAAATATTTCATTAGATATATTCTATTCAGGCTCTTTTGAGCAATATACCAAATAATTCCAGTGAGAACTCGAGGCAAAACACATTGCTATGGCAATGTTTATAGTACACTCATTGTAACTTTACAGTTACTTTTACCGTTCAAACATGAAAGCTATTTAGTACAGATTTATTTTTGCTTATACAGCATCTGTACTTTAGCTACCACTCCTAAGTTATTATCAATAGCATCACAAGAAAAGAGGATTTGTGCTTCTTAGTAGTTCATTCTTTATTTCTCACTCTCTTTGAGATGATAGGAATGCCACTTACACTTTTTTTTTTAATTTTAGTAGAAAAGCAACTCAGATGCTGAATACCCTTGAGGATCAAACCTTGTTTTTATCCAGTGATGAAGAATAATAAAGAAGATAGGATAATTCAGCATGTCTATGAAAGTTTCACTCTGAGTACTAGAAATCATTACACTAAGTAAAATCTGCAATATGCTATCACCCCTGGTTACCTTTCTTTAAAAAAAAAAAAAAAGGAAGGAAAGAAAAGAAGAAAGAAAATAACTGGATTTCTAGTTTGCTTACTTTTTTTTTTCTTTTGAGATGGAGTCTCGCTCTGTTGCCCAGGCTGGAGTGCAGTGGTGTGATCTCGGCTTGCTGCAGGATTTCTAGCTTGCTTACTTTTAATGTTGTGTGTATATATGTATGTGTATGCAGCAGTATATATTATTTGTTCTGAATTCTGAGTCTGCTGAGTTTATTACCTCTTATGTTATGTGGGTCAAATATTATGCAAAAGAAGAATCTGGACATTAGCACAAGCCATTTTGCTAGCCAAAAAAAAAATCTTTTAACTTCATAAGTAGTTCGTACATAAAGGACCTCAATACTGGAGAGTCACAATATGCTCATTGTTGTACCTTTGAGGCACTGCTGCAAAAAAGATGCATATTTTATATTTTATGGCTGAAACACTTCATAATTTTAAAAGAAATGGGCTATCATTGATTATTATGTAACATTTTCTACAGTAGGACAAACAGGTCAAACAACAACAAATCTCAGCACATTACAGAGGGCAGTGGCCTGTGGCCTGAGTGTAGATGTGCAGTTCGTGAGGTAGCTTCTACCCAGAGGGTCAATGCAACAGGGAAGGAAAGGTGCTTCTGAAGCTAGCTGCATATTCAAGCCGTGGTCTAAGAATGCACTAAGGAAACTGGAATCAAGAAGACAGTTTGTCCTTTGGAAGGCTAACAGACATAGCTTGTTACCAAAATATTATCTAGTCTCAGACTTTCAAAAAATATCCAGTCTCAGACTTTCAAAAAAGGCCAATGAAAGAAGCATTAATTCCTTCATATCTGTTTCTTGCACATTTTCACCCATGTCATCTGTAAGGCATATAGAGTGGTAAGACAGGTGTGCAAGCCAGAGGAGCTGGCACAAGCCTCTGAAAAGATCACTCACCCTGCACTGACCATATGCAAGGGACAATCAACATCAAGTTATCAAAGATCTGCTGTCAGATGAGCAGGAGTACAGCTCTAGGCAGAGTGGGCTGAAGAATTAGGTGACCTTGAAGCCCAGCACAAATAATGCAATGCTAATGCACATAACCTAAGAGTAGACACTGAAAGGAGCCAGCTCATTTCAACAAGCATTTTCCATTCATCCATTCCTGAAGTGCTGAAAGATTATATACCCTATGCTTAGCACTCTGTTAAAAACCAGGAGGGAAAGAAAAAAATGAAATGTGATTTTTCCTTTATAATTCAAGTGGATATTCAAGCTGGGTGATGAAATAATTTATCATCCAGACACTTTGGAGAATGAAAGGGGTATTTTTAATAATTATGATGGAGCGATGTATGTAAACTAGGGATGTTCCCAGCAGAGGGACAAATGATTGCCATGTAGATGAGATAGAAGTCATCCATGCTTAAGTAATCATTTGAAATGGAATTTGAAATACTGAGAACACCAAATGATAGCAAGGATATGAAGCCATAAGAATTCTCATTTGTTACTGGGGGGAATGAAAAAGAGTACAACGACTTTGGACAACAGTTTGGCAATTTCTTACAAACTAAACATACTCTTACCATACAATTCAGCAATCACACTTGGGTATATACTCAAGTGAGTTGAAGCAGTCAACAGTGGTTGATTCGATATGGAGAGAAAGCATGCTATTTAATTTTTTTTCTTTCAGGGATTGGGGTGAAAGCAGAGATGCATGTGGTGCAACTTGAGCCCAAAGAAAGACATTCAGAGATATTTGAAAGGAAAGAAAGAGAAAAAGAGGGATTTTTAAAGAAAAATAAACTTCTTGTTAGTGTAAAAATTATTTTGCATAAAGTTACTTGTTTATTAGATTAGACCAATTTAGCTATTCTAAACTCTGTTAGCAAAATAGGCAAAATACAAAAACTAGCTTACTCCAAGAGTAAGGCCTCTGGACTCCACCTGACTGGGTTAGATTTCTTTTTCAACCACCAACTGACAGTGGGAACTAAGACAAAAACAGTTCACCCAGCCTATATTTTCTCATTTGTATATGGTGATGTTTACATAGTTTAACTCACAGGTTAGTTATGACAATTAAAAGAGAAAATGTCAGTAAAGTGTTTAGTACATTCCTGGAACACAGTGAATGTTCAATAATTTTTCTTACATGATTCAAAACATTTATATTTCTTGCCATATTTTATCAAAAGTAAAACAACTTTAGTATTTTATGTACCTGTAAGAAAAGGGGAAAATCCTGACAAACTATGAAATGGCACTGACTATGAGAAGCATATCAGTTTCAAAGATGTTAACACATGAAAACATGTGTATCTTAGAATAAGAGTATGTGGTAGTTTGGGGGACACTCAATGTTTAAGAATTGCTTTGATTTCTGGCACTGTCCAGGATCCATTTATATCAGAAACACAGCTGTGAGATTCTGTTTGAAACAGACATCATAAATTCAGAGATCATCTAGAGAGCAGTATTTTAATATTGTGGCTTCTGGACTGAGATCAACTTGAATTCCAATCCCTGCTCTATTACTTACCAATGGTGTACTCTTGGGCAAATTAACTTCTCCACATCATAGCTGTTAAATGGGAATAATTATAGTTCTTGCCTTCTATGATGATTGTGACTATTAAATGAGGGCAGCGCTCATGAGGCCTTCAGCTCAGTACCTGGTAGATACGCAGTGTTCAGTCATTACCACTTGCTAGCTATTAGTGGTAGCACAGTGCCTCTTCCTCTAGTCACCTGAGGGCAGACGAATGTTAGCATGAGGCGAGGCATTCAACGGTAAACTCAAAAATTTGTGGGCCCTATAAAAAAGGCTACAGCTATAAACTAAAGGGCAGACCTGAAACATATGTTGGTGAAAACAAAATTGCTGGTGCTGGATAAATAAGTATTTTTTGAGACATTGGTGCATATGACCTGCAACCTCTTGATTTTATCTTTAAATGTGAAATTTTAAATGATATATGTGCAGTAGGTATGTGTGTCTGTGTCTGCTTCCATGCACACATTGCATATATATTAAAAAGAAAGAAAATTTCTCTGTGGAGCTCCTGGTTTTTGTTTATATTTCTTGTTTTTATTTCTTGTTTTTATAACTTGAAATTTCTTTTCAATGAGAACTTCAAATGAACATATTTCAAGACATGAGGGAAAAATTGCTTCTAACATTCAAAATAAAGGTAAAATGGAAAAAGGATTAGATTTTAAGTCATAAAATCATTGTGATCAGAAATGGAAATATTTTTATATTGTTGTATCATTAATAACAAAGAAATCTGACATCTAATCGACATTGAAATCAGAACATGTTGATTAATTTAAATGTATGTTCCTGACAGTGTTCCACAAATGGGGCAAAAAGAGCACTGCATGCATTACGTTGCATTACCATGCCTTAGAGTAATTTGTCTCATGTCATCCAATAAATGACTTACATTCGCATAAAACAAGTTAGTACACTATTAAGTACCATAAATCATCATATTTGGTAGTTGGTGTAGATGAGAAACATTAATGGAGCTTGAATTTGTTTCAGGTGTTTGGAAGTTATAACATTCACTCACCACTACACATTAAACATAAAGAAATATCTTTCCACGTAGGAAAATGTGTTAACCATTTGTTTCCCATATATAATACAGTGAGTATTATGTGCCATGTATTATGAAATACATAATACACTGTATTATGTATCATAAACAAGGGCATGGTTAGGTGCCTGCAGTTTGCTTGATCTCCAGGAAGAGAGTGGATGGATGGCTGTACCTGTTGTTTACAGCCACCTCCACTCCAAACTGTCAGTACCTGCCCTGCACATTACGTTAAGTATTTTGAATTTCAGAGTTGACAAAAGATTACATACTTCTAAGTTCAGAGAAAGGACTTAGTCAGAGGAATAAAAAGGGGCAACTCCATTAAAGAAAGCTTTGCTATATCAACCCTGAGACCGGTTTAGATGAGGGAGACCAGACAGGGGAACACATGGAATTAAGAAAGATGGTCCTCAGAGGATCATTTCCCCACAAAAGGAATAAATGTTCCCTAATCTTAATATCTTATTTAACCATAGTACAATTTTAAAAGCAGGAAATAATTAAACCTTATTTGACTTTTACCACCTTTCCCATTGATGTCCTCTTTTCTGGCCCAGGATTTGGTGGAAGTTTCCACATTCCATTTAGTTTTCATGCCACTTTAGTTTTTTCCGACCCATGGTAATTTCTCAGTCTTTCCAAAGATAAATATGTTTTAAAAGATAAATAAGATAAATATGTTCCTTCAATATTTCTATTCACTGGCTGAATTAATTTAACAAATACCATAAGTGAATATTTTTTCCCTTCCCTGTCATCCTATGACTGATTTTCATACTCTATCATTTTCTTTTCGAGAATCTTCTCACAAGCAGAATAAACTAAAGGGAGAAATAAAGAAAACATTACCTTTAGAAGGATGAATAAATAGGGAAAATTTTGGTCTTTAACTGGGGCCTTTGGATCCACCAAGAGCCATGGAGATGACACTTCAAAGACAGTCTCTAAGTCTAATCACGGGAAGTCCACCAGCAAACCAAAGCTCATCCTGCAAGAAGTTAACACAGGAATATTTTCCACAACATTCCTGGTGGATAAACTTCCATTTACTGTGGAAAACCTGGAAGAAATTACCTCACCTAAGTGATCACACAGTATCACCAGTAATCAGACTTATTGATTTACTGTATTTCCAGATATGATGTACTGCGAAGGGCAAAACAGCATCACTCCTGTGGTATTCCTGCCAAAAATCTGTAACCATGAAAAAACATCAGATAAGCTCATGTAGGAAGGCATCTTCTACAATTATTCTGCTTGTGAGAAGATTTTTGAAAAGAACCTGATAGAGTATGAAAATCAGTCATAGGAGGACAGGGAAAGGAAAAAAATAGTCACTTACGGTATTTGTTAAATTAATTCAACCAGTGACTAGAAATGTTGAATAAACATCTAAGAAAGATAGGCTGGGTAAAAGAATCGGGCTCCTAACAGGGGCAGTAGAGCTAGTATCAATATTCTTATAACACAAGGGCAAAAACCCTCACTAGTCTACTGAGTAAAATGTCAAAGAATGCCAATCCATGAGCTGACAGCAGTTTTCCCAGTGGAAGGCAAGTCAATATTGCTTAACATCCTTGTATGGTTACTGGCTTTTTTTTTTTAACAGTGTCATATTGTGACTGCACATATCACTACCACAAACAAATGGGAAGAGATGGCAGTTTCCTCTGAAAGTCTTAAAGGCCATGCAAATATGTTTAGTTGGGAGTTTTGCCAGCTATTTCTTTTTCTAACTAAAATAAAACACTGGACAGGAAGCAGTAAAATAGCAAACATGTAAGTGGGTGAAAAGAACACTAACATTATTTTTAAAAACAAATTACACCACAAAGAAAAAGCTGCATAAAATGAAATAAAACATTATGGCCCATCCTCGCGGTATTCTTGATGTCCTCTCTCTGTCTATGGTTTTAATAAAGCTTTGAAAACTATAATTGAACAAACTGCAGCTCTTTGTCTCATCATCTCAAAATGGGATTGTAACTTATGTTAAAAGATTACTCAGTGAGGGCTCTTCTCAGTGGGACCTCTGCAGGCTGCAAGACGAAGGTGTTGTCAGATGTATAAAATCTTCTTTGCCCAAAGCTTCTTTCCACTTTTAGAAACCATAGAGTGTTAGTCTCTTCCTTTATAGATGAGAAAACAGAAGTCCACTGAGATAAAATATTTTCTCTGAAGGACATATAGTGGGTTACAGAGATAACAGAGGAACGAAAATAGAAGGAATATTCATGTAGTGCTACCTTGGTGCTACTTTTTATATTTCATTAGGTGCTGCCTCTTAAATGCCTCTTCTCCTTCAGGTGTTGCATTATTTGTCTTCAGAAAAATTAGGTGGTGTATTAATCTCCTTATTTTACAGATATGAAAACTAAGGATTAATGAGTTAAAATAAGTCATTTGAGTTTATACAATGAGAAAGTTGCTGAGCCAAGGTTTCCAGCTGAACTTTTGTCATCAAATGTTAAGTTCTCATATGCCATGCTGAAAAGAAAATTATTATTCTGTATAATACATTCTCTAACCAAAAATGATCACTTTTATCAAACTGTACATTTCAGCTCTATAAAAAACTATTTGCCATTTTTTCAGGCAAAGGAGAAATATTTTATTTCTTCAAAGATCTCTAAAACTCTTCCTATGAGAATAATCCTTATTTTTTATTTTTCTCTATACTAATATTAAGCTGCATTTTAATTTTTCTATATATTTTTGAGAGTTTGGTAGACATATATTTTTCAGTAATCATTTTCAAGATTCTAATAACTTCTGTCCTGTTAAATGCTTTTACAGAAATACATCATGCTTGACAGAAGTTACCTCAGAAACACTGATGAGAGGAGAGGGTGGGGAATGGGGAGTCAGAATGGGCTGACAGAGGTAACTGCCTGAGAAGAAGTACTGCTTGCTGCTCTGAGATTAGAGATAAATTAATCCCCTAGTCCCACATGTCTGGGTTTAAGGAGCAAAGATAAATTCTAGCATCTAATGAAATGATTTTATGTAGTGGAAGCCAAAATGTAAGCCATGCTTTTGAATGCCTGATATTATGCAGAACTAAAAAGTAGAGGACAGATTGGTCATTAAATGAAAAACCAGAGGCTCTGATTAGTGGAGTGAATGACACTCACATATGCTGAAAACTATAGCATCTTTAATTATTTATGTCCTATTTAATCATTGATGCACATGTAGGTTCATGGTCCCTTAGCATTTTTCTTCATGGTTTTCTCCATGCCTCCAATTATGCAATAGATTAAATCAATGCATCCCAAGGAAGTACAACTTGTATATGGTGATGGTGCTTCCTATTTTTGATACAGTTCAGCTCATGTTTGAATAGTCTTTGTCAAAAGTCTGGGGCCTAAATAAATGATAGAAACAGTATTTATTGAGAATTAGGTAAACTCAACCTGATTATATCAGTGAGTGTGGTTTGGGGGAAGATCATAAGTGTGCATTGAAAACACAGGAAATCATTAAGTAATCTACTGTAATGATCAGATGCTTTACCATTTGGAGTCTAAAAGACATGAATAGAATAATTAGATTAATAGATTAATTAATAGAAAAGTCAACCCCCTTATTAATGGTGAGAACATACAGGAGGCTGAAAGGATTCTTTAGGGAGGCTTTTTAGTGGCCTCATTCTCTAATACCTATGGACAGCAACTGGAAGCTTCAAAGAAGAAGGATGAACTTTCACCTTCCTGTTCTGTTCCAAATTAACTTAAACACTGCATCTATTCTAAACTGGGCAACCAGAGTTAAGTTCATTTTATTTAAAAACTGTATACATTCTTCACATAATCTATATCACCCAACAGCAGAAAATATGAATTGAAGCAAGTGTATCCCACATGCTTTTTGTGTTCATAGGTTCCTTTATAATATTTCTTTTTCTTTTTTTTTTTTTTTTTTTTTTTGAGACGGAGTCTTGCTGTGTCGCCCAGGCTGGAGTGCAGTGGCAGATCTCGGCTCACTGCAAGCTCCACCTCCCAGATTCATGCCATTCTCCTGCCTCAGCCTCCCAAGTAGCTGGGACCACAGGCGCCCACCACCACACCTGGCTAATTTTTTTTTTGTATTTTTAGTCTAGACGTGGTTGCATCGTGTTAGCCAGGATGGTCTCGATCTCCTGACCTCATGATCCACCTGCCTCGGCCTCCCAAAGTGCTGGGATTACAGGTGTGAGCCACCGCTCCCAGACTAATATGTCTTTTTTTAAAAAACAAACAAACAAATAAACTTCTTCTTCTGATTAATTCAATCTTTAAGGTGACTATGTGCTGAAGATCAAGACAGATGAATTAAAACTAAGACATTATGATTTACTGAAGTTTCTTGATTACATAATATTATATGCATTCATACTACTAACTACAAATAGAAAAAAATCAAAGACCTGACTTTGAAATATGGAAATATGCTTGTCAGGGAAGAATAGAGAAAAACTCCACAATCATATATTATCCAACCATTTTTAAACAATGTTTAAAAGACCTATAATGTAACTGTATTAGCTTCCTATTGCTTCCATAGCAAATTGCCATAAACACTGTGGCTTAAAACAGCACACGTTTAGTCCAGGTGTGTTGGCTCACGCCTGTAATCCCAGAACTTTGGGAGGCTGAGGCAGGTGGATCACTCGAGGTCAGGAGATCAAGATCATCCTGGCTAACATGGTGAAATCCCATCTCTACTAAAAATACAAAAAATTAGCCGGGCAAGGTGGCGGGCACCTGTAGTCCCAGCTACTCGGGAGGCTGAGACAGGAGAATGGCGTAAACCTGGGAGGCAGAGCTTGCAGTGAGCCGAGATCAAACTGCTGCACTCCAGCCTGGGTGACAGAGCGAGACTCCATCTCAAAAAACAAAACAAAACAAAAAAAATATGGCACACATTTATTATCTTAGAGTTCCAGAAGTCAAATTCAGAAATAAATTTCACAGGTTAAACTCCAGGTGTCCAAAGCCCTTGGGGAGCATCCATTTCCTTGCGTTTTCCAGTTCCTAAGGGCTGCATCAATTTTCTGGGTCATGGCCCTGCATCATGTCAGCCTTTGCTTCTTTCATCATAACTCCTCCGACTCTCTCAATCTGACATCCTGTGTTCCTCTGATAAAGACTCAGTTTTCATCTGGGATAATTCATGAAAATCTTTGCATTTCAAGATTATTAATCACATTTGTAACGTCCCTTTTGACATGTTGGATAACATACTTGTATGCTCTGGGGAGTAGAATGTAAATATCTTTGGGAGACTTTTGTTATTCTGCCTATCAAAATAACTATCACCAGAGTAGTCACTTACTTGAATCTAAGTGAAGAATAAGTCATGAGTTTCATCCACAAATACTTGTCAACTTGGATCCTTCTACTGTTTATGGTTAATTCATGATACATTAAATGATCCTGATTTTTGCATGTATTTAGTTAAACTTACCTGTGGGAGAGTGTTTGCAAAATGGCTGCAATTATTCTTCTCCTAGTATCTATTTCCCTTTGCAAATGCAAATTTGCATTTCCTTCTGTCAAGAGGTGGAGTCTATGTCAGTACACTTTTAATCTGGCTTGCTTTGTGGCCACTTTGATCAATAGAACATGGAGAAGTAATGTGCAAATTCTGAATATAGCCCTCCACAGGCCTCATGTGTTCCTACTTTCTCTCTTAAAACTTCTATGACCTGGGGCGGTTCCAAGATGGCTGAATAGGAACAGCTCCAGTCTACAGCTCCCAGCGTGAGCGACACAGAAGATGGGTGATTTCTGCATTTCCAGCTGAGCAAATGGCACCCCAGGAGATTATATCCCATGCCTGGCTCAGAGGGTCCCACGCCCACGGAGCCTCACTCATTGCTAGCACCGCAGTCTGAGATTGATCTGCAAGGCAGCAGCGAGGCTGGGGGGGGGGGGTGCCCACCATTGCTGAGGCTTAAGTAGGTAAACAAAGTGGCCAGGAAGCTCGAACTGGGTGGAGCCCACCGCAGCTCAAGGAGGCCTGCCTGCCTCTGTAGACTCCACCTCTGGGGGGCAAAGCATAGCTGAACAAAAGGCAGCAGAAACTTCTGCAGACTTAAACATCCCTGTCTGACAGCTTTGAAGTGAGTAGTGGTTCTCCCAGCACGGAGTTTGAGATCTGAGAATGGATAGACTGCCTCCTCAAGTGGGTCCCTGACCCCTGAGTAGCCTGACTGGGAGGCATCCTCCAGTAGGGGCAGATTGACACCTCACACGGCCGAGTAACCCTCTGAGACGAAGCTTCCAGAGGAATGATCAGGCAGCAACATTTGCTGTTCAGCAATACTCACTGTTCTGCAGCCTCTGCTGCTGATACCCAGGGAAACGGTCTCGAGTGGACCTCCAGCAAACTCCAACAGACCTGCAGCTGAGAGTCCTGACTGTTAGAAGGAAAACTAACAAACAGAAAGGACATCCACACCAAATCCCCATCTGTATGTCACCATCATCAAAGACCAAATGTAGATAAAACCACAAAGATGGGGAAAAAACAGCAGAAAAGCTGAAAATTCTAAAACTCAGAGCACCTCTCCCCCTCCAAAGGAATGCAGCTCCTCGCCAGCAACAGAACAAAGCTGGATGGAGAATGAATTTGACGAGTTGAGAGAAGAAGGCTTCAGACGATCAAACTTCTCCAAGCTAGAGGAGGAAGTTCAAACCCATTGCAAAGAAGATAAAAACCTTGAAAAAAGATTAGACTAATGGCTAACTAGAATAACCAAAGTAGAGAAGTCATTAAATGACCTGATGGAGCTGAAAAACATGGCACGAGAACTATGTGACGAATGCACAAGCTTCAATAGCCGATTCGATCAACTAGAAGAAAGGGTATCAGTGATTGAAGAACAAATGAATGAAATGAAGCGAGAAGAGAAGTTTAGAGAAAAAAGAGTAAAAAGAAAGGAACAAAGCCTCCAAGAAATATGGGACTATGTGAAAAGACCAAATCTATGTCTGATTGGTGTACCTGAAAGTGACGGGGAAAATGGAACCAAGTTGGAAAACACTCTGCAGGATATTATCCAGGAGAACTTCCCCAACCTAGCAAGGCAGGCCAATATTCAAATTCAGGAAATACAGAGAATGCCACAAAGATACTCCTCGAGAAGAGCAACTCCAAGACACATAATTGTCAGATTCACCAAAGTCGAAATGAAGGAAAAAATGTTAAGGGCAGACAGAAAGAAAGGTCGGGTTACTCACAAAGTGAAGCCCATCAGACTAACAGTGGATCTCTCGGCAGAAACTCTACAAGCCAGAAGAGAGTGGAGGCCAAATCAACATTCTTAAAGAAAAGTATTTTCAACCCAGAATTTCATATCCAGCCAAACTAAGCTTCATAAGTGAAGGAGAAATAAAATACTTTACAGACAAGCAAATGCTGAGAGATTTTGTCACCACCAGGCCTGCCCTAAAAGAGCTCCTGAAGGAAGCACTAAACATGGAAAGGAACAACCAGTACCAGCGACAGCAAAAACATGACAAATTATTAAGACCATCAATACTAGGAAGAAACCGCATCAACTAATGAGCAAAATAACCAGCTAACATCATAATGACAGGATCAAATTCACACATAACAATATTAACCTTAAATTGAAATGGGCTAAATGCTCCAATTAAAAGACACAGACTGGAAAATTGGATGAAGAGTCAAGACCCATCAGGTTGCTGTATTGAGGAGACCCATCTCATGGGCAGAGACACACATAGGCTCAAAATAAAGGGATGAAGGAAGATCTACCAAGCAAATGGAAAACAAAAAAAGGCAGGGGTTGCAATCCTAGTCTCTGATAAAACAGACTTTAAACCAACAAAGCTCAAAAGAGACAAGGCCATTACGTAATGGTAAAGGGATCAATTCAACGAGAAGAGCTAACTACTCTAAATATATATGCACCCAATACAGGAGCACCCAGATTCATAAAGCAAGTCCTGAGTGACCTACAAAGAGACTTAGACTCCCACACAATAATAATGGGAGACTTTAAAACCCCACTGTCAACATTAGACAGATCAATGAGACAGAAAGTTAACAAAGATATCCAGGAATTGAACTCAGCTCTGTAACAAGCGGACCTAATAGACATCTACAGAACTCTCCACCCCAAATCAACAGAATATACATTTTTCTCAGCACCACATCACACTTATTCCAAAATTGACCACATAGTTGGAAGTAAAGCACTCCTCAGCAAATGTAAAAGAACAGAAATTATAACCACCTGTCTCTCAGACCACAGTGCAATCAAACTAGAGCTCAGGATTAAGAAACTCACTCAAAACCGCTCAACTACATGGAAACTGAACAACCCGCTCCTGAATGACTACTGGGTATATAACGAAATGAAGGCAGAAATAAAGATGTTCTTTGAAACCAATGAGAACAAAGACACAACATACCAGAATCTCTGGGACACATTCAAAGCAGTGTGTAGAGGGAAATTTACAGCACTAAATGCCTACAAGAGAAAGCAGGAAAAATCTAAAGTTGACACCCTAACATCACAATTGAAAGAACTAGAGAAGGAAGGGCAAACACATTCAAAAGCTAGCAGAAGGCAAGAAATAACTAGGATCAGAGCAGAACTGAAGGAAATAGAGACACAAAAAACCCTTCAAAAAATCAACGAATCCAGGAGCTGGTTTTTTGAAAGGATCGACAAAATTGATAGACCATCAGCAAGACTAATAAAGAAGAAAAGAGAGAAGAATCAAATAGATGCCATAAAAAATGATAAAGGGAATATCACCACCGATCCCACAGAAATACAAAATACCATCAGAGAATACTATAAACACCTCTATGCAAATAAACTAGAAAATCTAGAAGAAATAGATAAATTCCTTGACACATACACCCTCCCAAGACTAAACCAGGAAGAAGTTGAATCCCTGAATAGACTAATAACTGGCTGTGAAATTAAGGCAATAATTTATAGCCTACCAACCAAAAAAAGTCCAGGACCAGACTGATTCACAGCTGAATTCTACCAGAGGTACAAGGAGAAGCTGGTACCATTCCTTCTGAAACTATTCCAATCAATAGAAAAAGAGGGAATCCTCCCTAACTCATTTCATGAGGCCAGCATCATCGCGATACCAAAGTCTGACAGAGACACAACAACAAAAGAGAATTTTAGACCAATATCTCTGATGAACATTGATGCCTAAATCCTCAGTAAAATACTGGCAAACCGAATCCAGCAGCACATCAAAAAGCTTATCCACCATGATCAAGTGGGCTTCATCCCTGGGATGCAAGGCTGGTTCAACATACGCAAATCAGTAAATGTAATCCAGCATATAAACAGAACCAAAG
Organism: Homo sapiens; assembly: GCF_000001405.40. NCBI lineage: Eukaryota > Metazoa > Chordata > Mammalia > Primates > Hominidae > Homo > Homo sapiens. The sequence continues at coordinate 166,909,883 of NC_000002.12, read as the reverse complement.
ATAAAAACCACATGATTATCTGAACAGATGCAGAAAAGGCCTTTGACAAAATTCAACAGCACTTCATGCTAAATCAATAAACTAGGTATTGATGGGATGTATCTCAAAATAATAAGAGCTATTTATGACAAACCCACAGCCAATATCATACTAAATGGGCAAAAACTGGAAGCATTCCCTTTGAAAACTGGCACAAGACAGGGATGCCCTCTCTCACCACTCCTATTCAACATAGTGTTGGAAGTTCTGGCTAGGGCAATCAGGCAAGAGAAAGAAATTAAGGGTATTCAATTAGGAAAAGAGGAAGTCAAATTATCCCTGTTTGCAGATGACCTGATTGTATATCTAGAAAACCCCACTGTCTCAGCCCAAAATCTCCTTAAGCTGATAAGCAACTTCAGCAAAGTCTCAGGATACAAAATCAATGTGCAAAAATCACAAGCATTCTTATACACCAATAACAGACAAACAGAGAGCCAAATCATGAGTGAACTCCCATTCACAATTGCTTCAAAGAGAATAAAATACTTAGGAATCCAACTTACAAGGGATGTGAAGGACCTCTTCAAGGAGAACTACAAATCACTGTTCAACGAAATAAAAGAGGTCAGAAACAAATGGAAGAACATTCCATGCTCGTGGATAGGAAGAATCAATATCATGAAAATCCCATACTGCCCAAGGTAATTTATAGATTCAATGCCATCCCCATCAAGCTACCAATGACTTTCTTCACAGAATTGGAAAAAACTACTTTAAACTTCATATGGAACCAAAAAAGGGCCCACATTGCCAAGACAATCCTAAGCCAAAAGAACAAAGCTGGAGGCATCACGCTACCTGACTTCAAACTATACTACAAGACTATAGTAACCAAAACAGCATGGTACTGGTACCAAAACAGAGATATAGACCAATGGAACAGAACAGAGCCCTCAGAAATAATAGCACACATCTACAACCATCTGATCTTTGACAAACCTGACAAAAACAAGAAATGGGGAAAGGATTCCCTATTTAATAAATGGTGCTAGGAAAACTAGCCAGTCATATGTAGAAATCTGAAACTGGATCCCTTCCCTACACCTTATATGAAAAATTAATTCAAGATGGATTAAAGAGTTAAATGTCAGACCTAAAGCCATAAAAACCCTAGAAGAAAACCTAGGCTATACCATTCAGGACATAGGCATGGGCAAGGACTTCATGTCTAAAACACCAAAAGCAGTGGCAACAAAAGCCAAAATTGACAAATGGGATCTAATTAAACTAAAGAGCTTCTGCACAGCAAAAGAAACTACCATCAGAGTGAACAGGCAACCTACAGAATGGGAGAAAATTTTTGCAATCTACTCATCTGACAAAGGGCTAATATCCAGAATCTACAAAGAACTCAAACAAACTTACAAGAAAAAAACAAACAACCCCATCAAAAAGTGGGCGAAGGATATGAACAGGCACTTCTCAAAAGAAGACATTTATGCAGCCAACACACACATGAAAAAATGCTCATCATCACTGGCCATCAGAGAAATGCAAATCAAAACCACAATGAGATACCATCTCACACCAGTTAGAATGGTGATCATTAAAATGTCAGGAAACAACAGGTGCCGGAGAGGACATAGAGAAATAGGAACACTTTTACACTGTTGGTGGGACTGTAAACTAGTTCAACAACTGTGGAAGACAGTATGGCAATTCCTCAAGGATCTAGAAGTAGACATACCATTTAACCCAGCCATCCCATTATTGGGTATACACCCAAAGGATTATAAATCATGCTGCTATAAAGACATATGCACACATATGTTTACTGCGGCACTATTCACAATAGCAAAGACTTGGAACCAATGCAAATGTCCATCAATGATACACTGGATTAACTAAATGTGGCACATATACACCATGGAATACTATGCAGCCATAAAAAAGGATGAGTTCATGTCCTTTGTAGGGACACAGATGAAGCTGGAAACCATCATTCTCAGCAAACTAACGCAAAGACAAAAAACCAAACACTGCATGTTCTCACTCATAGGTGGGAATTGAACAATGAGAACACTTGGACACAGGAAGGGGAACATCACACACTGGGGCCTGTCATGGGGTGGGGGGAGGGGGGGAGGGATAGCCTTAGGAGATATACCTAATGTAAATGACGAGTTAATGAGTGCAGCACACCAACACGGCACATGTATACATATGTAACAAACCTGCACGTTGTGCACATGTACCCTAGAACTTAGAGTATTAAAAAAAAAAAAAAAACTTCTATGACCTGTCCATACATCTGGGTAACCTACCTGAGGAGGAGAGATGCAGAGTTGAGTTGTCCCAGCTCTGTTGTCATCCTAGAATAGCCAGATTCCCGCTGACTTTGCAGCTGACCATAGACACATGAGTGACATCAGACAAGATCAGATGAACTGCCAAGCTCATCAGAGACTTCTAAACAATTGTAAAGCCACTAATGTTCTAACCCCACTATTTTTGGGGTGGTTTGTTACACAGCAAATGCTATTGACAAATTACATAATAACAAGGTATTTCTTAGTTTTACAAATGGATGTGACATTCTCTCAAAGACCTGTAATTTTGCAACAAATTTTTGTAAATTCTTAAAAACTCTTAAAATTATGTTCTATGTCATTTATTTGAGAGGATGCTTACACGAATTTGTATCTTTGGATTATAGTCTGCCTCATAAGCATGAAAATATTCAGTTTAAATCTTCATTCTAAGTTGTTTTAACATGGTGTTTTAGAAATGACAATAGGTTGTGTTCATTTTGGAAAATTATAAAATGAAAAAATTATTTTAAGAATTTCTCACTGATTTTCTATTGTAATTATGTTAGAATAAATTGTTTTAACAAAGACTCTGAAATAGTGACTGTTTTAGGTATTGATATCTCTTTTTAATGACCTTGCACACTTATAGAAAATAATGTTTGTTTGCTTATTGATGGAGTCTCACTCTGTCACCCAGGATGGAATGCAGTGGTGCAATCATAGCAACCCCTTGCTCATGGGATCAAGGGATCCTCCTGACTCAGACTCCCAAGCCAGCTAGTTTTTAAATATTTGTAGAGACAGGGTTTTGCTATGGGTTGCCTGGGCTGTTCTGGAACCCCTGGCAACAAGTGATTCTCCTGCCTCAGGTTTCCCAAAGTGCTGGGAAAACAGGTGTGAGCCACTGTGCCTGGCCTTTTGAGAAAAACATTAAGAGTCTGTAGATCCCTTTTTCTAGTAATAAATGTTTGTCTGACCAAACTCTCCTTAAACAGACACATTATAATGAATATGTACATTTCCCCTTTGTTTGCTGAAAAATATTTAGATTAAAAACTGTGTACATATACATATACACATACATTATAATGTCTATTGTAATGTACATCTACTTACAAGTAAATATACATACACATACACATATATTATATAAAAATACATTAAAATGTATAGTTATATATGCATGTATGTATACATAATGTATGTGTATATGTGTATGTTTATGTATGTCTATTTACTTGTAAATAGATGTACATATACACGATATTCCATACCTTTAAAAATTCTACAAGCTCTCAATTTACTGCAATTATTTTACAAATTTTATAAACCAAGTGCCTACTACTGAAGGGTTTCCTTCCATAGCAACATTAAAATGTAGTTTATTGTTCCTTATGGTTGAGATGATTTACTAGTTACAAAAGATTTTCCTTATTTGAAATTATTTTCTGTCCTTGCTTTAAGTTTAATAAATATTGAATACCTTTTTCCACATCCCCAATATCTCAGTAGTCTCAAAAAACATAAATGTCAGAGTTATAGAGTAGCCAGAATTTTTTAGATGATTTATGCAAATAAATATTATATCATGACTTTATAATGAAGCACTAAATAATATAAAGTAGTCACATGAGAAAGAAAAAAGCATCTATAAAAACTAATAATTAAGTTGTATGTAATCAATATGCTATGGGGTGAAATATATAATTTTAAATTTGGTTGAACTAGAATTCTTTTTACATGCCTAATAATATAACAAAATACTTCACTTGGAGAAAACAAGTTAATTCCTCATTGAGCTCTCTTTGTTCTTTTTCTCCTCGTCCCCTTTGTTGTAGAATTTATATAGAAAATAAGTTTGCAAACATTCCTAACACTTTTTTTGTGAACTGATTCTAAAAACTATGTGTCTTCTATGGATAAGAAATTTTTAAATCCATCAACCTTGTTTCATACATTTATGGAAATACCATATTATGACATAGAACCTTAGGATATTTAAAACAGTATGTTACATATACTAAACTAATCTCATTTTTACAAGGCAAATGGTGGTTTTAATATATCTGGTTCTTTTCATAATTATTTTTATAGTTACTAGATGGCAAACCACCTATCATGCTGAATATTAGTAATCTCACATTTAAATCAGAAACTCATTAATGTGTTATTATCTTACTGTTGTATATAAGCAGTTGCATCTCATCCAGATGAGAGTAGGTTACATTACATCATTTATATAGACGACTTTTTCTACCTTGGTCATTTCTTTTGTCAGTTATCTTGGGTAAATATTCAAAATTATTACAGTAAAGTCAAGAGGGATTGAATGGAAATTATTTTCTGTGGCTTTACTTTTCTTAATTTACAAAGATAAAAAATAAATGACATTGTAACTATCTTTGTTGTGTACCCCAATCCCTAAACATTCATCTAAAAGATATAAAAGTATAAACAAAAATGATTGCACCTGTGAAATAGAAAAAGAAAATCTTCAAATCAGGGATCAGCAAATGGTTGCATGTTTTAAGAGATTCTGTAGTCTCTACATAACCTCATAAATATAACTTCATATCTCTTATTATCATTAAACAAATTAGAGTTACTTGATTTTCAAGAAGGATGGCTTACTACATATTTCCCAATAAGACAACTGGAAGCAAGAATTAGTAAAATAATTGATTTTCAAAAATATTCTATTTCTGTGATGGCTTCTATGAAGGCTAATTATCCATTAACAAGAATACGACTGTGTACCTTTCTGATAAAACTGTCATTAGGTGAAAACCAAATAAAACAAAAAAACAATCAAACAAACAAAAAAGCGTGGACTTTGCTTTCTAAAGGAAAACCTGAGATCATGTATTAATTCTTTGCAAAATTCAACTATAATTTCTATTATGTACAGGCCCTAATGAGTGAAATAAATTCAAGTAATTCCAGTTGAAATAGTAATTGCTTTTAATTACCGCAAAAGTATAAATGTGGTCTTAGTTAATAATGTTGCTAATCCTGTTTCCTAAATTTGGCTAAATGCCCTCTTTAGCTAATAGACATATTTTATATGTGACATTATAGTACACCATAATCACTGAGGAATGATCATCACCTACCACAAAATATTCCAGACTCTACCCTTAGTGTTTAAAATGTTACCTATAATCTTCATAAGATCCATGTAAAGTAGCAGATTAAGACATTTGTATTTCTAAGGTTAAGTGTCATTCAGCTAGAGAAGTTAATGGCAGGCTTTAGGATTAAAACCTGGATCACTGTGGTTCCAAAGCCTTCATTTATTCCATGTCAGCATCATTACTGATAAATCCTCATGGAGCTTTGGCTAAAAGCAACACCATTTGTTAAATGTTTGAGGCACAAAGAGTGGTTAGAAATTGTTCCTGCCTCTAAGGAATTTACAACGTAGTTGTAGAAATAAGGCACATACATACAGAAACATCAACATAAGAGGGCATATCAATATTGTTTTTATGGAAGAAAAAGGAAGTCAAGTCCACATTGAAGCAGACCTTAGAGAAAATTAATAGGAGAGGATGTCACATTTCACACTGCATTACACATCGGCTTCAGGACATCTGTCTAGAATACTGGCGGGGGGAAAGATTACATGCTTAGTAATAAATGGTAGGCTAGGCAAGGAAGTCATATGTAAACATAGACTCTCAATCAATGGCTCCTTACCTTTCCACCGTACTCAGCTGGTTTGTTTCCACTCTTAGGAGCCTCAAACACACTCCTCAGCTCATCAAGGGCAATGGAAAAGCGTTCAATCCTGCGCCGACTGCTCAGGGAATCCTCCTTCAGCACTTCTGGCCGACCATATTCCCTGGTGTTGTTACTCTTGTCCACAGAATCCTTCTCTTCCGGCTTCGAACTCCACATCTCTTCCCCTGTACTGTAGGGCAGACTTGTGGGATCCAAAGATTGAGGTGCTGATACTACCTCTCCTTCAGGCGCAAGCAATTTGCTTTCCTGAGGCTGGAAAATTGTACAATGGCTGTCCCTGGGATGACACTCACTTCTCTGATAATCACAAGATTCCCATTTCTGCCTCAGGAGGTTGAGGGAGCCCTTCTGCATTGGGAACATGGATGGGTCCAGGTTGTCCTGCAATATCAAGAATCCTTTTATCAGTGATACACTCAGGAGTCTGAGTCATTTTCAGACTCAAAATACTCTAGGAGCACCAGCTCTTGGGGTTTGGGTCTTAGTAAAGAAATCCAGCTTTCCTATACAATTCCACACAATTTCTGGCTCTTCACTTCACCCCACAACGTTATGTAAGTTAAATTAGAATTACACAGATTATGGAGAGGTGTGGTTTGTATAGCCATGGCAGTTTGAATATAAAGAAACAAAAGTGAAGAACACACAATTTTCTTCCATTTTCCTTTTATCGAAAATCAGCCAACAGTTATTTAAAATATAAAATTTGAACAGTGTTACTTCATTGTTTAGTATATTCTAAGAAAAGGGCAACTTAAAAAGTCTAACAAGAAAGCAAAATGGTTCATTTCCTGCCTGTAACAGTTCAAAATTTCCTTTGGAATTATTGGTTTCTGTTAAAGTCTTACTTCAGAAGTAGTAGACTAATAGCTAATAGTTATTAAGTTTTTGTTGTCAGGCAAAACACTTTGATAATGACTTTACATGTATACCTCATTTTAATCTTAACATTATCACAAAGAGTTAGTTGCTACTATTATTACTATTTTGCAGGTAAGAAAATTAAATAGTAATTTGCCCAGGATTCTGAGTGACAAAGCCTGGATTTGAAATACATCTGTGGAACTCCAGGATCTGCCCTCTTAACCAGTGGAGTTTATCTTTTGTACTTTGAGTTTTCAATTCTCATCTCATTGTGAGACTGACTGGAATTTCACCTTGTTTTAGAGAGTTTTGTGGTACGATAAGGAAGAAAAAAAATGGCAAAGTGTACTCTTACCAGAAACACAAACACACACACACACACACAAATCATGGGCAGCAAGAATTATATGCTAGCACTAATTTTTGCCACAGAAATAGCTACTTCCTGTTCTAACCCAAAATAAATTTTGTTTTTGAAGGATCAGGCATTTTCCTGGAAAAGTATCAGCACAGTGGGTCTGGTAAACAATACATCAGATGAAGGCTTAGAAAGTGTCTCAGAAGGTCACCTAACACAATAGCTCCAAATTTCTTTGACTACCAGCCACATTATGAATAATATCTTATGCACGGGGACTCAATGCACACATTAGATTAATAAATGTATATATACAAGAAACAAACTTTGTGTTCATTAAACAATAGTTTCCCTAATTATGTGAACTGCCTGGTGATATTTTCTACTCCGAACTCCTTCACTTTTAAAGATAATGTGTGCTGCCCACTAAATTGATGTAATGATGTACTAATGTTTCATGGACTGCTGGATAGCTCCATACTTACAGCAGAAGTTCAGTCCCAGGTTGGGTTTTACTAACCGTGTGACCTTGAAAAATCTTCACTGGTAAAATATACATCATGGCTTTATTTTGAGAAATAAATTTGATGATGCGTATAAAACTTCTAGTGTGTATTCAACACCCCAATAACTGTTAAATCCACTCCCAGCTCTATCTCTGGCTAAAACATCATTTCAATCACTCAAATATTGATACTATACCTCAGCCTCCTAGATGCGAGTGCTTGGAAGACGAAAGGTGGGTATTTTAAGACACAAAGCCATAGACTGAACAGTCAGGAAAATTTGGCCTTAATAATATTGCCAATTGGTAAGTTTGAATTAGTCACTTATTATAAAAAATCTCAATAAAACAGTAGATCAAAGAAGATCTGAATACCTGTTTGGAAAACTGATCAGCATATGTTGAGAATTTAAACAACATATGCTGTTAATGTCTGTGTCTCATATGTGGACGACAGAAAAGACCACATTAACATGGGAATGGTTGAGACGCTGTCACAGCTGGTAGGAGTGACCTCATGAGGTTATTTAATGAAAGAATTGTTTTGGAGCCAACCACACATAGTTGGAAAGGGAAAGCTGAGAGGCAGAAAAACTGGCAAGTTGAGGAGGAAAGCCATTTTCTCCTGTAGAAAAGGAAATCCTAATAATTGAAACTGATTTGGAACATCTGTTTCTGGATCAAGTTGGAATAGACATACTTCTTTCTCTCAATTTCTCCTACTAAATACAGCTAAAACCCCTAGAAATTGGACACATGAAATAAACATGAGGACTTTGAAAAGCAGAGAGAAGGCGAACTGCCTAGGAACCTTGGGACCTGAGGAACAATAAGGCGGTGAATTCCCAGGATTTCTTTTTGCTTCATATATAAAGAACTGGTGGTGGGAAGAAGCAGTAACTCAGAAAGTCCTAGAGGGGAAGAAAATGAAATTTCCCCAGGAAAACCTGCTTTCTCTAGCCAAATAAGCTGAAAAGTGTCAGCCTAGAAAGACAGGACACTTCTAGGCCATAAGTACCATACTCCAGGCAAACAACATGAAAAACCACAACTAAACCCTTACTCCCATCAGCAAAGGCTGAGTGGTGAGTGTAAGTTTCTGGCTTTTTGCCCTTTGCTGTCTCTCTCTCCAACTACTTTCATATTAGAGAAGACCAAGTGTGGGGCCAGGATTTTTGTTCCCACTTGATGGTGACGGGGCTCCTCTAGATGTCAGTGGAAGCCATGTGAAGATCCTGTACTTCTACCCCACCTAGCGGTATCAAGATCTTCTCCTCTTCCCTTTGTGTGTCAGAGGACAGAGCTGGTAACTAGAACTTTCTTCATCATCCACTGGTATTGAGGGCTTCCTTCTGGCAATGATGTCAGTGAAGGCTACAAGGAGAGCAATAAAGAGGGGCCTCCCAACTTTCCAGCCAGCAGGGGTGATGGCATTGGAGGAATAATGGGGAGCCCAGTATCCCACCTTCACAAAACAGTCATTGAACACCCTTCTTCAGGGAGTCAAAGGTCAGAAATACATAAGTAATATGCAGAGTTTTACAACATAAATGACAAAATGTCCAAGATACACTTGAAAATCATTCATATTAAGAGCCACCAAAGACCTAAACCAAAGCAGAAAACAATCAACAGACACCAACACTGACATGATACAGGTGTTGCAATTATCTCACAAGAATTTTTAAGTAGCCATTACAGAATTGCATTAGTGAAGAATCACAAACATGCTTAAAAAAAAGTGAAAAAGTGGAAAGCCTTAGCAAACAAATAGAAGACGCAAAGAAGAAACGAATTAAAATTCTAGAATTGAGGTAGAAATAACGAACATTTAAAAACTCATTGAATGGACTTAGCAAAATGAAAAGGGCAAAAGGAAAGGATCAGTGAATTTGAAGATACGATGATAGAAAGTATCAAATCTGAACAAAACATAGAATATAAAGTGAAAAAAGAATAGAAACTAAGAGACAAGTTGGACTATAAAAAAGATCTAAAATTCATGCCATTGGATTTCCAGAAAAAGAGAAAGACAGTGGGGCTTAAAAAATAGTCCAAAAAATTCATGGATAAATTTTTTCCAAATTTGGCAAAAGATAACCACCAACACACATCATAATCTAATTTCAGGAAACAAAATTAAAAAAAAAATCCTGGTAGTCGCTACTCCCAGTTTTATTCCAATTGTAGAAGGTGGGAAACAAAGACAATAGTACCAGCATTCACGTTGCGCGGTGGCATAGGACGGTAATGCACTGTGCTGCAAAATTCACCATTACCAATAAGCAACATACCTGTGTCAGTTTTCAATCTATTGCCTCTCAGTTCCAAAAAGCAGTAAGAAAGAAGTGACACCTTGCTTATACAGAAAGAACAATGTGAATGACAGCAAATTTCTCATCAGAAACCATGAAGACCAGAAGGCAAGAGCACAATATGTTTCAAGTGTTAAAAGAAACTAACTGCCAACTCCAAATTCTTTGTCTAACAAAATGATCTTTCAATAACGAAGAAAAAATAAACACATTCTCAGACAAAGGAAAACTAAGAATAATTTGTTGCTGGTAAACCTATACTAAAAAATTGGCTAGGGGGTATTCTTGAATGACAAAGGAAATGATGAAAGAAGGAATCTTGAAATATCAGGAAGGAAGAAAGAATAGAAAGAGGAAAATCATGAAGAAATAATAGTATACATTCTATTTTTCTCCTTTTGTATTTTCTAAATTATGATTGAAGGTTGAAGCTAGGGGTATAATGTCTGATATTCTCAATATGTGTGGAGAAGTTAACCAACACAATTATATTATAAACTAGGTAGGGAAAAGGGATAAAGGAGGTAAAGTTTCTATACTTCATTCAAACTGTAAAATGCTAATACCAATAGACTGTGATAAGCTTTATGTGTATAACATGTATTTAGGGGAACTAATAAAAATCCATCATACTTGAGATGTGTTACAAAACACTATAGCTAAATCAAAATGTGTTCTAAGAAATATTTAAGTAACTCATAGAAAGACATGAAAAATGAAAGAGAGAAACACACAACAGAGGGAACGGAGAAGACAAACTTAAATTTCAGACTTGAGCCCCATAATTTCAAATATTACATAAAATGTAAATGCCCAAGGCATAAAAATGAAAAGACAGAGATTGTGGGGTGGATTAAAAACATTATTCAGCTATCCATGTAAGGGTGCTATTCTAAGTGAAAAAAGCCAATCTCAAAAGGTCACATACGATAAAAGTACCGTTTCAATAACATTCTTGAAATGACAAAATTACAAATGTGCAGAACAGATTAGTGGTTCTCAGGGATTGTGAATGGATGGGACGTGTTGGGGTGGGCTTCACTATAAAGGGGTAACACAGGGAGATCTGTGTGGTAGTAGGAAACTTCTGTGTCTTGATTGCTGTGGTGGTTACAGGAATCTGCATAGGTGATAAGTGGCACAGTACTATTAGTGTATATGGCGTCGATTTCAATTTCCTGATTTTTATAATGTACTATAGTTATGTAAGATGGAATTACTGAAGGAAACTAGATAAATCATACAAAAGATCTCTCTGTACTATCTTTGCTATGTCCAATGAATCTATAATTATTTCAAAATAAAATGTTAAAAACTAAATGGATAAAAAAGTGATTAGGTAGTCACTACTCCAAGTTTTACTCCAATTGTAGGAGAAGGTGGGAAACAGACAGCAGTACCAGCATTCACACTGTGCAGTGGCATAGGATGGCAATGCATTCTGTTGCAAGATCCACTATTATGAATCAGCAACATACCTGTGTGAGTTTTTAATCTACGACCTCTCAGTTCCAATGCACCCTTCAACATATGTTCCTTGATAAATAGCTGAATCCCTTTAAGCACTTCTAATTTAATGTGAGCACAATGTTTAGCTTTCTCAGCAAACACTGGAGGGACATTGCAAGAGGAAGAGTCTTCCTGAAATTTCCTACCTGGGCTGGGTATCAGCAGTCATGAGCATGAGAACACTGTGGAGCCTGTTCAACTATAGCCATAGAATGATCTTATAGCCTGGGCCAGGAAATAACTTCTCTACAGCTCTCTTCTCATGGAAACAAACCATACAGCTGCCTGTGGTCTGGAGGGTCACATAGGGAGCAGTTGTTGATTCTATAAGCCCCTGAGTATCCTGCATGCCACCTGCATGTGTCCTAAGAGATAAACTCAGATCTGCTTCTCTCTCTGCAAGCCCCTGCATAGCCCATGTGCTTTGAAAGTCTATTGCCTAGAGAGGTGTTCCAACCCCCACTGCATGGCCTTGCCACCAGCTGCTGATTATCTGCTTGGCCTGCCTCTGAAAGGTGGTCTATTGCTAGTCTGGAAACTCTGGGTCAGCTCTAGCCTGGCTAAACCAAAAAGCTTCCTGCTCTCCCATGGGCTGAACCACACCTTCTCCATGAAAGTCTGGATCCTTTGCCAGTTTGTCATTCCTTGGTGGCTCTCCCTCAGCCTGAGGCTAGTGAATTGACTTTCTTTGTAGCTAATACCTATTCTTCTATCATAGTTGTTAATTCTTTATATTAACTTATTTTGTTTAACTTACGTGTGGCTTCTTTTTCCTGATTGGACCCCGACTGCTACAATACTTTTGCATAATGAGATGTCTGCTCTCTAATTCCAACAGTAGGTCACGGTGATATGTTTTCAGTATTGTCGATGGTGACGCATGCCACCATTCCCTCTATTACCAACAGTTTTGCCATGGGACATGAGATTACAGAAACCCTTCTTCCCATATTCCCTGATCAGGGAATGACAGCAACAGGGCAGTAGGCACACTTCCGTAGGGCCACTGAGTGCTAGTCTTGCAGAATGTTTTTCAGAAACAGTGCAGAAAGAATTACATGGAAAAATAAGTTTAAGAAGCCTAATAGATATCCCATTCTGGGAGAATTACAACATGCACACCCTTATTAAATGCTTTGAAAAGTCTTTCAGAAAGAAAGAAGTACAAGGACAGTAGTGTGTTGCTTAATGTTCTGAGCAATGTATTGTTTGTCAATTTCATCATTGTGAGAAGATCACAGAGTGTACTTACACAAACCTAGAGGGTATAGCTTAAGGGTATAGCTTACTACACATCTAGCCAATATGGTATAGCCTTTGCTCCTAGGCTAACAGCTGTACAGCATGTTATTGTACTGAATGCTGCAGGCAGTATAACACAATAGTAAGTATTTGTGTATCTAAACATAGAAAAGGTACAGTAAAAATATAGTATAAAAGATAAAATGTATTATACCTGTATGGGGAACTTATCATTAATGGAGCTTGCAGGACTAGAAGTTGCTCTGGGTTAGTCAGTGAATAAATGTGAAGGCCTAGGAAATTACTGTACACTCCTGCTGTAGACTTTATAAACATTATATATACATAGGTGACATTAAATTTATAAAAGAGATTTTTCTTTCTTCAATAACAAATTAACCTTAACTTACTATAGCTTTGTTACTTTATAAACTTTTTAATTTTTAAAACTTTTTGACTCTTTCTTAATAACACTTAGCTTAAAATCCTAAACACATTGTACAACTGTAGAAAATTTTTTCTTTATATCTTTATTTTATAAACTTTTTCTTTTTTTTTTACTTTTTAAAAATTTTTATTAAAAACTAAGACATATACATTATTGGCCTAGGCCTATACAGGGTCAGGATCATCAATATCACTGTCTTTCACCTCCGATATCACTATCTTGTCCCACTGGAAGGTTTTCAGGGGCATGAACATGAAACGGAGCGGTCATCTCCACTGATAATAATGCCTTCTTCTGGAACACCCACTGAAGACCCTGTCTGAGGCTGTTTTGCAGTCAATCTTTTACATATATCTTTTATATTTTTAGAAAAAGTATGCTCTAAAATAACAATTATAAAAACATGGTATAGTAAATACTGGGCAATAGGGATGTTTTTCCTCCGTTATATTCTTAGGGGACCACCACCGTATATGCAGTCTGCCATTAACTGAAATGTTGTTATGTGGCATATAACTGTAGTTCAAAGTTGTCCTTAACTTATTTGTCCAGGGAACCTTTTAGCATAAATTGCTCATAACATCCACAGATGCAGTCTTCCATTAAAGACATTTTGATAAATGTAGAAATAAAGCAAAATCCACTAATTGTAAAAGGCAAGCCTCTGTTTTCTTCTTAGTATATCTATGTAGTAGTCATGACTTTGGCAAGTTTTTAAAAAGTATCTGTTAATCACTATTACATTTAACAAGTAATTTTTTGGTATTTGTATTCTATTAAAAATTAGCTGGCATCTCTTAAAGACCACATAACAAGCTGCAACATTTGTATATAAAATGAGAAGGCTTTCCCAGCATTCAGAGAATTGCATGCTAAGTCAGAATCTGGGTATGAATGAACAGAGGGTAACGCCTGTGTATGTTAAAATACAATTCCAAAACTCATTTAATTTTAAAAAGATTCAGCTGAAATGAATATCCAAAGGGACTACGTAGGTGGCAGGCAGTGACCCTGCTGCAAACGTTGCCAACAGGACATGGCATCCCCTTCTTTCTAATTGAGGAAAGCAAACTTTGATTTACATATAATTTACTTCTGTTCATGGATCCAGAGACCTGTTGTTGGGTATGGTGGGACCCACCTACCACCTTATTTATCCACCTGGGGGAGCAATCCTCAAAAACAACTTTAGATCAGGTGGTTGTCTTTGCTAAGTTAAGCACCAGTATGTGGAGTTATTGAGACTGAGATGTAGCAAGGTAGACTGAGGTAGGATGAAACAAAAAATTGCAAATTGCCATGGAAGCCACAGGATTAACCAATGACCTGAAATGAAGCATCAGGGCATAATACAACCAATGTGGACATTTTAATAAAAATGTTTTGCAGTGTCACATATGGCACGTAAAATGTTTTGCTTCTAATTAAAGTAGTAAACTCTGCATTTTTCCTTGTTAGGAGTTGGCTTGGGCAGTTCAGAGATTTTCAACCATGATTCCCCTCCTTCATCCTCTCTCCAGGATTTAATCACTGTGTCCTTTTAGTCTCTTGCATTTCTTATTTTCTCTCCTGCCACAGGACCTTTGCAAAGGCTGTCCCTCTGCGTAAGTACTCTTCTCTCTCCTGTTCTGCTGGTATCCGTTATTTATCCTTCTGTTCTCAGCATACGGCATGACTGCCTCAGGGAAGCATTCCTGACTTACCAAAGATGATATAGCTCACTATTTTAGCACCCTCAAAATATGTTCTTCTCTGTTCACATTGTCAAAACTACAATTACACATTTGTTTGTGTAGCTATTTTATTAATGTCTGTTCCCTAACTTGAAAATTCTATGTTGGCAAGGTGCATCCCAGTTTTTGTTCAGTAGTTTATCCTTCGCTTCTAACACATTGCCTGGCACAAAATTGGGGCTCAATTAACATTATTAGAATGAAAGGCACAATGCTGAAAAAAGTAGGTTTTCACTATAACCCATCATATGTATAAACATATTTTTTCTTCTCATACTAGAATTAATACTTGGAGCAATAGCTCCCCTGGGATTCACTCCAACTCAGTAGATATTAAGAGCAACTCAATTAGTGCATTTTTAATAGGTACCTGAGGTGATTTTAAGGAAGGTGGCCTGAAATCTATACTTTGAGAAACACTAATAAAGAGAATAATAGCTTACATGGACTCAAGAAAGGAAATCTGCCAAGATTTAGTAAATACATGGAGCTGACATTCACGTTAGGATTCCAAAGAGTTTATTTCACGTTCCTGCCAGGTGATCTGCTATCTTGTATAAAAGAGTATGAGGTCTTCAGAGAGAGGATTTGTAAGTAAGGGAAGGAAAGAAACCCTTGGTCAAAGCTAAGTTGTCCATGTATTAAAGACTGCGTGTTTACAAAAGTGTTCTAATATTTTGTGATCTCTGTCATTGTAAGAATTATCTCCGGCCTCTATTATTGTAACTTTGAGTTTATGTCTAATTATAATGATAATGTTAGGTTTGTGGCCCATTGCATTAAACAAAAAGAATGACCACAATTTTGCCTGTCAAGCATACCAATCCACTCAGAGAAAAATTATCTTTGACTAGGTCTTGGGGAGAAGAAAAACTACCAAATGCTTCCCTGTTCCACTGAAAATCCCTAAAGTTAATTTTAAACAAGCTTTGTAAATAGTCTCATATGGTTGATTTACTAAGATTTCTTGTAAGTCATAACTCTTGTTTCTTGTATTTGAGGACATGTTTTGGTACATTTCTCTACTAACAGCATTTCAAGTTTAAAGCATAGTTATGTATCAATTTGAAACACATGTTCAAATCTAAGAAATCTATGATTATTACAGAATGATAGTGAATGAAGAGTTTTAAGCATGGCAAGACTGGCAATGGCACTGACACTTTTGATCTCTATTTCTAAAAAAGAAAATGTGCCCAGAAATAATAATTTAATAGAAGAATATTCTTTAATATATGCAAATGTGCCTTGCAAAGTTTCAATAGTCATTATAGATAGTAAAAAAGGAAATGCTTCAAAGTGAGGGGGATGTTTTACTAAATGATGGTCTGGCCACACAATGAAATGATGTAGCCATGTGAAATGGTAAATATAAAGACAATGCAGAACCAATGAAATCAGTATATGATATAAAATTGGGTAAAGAGATACGCAGAAAGGAATGTATTGCATGACTTCAAAATATATGCATATGTTCAAGAACTGAAAGTATTTTTTAAAAATGCAAATAATTTTTTTGGTGTATTGGGATTGAGGCAGTTGGCTTTTCTACATTTTTGAAGAGAAAATAAATGCCATCTTTATCAGCATTGGTTTAAACTGTTTTCTTCCTTCCACAGAAGGAAAAAGCCTTTTAAAACAATTATGGATTTTTCTGGAATATTTTTAAATTTCCCACCAGTTACTCTAATATTTATATCATCAAATTCCAATATTCTCACTTTTCACTACCAGAGAATGACCACTGAAGGTAATTTAAACCCAAGAGTCAGTTTACTGCAGTCATCTCTGTTTTAAATTACAGCACACGCAAACCCTCTCTAGAATCAGCATGCGATCCCTCTCTTTTCCCTCTGGTGGTGTTGTGTGTGTGTGTGTGTGTGTGTGTGTATATACATATATATATATGTATATACACACACATAAATATACACATATACACATATATACATATATACACATAAATATACATATATACACATATATACATATATACACACATACATATATATATAAAACATATATTATAACATATCATAGAAGTTATATATATATATATATATCTTCTATGAAATGATCTCTGAGGCTGACTGCAAGTGATGTCATTTTTCATTGCTCCAAAATTGTAGCATTCTATGTCAAGTAACCCATCAAAGGTTATTTCAGAAAAGAACACAAACTTCAGCTCTGGGAACCTGAGAAGCCTCAACATATTTGCTGTGGGGACCTGGATGGAAGGCCTTTTACTGAAATTCACAGGAAGCCTCTCCTCAGATGCAGGCAGGTGAAGCTCTGCAGGAGGGTGTTTAACCTTGTTTTACTCTATGCAATAATTTTTAAAGTTGGCTTTGAAATTCTGAAAACACAGCAGGCTGCAAAGGGTCTGGATTGCATGCCAGAGCTGTTTCACAGAATAATTTCAGTCACAAAGCAATTGACTTTTTTCATGAAAGATCAACACATGTCTCTTTTCATTCCCATTGTTTCTGTGATTTCTACCTGCTCTGTTTCCCAACACCCACCATACTCCGGCCCAGTGTGCTTTGGAGATCACAGCATTTTCTGAGGCCCTTTAAACATGACTTTAAATATTTTTTTCAGGTATAATTCAACAAGTACAATACCAACTAGAATTCTAAAATATTTTTGTTAATCAGAATGAAGCCTGTGCCAATTTGAGAATAAAAAACATCAGAATGGAATAAAAAGGTATTGTTGGATAGAAATTTTTCTAGTGGGTTTCTCATCTTTGGAAACTACAACATGTGTCTGAAGGGGGAAAATATTTTGCAATATAATTCTAGCATCCTTCAAAATAGTAGTTAATGATCCCAATAAGATGACAGAACAGACGAAGATTGTGAGGCATATCAGCATCGGCAAGCTGAAGGTTCAAACTACAAAACAAAAGGTTTCCAAGAACCTGCCAAATTTATGTTGTCACTAAGCCAGATTCTCTGCCAAGGAAATCCTCAGTCTTGCAACTGTAGAAAGCAAGTTAAGGTTAGGTAAATATGTCAAACTAGCACCTTCTGACAAGGGTAAGAATCCCAAGGATTATGTTTATAATGCTAATATTAGTGTAATTTAACTTATTTTCATGCTTTGGTTACATTTTCTGTTACCAAGCTTTCAGAATTTTTGTTGTGATTAAGAAAGATTATCAGACAACAATTTTTTTTTCAGAGAAAAAAAATCAAAAGACAACAACTGAAAGTGTTTTTCCAAATAAAGCAAGTAATTGATCTTTTCTGGGAGGGAAATTTTAATTAGTTTTGGCAGATAGTTGCTCAATATCTATCTGATAAGAATGTGAAAGAAATTAGTTAAGAGATTCAAAGAAATGGCATTTTCAATATTAAGGAAAAAACTTAACTAAAGCTTTATTATTATATATTGTCAATTACATTAACTTCTCCAGCTATGCTAGGTTTATCAGAACAATTAATTTTTCTGCCAAAAATGTAGCTAACATAGTACATTACTTAATTTCCCACTAATAGGATGCATGCATAATTCATATATGTAAAAAAGAGATAGGAACAATGCATTTGTTTATTTTTCTTTCTTTTATCTCCACATTCACATTTATTAAGTGAACCAGCTAAGGCACCTTGCTAAGACAAGTTATTAGAAGAATTTATGAAGTTGTATATTTGCAATAAGCTTATCTTACCGCCATGTCTTTTTCTGTCAAATTTCTGTCCTGTGACTCAGCTACCACAGTCACGTATCCATTAAAGGAAAACACAAATTTAACAGTTCTTTAACTTACTGATCTCATCTAACTAATGAACATCAAGCATGATGGACATACGTCGCCAGATAGCAGCTACAAGACACCAAATCTCTCATAGCCAGCTCTGGGAGCTGCATTATTTAGTAAGTCATGGAAGAGAGAAGTGCACCCTCAACCATAACCCCTGTTTGTGCTAGGTACTCAGCTTACAAGTTTACTCGTTAAAGGCTGATTGAAGCAGCTTTTGTTTCCAAATTCTATAGAAAAATAAACTCATCCTTAGTAAAAGGACCCATCTCAGAGTCCCAGAAAACTGTCTGGAGGATATGGGTAATTAGTATTTAACAAAAGAAGAAATTTGTTAAATATTTCATGGATTATCCCAAGCAGGCTGCGTACCAGACAATACCTGTTATTTAGGACAAAGCTGATGATCTGTCATATCAGCTTCTGCTACACCCACATACAGAATACATCTGTAATAAAAGAAGCATGCAAAATTTGCTCTCATGAAATTTCAAATATGAATCTCAGTGTGAATAATAAAAATAAAAACAAACTTTTAGAGTTTACTATTGAGAGCTGTCAAAGAATTATAAAACATAAATCCAGACTTCAGGGATTTACAGTCTGTTCAGATGCTCTGGTTCTCACCTTTTCTGTGCACCAACATCATCTGAGATGTCCTTAGCACTGCAGATTCTTAAGGGCCCACTCGGGGAGTTTCAGCTAGTTTCAAGGTCTGGAATTTGAACTGGGAACTGGCCTTCTTAGAAAGCACCAAGAGGTGATTCTGATGCCCGAAGCCTATGAACCCACAGTTAAAAAATAAAACTTAGGGGCCAGGCACGGTGGCTCATGCCTGTAATCCCAGCAGTTTGGGAGGCTGAGGTGGGAGGATCATGAGGTCAGAAGATTGAGACCATCCTGGCTAACACGGTGAAACCCCATCTCTACTAAAAAACAAAAAAATAGCCAGCATGGTGGCACGTGCCTGTAATACCAGCTACTCAGGAGGCTGAGGCAGGAGAATCGCTTGAACCTGGGAGGTGGACGTTGCAGTGAGCCGAGATCACACCACTATGCTCCAGTCTGGGTGACAGAGCAAGACTCTGTCTCAAATAAAATAAAATAAAATAAAACTAAAAAGTAAATAAAACTTAGCTACATCAACAGAAATATTAATGAACTGGAGAAGACACAACACCATTCATTAATTCAATACCTGCTTGAGGATTGCTTGCTATGGAGAAGAATAACAAGGAGAAGAAGGTGGAGATGGGGCTTACCCCAAAAAGGGGAAGAAATCTAGACTTATGAGAGAATGAAAATGAAGAAAATGACTACCAGCAAAAGCACAAAGGCATGGAAGGACTCATCAACATCAAGAACCCCAAGCAGGTAGGATAGACAACCAGAAAGGTCAAACAAGTGGATCTGGACAGGCTAAAGGAGCTTTTAAGGAGAAAATGCACTAGCAGGAGAGACAGAGCAAGCCAAGGTGGGCCTTGCCTGGCTGGTGATCATCTGGAAACAGTGGGAGAAGGCTGCAAGGAAGAAGGAAGTGGAGAGGAAAGCAAAATATGGTGCCACATTGTTGGGAAAATGAACATGGTTGCTCCCCTTGAATAAATAAACGCCACCTGCAGGAGGAGAGGCCAGGGACCTGGGCCAGAACCTCTGCTGTGTCTCACCTACCCTGTGCCCTGGCTCCACTGCAGCAGCCCTTCAAGGCCAGAAGCCCCATGGCCTGGGACATCCTCTTCATCTTGGCACAGAAATTGTTTAGGGAGGTGTCTGGGGGCGAGTGGGGAGAGAGTGGAGGAGGGACAGCTGTCATCTCTGAGATAGAAAGGTGCAGGAAAGCATTTCATATGTAACAATTTGAATGTTTTTTGCTGTTTTTAGAATTCAGAACCCTTGTTGGAGTGCCTAAGAAGTGGGGTAAGAAGAGCTTCCATTTGTCTGCTAGATCACATGTTAGTGGGTGGTTGTGCCAGGAGGCAGCTGCTGAGGGGTTTGCAACAACCACCCTGGTCTGTGTGCCTGAATGCTTATTCAGAATGGGGCTGTCAGCTGCAGGCTCATGCCCTTGGGTCCCTGAGGGTCATGGCTTTGTCCCTGGCGAGTCCTCTCTGACCTGACTCAATGGAACGAAGGAAGAAAGGAGAATTGCCCAGATGCTTTCTTTGGGTGATGCTGTTTTTGTTAAATTTCTTCCCCAGAAGTCCCTGACTATCTTTCAGTGTCCAAAAATATAATATATAGCCAAACTTACGTGTTTTGAGTCTGAGAGATTAACTATTTTTTCTCTGGGCACATTGCTGCCCCAGATTAAATTGTTTCTTAGTTAGAAAAACAAATGAATAACTAGAGATTCTAGCAGCAGTGTCTGTCACTAAGCGCTAGCCTGAATTTGTTGATGATGCTGTGATTCTATGCTAATTTAATGTATATTACTTAAAAGAAATAGGGAGAGAGAGGCAAAATAGTGTCCTGTCAGAAACTATCAAAGAGAAGCATGTATGTGTAGAAAAAATTATGAAAGAAGTGGTTTTTCTTAGGAAAATCTTACCTTTTTTCTACATGTCCCAGTCCCTACCAGATGTTCCCTTTTGTCTGCCTAGAGACCTGCCAGATTTCTCCAAATAATCCTGACTTCCTGGATACACCCACATAGAAACAGGTCGGGTTCTAGAAGAATTTGTCTGCTCCATGTTCCATCAGAATCAGATTATCTCATTATTTTGGAACAAGTTAATCTGCTGCAGATGAATTAATGAATGCTGCTGAGTTAGCTATTATCATTTTTTTCCTACATATTCTTAAAGGTATGTTTTAACCCAAAGACCCATAGTGACCAATGGCTCACTCTATGGCTGAGCTACACTTTAATTATCACTGTGCGTCAGGTTCCATACATATAAAAATAAACCTAATATTTAATTCAAAGTCATTTGTGAGGGGTTGGGACACCTGAGAATTTTGGATAATGATCATGAACATAGAGTCCAGATTCAAACCAAATGGCTTCAAATTCCTACTCAAACACTAGTATATGACATTAGATGCATTATTTAATATATCCAAACATTAGTTTCCTCACTTGAAAATTGGGATGATAATAGTATGTTCTAACTATACTGTTGTGAGATGAACAAAATAAATGAAATCACGCTCATAAAGAACTTAGGATAGTGCTTGGTATGAAGCAAGTGATCAGCGGATGTCAGCTTTTATTAGCAGTATTTAAGTATAGTTATTTGCAACCAAAAAGTGCTTAGCGATATCAGTTATCATCTTCTACAAATTATAGGAGACCACAGCTTCTGAGATAATTTTATTTTATTTTACATATAGTAAGCTATATACTATTTCAAATAAGTAAAGTCTTTCTCTTCGCAGACTCTAATTGCAGAGTCTAATTTGATTCTTATTTGGTCATCTAATAGCTCTTTGTTCCAAACTGGGGTTTTTATATATAAGGGGTTCAGTGATATACTACTAAAGACAATGTTGATTTTTTTGCATAAAGGAATTCAATAGCAGAAATGCATTTTAATATAATAAATTAAATCTTACAACTTTAATCAATGAATTTTCATATATAAAAATGACCATAAATTATATAAATAACTGCAGTGCTTAGCCAGTATTCAAACTGTAGGTTTCAGAAATCTTGTTTGAAAGCTTAAAATATAGGGCAGTTATGATATGGTATTTGGAGACGATACAGGGTGTGATATAAAGGTTCGACTACAAGGCTAATGTTATAAACTGGTCACATTTTGAACTGCAAATTCTGGTGACTTAATTATTTTTCCAAGAGTTTGCCAAAGTCAATAAAGAACAATTAGCTCAACATCTATGAACTTAAAAAGGACTTAGACATTCTGCTATATTAAAAAGACTAAATGCAGTACTTATCTTGGTGTGTTTCTTGTTTCTACTCTGGGAAGATTAAAAAACAGATAACTTTAGAAATTACAGACCTGTCAGCATCAGTATTTAGTTGAAAACTTACTGAAACATATCATCAAAAAATCAATTTTCAAGCACCTAGAAAATCATGAGTTACTGGGTAAAATCTCCTTGGCACTGTGAAAAATAAATCCTGTCAAATCAACTTAATTTCCTTCCACGACAGAGTGACAAAAACAGTAGACACAGAGAACTGGATAGACAAAATATATCCTGACCAAAGTCAGGCAAATTCCACATAACACAGAGAGAAAATACAGTTTGGGTGACATTTTGTCTTTATTAAGTACTCCTATTGAATAACTATGCTGAACATATCTGGAAGTGATACTCAGCTGGAATATTGAACATGTAAGGTGACTGGTTAGATATAAAGATGAGAGCATTCAAGACCAAGTTGTGGCAGGGCTGATTCTCACTATTTTAAACAAAATATTATCGGTAATTATGAGAAACCAAGTAAGAATCAGCATCATTTTGCTACTTCTGTTTTTTTAAAAAAGCAAGATCCCCAACAGAAAAGGATGTGTAGAACTGTAATGCCCACATAATGTTGCGATGGGACTACTGTTGGCACATTTGGGGTTTGGAGGCCCAGGAGAGTGAAGATGAATGGCATGAAATGAGGCATGCCTTTGAGTCAATGCTTCTGACCAGTGAGGGATCCATTTTTACTTCTGAGTCCAAATGTTTTTCCCACAAGAAAAGGTTAATGTATCCCTCTCATCTCCAAAGACTCATTTAACAAAATGACTCGTTTAACAAAATGAAAACAGCATGGACAAATAAGAGAGTGACATTTTTAAGAAACATTGGTATAGTTCCTAAGCAGAAAACCAGAAATCTGTGTGTGCATTAAAATAATAAACCACTTAGTAAAAATAATAATTGATTTTAAAGTGAATTTTGAGGAATCCCTTTAGCAGATATTCAAAGTATTTGGAAATAATGATAAATAACCTGATTTCAGTACATTATCATCCCATCCTAGAAGCTTGTAACAGTGGGAGACAGATGAAGATAGTGAGATTTCAAAGAAAGGGTAGTAGACACTATATCAACAATAAAGTATTTCCTTAGACAAGAGCTTGAAAATAATTTTCATCTCATGTGCCAACTCTAATTTTTAGTTGCCACCTGAGTAGGCTTGAGAAGTTGCACTAGGCCCACTCTAAAGAATAAAGAAGTGCACCAACCATTCAATTTGATGGGGGTGAGATATTTTGCCCATTCCCATGAAGACACAGACAGCAAGTTTATACTGGAGCCTAACTATAGTATTTATATTTGACTACATAATAAATCCATAGCAAGTAGTTGTTCTTGAATATTTGTTTATTCATTCTCAGCTAGGCTTTGGTATCTTTATTAGGACTTAAATTAAAAACTTTCTCCAGGTGTTGTTATACATATCTGATCTGGGTAAACCTACCTGGTTGCTGAAGTTCAGATTCTAATGCACTGAATGTCAACCAGGACCTTTTAGGGAATTGCGTCTTAACAACACTTATTTCTGTTGGGCTGTGCTAAATCATCTAGTCTCAACAATTATTAGATGCTTAGACTTCTCCTACAATACACATGTGGATGGGCCCTCCAGACTGGGTTGGCACATTATTGTAAGAGACTCACTTGTATTTATTAATTCATCAACTTGACACACATGAGATCCAAAATCAACTGGGAAAAAAGTCACTAGTTATTGAATTAAATCCCATGCAGTCTTTTATTCCCCAGGACCTTATATTTTGGTGTGACATTCCAGTGAATTAATTTCTGACTATAATTCATTGTTGAAAGGCTTGGCAGAGGAGTTGTGGAAGTCCAAAGCAAGGGTTTTGAATAAGCTCTCATTTGAAAAATTATATTTCTTGCATTAAACCCAAAATATCTCTGTAATTTTCCCTTTGAGCCTGTTCTAAGCCTTGAGGCCATATAAAACAAGTCTAATCCTTCTTCCACATGAACAAACAATCTTTAAATATTTGAATAAAATTCTAATGGGTCTCTTAAATTTTCTTTTTCTATTCAAGCAAACCATCCACAAATGTACCCTAATATAAATGCTTTTAATTCTTCTAGTCATCATAGTTCTAACCTGTTCACCATCAACAACCAGAATTAGTCATGTATTCTCTCAGCACTTTATAAATTGCTTATTTCTATTCCTTTAATAGACTGAGAAATGTTAAAAGACAGTTAATATTTTGATTCATTTGTGATCTCCTGCATATTTTACATGGGGCCAAAATCAATTGACTTTAACTGAACATAAGGGAAAAGGTTTTAAAAAAATTTGGAAAATAAACATTTGATACCAGATTGTTTGGGAGTATACAGCAATTGCAGTGGCAAGTACAGATTCTTAGGAAAATAAGATATATTGAAGTCCTATTGAAGTCTTTATTGCTAATGCCATGTTTTTACTAGGATTGCTTTCTAACTAACTGTTAAGTAGATTGCAATAGCCCAGAGTGATATTCTGAATATTTAACAACTAGTATCAGATGGACATAATCCTAGTATTAAAGCAGCATCCTGGAAGCATTGACTATATCTTGGGAAAGTTTCGGAGTCACAAGGAGGACATTTACAAAGAATTTCAAAATTATTTTTGATATTTTAAAAATCAGTAAGGCAATCACGGTGACTAATGGCTGAGTAACAGCCTTTGAAACAGAATTTTAGCATTAGTGATTTTAATGGAAGCCCTGAATCAAAATCTCACATTGTCCAGGTCATAAAGGGAAAATGACCCGTTCAAGTTCACAGGATTAGTGACAGAGATAGTATTCAAAATGGCTAAGAATGCCTTAATATTTTCTGCAGCTTGACTATACTTTACAGACTTCTTACTATTGACCCCTGACTCCCTTAGAATATCTACTTTAGAAAACTTTCGATTGCAAATTTTTTGACTCTCTGAATCTTCTCCCAGCTTCTTGCCAATTTTATAACCCAGAAAAGTTTTCTCAAGGACCTACCCTGATGCAGTCATTACACACTGCAGGCTTGTGTCAAAACATCACATGTATCCCATAAATAACATACAACTATTATGTAGTCATATTAAAATATTTTTTAAAAAAATCAAGAAAGATAGCATTCCCATCTCCCAGTCTCTATGGGAAGGTAAGAGCCCAACTTCAGTAAGTGTCAATTAGTAAACACAGATGGCCTAGTCACACTGACCACCTCCCCACTAATGTCCTCCAGTACTTTTCCACCAGTTCACCCCACTATAAAACTCTACCAACTTTTGTTTCAGCAGAGATGCTTTCAATCTCTCTTCCCTAAAGTGATGTCTTAAATAAATCCTTTCTTGCCTGTTCAACTTGTCGAGTGCAATTTTTCTCTGATAGAACCCCCTACATCTTCAAACTCTTGAGCTTTTTTTTTTTTTTTTTTTTTTTTTACAGAGTCTCATTCTGTCACTCAGGCTAGAGTGCAGTGGCGTGACCTCAGCTCACTAAAACCTCTGCCTTCCAGGTTCAAGCGATTCTTATGCCTCAGCCTCCGCTGTAGCTGGGTTTACAGGTGCCTGCCACCAGGCCCAGCTAATTTTTGTATTTTCAGTAGAGATGGGGCTTCACCATGTTGGCTAGGCTGGTCTCAAACTCCTGATCTCAAGTGATCCACCCACCTCGGTCTCCCAAAGTGCTGGGATTACAGGCGTGAGCCACCACACCCGGCGGAAAATCTTGAACTTTTTCTATGATACCATATTTCTTCCTGTTGGTAACTGGAGCTACTCCATAAAGGACAGGGGAAAGAAAGAAAGTCATCACTTTCTTTGCCCATTAAAATATAAATCATATGTCCCCAAAATCCATTTATAAATTGTAGAGTTTCTATCTCAAACTTCAGTGTGCCTAAGAATTTCTCAGGATGTTTTTGAAAATGTAGATTTCCAAGTTCCATTATCAGAGATTCTGATTCAGTAACTGTTGTGGACCAAATTGTGTGCCCTAGAATCCATAGGTTGAAGCCCTACCCCTCAATATGACTGTTCTTGGAAAGAGTGCCTTTAAGGAGATAACTGAGAATAAATGAGGTCATCAAAATCGGGCCCTAATTCAACAGGACTGGTTTCTTTGTAAGAACGGGAAGAGACACCGGAAGTGCATGCACACAGAGGAAAGGCCATGTGAGGACACAGCAAGAAGGCAACCACTGAAAGCCAGGAAGAGAGACCTTATTAAAAACTGATCCAAGCTGACACTTTGATCTCAGACTTAAGCCTTCAGAATTGTGAGAAAATAAATTTCTGTGATTTAAGACACCCAGTTTGTGGTATTTTCTTACGGCAGCCTAGGCAGTCTAAGACAAATTCTCACAACAATTTTTTCAAGGAAACATGTTATCTTCCCATTTTTCAAATGAGAACACTGAGTTTCAGAGAAAAATTACTGACTTCCAATTAGAACACAAATTAACAGATGACAGACAAGAATAGAACACAACTCTATTGGTCCTGATTGCAAAGCCATGAAGACAGTTTGGTGAGGAACTCTTAAATTATATAGTATTAATTTTAGAGAGACCCATGAATGTGAAAGGTCAAAAACATATATTTTAAATGGCTTATTTGTAGGGTCATGTTTTTATTTGAATCTTTTAATGAATAACATAAATTAAAATTTTTTCTTAAAAATAGCTTTGCCTAAATACAATAAATCTATTTAGTATATTTTCTAGGTATTCCAGCATCCTTATAGTTTTGAGCAATTCTTAGTTTTTTAAACTTTATTGATATTTTCTTGTCTTTTAAACCAGACATCAAAGAGAGAAATATTTTTAAAAATCTCTTTTCATTCTCATGTGTATTGAAAAAGTTGTTATAAGGCTTAAAAAATACATACAGTTGAATCCAACTGATGCTGTAGGTTGAGCAAAGCAAGGATTCTATTTTCTTCTAATTTTAGAAGTTAAAAGATTTTTGGAAACTCTCCGGCTATGCTTAACTACTCTTTTTATTTTTGTAGGTTCATTAGAGATTTTAATTTTTTTCCTAAACAATATACTTAATTAGAAAGTCATTATCTGATAAATATCCTTATTGTGTTGTACAAAGTTTTGGGGTTTGGGCATTTAAAATCAAATTATAAATGGCTCCATATCTTAGTAGGGGGAAGAATATTGAGAGTATACATGACACTTTGATGTTTGTTTATTAAAAATTCTAGAGGATAGTCAAGTACATGTCTAAGATTCTGACAAGAACATTTTTTGGAGCTGGGATATCTTCAGTTTCACTTCAGAATGTAACCACAGTATTTATAAAAAGAATGTAACCACAGTATTTATAAAATGTAACCACAGTATTTTATAAATTTATAAATAAGTGCATTAACATATAGTTCCAATGTAAATTTTATAAATTCTATAAAATACTGTGGCTACATTCAGAAGTGATACAGAAGATAGTTACCAAAACTCACAATTATTGCACCTAACACAGTTGGCATATGTGTAAATACAGGCCTCAAGAAAAAAATGAAAGTTGTATATGAAGAGCAAAAAAACTCCCTCCCCAAGTTGCAACCAAGGAGGGTGTTCTTGGCATCTTAGGCATATCTAAAATAGAGTGACATCTTATTTTACTAATGATCTTCCCTCTTTTTATGTCTCATTCTCTTAAAAAAAAGATAAGCTTATTGAAAGAGCAATGTAGCTGATTGTCCATAATTATTTGCTTGCATTTTCTCTTTACCCTTCCATAACTTGAATTCCAGCCTTGCTATGTCACTGAATTGCCTCTCACAAATTCAAGCTAACCTCTGTTTTATAGTATTCTATAAACAATTTGTAATTCTTGTCTTATCGAAGCTCATAGTCCTTACATTTTTGTGCTGCTCTTAGAACCACATGAACTGTTTTGTGATGCAGCCTAATTGCTTTTATTTTAAAAATAATTTTGAAGAATGATTTGTAAATTTTCAGGCATTTGAATCACTCATACTAATTTCTAAGTAATGCAAAGTGTCTATGCTTAAAATAAATGCATTAACATATAGTCCTGATGTAAAAAGCAGAATGTTCTCTACTGATTCACCTGTGAATTCTTTGCATTGAAAGGGTTAACATCTATTTGGCATAGTTTCAGGAATAGATCAGTATTCCCCAACAGTTTTTGATAATTTTTTATTAATATAATACTGTATATTCTCACTGTGAAAAACCTGCTGTTGGTTGGTTGTGGAGGAAGGTACAGTGACTTGCCAAAAATATTTTATAGAATAACTATTAGGCATTCTTCCAGTCTATGTATGTATTGGATTAATCCCGTCAATAAATACATTCTTAATGTGAGAAAATGAAATTTTAAAAATATGGTAAGAGGGATTAAGCTCCTTCTACCCACAAATCTCTCAAATTCACCCAAAATTCTCTCTCACCTTCTCTATGTACCTCATATTTACTTATAAAATTCCTACACTTTGTAATTGTTCCAGCATATAGAGCAAACTTCAGTAGGAATTTATATGACTCAATCCTATTTTCTGGGGAACATATTCTCTGCCTAGAGGCTCTCCTTGTCTGTGGTAAGTTTATTATAAACCTTGAACTTTCCAAGATTCTGGCTTCAAAGGACATACGGTTGTGCCTTTTCAAGGTAAAATTGTAGAGCTGAGGGGCAGTATGCTTATCTGAAACTGATCTTAAACTAAACGTATCAATGAAAGAATGATAAAAGAAAACAGATAATCTAAATTATAATGTGTTCTATTTTCCAAAAAAAAATAACATTTTTGAAGATTTTTCCTCCTTTGTTAATAGCCATTTAAGTTACCCAATTCCAACTTACTTTATGTCATAACTTGCCAATTCATTAAGCTTCCCTAAATTTATGGCCATCTGTTGTTCTATTTTTGCTCAAGCAGAACACAAAAAATGCATTCAACTTCACGGTGATTTGTTTTGCACCTTACTCGACTGGCAGTTTCACAATTAAAATAACACTTGTATTTTAGTAAATGGAATGATAGTCAATGGAGCTTCACTCTGTCTTCTGTTGACTCCAGATCTGAACTCAACCTTAGTAGAGTTGCCTGACTTGACCAATTATGGAGTCTTGATTGAGGAAGTTGGAAACGCCACTTTTTTATCCCATTAAGTAGAAAGGAAAAGAGAAAAATGGAAAACAAAGAAAAAGAAAAAGGGACAATAGAAAGAAGAAATGAAGAAACTGGGTTTTTTCCCGTGGTCTGCCTGAATTCTAAAATTAAAATCAACAGGTGACTTGTTCCAAACAAAATGCAAAGATACTGGGAGAAGCAACACAGTATTAACAGTAATCTCTGACTAAAAGTTTGCATACAGGGATCTAAGCAAAATGCATAAGCTTTGGGCTCCCAAGGCATAAATGATAAGGTTAAGATTACCAAAGACCAACATTTTAGCTCACAATTTTGACTGAGTCAGGCTAAAATTTATTAGCAACGCAGTTAATTTAAAGACCCTGCCTGAAGAAGGAAATACTTCATACCAGCAGATGTGGAGTTCTTAAAACTAGGAAGTCTGAAAGCATTTGTGACCTAAATGGAGGGAATCATAAAAATAAAACATATATGATTTCTTACCGTAAGAAATCTGATGTACATCTAGGCTGTCAGACTGAAGTAGAAATCATACAGCAGAAAATTTCTCTACTATAAGATATATTCCCCAAGCTGTTCTTCATTTTTAGTTATTCCTCTCACCTTCTACATCAACTTTTAAACCTCTGTTTGTGCCTTTGGTCTCTCTTTCTAAGACAGCTTATCTGTTGTCTGGGCTTCAATCATGCAGACAGATCCATGCGTAGCCTTAATTTATTAGGCTTATTTCAGATATCTGTTTCTACTGGACCTTTACATGTGGAATGTCAAATGAATTCATGGTTCATCTGGTCTTCCCAACAACTGTAGCTTAAAAATTTTTTTTAAATCTTTATACTCAGTTATTTAATTCAAGAGTAGAAGTTGTCATCATGATAATTCCAACTTTGGAGAATTCCTTTCAGCAATTACTTTCTCCTTTTATGTTACTTCTACTATTATCTAAATCCTTATCAAGCCAAACATGGATTCATCCTGCTGCTTATCAAGACTTCAATGTTCATTTTCTTTCTCTTTCTGCTACCAGGAAAATATGTCCTAGAACACTCTTTGGCCAGTTAACTTTCCATGCAAAAACTACTAATTCTCCCCATGACTCACAGCATAAAACCCAGGCATTTAAAACTATGAAAAGTCTAGAGTACTGGTACTCAAACCCCTTCCACCCCACATAACTAATCAAATCTTGTTCTAAGTCTTCAGGGAGTGAATCCTCTATACCAGGAAGGTGGGTGTTTTAGCATTGCTGCTAGAACAAATGTAGTGGCTTAAAACAAAAGAAATTTATTATTTTACAGTTTGGAGGCCAGATGTACAAATGAGTCTTAGGGAGCCAAGAGCAAGGGGTTAGCAGAGCCATTCCCCTTCTAGAGGCTGTTAAGAAGAATCTGTTTCCTCTCCTTTCCCAGCTTCTAAAACTGCATTCCTTGTATTCCTTGGCTCAGGGCACCTTCCTTCAAGGCCAGAAGCACAACATTTTCAAATTGTTCTCTGCTCCATCCTCTCTCTGCCTTGTCCTCTCTGGTAAAGTCTCCTTCTGTCTCTCTCTTATAAGACATTTGTGCTTGCATGTAGGGCTTCTGAGATAATCCAGAAATATCTCCCCATCTCAAGATTCTTGATCACTTCAGCAAAGTCCCATATAATGTAACATTCACACATTCTGGGAATTAGAACATGGATATTTTTAGGGACTATTATTCAGCCTAACACAGCAGGTAATAGTTTCTGTACTGTTCTCAAACAAACTTTCATGTGTGTTGTACAGGTTCCCCCTGTGCCACCCTTATCCAAACCTTAAAAAACCTTTCTTCTTACCAATTACTAGTATTATTCATTTTGGGGTAAAAAATCATACAATGTTTTATTTACAAATACTAAATAGCACCTAGACTCTTCAAATCAATGTATTAGGAGCTGTGTGGCATTAGAGATGTGGCCTACTCTTCCCAAGCAAAAGTTTACTGAAGAAAATAAACATGCATTGAATAAATACCAAAAAGGGAAGACATTATTTATAGTGTTTATTTATTATGTTATAGTCAAAATCTCCACTTACCTTCATTATTTTTTCCTTCAACCCTCTCTACCCAGGCTGTTTTCCCCAACATTCCACCAAAACTGCTCTTACCAAGGACCACAATTGACATCTATGTTATATGGCCATTTTGTGTTTTTATTTTACTTGATTTTTTACAACAGGATTCAAGAATGTTCTGTTTCTATCTGTACTATTTCTGTATTAGAGTT
The DNA here is from genome assembly GCF_000001405.40 of Homo sapiens. Classification (NCBI taxonomy): domain Eukaryota; kingdom Metazoa; phylum Chordata; class Mammalia; order Primates; family Hominidae; genus Homo; species Homo sapiens. The sequence goes on along the minus strand of NC_000002.12, from coordinate 166,877,801 downwards.
TTCCAGAGATACAGAAGCAGTAGGATATACACTTATCTATCTATCCAGCCATTCATCTAGAAAAGGGAAAAAGAGAGAGAAAGAGAATTCCTTCTTCCTTGGAGGTCTAGAAGTCTTGAACTGAGTGGGCAAGGCTCACTCAAATTATGGAGAATAATCTGCTTCACTCAAAGTCTACTGATTTAAATGTTAAACATACATAAAATATACCCTTACAGCAACTTCTAGACTGGTGTTTGACCAAAACCTGGGTATGAGGACCTAGTCAAGTCAACACAACAGTAACCTCATAGTCTCATTCTCTTGCTTTCTTAAACACCATACTTGCCTAATGTTCCTATTTTTTCAGTTCCCATTCAGATGCTTTCCTAAATCTTCCTGTATAGCTATTTCTGCTTTAAGTTTTTGCAGGCTGTAGCTCAGGTATAGACCTGGTATTATTTTATTTATTTTTTATCAGTACTCTCATGCTGTGAAAGCAAAAAGACACACTGAAGATTTAAAATAAAACTCTGTTTTTACTAGAAACAATATCTGGACAGCCCAGGGACTGCTGCTTTTGGGCAGGATATACTAACTCACAGAAGGCCAATTTCTGTAACAATTAGACCAGATATTTGATTTTAAAAAATCACAAATATATGTAAAAAATATAAAGACTGGATAGGCAACCATTCCAGGGAGATGAGAGCCTTCCCCAGGTGAGCTGACAATCACAAGTTGTTTCTTGGTTGTTGTTTTTTGTCTGTCAATTCTGGCTGAGGACATAGATTAACCCATGCTCCTGTACCCGAGCAAAAGGGAGCCAGGAAAATTTTAACAATAATGTGGGGCTGGGGTTAAAAACTAGAAAGTTGAAGGGCCTCCCACATGGCCACTCTTCTCCATGGGAATTTGCTGGGTTCTGGGAGTAGGTGAGAAGCTAGAGATTTAGGTCAATAGTGTCTAAATCTCAGAGTGAAATGTAGTTTCCTGGTATGTAGGAAGTAAAGATCTCCCACAGGAAATGGAGTTCTTAAGCTCACAGTCGGCTTTTCTCTTTGGACATTTACTGGATTTTGAAATTGCATGAAACTAGAATTTAGAGATCTGGGACAGAAACTCTTGAAGGCAGTACTTCATCTCTCAGTCTTTCAGAGTTGAGGAGGCAGTTGAGAGAGATTTAAAATACCCTATCACAACTCCAGTCTAGTTTATATTTGGATTAGGATGGTTAGCCCATTATCTTAATATGACTAACAGAGGTGAGGCAGTTACATACTGTAAGTTATAAAACAAACAAACAAGAAATGGAGATTCCACATGATTATCTTTTACAGAGTTAATGGGATGGTTGTATTCCTTGGCTGTGCCCCTGTCTCCATACCCAAAGCCAGCAGTAGCAACCTCAAATTAATCTCTCTCTCTCATTGTTACCTCCCTTTAGTTGTCATATCTCCTTCTCTGACTCTGACCTTCCTGAGTCTGTTTTATTACAGTCCTGCATTTACATTGGGTGCACTTGGATATTCCAAGATAATCTACTCAATTCAATATCCTTAACCACCTGTTTCTTGTGCCATGTAAGTTAACATAGTGATAGGTTTGGGGACTAAAACATTAACACCTTTGTCTAGTCATCATGTTTACCACAACTATAAACAGCGATAAAAAAATCAATTTGGCAAGCTTCATCTTTAACTCACATTTTTGCCATTTGCATTTAGTGCAATTATTGGGTCTTGAATAAATTACTTTACATTTAATCTATTATTGCTCTGCTTTTCCTATTTTTTTCTCCCCTCTTGCTTTTTATGTTTTTTTTTTGTTGTTGTTATTTTCTTATTTCATTTGTCATCTATCATACCAGGGCTTATACATTTTAAAATTTAAATTCCATTTAATTTATTCCTGGGATTTTACTATGCACATTGAACTTTCCACCACTAAAACTGTTTCTAGACACTTTATTTTAGAAAAAATGTATCTGTTAAGCTTTGTGGCTTTGTGTGTTCTCAACTTTGCAATTACATCTATTATTTCTTCAAACATTCTTAATATATAAATGGCTGTTGCTTACTTTTGCTTACTCGTGCACATATTGCCTTCTTATGTATTCAGTATTCTGTGTTTGTTGTCATTTCATCTTAATTGTAGTAGCCTTGTGACCCTAAAATTTGGGAAACTTTCCTCCAGAAAAAGTACATGCTTCTCTTGCTGAAGCAGGTTGGACCAATTCAGGGATCCATGGGGTTTTTTTAGTTTAGAATGAAAGGTAAAATAATGACTAGATAAAATCAACATAAGTAAATAAGACTCCACAGAAACTTATTTTATTCAAATATATTTATATTTTCTTTATGAACTCATTGATGTTAATATCTTCAATATGTTTTAAGCAGTTGCAGTTTTATTATGTTGGGTAATGTCCATATTTTCAAAATATTGGCCAACAGTAGCCTTTTTAATAGGATTCCTATGTCCCCTTGACATAATGCTATCAATTGTTTAAAGCATACTTTCTTTTGGCCACTTTACAATATCCTACCCAGACCTACCTTGCATCTTCATTTACCCAATCATGACATTTCCATTGCTCACAGAACCTTGAGTTCTTCTGAGAATGGTTTGTATTAGAAATCATAATGTAAGAACTGAGGTTACATATTAGGTTTATGTTTGTTGGGGTCACTGAGTTCCTAGGTCATTTCAGTGTACAAAGTTTCAAAATAAACACCTAGTTTTTTAAAAAAAAGTATGCTTCCTATTAATATTTCCACTTACTTCTAACACTGTGGTGTTTATATTTAATTTTCATTGATTCAGTAATTATTCTACTGTTTACTTATAGTGAAAATATTTCTAACAAAATGAATACATATTGTTTGTATAATAATCCAAAAATAATGATAAAATGATGTTAATATTAAAAATAAAACTACTAAAAATTTAATTAATAAAAATAAAACTACTGAATTTAGTTCAGTGTTTCCTGTATAGATATTTCTGCTTCTAGTATGCATTATAATAGGTATATATACTCAATTTACTTTGGTTTTAAAGTCACTTATAACTCATTCGGTGTCACTACGGAAGTATTTATTGGATGTATGATTTGTTGCAGTTTATTTCAAATTCAAGGTGTTACCATTCCAACAGATGACAGTTCTATACTCTTAGAAAGTGTCATTTTTAGGTGTTGATATTTAGATTGTGATGGAGAGTGGTAGAAATCACCTCTATTGGTCTACTTTATGAGATGTGGCAAGAAAAAAAAATCAGCAATTTAATCTCCAAAGCCCTGTATAAGTGTTTTATTTAGCCACCATCTGGTCTATCCGCCATGGTTACATGCTTGGTTATGGGCATAAGATTCATATGTATGAATTCAGGCTGGGCAAAACAATTGTCCTCTATATTCAGTTTAAAACAACATTAAAATCTACATGTTTTCACATATGCAATTAAATTTTTACTTTGCAAAATCTGTTTTGATATTTATCTTTCTCACTTTAATAACCTTAAATCTCATTTTCTTTTTATAAGACATAATATTCCCTTACAGCCTTAATATATCTTGCTGTGCACTATTATGCCAAGGCTAGCAAATTTATACATTTAATTCCCGGATAGTATTATCATTTAGTATCTTTCAATTCTTTATTTTATTCCAGGGTGATTTTGAGGAAGATATCTAGTACCTTGAAATGCTATATTAGTAAGTCACTCTACATACAAAAATGATTTTTGAAAATTTGCCTGAGATCCTATTTTGCATTTCATGATTCTGCAAATACATAACTAGAACCCTTTTGAATTATAGCTAGTCTAATGAAAAATTTCAATATATCTATTACTAAAATGTTGTACAAATTTAATCTAAAAGTCAATTGAAATATTAGATAAATAAAAACAGAATGTATCAAGAAGAAAGTAATTAAATTATTAAAGCACTGTTGCAAAAATATATATGACTTATACCTTGAAACTGTCCTAGATATTTCAAATACAATTTTTATACAATAAGAAAAATTTAGATTATCCCTTTCATTAAAACTCATTCATAGAAAACACTAGATTTTATAATTGTTACATGCTGATAGTCACATTTTCTCTTTTGTGTTTTATCTTATATTTATATAAATGTTTAGCTATTGATTTTGGTACACAAATGAAAAATTAGTCAGAAAAAAGAGTGCATGACACAAATTAATAATTCTGTGTGTAGTAACTGCATTTATCATTATGCGAAAATAATCATAAAATTATTTTTTAAATTAAACATTACATTTCTGTTTCATTATATATTTTACCTCTTCTTAAGACTTTACCCAAAGTTGCCTTTTTAAATCTCTAAAACAAACTTGACATATTTCAAAAAAATAGAAAAACATTAAAATTATCAAATACTTTTTTAAATACCTCTAACCTTAGGCAATTATTTATTTCCTGCTTATGTTCTATCATGAAGACAAAGTTGAATTTCTTTATAAGCTTGACACTATTTAGAAAAATAATTATTATTGGCTTTAAAATAGATAATTTTTGGAACTTTTAGTTGCATATATAGATAAGTTCATGGAGTCATTCTGTCCTTCTTGTTAGAAATATACACTCTGGCAAATTATTTAGCTACAAGTTTTTTTACCTTTTACAATAAAATCATTGTGTTTACAATAAAGTATTTAATGTTTTTGTTTGTTTGCAGGTCTCCTTCCAAATAATAATTCTTGATACCCTAAGATATCTTAACACATTTGAAAATTCAATAAATGTGTAAAATGTGTTTTATGAACCATAGCACCCAAACTTCTTTTTAAGGAAGCAGATCCTTTTTCTTTAAAACAAAGATTATCTCACATATAAAAGCAGAGTTGCTTACACATACACAAATTGAAATCTTAGTGTCAACACAATATCTCTTGCTAGACTAGGGTTCTTAATTTAAAGTACATGTCCTCTGCTTCCTTGTCTTATGCAGTCTAGGCTTACTCTGAGTAGAGAATTACTCCATTTTGATCAATTTTCAATTACTTGACTGTCTTGCTTTTAACAGCTAAATGCTCTCCTGGGTGTTCTGAGACAGCTTATCACAAAGCTCAAGGCCTCTCATGATGATGCCTCAAAGCCTCAGCCTTATTTTAAGGCTGTCTGAGGGGTTCCTGGCAATCCCAGAGGCAAAAATTCCAGAAGAGTGTGGAGACCTGATGCATATGTGGACTTAGGTAACTCCAGGAGCAGAGAAAGAGGAAGAACTCAGCCACCTGTAAGATTATTATCTCCTGATGAGGAGAGGCCAATGCATGGTTTCAGAAGCTCCTGCTCTGATATGACAGTGATGAATGAATAATCAGGAAAGTTTTTTACACATTAGACTACTACTTCTCCAGTTTTATTTCATCATGCCTTATGCAGTTTTGTAATTTCGTTGGAGTATATGGGTGGTAAAATTCATTTTCCCACACACCCCATTACTCCAGCTGGTTAGAGTGGGTTTCTTCCAGATTTCAGCATCTCTTAGATATTTCAGGATATCATGGTCCCTGAAATGTCAAGAGGAAACTATAATTTTGAATCATCTCTGTTATATCAATACAAAACTTTGCAGATTTGGAACCATACTATCTACTACTTTATAAGTGGGAATATAATGCTGCTTCTGTTCCTGGAATAAGGAAGTACCTATGGTAGGTGGATCTGGATTTGAAACAAAAACAGGGCACCTGATACTTTCAGGGCATCTTATAGAAAAGATTAAAAACTGCAGAAGTGTGATGTAGAAGCTAAACAGTGATTCAGTAATGATTCCTAACTAAAACAACAAGGTTTTTTTTAACTGAAACAGTTTAGGGTTATAACCTACAACATCAGTCCTAGACAATGGTGGAGAGGCAAAAAAAAGAATCGAAAGAAAAATTTTAAGGATTTACCCACAACTGTCCTCATCTTGTTGACTCATTCCACCGTTTTTGTGTTCTACGTGCAGTCAATACTACATTGTAGAAAATAAAACCATAGATTTAGAATTTAAAATGAGACTTTGTCATTATTTTTAAAAATCTTATGCAGAAAGAAAAAAGTTGACTGTGTTAATTATCTATTGTTGCCTAGCAATTATTACCACAAACTTAGAAGCTTAAAATAACACACATTTATTATCTCACAGTTTCGGGGATACAGTTTAGCAAAATTCCCTGTGTTCAGATCTCACAAAGCTGCAGTCAGTCAGGGCTAATGGTGCTAAGCATTGTGCTAGATACCAGAGATGAAAAAGCCAAATATAAATCAATTACTCCATGGATTATATAATATGGCAGAAAAGTATCACTTATGGAAAGGTGATTTCAATATAATGTCATTTAGGGCATAGAGAAACAGGGATTTGGTGACTGATCAGAAGTGTAGGAAAATTAAGGGAACCAGTCAAGAAGGATACCCGGTGTGTTAGTCTAACTGTGTTGCTATAAAGGAATATCTGAGGCTGGGTAATTTATAAAGAAAAGAGGTTTATTTGGTTCACAGTTCTGCAGGCTGTACAAACATGGCACCAGCATCTTCTCAGCTTCTGGTAAGGCCTCAGGAAGCTGACAGTCATGGCAAAGGGGGAGTCAGCATATCACATGGCAAGAGAAGGAACAAAAGAAAGGGGAGATGGTGCCAGGCTCTTTTAAACAACCAGCACTTGCATGAAGTGATAGAGTGAGAACTCATTCATTACTGAAGGATAGCACCAAGCCATTCAAGAGGGATCCACTCCCATGACCCAAACACGTCCCACCAGGCCCTACCTCCAACAATGGGTATCACATTTCAACATGAAATTTGGAGGGGACAGACATTTAAACTGTATCACCAGGGGTTTGACTTAAGCAATTTTTTGGCTTACTTCTGTGTTGAATATACAGAAGTAAAAACAACAATGTGCTTATAAATATACTGTCTTAGAATAAGGTAATTACATTTTATTAATATCCATGTAGTTTGTTTTATATTATACATTTACATGTAAATAAATATGGACCAGCATCATAAATATCTCTACTAGAGAAATATCTTGTTTCCTGTTGTTTATCCTTCATTAGCAATGTCATTCCCCTGACATGGCTGATTGAGCCAAGAGAAGCTATCCAACCCCAGAGGAACTAATCCATAAACTAATCTGAATTAATCAGATTCCCTTTTGAGAATTTGAACTAAGATATGCAGAAACTTAATAAGTTGCTAGCTGAGGTAATAGAAGATCATTAGAGTAAAAGTCCATGAACTCCTGCAGCTGAACTCCCTAGAGCTCTGTTGTTTTCCAGGCTTACTGACATTTAGTTGTTCTGTATTTCTTTAAAATTTAAAAATATACATTTTTAAAATAATAAATCCTTTCATCTTTGGCTGAGTAGATTTTTATTGCCTGCAAACAATTTTTCCTGCCTAAACTATGTTGAAGACTATTAACGTCTTTTGAGAATCAAAGAACAATTCTTAGATTCCACTCCAGTATCATGGGATGAGTTGTATCTACTAGAATTTAAAAGCAGAAAAGTGATGTAGATTAAGAAGCTATACTTGCTATATCTGACTTCTTTTTTATGGGTCTTTTGTTTATCGCTTAATGTATATCCTAGTATTTTCATTAACAACACATACATGTACACACACATGCACGTGCATGCGCGTACACACACATACACACACCTCTTGGTTTTCCCATCATATTACAAAATCCTAAAGGACTAGAGTACAAGTTCTTTTGTAGTCTCGGTGCACCTAGCATAGGCACTTAATTAATAATTGTTGGCTTTTTAACATTTTTATTTTTTCATATCATATTCCTAGAGATAAATGTGGACTATTAAACCTAGAAGAAAACCAAATCTTATCTTAGAACATAAAGCAAGTACCATTATTATAATCAGATATCACTCAAGAAGGTATGTGATTGAATTATGACCATGGTATTTCAAATTATTATGGGGGTCATTGAAGAGGTCAAGAATATCTATTTTTTAGTCTGCGGTTTCCTCAGGGGTTATACAAAAATTAAGGTGATTTTTCTCTACCAAGTATGATGTTTCTGTCACTTGAACTATACAGAAACTTAGTTTTAGGGAATGCCCTAGAAAAGCCAGTAAATTACTGTGTACACCATGTCTTTATAACTTAGCATCGAATTAAGATAATAAAGCCTAGAAATTCATGATTTAGAAAATCATATAAGTATTGATCCAAAACTCATTGTTTTCTATAGAGCATATTTATTATTTTATTTAGAAAATATTTATCAATACAGTCTAGCTACCAGGCACTGTGCTAGGAATGGGTCTACTGTGGGAAATAAAATGCAAAACCTGACTTCAAAGAGTTTACAATCCACTGTAAATTTATGCATACATTTATAATAAATTTAAAATAAAAAAATACAAAACAATCTATTGGGCAGAGTTTAGAAATATTTTTAATTACTTATGCCAATTCACAGATTTCATTTCTTCTGGAAATTTTATAATGAAGTATGGTGTCCCAGAACAAGCAAGTCCCCACTCCCCTCTAAAAATACATGTGTTTTCTTGATTTCTGTACTTATGCTAACAATTAAGAAGCCATTTGACTTAAACATAATATTTGAAAATGCGAGTATTCTGTAGAAGGTTTAAATCCGTGGATAACTAATTTCATGATTTAGCATTTGATTACTTTCTCAGTAGTGAAACTCACTTCACCAAGGGAAAAGTGCAGAAAGGATGCATGAAAAGTCTTTTAGGAGTATGTGAGACTGGATAATACAGTTTTCAATGTGCTACCTCACCAAGTAATTTTGTCCAGCTAAAGAGCAAGAAAGAGAGCTTGGCCTATTAAACAATTGACTCATTAGAAGAACAGAAAAGAGTTACCCTAGAAAATCATCTTTGGCATGCAAGTATTACCAGAAACAAAATTAACCAGTAAATGTTGCTAAGTTCTAACAGAGCATCTAGTATCAAAATTTCTCTAAACATCATATTTTTTCCCAGTTTTGCATTCTTTGAGGTCACAGTCATCACTCTGTTTAAAAGTTAGTTTTCAGTTTATATTCAAATATTAAAATGTAGGTACTAAATCTATTAAAATCACTATCCTCCCCATTATTCATGATATCAAGTGCTTTGAGAAGCTTTTAAAATCTCTGAATATTAGGTCAGCTCTCTGGCAGTTTACTTCTGGGACAGACGAACATGTAGCCTCTTTTTTCCATCTGAACCATCTTCTAAAACGGCAGTTCCCACCTTTTTGACACCAGGGACAGATTTTGCGGAAGACAATTTTTCCACGAGTCGGGTGGGGGTGGGAGGATGGTTTTGGTATGAAACTGCTCCACCTCAGATGATAGGGTGTTAGTTACAGTCTCATAAGGAGCATACAACCTAGATCCCTTGCATCATGTGCAGTTCACAATAGGGCTCACACTCCTATAAGAATCTAATGCCCCGCTGATCTGACAGGAGGCGGAGCTCAGGCGGTAATGTGAGTGATGGGCAGTGGCTGTAAATAACGATGAAGCTTTACTAGGTCTCCTGCCGCTCTCCTGCTGTGTGGCCAGTTCCTAACAAGCCATGGACTGGTACCGGTCTGTGGACCAGGGTTTCGGGACCCCTGTTCCAAAGGATATATTGACACTACGACTTATGCTTTCAGCCCTGCCTAAGTCCTTCAATCTTACCTGTTTCTTTCATGCGAAATATTCCTTTCATATAAAACACGTTTTCCTTAATTAGCTGAATCATCTAAATTACACCTGCTAATCTGATCCACTTCACCTAGCTTTACAAAGGAATAGCACCTCATTTACTTTCTTCAGTTTCACATAAAAAAAGAGTTCCTGATTTTAGATAGGTCTGGTTATTCATAAACAATGAATCTGTGCCCAGAAAGTTTCTTTTTACAGTGCCAGATATGAAAGAGATTTTCCTGCTTGTTTTTTTCATTCGATAAAACGATTTTTGTAAGACAACTGAAACATATCGTTCAGAACATATCCTGGAGTTAAAAATGACAAATTTGAAAACCCTAGCTAAATGTCACCCATGCAAAGTGTTTTACATATTTTTTAGTTTAGTTACATATTTTTTAGTGCATTACGCTGGCCAAAAGGGTAAATTATTTCTAAAGAAACAAAGATAATTGTGAATCTGTATTCAAAAAGTATTAATATTCTAAGAAGTGTCTTAGCTCTTAGTGAAACCCAGAACATGAAAACAACAATATATGAAACAGCTTATTTTATTAGCATGTTTTTCCTTTTTACTGAATACCAGGAATTGGCATAATTTCACACAAGAACTAACGTCATAAAATCATCCTGTAGGCATAAACATAATGTATTCCCAGGATCATTGCTCTTTTTTCTAATCTTGCTCACATGAGCTGGCAAGCTTGGATTTGCCTTTTCTCCTTCACAAGAAACAGAAAATTGTGTTTTCCTATGTCTCCAAATAATTTTCACTGTTTATAATAATTTATGGAAGTGCTGTATCATTATTTTCCAAATTCTGAATTCATAAAGAAGCATCATACTCCAAATAATTACCAAAGCCACATACAGTATATAAATATACTTTCTGACTGCCAGTTTAGTTTGTAGTTTGGCTGCTTAAAAATGCCTGCCATTTAGTCTTAGGCTTAAAACCAAGATAGAAAAAAACAAAGACTGTAATTTTCAGTCTGTCTTATACTCCTACTGGCTTGTCTGTTCTCATTTTATAGTGGACACTTCTACTTTAATTAGTTGAATCATCTAAACTACAGTGGCTCTCCTGACAACCCTTATGAATGATCAACTTTCAATTACTTATTTTGCTTATTTAATATACTATGCACACTGATTCCTGCTGTTTTTCTCTTTACCTTAATCCAATGTCAGTCTTTATTTTCCTTTAACGTTCACATTGTCTTCTTGTATCAGGTCACAATGATAAATGTGTGCAATTCATCCCAAGTACAGAGACCGTGTTGGTGTAGTTGTTCAAACACTATACTGGGAATCATAAATGAATTTGGTAATTAATTAAATCACTTTTGCTCCTTGGTTATTTCCTAAAGTATAGCATAGGAAAGGTAGGTAAGACCAAATTACAAAACTTGTGAGCTTTAGGACAAATTTTATCCATAGAATTGAATGTGTGCTGTACATATTTTTTCTTGATGCTTATTTTCATTCCTTAAAATAGCAAACTTTTTCTTCAAGTCATCATAGAACCCAATCCGCTCTATTCTCTTATTTCAAGTTCAGTTCACATATTGATAGCCTTCCTGGCCCCTGTAGGTATCTGTTTGCAACTCTCTGAGCTAGAAGAGGTCTAAGGTTCCACAGAGCCACAGGAAAGTAATAAACTTAAGGATTTCTATTTTACAGTACGTTCAATTCCATCACTGATTTGTTATTAAACATTAAACTATGAAACTGAGACATTAGGACATTAAATGTGGACAAACAATATAAGTCCCATTAGCCTATAAGGGAAGCAATGAATGATCTCATTTAATTTGTGGAAAGTTGAGTAGCAGAAACTCTGCAAATGAAATTAAGCGCTATGCCTCATTGAATGAGCTTAGAGCTCTCCAAGGGGAGATCTGAGTTCCAGTATACAGCAAATAACAGACAGTGCTTTCAATTTAGCTGTAATTTTGAAATGGTTAGCCGGCAAAAGATGTTAAGAAGAAGGATGTAAATGATCTAACTCTGCAGGAAGCCAAGGAGTGTCTACGTCAATGAAGCTCTCAAGGATCAAACTGAAATGAAAATATACTACATTTTTATTTTTATTTTCCATTAACTGAGTAATTTCCAATTTCTGTCCCCCGCATATCTCTTCCAAAGAAACTAGATTTATATTTTGTGCGATTCTTAATCAGACCTTTCCTCTCAACAGGTTCAATGATCACTTTTAAAAACTATTTTCATTATTATTTGACATTTTCTGCTCTAACATCACTTTGACACATTTCTGTGTTAAATTTCTGTGAATCAGAAAATTGGGGACAGACTGAATTGTAATCCACTTTCACTCAGCTTGCTTTCAAAATCTGTCTGAAAATATTTGCCAGTAAAGGGAAGGCTGTGATGCAGGGATTGAAAATGGGGCAAAGCAAAGGTGGCTGATGGCTCTCCAGGTGAAATCAACACTAACCTGCATCCTTGCTTCAGCATAATCTCCCTCTGCCTGCAGCAACCGTGATAGAGCTTGCATTTAACAATTCTATTTTATATAGGCCTTTTCTAGAAAAGTCATTTTCAATTTTTTTCAAATTATTTTCTAAATATCATAATTAAAGACATGACAACTGTTTAAACCCTACAGCCAGAGAAATTTTCTGTCATTTCTCTAAAAGTTGTGAGTGCACTTACAGACGTATAACTGACCCTGGGGAAAATATTTTCCCCCATTTTTCTATAAATTGAGAATCCTAAAGGGATGTCATTATCAAAATAACAACAACAAAACTTTGTGGGCTGTCTTAAATCTACAGAGAGAGAATTGTTGGAAAAGGGATAAATGTATATACCTTTCATGGAATTTTTTTTCTTTTTTCTTTTTTTTTGAGATGGAGTCTCACTCTGTCGCCCAGGCTGGAGTGCAGTGGCACGATCTCTGCTCACTGCAACTTCCACCTTCTGGGTTCAAGTGATTTTCCTGCCTCAGCCTCCCGAGTAGCTGAGATGACAGGCACGTGCCACCACACCCGGCTAATCTTCTGTATTTTTAGTAGAGATGGGGTTTCACCGTGTTAGCCAGGATGGTCTCGATCTCCTGACCTTGTAATCCACCCGTCTTGGCCTCCCAAAATGCTGGGATTATAGGCGTGAGCCACCGCGCCTGGCCATCTTTACATTAAGAGAGAGCCTTGCTGCCTTTGGATATACTCACAACTGCTTTGGAATCATGCATCACTTTTCCACGTTAGGATGCCAATGCTCCATATTTGTACATAGGTGACACTTGACCAGTGTCTCAGGGAGTGTGTGTGTCTCAGAATCAACCAGGTCTTCATGTTCAATAGTTTAGTCCAGTTTCACTTCATTGCTATATAATAATTCATTTACAATGGTGAAAGTTGTATAAGATTCAATAATTTTGGAATCTCCTTCTACAATCAGTGAAGCAGAAGTCACCCCAAAATGTGCATGCACACACATGTGCATACACACAAATGTCACACTCCTATTCAGCATGAGAAAATATAAACTACAATTACCTAGAAATTAAACATTTATAAAGTTTAGATTGATTACAATAACATCCAATATTTTTACATCTAAATGTCAGATACTAAGAGTAGACAACAGCTATGTTTTTAAGATGTAAATAGATACTCAATATTTACTATTGGCCAGTAATTTGCACACTTTCTTTCCTAGTCATCACAGTGTCCACTTAAATAAATATTATTATCTCTGTTTTATAAACAAGAGAATTGAGGCCAGAGGTATTTAAGTAACTTAGCCAAAAATCATAAAGGTAGTAAGTGCCAAACTTGAAAATTATTATTTTAACATGATTTAATGAAGTAGTGAATTTTAAAGTACATTTTATGGGGCTAAGTTTTGCCTAACCACATTACCCTTTCAGAGAGGTTAGCACCCCTTATTATTTACCCTATTCAAATTCTGTACTTTAATGGCTCATCACAATTGTAATTAAATAATTAATTTTTATTGTCTCCCTTTCTTTCTGGATTATAAATTTCATGAGGGTAGAATTGTTTACATCTTGCTGCTGCTGCATTCCGGCTTTTAGAATGGTGATTGGCATAGAGGAAGTACTGTATATATTTGTTAAAAGAAATAATTAAATGATTACACAGCAAGTCTCTAATAGGTTGGTGGATTTCCCAGGATGTATCACTAGCATATTACATTATGCTAGTTCACAACTGTGGAAATGCTGGATAAAATGATGTACTGTGACCAGTTTATGAGTACGCTGTTTAGTTATCACTAACATTTCACATGTATTTCTTTGGAAATGATGACAGTTGTTATTTACTGCTAAGGGGTGGCAGAACACAGATGTATGTCTTTAATTAGCACATTGTCATAGAAAAGAGTATCTTTGTATCTTTCAAGCATGAATAACCAAATGCTATGTGACGTTATGATAATATAATAATTATATTAGATAAATATTTTACATTTATGTCTATGCTGTGCCTGAAACTGTGCTCAACATATCTCATTTAATTATCACAACAAATGCAGTACTATGACAGGCCGTATGGATTTCTCTGTTTTGTAAATAGAGACATTAAGTATAGAGAGGATATAAACAGGATGTTTAAAGATAAGCTATTCTTTAAACAAGTTGTCTGTCACTAGAGAAAGGCTCCTAGCTGGTATATTGTGCCATTATTAAATAAAATGAATTTTTACCATGTGTTCGATTCCACAAATTATTTCTCATTACTAATGTCTAAAGGAATGGAGTTCTTTACAAAAGAGAAAATTAATACAAATAAAGTTGCAAGGATAAAAATTTTCCTCTTGCCTTACAGTAAGAGACTGGACATATCCTGATATATTTTGTATCTTTCCAAAAAGGTAATGTGAATTATTGCAATAAATAACTTAGATATTTTATCTTGTTTGACCTCTAAAACTTGCTGATATTCAATAAGGAATTAAACTGAGAAATGATGCTTCAGAAAAAAACAAAACAAACAAAAAACCTTCTCAGCAACTACCTCAACTTCCCTTATTTTTAACATCTTGAATTTGTGTAGTATATTTGTTACAATAGAAGAATCAATATTGATGCATTATGATTAACTAAGGAGTGAACATTGGAGTTCACTCTCCGTGCTGTACATTCTCTTGGCAAGTGTGTAATGACGTGTATCCACCATTATAGTATCATACAGAGTAAGTTTTATTGCCCTAAAATGTTTGGTGTTCCTCTTAGTCATCCTTTTTTAATGCTTTCTTAAAAGAAAAATTGACAGAGAAATATTACAAATGGAAAGATGACACCATTTCTGTGGGGGAGAAACAAGAGGTGAGCAGGAAGATGGCAGAGGTCAGGGAGGAGTGCGAGTTCCAGGAGCTGTCCCTCATTGACAGTACATATAATTGTGAAGCTCTTTCTGCCTTTTCAGAAGAGATTGGAAAATTGAGGGTTAAGTTACTGAGCATTACGTACGCTGCACTGATTCGGCAAAACTCATGCATAGAATTTGTTACTCCTCCTAGGAAATACACTCTCAGGCAAACTGGAACCCAGGGATCATTTTGAAATGAATAATTAGCATTTTAAAAGGCTAGTTTCACCAGAGTGCACTGCTGGAATATAATAATATTTCACAAAGAAATAAATTATCTAAATGGTATTGTTCTAGAATGGAGAGCACCAGAGTCTGCATTTAACAACCTGAAATTCTATCCTAGGACATTTTCATAGATCAGAATATGAGTAGATAGAATCAGATTTGAATGTATGAATTATGAGTTCACAGGATGTTTTGAGAGGTGCTAGGAAAACTTCTGTCCCCTTAAATATCTCTCTCCCTGGCTTGTCACACTGCTCTCCTATGATCTGAGAGATTAATGGCTTTGAATTAATTTGTAGATGTTTGGAATTAATATACGTGTCTTTTTATGTGCACTTTAGTATCATTCAGTTTGTTCTATTGTTTCTTAGTTGAGGCACTGACAGAATAGGAGATTGAATAGGAGGGAGGAAGGCATGAAACAATGTAATCTCAGAGCATTGGGAAGTCTAAGATGTTTAGGTCTGTGGAAAAAACTTAATGGCAACCAGAGGACAGTATAAGGGCACTTGGTACTCAGGGTTCAGGTAAATAGGGTTTCCAGTGGTAGAAAAGAAAGCCAAAGGGAAATTGAGAAGGCCATAGACCACACCCTGTGTTTGTCAGAGGACTGCAAAGGACCAACACTAGGCACAAGACTCAACTAAATTCAGTTTTAATCTGCTGAGAAGAAAGGCACAAATTGGTAGCATGGGTACGTTGGTCAAAAACATTCCAATGTGTGCCCTCATTATCATCCATCTCTCTTTCTATTCCAACACTGTCTCCAACCAAATGTGTCACATATTTCTAGGAAATTGGAAAGCAGCAGCAGGGGCTGACAGAGCAGACTATAACTAAGGGGTATTTGAGGCTGATGCTGACTATGTCCTGCCGACACCCCTCAAATCTTTCAAGCTGCTTGACAATTGTCAGTAACATCATCTGTGCCTGAGGGCTCTTATCATTCTCTGCTGAAACTGAAAATATCAAGAAATTAATCCTCCTCTCCCTCCTTCTTAGCATTCCCCAAACAATGACTCCTGGCTTCTTGAATTGTGTTAAATTTGAGGCACATGTTTGGCACATTTCCAGAATTTTCTCTTGGGTTTTAGTTCCAGTTGCCCACTGTGATATGTGGCTCCATAGGAACCCTTTATCCACTGCCTTCCCTTCCTAGGATCACCTCCACACTCCCAGCCAGAGTTGCTGCATTTCCCGAACAGGCCATGGTTTACTCCAATCCATGTCTCCAATTCTGTCCTTAGGACAGAAGTCAAATAATGTACAAGAAAGAAATTATGATATTACTGATGTCTGGGTATAATTATGGATAATGTTTTTTGAGGGGATTAAAATCCAGTAATTTGAAACAGCTCTTTCAAGAAACATGGACACTGAGGCTGTAGTTAGATTTAACAAAAATTTCAGAGGGAGATATTATATAGTAGACATTATACTAGGTTTAGTAGCATGCTATTTTCTTACATTCTAATTTCATTAATGGCCAGCTATGATTTTCATCCATTCAATTTGTAACCTTTGTCTTGCTAGGTTTCGACAATCAGGGGATAAATCACAACATGACATTAACAGCCAAAACATTTGATTATGCCTAGATTATCAGACAGACTTCCAAAACTCCCTTTGAAAATCCCTACACCAAAACAAAAAAATGAGGGAGGAGGTGTCTTCACTGTTTTAGCAGACGCCTGATGGTACCATAGTCTCCACAGAAATATCTGAATATTTCTGTGAGTACAGCTGTGAGTACAGCTTATAGTCCATATGAGACTCTTGCCTGCTAAATATACTCCTTTCATTGTTATCTCTATTTTAGGACATAGAACCACTAGCCACCAAGTTTCTCAAGTCAATAATCTTCTTAATTATGTTTGATTTATTCTTATCCTTAGTTTCTCAATTTTTATTATGGCATACAATAGGATGTTTGATATTTTTATATTTTGTGGCCAGATCAAGCTATTTAATGTATGCATTACCTCAAACACATTATTTTTTTGTGGTGAGAACATTTAAAGTGTACTCTCTTAGGAATTTCCAAGTTTACAATATATTGTTATTAACTATACTCACCAAGATGTACAATCTGTCGCTTGAAATTATTCCTCCTAACTGAAATTTTGTGTTCTTTGACCAACATCTCCCACTCTGCAACCTCTGGTAACTACCATTTTACTCTTTGTTTCCATTAGTTCTACTTTTTTTGACTCTACATATAAGTGGGATCAAATGGTATTTGTCTTTCTGTGCCTGGGCTAGTTAACTTGACATTCTTTAGGATCATTCATACTATTGCAACTAACAGGACTGTCTTGTTTTTTTAAGGCTAATTGTATTTCACTGTGTGTGTGTGTGTGTGTGTGTGTATTATATTATATATATATGTACTGCATTTTTACACCGTGTTTTCTTTACCCATTTATTCATTTATGAACACTTAGATTGACTCTATATCTTAGCTATTGTGAATAGTGCTGCAGCAAACATAGGAATGCAGATATCCTTTCAACATACTGATTTTATATCCTTTGGATATATACTAAGTACTAGGATTGCTAGATCATATGGTAGTTACATTTTTAATTGTTTGAGGAACCTTAAGTCCATTTTCCATAATGGCTGTATTTTTTGTGTGTGTTCCAATAAAACTTCCTTTTTTATTTATTTTATTTTTTTTTAATTTTATGATTATTATACTTTAAGTTTTAGGGTACATGTGCACAATGTGCAGGTTAGTTACATATGTATACATGTGCCATACTGGTGTGCTGCACCCATTAACTCGTCACTTAGCATTAGGTATATCTCCCAGTGCTATCCCTCCCCCCTCCCCCCACCCCACAACAGTCCCCAGAGTGTGATGTTCCCCTTCCTGTGTCCATGTGTTCTCATTGTTCAATTCCCACCTATGAGTGAGAATATGCGGTGTTTGGTTTTTTGTCCTTGCGATAGTTTACTGAGAATGATGATTTCCAATTTCATCCATGTCCCTACAAAGGACATGAACTCATCATTTTTTATGGCTGCATAGTATTCCATGGTGTATATGTGCCACATTTTCTTAATCCAGTCTATCATTGTTGGACATTTGGGTTGGATCCAAGTCTTTGCTATTGTGAATAGTGCTGCAATAAACATGCATGTGAATGTGTCTTTATAGCAGCATGATTTATAGTCCTTTGGGTATATACCCAGTAATGGGATGTCTAGGTCAAATGGTATTTCTAGTTCTAGATCCCTGAGGAATCGCCACACTGACTTCCACAATGGTTGAACTAGTTTACAGTCCCACCAACCACGTAAAAGTGTTCCTTTTTCTCCACATCCTCTCCAGCACCTGTTGTTTCCTGACTTTTTAATGAATGCCATTCTAACTGGTGTGAGATGGTATCTCATTGTGGTTTTGATTTGCATTTCTCTGATGGCCAGTGATGGTGAGAATTTTTTCATGTGTTTTTTGGCTGCATAAATTTCTTCTTTTGAGAAGTGTCTGTTCATGTCCTTCGCCCACTTTTTAATGGGGTTGTTTTTTTCTTGTAAATTTGTTTGAGTTCATTGTAGATTCTGGATATTAGCCCTTTGTCAGATGAGTAGGTTGCGAAAATTTTCTCCCATTTTGTAGGTTGCCTGTTCACTTCGATGGTAGTTTCTTTTGCTGTGCAGAAGCTCTTTAGTTTAATTAGATCCCACTTGTCAATTTTGGCTTTTGTTGCCATTGCTTTTGGTGTTTTAGACATGAAGTCCTTGCTCATGCCTATGTCCTGAATGGTAATGCCTAGGTTTTCTTCTAGGGTTTTTATGGTTTTAGGTCTAACGTTTAAGTCTTTAATCCATCTTGAATTAATTTTTGTATAAGGTGTAAGGAAGGGATCCAGTTTCAGCTTTCTACATATGGCTAGCCAGTTTTCCCAGCACCATTTATTAAATAGGGAATCCTTTCCCCATTGCTTGTTTTTGTCAGGTTTGTCAAAGATCAGATAGTAGTAGATATACGGCATTATTTCTGAGGGCTCTGTTTTGTTCCATTGATCTATATCTCTGTTTTGGTACCAGTACCATGCTATTTTTGTTACTGTAGCCTTGTAGTATAGTTTGAAGTCAGGTAGCATGATGCCTCCAGCTTTGTTCTTTTGGCTTAGGATTGACTTGGCAATGCGGGCTCTTTTTTGGTTCCATATGAACTTTAAAGTAGTTTTTTCCAATTCTGTGAAGAAAGTCATTGGTAGCTTGATGGGGATGGCATTGAATCTATAAATTACCTTGGGCAGTATGGCCATTTTCATGATATTGATTCTTCCTACCCATGGCCATGGAATGTTCTTCCATTTGTTTGTATCCTCTTTTATTTCATTGAGCAGTGGTTTCTAGTTCTCCTTGAAGAGGTCCTTCATGTCCCTTTAAGTTGGATTCCTAGGTATTTTATTCTCTTTGAAGCAATTGTGAATGGGAGTTCACTCATGATTTGGCTCTCTGTTTTTCTGTTATTGGTGTATAAGAATGCTTGTGATTTTTGTACATTGATTTTATATCCTGAGAGTTTGCTGAAGTTGCTTATCAGCTTAAGGAGATTTTGGGCTGAGACAATGGGGTTTTCTAGATATACAATCATGTCATCTGCAAACAGGGACAATTTGACTTCCTCTTTTCTTAATTGAATACCTTTTATTTCCTTCTCCTGCCTAATTGCCCTGGCCAGAACTTCCAACACTATGTTGAATAGGAGTGGTGAGAGAGGGCATCCCTGTCTTGTGCCAGTTTTCAAAGGGAATGCTTCCAGTTTTTGCCCATTCAGTATGATATTGGCTGTGGGTCTGTCATAGATAGCTCTTATTATTTTGAAATACATCCCATCAATACCTAATTTATTGAGAGTTTTTAGCATGAATTGTTGTTGAATTTTGTCAAAGGCCTTTTCTGCATCTATTGAGATAATCATGTGGTTTTTGTCTTTGGTTCTGTTTATATGCTGGATTACATTTATTGATTTGCGTATATTGAACCAGCCTTGCATCCCAGGGATGAAGCCCACTTGATCATGGTGGATAAGCTTTTTGATGTGCTGCTGGATTCAGTTTGCCAGTATTTTATTGAGGATTTTTGCATCAATGTTCATCAAGGATATTGGTCTAAAATCCTCTTTTTTGGTTGTGTCTCTGGCCGGCTTTGGTATCAGGATGATGCTGGCCTCATAAAATGAGTTAGGGAGGATTCCCTCTTTTTCTATTGATTGGAATAGTTTCAGAAGGAATGGTACCAGTTCCTCCTTCTACCTCTGGTAGAATTCAGCTGTGAATCCATCTGGTCCTGGACTCTTTTAGTTGGTAAGCTATTGATTATTGCCACAATTTCAGAGCCTGTTATTGGTCCATTCAGAGATTCAACTTATTCCTGGTTTAGTGTTGGGAGGGTGTATGTGTTGAGGAATTTATCCATTTCTTCTAGATTTTCTAGTTTATTTGCGTAGAGGTGTTTGTAGTATTCTCTGATAGTACTTTGTATTTCTGTGGGATTGGTGGTGATATCCCCTTTATCATCTTTTCTTGCGTCTATTTGATTCTTCTCTCTTTTCTTCTTTATTAGTCTTGCTAGCGGTCTATCAATTTTGTTGATCCTTTCAAAAAACCAGCTCCTGGATTCATTAATTTTTTGAAGGGCTTTTTGTGTCTCTATTTCCTTCAGTTCTGCTCTGATTTTAGTTATTTCTTGCCTTCTGCTAGCTTTTGAATGTGTTTGCTCTTACTTTTCTAGTTCTTTTAATTGTGATGTTAGGGGGTCAATTTTGGACCTTTCCTGCTTTCTCTTGTGGGCATTTAATGCTGTAAATTTCCCTCTACACACTGCTTTGAATGTGTCCAAGAGATTCTGGTATGTTGTGTCCTTGTTCTCATTGGTTTCAAAGAACATCTTTATGTCTGCCTTCATTTCCTTATGTACCCAGTAGTCATTCAGGAGCAGGTTGTTCAGTTTCCATGTAGTTGAGCAGTTTTGAGTGAGTTTCTTAATCCTGAGTTCTAGTTTGATTGCACTGTGGTCTGAGAGACAGTTTGTTTTAATTTCTGTTCTTTTACATTTGCTGAGGAGAGCTCTACTTCTAACTATGCGGTCAATTTTGGAATAGGTGTGGTGTGGTGCTGAAAAAAATGTATATTCTGTTGATTTGGGGTGGAGATTTCTGTAGATGTATATTAGGTCCGTTTGGTGCAGAGCTGAGTTCAATTCCTGGGTATCCTTGTTGACTTTCTGTCTCATTGATCTGTCTAATGTTGACAATGGGGTGTTAAAGTCTCCCATTATTATTGTGTGGGAGTCTAAGTCTCTTTGTAGGTCACTCAGGACTTGCTTTATGAATCTGGGTGCTCCTGTATTGGGTGCATATATATTTAGGATAGTTAGCTCTTCTTGTTGAATTGATCCCTTTACCATTACGTAATGACCTTCTTTGTCTCTTTTGATCTTTGTTGATTTAAAGTCTGTTTTATCAGAGACTAGGATTGCAACCCCTGCCTTTTTTTGTTTTCCATTTGCTTGGTAGATGTTCCTCCATCCTTTTATTTTGAGCCTATGTGTGTCTCTGCACGTGAGATGGGTTTACTGAATACAGCACACTGAAGGGTCTTGACTCTTTATCCAATTTGCCAGTCTGTGTCTTTTAATTGGAGCATTTAGTCCATTTACATTTAAAGTTAATATCGTTATGTGTGAATTTGATCCTGTCATTATGATGTTAGCTGGTCATTTTGCTCGTTAGTTGATGCAGTTTCTTCCTAGTATCGATGGTCTTTACAATTTGGCATGATTTTGCAGTGGCTGCTACCAGTTGTTCCTTTCCATGTTTAGTGCTTCCTTCAGGAGCTCTTTTTGGGCAGGCCTGGTGGTGACAAAATCTCTCAGCATTTGCTTGTCTGTAAAGTATTTTATTTCTCCTTCACTTATGAAGCTTAGTTTGGCTGGATATGAAATTCTGGGTTGAAAATTCTTTTCTTTAAGTAGGTTGAATATTGGCCCCCACTCTCTTCTGGCTTGTAGAGTTTCTGCCGAGAGATCCGCTGTTAGTCTGATGGGCTTCCCTTTGTGGGTAACCCGACCTTTCTCTCTGGCTGCCCTTAACATTTTTTCCTTCATTTCAACTTTGGTGAATCTGACAAGTCTTGGAGTTGCTCTTCTCGAGGAGTATCTTTGTGGCATTCTCTGTATTTCCTGAATCTGAATGTTGGCCTGTCTTGCTAGATTGGGGAAGTTATCCTGGATAATACCCTGCAGAGTGTTTTTCAACTTGGCTGCATTCTCCCCGTCACTTTCAGGTACACCAATCAGACATAGATTTGGTCTTTTCACATAGTCCCATATTTCTTGGAGGCTTTGTTCATTTCTTTTTATTCATTTTTCTCTAAACTTCCCTTCTCGCTTCATTTCATTCATTTCATCTTCCATCACTGATACCCTTTCTTCTGGTTGATCACATCAGCTCCTGAGGCTTCTGCATTCTTCACGTAGTTCTCGAGCCTTGGCTTTCAGCTCCATCAACTCCTTTAAGCACTTCTCTGTATTGGTTATTCTAGTTATACATTTGTCTAAATTTTTTTCAAAGTTTTTAACTTCTTTGCCTTTGGTTTGAATTTCCTCCTGTAGCTCGGAGTAGTTTGATCATCTGAAGCCTTCTTCCCTCATCTCATCAAAGTCATTTTCCGTCCAGCTTTGTTCCATTGCTGGTGAGGAACTGCGCTCCTTTGGAGGAGGAGAAGCGCTCTGCTTTTTAGAGTTTCCAGTTTTTCTGCTCTGTTTTTTCCCCATCTTTGTGGTTTTATCTACTTTTGGTCTTTGATGATGGTGATGTACAGATGGGTTTTTGGTGTGGATGTCCTTTCTGTTTGTTAGTTTTCCTTCTAACAGACAGGACCCTCAGCTGCAGGTCTGTTGGAGTTTGCTAGAGGTCCACTGCAGACCCTGTTTTCCTGGGTATCAGCAGCAGTGGCAGCAGAACAGCAGATTTTCGTGAACCGCGAATGCTGCTGTCTGATCGTTCCTTTGGAAGTTTTGTCCCAGAGGAGTACCCGGCCGTGTGAGGTGTCAGTCTGCCCCTTCTGGGAGGTGCCTTGCAGTTAGGCTGCTCAGGGGTCAGGGGTCAGCGACCCACTTGAGGAGGCAGTCTGCCCGTTCTCAGATCTCCAGCTGCGTACTGGGAGAACCACTGCTCTCTTCAAAGCTGTCAGACAGGGACATTTAAGTCTGCAGAGGTTACTGCTGTCTTTTTGTTTGTCTGTGCCCTGTTCCCAGAGGTGCAGCCTACAGAGGCAGGCAGGCCTCCTTGACCTGTGGTGGGCTCCACCCAGTTAGAACTTCCTGGCTGCTTTGTTTACCTAAGCAAGCCTGGGCAATGGTGGGCGCCCCTCCCCCAGCCTCACTGCCACCTTGCAGTTTGATCTCAGACTGCTGTGCTAGCAATGAGCGAGACTCCATGGGCATAGGACCCTCCGAGCCATGTGTGGGATATAATCTCCTGGTGTGCCATTTTTTAAGCCCGTCGGAAAAGCACAGTATTAGGGTGGGAGTGACCCGATTTTCCAGGTGCTGTCTGTCACCCCTTTCTTTGACTAGGAAAGGGAACTCCGTGACCCCTTGCACTTCCCGAGTGAGGCAATGCCTCGTCCTGCTTTGGCTTGCACACGGTGCACTGCACCCACTGTCCTGCGCCCACTGTCTGGCACTCCCTAGTGAGATGAACCCGGTACCTCAGATGGAAATGCAGAAATCACCCATCTTCTGTGTTGCTCATGCTGGGAGCTGTACACTGGAGCTGTTCCTATTCCCATAATGGCTGTATTAACTTGTATTCCCACCAGCAATATTCGAGGGTTCCATTTTCTCCCCATTCTCACCAACGTTTATCTTTCATCTTGTTGATAAAAGCCATTCTAACTGGTGTGAGCTGACATTTCATTGTGGTTTTAATTTGAATTCTCCTGATGATTAGTGATGTTTAACTCTTTTCTATATAGCTGCTGGCCATTCATATTCCTTCTTTTGAGAAATGTCTATTCAGTTCCTTTGTTCACTTTTAAATCAGAATATTTGTCTTCTTACTATTAAGTTGCTTGAGTTTCTTATATGTTTTGGACATTGACACCTATCTGCTGTATGGTTTGCAAATATATTCTCCCACTCCACAGGTTGTCTCTTTACTGTGTTGATTGTTCCCTTTGCCAAAGCATTTTAATTTGATATAATCTCATTTGTCTATTTTTTTGCTTTTGTTGACTGTGTGCTTTTGGGATGATATCCAAAAAATCACTTGCACAGGCAAATGTTATAAAGTTTTTTCCATTTATCTATTCTAGTTTTTTTTTTTTTTTTTTTTTTTAGCATTTTCAGGTCTTACATTTAAATGTTTAATCCATTTTGAATTGATTTTTGTAGATGGTGAGAAATGAGATTTTTTTTTCATTCTTCTGTATATGGATATATATTTTTCCCCTCACCGTTTTTGAAGAAGCTGTTCTTTCACCATTGTGTGTTTTTGGCTTTCTTTTTTATTAATTTTTACTTCTTATTGTCAATTGCTAAGTTATAGTTGTGTATTATATATATGTATTACAAAGTGATGTTATGATTTATAAATACTATGTGGAATAATAAAATCAATTTAATTTGAAATTAGAACATTTGAAATTGACTTCCTTTGAAATTTTTAACTCAGCAATACATTATTATTACCATATTCACCATGCTGTGCAATATATAGAAAGAAAAAAATCATATTCCTGTTGAATGAAGGCTTTACACTCTTTAACCATCATCTCCAAACCCATCAGCCTCTGGGTAGCCACCAGTCCACTCTGCTGCTTTGAATATAATTGTTTTTAGATTTCCATATATGAGAATATGCTCTATTTGTCCTCCTGTGTCTGGCTTATTTCACATAGAGTAATGTTGTCCAGTTCCATCCATGTTGCTGCAAAGAACAAAATTGTTTTCTTTGAAAAATCTGAACAGTGGTCCACTGTGTACATGCATGACATTTTTATTATCCATTCATCTGTCGATGGACATTTAGATTTTTCCACCTCCTGGCTATTGTGAGTAGTGCTGCAGTAGACATGAGAGTGCGGGCATCTCTTTGACAAACTGATTTCAAATCATTTAGGTGAAGATACAGAAGTGAGATTGGTGAATTATATGGTAATTCTATATTTAGTTTTTCGAGGAATCTTCATACTGCATGCTACAAAGGCTATAATAATTTATATTCTCACCAACAGTGTGTAAGGATTCCGTTTTCTCCAAATCCTCACCAATACTTGTAATATTTTGTCTTTTTGATATTAGCCACTCTGACATGTGTGAGGTAATATCTCATTGTATTTTTAAGTAACATTTCTCTGATAATTAGTGATATTGAACATATTTTTCATGTATCTGTTGGCCATCTGTATGTCTTCATTTGAGAAATGTCTATTAAAATCATTGAACCATTTTTAAATCAGATTATCTTTCTATAGAGGTGTTTGAGTTCCTCATACAGTCATGCATCACTTAACAATGAGGATAGATTCTGAAAACTGCATTGTTAGGCAACTTTGTTGTTTTGTGAACATCACAGAAGGTACTTACTCAAACCTAGATGTTACAGCCTACTACACACCTAAGCTATATGATATAGCCTATTGTTCCTAGACTACAAATATTTACAGCACATTACTATACTGATTACAGTAGATGATATGGTTTGGCTGTGTCCCTACCCAAATGTCATCTTGAATTGTAACTCCCACAATTCCCACGTGTCCTGAGAGGAACTAGTGGGAGGTAATTGAATCATGTGGGTGGGTGTGGGGGTCTTTCCCATGCTGTTCTCCTGATAGTGAAGAAGTCTCATGAGATCTGATGGTTTTAAAAATGGGAATTTCCCTCCACAAGCTCTCTCTTTGACTGCCACCATCCATGTAAGACATGACTTGCTCATCCTTGTCTTCCACCATGATTGTGAGGCCTCCCCAGCCATGTGGAACTGTAAGTCCACTAAACCTCTTTCTCTTCCCAGTCTCAGGTATGTCTTTATCAGCAGCATGAAAACGGACTAATACAGTAGAAAATTGTCACACAATGTTAAGTATTTGTGTATCTAAATATATCTAAACATTTAAAAGATACAGTAGAAATAGGGTACACTCTTATGGGACCACTGTCCTATATGCAGTTTGTCATTGACTGAAATGTATTATGTGGCACATGATTGTATATGTTAGATATTAACCCCATATTGGACATATGGCTTGCAAAAATTTTCTCCTAATCCATAAGTAGTCTCTTCACTCTGTTACTTGATGTTTTGTTGTGTAGAAGCATTGACATCTTTCTAAAAAATCAATTGATTGTAAATGTGTGGATTTATTTCTGGCTCTCTATTCTGTTCCATTGGTTTATGTCTTTTTTAATGCCAGCTCCATGTTATTTTGATTTCTATAGTTTTGTAGTGTGTTTTACAGTCAGGTAGTGTGATGCCTTTAGCTTTGTTCTTTTTGTTCAAGACTGCTTTAGCTACTTAGGATCTATTGTGGTTCCATACAAATTTTAGATTGTTTTTCTATTTCTATGAGAATTGTCAGTGGAATTTTGATAGGAATTGCACTGAATTTTTAGATCACTTTGGGTAGTATACACATTTTAATAATATTAATTCTTCCATTTCATAAACACAGGATATTTTTCTATTTATTTGCGTGTTCTTCAATGTCTTTCATCAATGATTTATAGTTTTCAGTGTACAGGTCTTTCATCTCTTTGATTAAATTTATTTCTAAGTATTTTAATTTATTTTTTGTAATGAATGAAAATGGGATTGTTTTCTGATTTCTTTAGTGGATAGTTTGTTGTTAGTGTACAGACGTGCTACTAATTTTTGTAAATTTATTTGGTTTGCTGAAACTTTACTGAATTTGTTTCTTAATTCTAAGAGTCTTTTGATAAATTCCTTAGCATTTTCTATATATAAGATAATGAGTTCTCTTTTTTCTTATTGGTTTCAGTAAATGTTTACTGATTTTGTTTATATTGTCAAAAAACCCAAACCTTAGTTTCATTGATGTTTTCTGTAGTATTTTCTAGATAAAATATTTAGGAATAAATTTAATCAAGGAAGTAAAAAAACTGTACACTGTAAACTATAAAACAATAGATCAATAAATAAATCTATTTCATTTAGTTCTGTCCTGATCTTTATTATTTTCTATCTTCTCATAACTTTGTGTTTATTTTTTTCTGCTTTTTTTTCTAAATCCTTGAGGTGTCAAGTAAGATTGTTTTTTGGGGACCTTTCTTCTTTTTCAATGAAGGTATTTATTACTTCAAATTACCCTTTTACAACTGCTTTTGCTGCATTGCATACATTTCAATGTTGTGTTTCCATTTTAGTTTGTCTTAAATAATTTTTAATGTCTGTTTGAATTTTTTCTTTACGTCATTGATTGTTTAGGAGTATGTTGTTTAATTTTCACAGATTTGTTAATTTTCCTAAATTCCCTCATTATTAATTTCTAGTTTTGTACTGCTGTGGTCAGAAGAGATATTTGATATTATTTCAATCTTCTTAAATTTGTTAAGAGTTGTTTTGTAGCCTAACATAAGATCTATATACTGGAGAAGTTTCGGTGTATGATTGAGAAAAATGTATATTTTCCTGCTGTTGAATGAAATGTTCTGTGTATGTTTTTCAGGTCCATTTGCTGTAAATTTATAGTTCATACTCAAAGTGCTCCTATTGATATTCTGTCTGGATGATCTGTTCATTGATGAAAGTGAGATATTGAGGTCCTATATTATTATTGTATTATAATCTATCTTTATTTTCAAATCTATAGATACTTGCTTTATATATTTAATTGCTCTGATATTTGGTGCATATAAATTTACAATTATTATGTTTTCTTAATGAATTGATCCCCTTATCATTATAAATTATCCTCTTTGTCTGTCATTTTACAGTTTTTCATTTACAGTCTACTTTAAATATAGCTCTCCCTACTCTCATTTGGTTTCAATTTGTATTGAATATCTTTCTGATGTTTTCACTTTTAATCATGTGGATTCATAGGGGTAAAGTAAGTTTCTTGTAGGCAGCATATAATTGGGTCTTTAAAAAACCACTTATCCATGCAGTCACTGTTTTTTTATTGAAGAATTTAATCCACTTACATTCAAAGTAATTATTGATAGGCTAAAACTTAATCCCAACATTCTGTTCATTGTTCTCTAAAATATCTTATTGTTATAACAAGCTATTTTAAGCTGATAACAACTTAAATTTTATCACATTTTTAAAAACAATTTTTTTCCACAATCTTCCCACAGTTTGTATTTTTAATGTCACAGTTTACATCTCTGTACATTGTATATCTCCACATCCTCTCCAGCATCTGTTGTTTCCTGACCTTTTAATGATGGTTATTCTAACTGGCATGATATGGTATCTCATTGTGGTTTTGATTTGCATTTCTCTAATGATCAGTGATGATGAGCTTTTTTTCATATGTTTGTTGGCCACATAAATGTTTTCTTTTGAAAAGCGTCTATTTATATACTTTGCCCACTTTTTGATGGGGTTGTTTTTTTCTTGTAAATTTGTTTAAGTTCTTTGTAGATTCTGGATATTAGCCCTTTGTCACATGGATAGACTGCAAACACTTTTTCCCATTCTGTAGGTTGCCTGTTCACTCTGATGATAGTTTCTTTTGCTGTGCAGAAGCTCTTTAGTTTAATTAGAATGCATTTGCCAATTTTGGCTTTTGTTGCCATTGGTTTTGGTGTTTTAGCCATGAAGTCTTTGCCCATGCCTATGTCCTGAATGGTATTGCCTAGGTTTTCTTCTAGGGTTTTTATAGTTTTAGGTCTCACATTTAAATCTTTAATCTATCTTGAGTTAATGTTTGTATAAGGTGTAAGGAAGGGGTCCAGTTTCAGATTTCTGCATATGGCTACCCAGTTTTCCCAAAACCATTTATTAAATAGGGGAATCCTTTCCCCATTGCTTGTTTTTGTCAGATTTGTCAAAGATCAGATGGTTGTAGATGTGTAGTGTTATTTCTGAGGCCTCTGTTCTGTTCCATTCTGTTCCATTGGTCTACATGTCTATTTTGGTACCGGTACCATGCTGTTTTGGTTACTGTAGCCTTGCAGTATAGTTTAAAGTCAGGAAGCGTGATGCATCCAATTTTGTTCTTTTTGCTTGGGATTTTCTTGGCTATTCGGGCTCTTTTTTGGTTCCATATGAAATTTAAAGTAGTTTTTTCTAATTCTCTGAAGGAAGTCAATGGTAGCTTGATGGGGATAACATTGAATCTCTAAATTACTTGGGGCAGTATGGCTATTTTCATAATAATGATTCTTTCTATCCATGAGCATGAAATGTTTTTGCATTTGTTTGCATCCTCTCTTATTTCCTTGAGCAGTAGTTTGTAGTTCTTCTTGAAGAGGTCCTTCACATCCCTTGTAAGTTGTATTCCTAGGTATTTTATTTTCTTTGTAGCAATTGTGAATGGGAGTTCACTCATGATTTGACTCTCTGTTTGTCTATTATTGGTGTATAGGAATGCTTGTGATTTTTGCACGTTGATTTTGTATCCTGAGACTTTGCTGAAGTTGCTTATCAGCTTCATGTTATCTGCAAACAGGGATAATTTGACTTTCTTTCTTCCTATTTGAATACCCTTTATTTCTTTCTCTTGCCTGATTGCCCTGGCCATAACTTCCAATACTATGTTGAATAGGAATGATGAGAGAGAGCATCCTTCTCTTGTGCCGGTTTTCAAAGGGAATGCTTCCAGCTTTTGCCCATTCAGTATGATATTGGCTGTGGGTTTGTCATAAATAGCTCTTATTATTTTGTGATCGGATTTGCAGCTGAATTCTACCAGAGGTACAAGAGGAGCTGGTACTATTCCTTCTGAAACTATTTTAAACAAGAGAAAAAGAGGGAGTCCTCCCTCATTTCATGAAGCCAGCATCATCCTGATACCAAAACCTGGCAGAGACACAACAAAAAAAGGAAATCTTAGGCCAATATCCCTGATGAACATCTTGAATCTGTTGGAGATAACTGATGCTGGAGCCAAGCAGACAAAGACAGAGTTGTTCCTAAAGAAAGCCAAAACTATCCAAATCCCATCTAATATAGATGAAACCAACCAGTTTGTTACTTGCGTTAGGACTGGGGAGAGGAATTACTTGATGAGTTTTGAAGGTTCAAAATCAGCCCAGGATAACCATGGAGCTTTGGTTGAAAGTGTAAGCACTCACAGGGCATTATGGCTCCAGGGTCAGGGCATGCATTGGGTTGGAAAAGATAGAAGTTCCTTTCCTGAAGCAGTTCAACACTAGCCACTTCCTGAGTGGGGGAGAGGTGTGCAGCCATTTATACCTCTCTGGAGTTCCTTGGTGGCTGTGGTTTTTAGTTACCTCAGTGGCAAAACATGCTGGTGTCCTCTGTGGAGTAGGCTGCTGGAAGCCAAGGTGGTTCCCACTGCATAGCTGATACTGATATCCTCCACCTTGCTTCTTTGCCCCTAGTCATATTCTGGTATCTCAGATATGACAGTCTCAGCAGTAATCTTTTCCAAGTAGGTTTTCTTAATTTTTTTTCTTTTTTTGCTCCACTGTACAGCTACAGATTGTAATGGGCCTTCAAACGCTCTCTGGGCCATTTTGGGTTGTGGACAGCTATTTGTATGGCTTTTTGTGTGGGAATGGAGGGTACCCTCTCCTATTCTATCATCTTTGTGTCATCACCTTTTTTGGTCACCCAGATTGACCAATCAACAAGTCCTATCATATTAACTCCTAATTGTTTGTTGGTTCTGTCCATTTATTTCCAAACCATAGCAATATCTTAGTTGAAATCACCATTTTTCACTTTGAAATTGTCATACTATCTTAAGAGTGATATGTTTCCTAATAAGATCTACTCTTATTTTCTATGCTCCACAATGCAGCCTAAGAGAATTTTCTAAGGCATAATTCTGACTTGCTTGCTTAAAATGACCAATTATTCCCATTACTCAAATCACCAACTTTTGGTATGCTGGACAAGGTTTTTTATTACTTGGCCCCTGAATACTTCTTTAGTCTCATCTTACTTCAGACCCCATTCAGATTCCACATTCAAGAAATACTCGAGATCTTTTAAGTTGTTTATGGCTTTGCCTATTTTGCAGGTGTTCTTGGAGAAAGAACTTATAGAATTATAGGTATCAACAGAAATAAATTCTGTAATTTCCTTTCCCTTTCCTTCTACCTTCTACCTCCCATTCCCATGTAATATCTACCACGGGTCTTTTATGATATTTATTCTCTCTGATCTATTCAAGAAAACTTCATCTCTCCTCCTTACCATCACCATAATCAATACATCTCTCTGTTATAGACTTTAATAATAGGAGTCTTCCTTTTAGACTACATATTCCTTGGGGGAAAGGACAAGGGACTATGAACCTTGAGATGTTCAGGGAACCAGACAATGTTTAGCACAAGTAGGACCTCAATAAAATAGTTGTCAAATTGATAAATAAGCGTGGATTGTATCTTTTTTCTTCTTTTGTTTTGTTTTTTGGTTTCTTTCCAAATCATTAATGATAAATTTCTATTCCATCTCTCCTGGTTTTACATGCTCAGATTCTCATGCTTATTCCAAATAGATTTTGGAGAAAATTACTTTGAAAACTAATCTGTAATATGTTTGAAGAAAAAAGAAGGATAGGAAGAAAAGAGAAAATGAGAAGCAAAATATTTTCTGGACTTATATTCTTGTTTACATTTCTACGGAGAAATTGAGCTCACAGAAAGAGCAGCAATACCATACCCCTTCTCCCTCAGATTTATTATCTTGCTCTGTCTCTCCTCTTCTAGAGCCATATTTATTTTATGCATATGTGGTCTCTTGATCTTTTCCTTCCACCTTTCCTCACATTTCCAAGAGTTCCATCAGTCTCTAATATTTTTTATACCTTGGAGAATCCACACATATTGTGGAAACATTTTTTCTTACTCTTCAGTTTTCACTAATATTGCTTTATGTTAAAATATATATACTTTCCAGGAAATGAAAGATATAAATATGGGCTCATAAACTGGATTCTAAAATGATTATATTATTAGTAGAAAAGATACCAGTAAACATTTTCACTCCCTGGATTTTATATTCTACTTGAATAAATAATAAACTGAAAAGAAAATAGCACCGAAGATTTCTTAATCATGATTTTTGATACATAGTTCACGTTTCTGTTCCCTATCTTCCAGATCATTATAGCCCTGATTAAGAGCATCTTGAATCTGTTGGAGATAACTGATGCTGGAGCCAAGCAGACAAAGACAGAGTTGTTCCTAAAGAAAGCCAAAACTATCCAAATCCCATCTAATATAGATGAAACCAACCAGTTTGTTACTTGCGTTAGGACTGGGGAGAGGAATTACTTGATGAGTTTTGAAGGTTCAAAATCAGAAGTGTATGCTGATGACTAACTGAATGATAAACACTTTTATTAATTAAGGGACAGAACTCAAAATCACTGCCAAAATTTAAGTTTTTAAAAGCAGTTACAGAGAATCAGGATGCACAGCTGAGAAATTAAAATTAATATGGTTAAGGACAAAAACAACTGTTATCAAGTTATTTGCAATTTAGTACAATTGTCTGGAAAGGGGTTTGGTGTCTGCAGCTGCCTTGAGCATATCAATTGTGACATTATATGTGGATAAAATATTCATGATTAAAGGCAAGAGATAAGAAAAACAGAGATTTACATTCCGTCATTCTTTATTACACTTTGGGCCTCCATCATTTGTTAGCAAACAGTACAAAAATATAGCCAGGTCTGGAAGAAAAGGTCTGTGACAGACAATAATAAAATATAGATGCCTTTACTTTCCAGTCTTTTTAGAGTAGATCTTTTAACAGTCTGAGAAACAAAATGCCAAGGTCTTACTTGGTAGAACAATAGTATACCGAGCTCTTTCTTGGAGTCCCTATTCAAAGTGACCTCAGCCCAATAATGTCACCCAGTTCCCACAGTTGGAGAAGAAAGCTTTAATAATTTTAAATCCTCTCAGGATATTCTGGAACCTTTCATGAGGTCTTTAAAAGTTTTCTTTCTTGTGACCTCTACATAGAAAAACACCAAGCATTATCATTTAAGTGCTGATGTCTGTTTAAATAAAGAATGCCACTTCATGTGGTGTCTGAAGCTAGAAACATATGGAGACATTAAGAAAATGGCTATCAAGTAGAATTGCATTTCCTAAAATGACATACATTTGTTGCTTGGCAAATATTAGATAATAAAGATTTTTGAAGAAAGTTAAAGTCGTTGAATTTGTGAAGAAATGAATTTCATAAAACCTGTGAGCTAATTTCATGTACCATTTGGACAATGGGACAAAGGGGAGTTGGTAGAATTATAAAAATAAGAGACAAGTATAGGATTAGAATGAACTAATACTAGTATGCCAGCAAGGGAATTAGCATAGTAGAAATGCAATTTCATAGGATTTGTAGAAAAGATTTACCATTAACAATCTAAGATCTGTTGTAGGAAGAACTTGATCTTTCGCATGATGGCAAGAGCTGCTATGGAAATAAAGTAAATTTATGGAGCCTTAATTTAGAAATAAAAGAGGAAAAAGCAGGTTCACAAAAAAAAATACAGAAAATACTATAGCCAAAGATTGGTTTCAAAAGTTGTTAACTCATCTCAGACAATAGCATGTAATTGGACATAACCTGGGCTGTGTGTGCTGACCTCAGATCAGTCACTACTGAACCTTGGACAAGTCTCTTTACTTCTCTGCATCTCAGCATTCATATTTGCAAAAGGAAGAGGTTGTATTACATGATTGTTGAAATTCTTTCTTGTTCTGTGATTCTGTAAAATGCTGCTACTAAAGGATCTAATAAGAAATTTCACTTTATATATCAAATTGTCCCTAATCTTATACAGATAAACAAAATAAGCCATGGCACAGGTAATATAATAGAGACAACATTCTATCACTATACTTTTCAGTCTTACCCCTGAGGCTGCATATAATCTATGTTAGAATGTAGTTGAAAAGTAACAGTCTACACTTCATTGCAGCAGCCTACATAGGCTGTATATTTGTTGACAGGGTAATCTTATTTCTATTTGGAATGAGAAAATTTGACAGTCATAAAATAAATCTATTAGAAGATCAAGGAAAGGCTGAGTAGATTATTACCCTAAATATGGCTTAGAAGTTGGCCATTATGGTGCTATTTATAGCAGAATGTTGATGTATGCCTTAAAACATTTCTGAAAGGATATATTCCAAATGTTTTTCTTTGGTGACAGAGGGCAGGAAAGAAAATATGGGTGTTTTCACCATTTTAATGATGTTAACTATTTGAATTTTTAAAATTAGTGGAGATATTTCTATAGTCCCTCATAAATAACATAAAGATGCACATTTAAGAGATCAGTTGTGGCCCTAGTGAGTAGCCGTTAACTTGTGAGTATTGTGAAGGTCATTTTCCGTTGGACCAAGAGGTGCAAACACCAAAGGAAAAGGAACCAACCCCTACCTCACTCCAAGTCCATACTTTTGGTTACTTTTTGGAAAAATCCCTGACTATGGAGAGTTAGTTAAATCTAACCTTTACTGATCCAGTCCCTGACTCTTCAAGATGAAGAGGATAAGATTGGGGCAAGCCGTGACTTCCTGTAAGGCAACTAACTTTTAAGGTCAAGACTATGTTGATGGTACTCCTAGATGTTATGTATTCCAACTCTGCAGATTGATTTACTAATAGGACCTTGTAAAATGTCTCTGTCACAACCTGGTAAATTGTGCAGTTTCAAGAAGTAACATTCATCATGACCAAATGACACTGATAGGATATAATTACCTATTATATATTTTTTTCAAATCTTCCATTTCTTCCAGTAAGCCAGTGTAGGAGATCCACCCCAAAAACATGGAATCTAATATAAAAGGAACCAGTTCACATCCGTTTTGGCTGTCTAGGGAAAAACAAATTCGCTGGCTTCACTAACTCTCTGCAACAGTAAAATTAATGATGAGAGGCACTATGGGATAAAAGAGAATTTGGGGGTAGTTTTACCTTTGATTATTCAATTTCTAAATATATGATGCCAAAAACGATGATGAGGGAAAGTAGGCCAACAAACTGTGTTCAAAAGCATCGGGTGCTTCAACGGAAAATAGAAACAATCGTGTAGTGAAATGAGGAATTATACACCTGTAAAAGTCCCCAAGCCTCATTAGCATCATTTATCAAAATAAAACATGATAGCTTCAGTTTGCAAAGAAAAATCGAGGCTGCTTAGGTGCTTTGTTCTATTTCTTTCCCCTCTTGAAAAATATTAGGCTATTTGCTAACAATGGTTCTTTTTGTTAATGCCAAACTGCACAAATCCGCATTCCTAAATAAAATGTTTCATGGTGAGTGGCAAACATTTTCTGATTTAGTATGACAGGGAACACAAACTAACAGCACGCTAGGCAGACAGCAGCAAAAATCTAGTCACTATGGGAGGCAGCCAAGGGTATCTATTTCCTGTTTTTACTCCTTTTCCTTAAGTTGTCTGATGCAAAAGGGCCAATTACCCAGGTGCTTTATGCAAGCTATGTAAATGCCCCAACTGGATGGTCCAGTTATCTGAGGGATTTCTGAATCCACAGCTGGCTAGATTTAGACAAAGAAACTGTGGAATCATCAGGTCTTACAGACTAAAAACAAACAAACAAACAAAACACAATTATATGCAAACAAATACCTTGCCTCTAATTAATTTCAAGTACCTCTGTTTAGTGGGTTACTGAGTCATAAAACAAAACACAGAATTTGCAAAAATTGTAACCATGATATAAATGATGTGATCTTATAAGTGTTTTCTCACAGGGGATTCAGGTAGATTTTCCTCTTTAATTCAACCTGTTTCAGATAACAGGACTTGCATTGTATCCCTTAGGGCATGTATCCACTAAGGCAGAGATCTCATTACAGCATCACAAAATGTTTTGATATCCAGTTCCTTCTCCATTTTTTTAAGTTCTCTGGACTACCTTAAATACACCTGCTCTATCACTTGGCTTTGGGTTTCACTGGGGCCAGGGTAATTCCAAGAGTCACTTGATGCGTTCTTCTGTGCCTTTTGCTCTGTCCTTACCTTAACCCTCCCTGTCCCCTGCTCAGGCTGCAGGCAGCCATGTCAGACAGACTTTTGTTTTTCTGGTATTCTTTCTTGTTTCCTTGTCCTTTATTGTCCCCTTCTGTAAGTCTCTTCTCTCATTCCTTTTTGGCTGCCTCAATTTTAGAGAATCCTTTACCTCTTTTTCCCAATGTCTTTCGAGAAAAAATTCTGCTTTTTCATATCATTACTGATTGTATTCTTTCTTTACTATCTGTCAAAGATGATAAATTTCCCCTGCAGTTCTGACCATATCAAAAAGCAATTTTAAATATTAATCGGTTGATCTGTTTATCTTTTCATTTAAGAAAAGCCCTAAGAATTTCAAGTTTGATAATTATAATAAGTCAGCTTAAAAATAGGGGTGGGCTTTGCATTATGGGAGGTTACTTGGTGGTTACAATGTATGTTGCTCCAGTGATGGATGCACTGAAGGCCCTAACATTACCACAACAAAATATATCAATGTAGCAAAATTGCACTTGGACATCATGCATATATACAAATTTTTAAAATATGCATGGTTAGGCATAAAAGATTGAGAGAAAACAGAAATACACTGAATACTTAGGCAGCCAATGTCTTTTTGGTTTTAGGTGCAATTTGTAGGGCCAAATGATATTTGACTTAAGTGATTTGGGGATTTAAAAAAAAAAAAAAACCTTTAATCTTTGTTTGGCAAGTTTGTTTCTGACCTATCTGCCAAACAATCAATCTAATAGCTACCTACTTCTAAAAACACTGTGTAAAAGATTCTGCCTGAACATGAGGTTCTAATTCATTCCCTTTCCCTCCAGAAATATACTTATTCACATTTTCTTCATTGGGTATACATTTTCTTCTGGGAATGTAAAATTGCATTAAGTCCTCCATCACTCAATACCCTCATGAGTGAGCAAGGAAACTTCATTTATTGCATTTTCCTCCATCTTTGGTCTGACAGTTGATTGGTTAAACTTTTCATGTGCTTGATCATGTTTAATCATCCCATGCTCTATAAAAGAAATGCCATTATCCACATTTTTACAAAGTGAAGGAGCTGAAATTGAGAGAGGTAAAATTTTTTGCTGAAGATCACAGCAGTAGTATGTGATAGAAGGGTCCTGTTATATTTATTAGTTTATTTATGACTAATAAATATTAACCTGAATTAAAGTTTTGTTTTCTACAGACTAAGTGTTAACAATATGTATTATTAGATTTGAGGAGTGTGACCATTATGCAAAAACCTTGTCTAATTCTGCTCTCTTTTTTCGTCTACACCAACCAGGGAATAGTATATTTTTATTCTTCTCTTTTACCAGTCTCTTAATTTATATGGATTCAATCATTTATAAGATGTATGCGAAGATAGTTTGGGAATCTTATCTTGTTTAAGAACCAATATTATGAAAAATACCTATTATCTAATGGTCAAAAAGACAGATTGGATTAAATTTTATCTACCGACAATAGCTAAACAGTTTTTTAGGATTATTTCTTTATTTAAATAATATGGAATTCTGAATTGAAGTTTCTGCCCCCATTTCATAGAAATGTGTAGTTTTTATTGTTTAGCTGATTCTGAAGCCACAACAATTGAACTAAGAGTTAGTGCAATGCAAGTTAGAAAAAAAAAAGGCAAAGTGAGAGGCAATGAAAATTACTATCATTACATTATGTTCAGTTAAGCGAGGTAATTTAGTTGAAGGTATATACATCTACAAATCAAAATCCTTTTGGTGACCATAGACTTGCAAATGTTTTGATAGTTCTAAAGCTTGCAGATATTTTTGTATAGATCACTATGACATAGACTCATTTATCTGAAGCAATTTCAGTCTTTTACTCATAGATAAATTAAAAAATAATGTAACTAATTTGGGCAATCGATATTATATTGTCTGTTGTAGAAATGGGAAGACCTATAGAGGCAGCCAACTATTTCTCTTTCTGTGTTTATATCATGTTTTTCCACAGAATAGCTGAACATTTCCCATAATTTTTAAAAACATTTAAAATGTTGTTTTGTAAAGACTATAAATATTATATCAATAATTGCAGCAAAATAATAACTTTTTTCATAGAAGTTTGAAAAAATGCATATTGGATTTGAATTCTTAAAGTAGATATGGTGGAAAATTCAAGAAGCAAAACTCATATTTCCCTTT
Source organism: Homo sapiens (assembly GCF_000001405.40). Taxonomy (NCBI): domain Eukaryota; kingdom Metazoa; phylum Chordata; class Mammalia; order Primates; family Hominidae; genus Homo; species Homo sapiens. The sequence goes on along the minus strand of NC_000002.12, from coordinate 166,839,163 downwards.
TTACACAGGCAAGTGGTATTTTTTACATTGTATTAGAAAATCTGAAATTTGTTTAAAATGTAATTAAAATGTGTAACATTCTTTTATCAAAAATATAATGCCCTGAGAAGAATATTAAGTAGTAGTTTGATTTTTCAAGCATTTTTAAATAAATGGGACATATAGCTGTGGGAAAACAATGGATAATTTTATAAGATATAATAACTCCTCACACAACTCTTCATTACATTCATCAGAAAGAGAAACTATTAAAAATTTTAATATGGGGTCTATTAGACATTTCAGGACACATAAAACTTCTTTGAATTATGCTTATTTTTCAAAAATATCATATTAAATTTACTTGAGTTTTTAGGAAACAATATAATATGGACATTTTATATGTACAAACAAAAATATTTTTTAAGTTACTTTGACATTTTGGATGTATGGCTGAATGAATAAATAATATATTTTACACTTGTCTTTGCTATATTTTTTAAAGCTGTATTAATTTTTAACTAGCCACTTTACTCAATCCTTTTTTGTTTTCATAATCAGGCAATTCTTTTGGATTTTCAGATGGAGAGATATACAATTAGGATAAGTACCAACTTTTCTACTTTTGTATATTTAAATCATTTTTCTCTGATATTAAAGTAACTACTATTTATAGAGTGATGCTAATTTTCATGAGATAGCTTGCATTCTTATGTTGTCCTGATTTTAATAAGAATAATCTAGATTTTCAACTACTAACTATGGAATTGATATCTGTTCAAGGTGGTCTCTTGTCTTATCCCTAATTCTCACCCTTACCCTTTTTTTAAATTCTTCTCTCAAACTTTAATTATATCAGAATTTTTCTATCTGATATTTGCAAGAGTTTCTTCTCTGTTGTAAAATTAGAAATAAATCTTAAATGACATCGTTAAAAATGTTTTTAATTTAAAATGTTTTTATAAAATGTTTAAGTCATTTGTTTGCAATTCACATTCATCTGTGATAGAACAGCTCCATTTGGATCTTCTCTTTCTCTAACTGCATAGTGGATTCTTCTCGACACCTTTCTACCTCATATGGGCCCTGTTTCTTTCAATGTGCCATGCTCTTTTCTCCAAAGAAACAACTTTATAAATGTGGATAGGTTCCCAGACTGGCTGTCAGCATTCTAATTTACCAGTGATCAATGATTTAACTAAACTAGATTACTAATGCTATGATTTCAAGTATTTAGCTAGAATTCATAAAGTTAAGGCTAGACAGATGCCAGCTGTTCTTCTGGCATAGATAGGTGTTGGCAATGTAGAGAGCCATTATTTCCTTTATTTCTTAGATCGCAACATGATGTAAAATTAACTATGTCTTCTAGCCAGTCGCCATAGCTGTTGCTGCCCAGCCTGCCAGGCAGGCCCATCTCATTCCTGGCCCCATGGGTCTGAAGGCTTTTCTAATGCTTTTAGCAGCCTGACATGCCATGGAATCTGTCTATTTACCTCTGTTTCCCATTGATACTATCCTCATCCTTGCCAACATCAACTCTAGACATCTGCTATTGCATTTCTACTCTTGACCTCTAATATCCATCTATTCAGCTTAGAGCAGCCAGAGCATATCAATAAAACATAAATCAGATCACAGCACTTTCATTTCTAAAACTACACGTGATTTTTACTTGCACACAGGATAAAATGTACCATTTTAAAGATAATCTACAAGGTTCTTCCCAGTTGATCTACCTCACTGTTACTCACAATACAAATGCCTCACTGAACTTTTGTTTCTGAAAAGTTTGCAAGCCTTTTCCTGACTCAGTGGCTTTGGACCTGTAGTTCTCTTTACCTGTAAACCTCTTCTCCCAAAATATTTCGTGGACAGTTACATCCCCAAATCTCAGTTTCAATGACCCTTCCTCCAATAAGCCCTCCCTGATACCTTACTCTAAATTTCTATACCCTATTATAGCATCTCATAGCATACAATTATTTTCTTTTCTATTACATATAATAATTGATAATTATATAATGGCATATTACTAATGGTTTTTGTCTATAAGCTCATATGTGCTTGGGTTTTTTCCTCTGTATTTGCAGGATTCATACATAGAAGTTATGGCATTAAACATATAATATTATCAAAATTAATTAAGAGATGAGTAAATTAATAGATAGATGAAATAGACAAGTATGCTTCACCAGCACCTAAACAGATCATTCTATTGAATTTACATACCAAATTTTATTTATTTGAGAGCTATTTATCAAGATCTATGCCTGAGAATTCTGTGTAGTCATCATCCAAAACGAGTGAGCTCTATCCTGAAACACTTTACACCTACTTATTTCCCCATTCTCCTCACTGCTCATTATCCTAAACCAAGTCCCAAGAGATACCTATTCTTAGTTTCCTTCTTTGTACTCAGTCATATTCCAGTCAGGGTTGACACATCCACCAGTCTTCTAAGTTTATGTCCTATTCAATGTCTCAAACTTGCCTTTACCACTGTCCACCAAAGATCCAGATCCAGAGATTCATACTCAACACTGAGTCTTGTTACCCATCTATATTTTGCTTACACTGTATCATATTAATAATCTAGGTTTATCTTTCTCCAGCATTTTTTCATGTCCTTTTCTAGATGCCTTATTATACATAGAAGTTAAAGAAAGCATTTGATATTTTTTGTGTTGATAAATTTTTGTGTATGTAATATGGAGTTTTGAAAAGGAAATACACATTTTGTCCAGGCTTTCCACCTATAAAAATTGTGGGAGCTATGCCATTTTGGAGCAGTGACCAGTCTTTTATTTTCAAAATGTTATACTTCAGTGATCCAATCAGAATCTCCTAATGGCATCCTAAGACCCTTATATAGGAGACTAATGTGCATAAGAGGAACAAAATACGAAAAATTACATTTCACCTGTTCTTCATAAAAATTAATAATAATTAAATACAGCAAATAAGTAGGGTTTGGAAGGAAGGCTGTGCATTTTTAACATTATCCAAATTGTTTTTATCCTCCAAACAGATCTTTTATCTTTGAAATTGACAACAGCCCCTGGGATGGGGCATATAATCTAGATTTGAGTTAGTCAGACACAAAGCCAGACAAAGTCAACCATCTTGCTTAAAAATCCCTGAGTCCTTTCTTTCTTTTGAATCTACTTCAAGGAAGGAAATGTTATATTTAAATTTAAACGAATGTTGCAAATCATCTTATTTGAGGATAAAGGTGGCTCATTTGTCCAGACAGTTGGCACAGGAAGAGAAAGGAGAACACAAGTTCTTCTGAGATTATAATAATTTCACCTATATTAAATACTTCCTTAAATAGATATGATGACATACTGTAAATTTATTTCAGTAAATTATTTCTTTCTTTAGAGGCTCACCCAAATGAACACTTATAATTTTCATTAGTGCCTGTGTATTTTCTCAAGAAGCTATGATTTCAGCAGTTTATTTTTGCAATTTTCTCATAGGCTTTCAATAATGTATATATATATACACACATACACATACACATACATAATATGTTTCTATATACATATATACACACACCTACATGCATCATACATATATAATATTAAAATACATCATGCATAAACATTTCTGGAAGAAGTTATTTTCTTTTATTTTTCCTTTTTTAGCTTTCTGCAATATTTGAAAAATTACATGAATATGTTTATGAATTTACATTCCTTTTAGGAAAATTAAAAATAAGATCTACCTTAAAATCTAGAATTATAGTAGACTTACAGAAATGAATTGAACCTCTGTGTTCATGACAATGAAATTGTAAGTCTGAAGGTAACATGTATGTATAGATCATTTTCTTGAATTATGCCTTTGAATTACGTACACTCTGAGGCCTGTAGCGGGACAGGTCTCTTAGCTGGTAACTGAAACTAGCAGGCCACATAGCCTATCCATTTTAGGATGATTCCGTTGTTCTGTATTTGATGCTGGACATCCAATGAACTCTTTTGAAGTGATAAGTCTATCAGTAAGAAATAGTCCCCAAGAGAAATTGGCTAATACGGAAAGCAAAAAGGTCTAAAGCAGTGACTGTTCTAAGCCAGAAAATGAAAATCTGTCAGAAAGCTAAGAAAAGTGTGGCTTAAATATATTAACTAATAAATGTAACCAATTAAGTGGCAGAGACAGGCTGTGAACCTTAACAGTCCGGCTTTCACCATTTATTCTTTCCTGTAGGAAATATGGAAAAAGATTAGGGATAAAATCTTTCACCAATGGCTCCAGGCAGGAAGAATAAAAGGTTTAGTCAAAATGGAAATTATAGTTGACTTTTAAAAATAAAGGTGTGGCCGGGCACGGTGACTCACACCTGTAATCCCAGCATTTTGGGAGGCCGAGGGGGGCGGATCACCTGAGGTCAGTAGTTGGAAACAAGCCTGGCCAACATGGTAAAACCCTGACTCTACCAAAAATACAAAAATTATCTGGGCATGGTAGCATGCACCTGTAATCCCAGTTACTCAGGAGGCTGAGGCAGGAGAATTGCTTGAACCTGGGAGATGGAGGTTGCAGTGAGCCGAGATTGTGCCACTGCACTCCAGCCTGGGTGACAGAGCAAGACTCTGTCTCAAAAATAAATAAATAAAATAAAATAAAATAAAATAAAGTTGTATAAAGATAAAAGGTGATTTAACTGAATATCGATTCACATAATTATTTTTCAATAAGAAACAGGGAAAAGGGCAATTGAATTTTTTTTAAATGATTGTAATTATGGTAAGAAAAGTTTTCCCTTTTTTTCTTTCTTTCTCTTTTTTTTTTTTTTTTGACAGTCTCAGTCTGTCACCCAGACTGGAGTACAGTGGCATGATCTTGGCTCACTGCCACCTCTGCTTCCTGAGCTCAAATGATCCACCAGCCTCAGCATCCCGACTACAGGCATGCATCACCACGCCCGGCTAATGTTTATATTTTTAGTAGATACGGGGTCTAACTATGTTGCCCAGGGTGGTCTTGAACTCCTGGGCTCAAGTGATCCACCCACGTAGGCCTTGCAAAGTGTTGGGATTACAGGCATGAGCCATAGAACCCAGCCAAGAATGAGTTTTCTGCATTGAAGTTACAGATTAGATCACTTATTATTGATCACTGATTATTGCAGAAATATTTCCTCTCAAGCTGAACAAGACTATGGAAGAGAAGATTTATGAGTTAGGTGATGTATACAGTACAGATGAAGAAGGCTTATAATGGAAGAAAATGTCTTTATAAACATAGATTTCCAAAGAGTAATAAACTTCAAAGATTAGTGAACAGGAGCTGACTGACCTTTCCACTTCATGGCAATGCTACACAATCAATGAGTAAGCCAGGATGGCTCTACTGGTTCAAAAACCTTAGAGAATGAGGAGGCAAGGATAAAACCTTCTGACTTATATGTTAATTATCTCATAAAAAAGATTGGGTCATGGGACCACTCTTTATAGGGCTGCAGAACTTTGTACCAATAATGAAGAAATGACTTATTTCCCAGAAACTTAAATCATTATGAAGAATATCCTCAACCTTGAATAAAGTTTACTTTTTGTGCAGATGAATATTAATTTTACATCTTCCTTTAATATTATCATATCCCTCATCTTCTCAGTGAGGGTGTTGTAACCTATTTCACAGTGTATGAGATATATTGAATATCCACCTCCACCAGGAAAATCAGGATGAGGATCTCAACATTACTGTCAGCTCATGCTGGAGACAGTAAAATTTTGGGGACTGTGTAATGAATACTAACATGAGAATAAAGGTTAAAAAGTCAGAAATGGTAAATACTTTCACAAAAGTGCTAAAGAAAGAGAAAGTGTATGTCTTCAGGCAACTTCCACAGAAAAAGCAAAGCTTGTCATACTTCACAGAATACAGGTGACTAAATTTATGTAGAAAGGCTCATGGAAGAGATTTGAAGCAATAATATAGTTCACATGTATTGATTTATATTTGTGTATCAGTCAGATATCAGCTAGAATGATAGAAGTTATTCTGTCTTTTGAGCAGAAATTGTGCTAATAACTTTTAATTGAAGTATAATATATATTCATACAGTATACATATTGTAACTGTACAGCATACATATTGTAACTGTACAGCTCAATGGATTTTCTTAATGTGAACACACTTATCTCTGCAGCACCCAGATTAAAAAATTGAACGGTATCAGAACGTGAAAAGCCCATATCACACCCCATTTCTGTCATCTCTCCATCCAAAGATATGAATACAAGACTTAGAGAATAGCTGGAAAGGTTAAAAACAAAATTCGTTGAGGCCACTGCCAGCCTTTGGGGAATCAGTAAATATAGAAATCAGAAGGATGCCACCATGAATGATCCCAGCTTCTTGCAGATGTTGGGGTGTCTCAGAAAGAAAACTGGCTTACTATTTGCCTTTGCCTAATCCCCTGACAACAATTGCAACAGGTAAGAGATTCTTTTCTGTCTTTCAACTATTGTGCCACTGACTCTCGCTAGGGGCCATTTCTTTAAGAGAATCTTAGAAATGTAATAATAGGCTTAGATATGAGCTGTCCAGAAATGTAACATTTATAAAAATCCTGGGGGCAACAGAAAAGCTTAGAAAGGTAGGGATGATACTGGGCATCAATCTGGTCTAGTCTGGTCCATGCTTAACTTCCTGACTTCTTTATACACTCTTATGCGCATATCTAAATTGTCAAAACAACATGGTGCAACTGTTCATCACACAAATAGAGATCCACAGAAATGAAAATGAAAAAAAAATTGCTGTAAGTAACCCCATCCATTTTTGAGTGATGCTTACGTCTTTACTTGATCAGTCACAATATGTAACTTAAAGATCAGTATAACACCTTGTATAAACTATTAATGGAGAAACGGAGAGGGAGAGGGAAAGCAGGAAAATTGTGTGTGTGTGTGTGCGTGTGTGTGTGTGTGTGTGTGTGTGTATGTAGATAGATGAATGGATGACAGATGATAGATATATTTAGCTACTGCGTTCTTGGGTAATGGAAAATACCCAGTGCCATTACTCAATGCCATAAATACCTTGCAAATGGCTTTTTTTCTGCCATGACTCATTCTGTTTCTTCCCCTCAGTATGAATGCCACTATTAATGGTTCTTCACTTGTTGGGTGAACAAGATCTTCATTCACAAAGGTCTGAGCAAGTAATTAGGGGTGCCTGAAAGCATCCTTTGGGTTCTAGACGTATACTTTTTCTTGTTCCTGCTGTGGAGCAGAAATCATAATTCCCCTTAATGGTTGGGATCCATCATCCCAGATAGTACAGTAGTCTCTTCTTTGTCTATTGGTTCAGGATGAGAAGGCACTTCACTTGGCCTGATGGAAGCCTCAATTTCCAATTTGATTTGGTGATAGTTGTGTCCCTCAGTAAAAGCACAACTCCCTTGAAAACTACTATTCACAACCAACTTGAGCCGAAAGATGCATAGATGAGAATCACAAGTTATACAGGTCACTTCCAGTTCCACCCTTGTTTCCAGGACACATATCTTCTTCTGGCCATGGGACAAAGTGTTCAGATTTTTTTAAGGATATAAACTAAAACTTGTAGGTCACAATACAAGGCATGAAGGCTTTGTCTTCACCCAGCTTTGTCACCATTCTATCTGTCCAGTTGCTTCTGCATGTTGGATCCATGGTAAAATCAGTGATCCCACCAGCGTGAGCATGTTATCTCACTTATGTTGCTTTCTAGTTGTTTCTAAGAAAGTTCCAATCAAAATCATAGAAGATCGTTTCAAAGAAATTGAAAACTTGATTCTAAAACATACACGGACATGCAAAAAATCTAAAATATCTAAACAATTTTAAAAGAGAACAAATTTGTATTTCAAGGTTTGCTGTAAAACTAAAGGAATAAAAATAGTGCATCTTTGACAAAAAGACATATAGATAAATTTTAAGAGAATTTAGAAATAGCCTCATGTTTATATGGTAAATTAATTTTTGACAAAGGTACCAAAGTAATTTGATGGGGAAAGGACAGCAATTTCAATAAAAATTACTAGGACAACTAGATAGTCACATATAAATGAAATTCTATACTTATCTATTACTACAAACAAAAACTAAATGAAGGTAGATAATAGATCTAAACATAAAGACTTCTAAAGTTATATAAGAAAACGTAAAATGTCTTTGCATCTTTAGAGTAAGTAAAATTTATTTCATAGACACAAAGCAAAATCCATACAAATTGATCAAATTAGGATCATAAAAATTAAAACTTTTGTTGTCCAAAAGACAACATTATTAAAATGAGGGGGAAACCCATAGATTGGAAAACAAATACTTGCAGTGAATATACCTGTCAAAAAACCTCTATCCAAAATATATAAAGAACTCTTACAACTGAAGACTAACCATCCAATTTCTTAAACAGGCAAAAGACTTAAATAGGCACTTTCACAAAAGGATATGTAAGAATGGCCAATAAGATGCTTAACATCATTAGGAAAATGTGAATTGAAAATGAAATATGATTTAACACCTATTAAAACAGCTAATATTAAACATACTGACAAAAACACCTATTGGTGAGTATTCGGAACAACTAGCCCTCTCATATCCTGTACGTGGAAATGAAAAATGATACTGTTATTCCTGAAAAAGTTTTGGCAGTTTCTTGCAAAATCAAACATGCTCTTAACTTTGACATAACAATGCCAAATTTATGCATTGCTCAAGAAGAACAAAAACATATATCTACAAAATGCACAAAAATGTTTACTGCAATTTTTTTGTAAGAGCCAGTAACTGGAAATGACTTACATTTCTGACAATTAGAGAATGAATAAACAAATTGTGGAATGGAATAAAATGGAATGGAATCCTACTCAGCAATATAAAGTAATAAACTACTGACACATTTAACAACATGAATGTATCCCAAGAATTACATTATGAATAAATAAAAAAGGAGGAAGCAAAAGATTACATGCTGTATGCTTCCACGTATATGAAAATCCAGGAAAGACAAATTTAATATATATTTGTAGAAAGTAGAGCAGTGTTTGCCTGGAGCTACAGAGGTTAGGGTAGGGATTAAGAAAGGACATTAAGGACTCTTTTGGGAGTGATGGTACTCATCCATATGTTAACTGTAGTCATAGTTATAAAGGCGTATGCATTTGTCTAAACTCATTAAATTGTACTTTTAAAGTGTGTATATTTTATTATAAACAAAGTAAAACAATATAGTTTTTTTTTCAGTTGCTTCTTGATCAAAAGCAATATTTGAGCTGCAGTGCATACATAGCAGGCAGGATTCAACATGATAGTGGATAAATCATTCAGTAAGCCTATAAATATGGTAAGTGTATAAGCATTGTGAGAAGGAAAGGTACATCTATATCCAGAATAAGTATCCAATAGGTTGAGGGGAAAGGGGGGTGAGCAGGAAGATTTGGAACTACACATGGTCCTGTAAGAATTGAATTCATAGTGTTATTTAAGAAACAATCTGTCATTTATAAATGTGTCCTATACATTTCACTTACTCATTGTCAGAATTTTGTGAGGTTTTTACTGAGGGTCCACAAAAATATTAGAAAGAACTTTCTCAATTGTAAACTGATTTAATCCTACTCAGCAGAACACATCTTCATCATTGTCATATGTAAAGTAGATCTGATTACACAAAGAGTGCAGCAACATTTGTTATCATCACCATTTCAGATTGACAGATTCAGGTAAGCTCGAAGTGAATGTTAATAATGAAAAGAATTGATTGCCATATAGTGTGTAATTTTAGTAAAAACTTATTTTAATTGCTGTATAAATGCATTTAATCTTATCCATAGAAATTATTGAAGGCACAACATGTTACTTAAAATTTTCAATTATATTTTATGTAATATTACAAGGTAAGTATGCTAAAATTGCACTTATTGATTTGAGAATTCACAATCTCTTGGTATATATCTCTTTTGAATAAATGAGTAGCCTGTTGTACTTTGTCATCGAGTCTTATTGCAGTGAAAAATTTTAACTCAACAACATTACTTTTTGCACTCACAGCTTGAGGTGAATATATGGAAACTGATTTTGTATTCAGCCACTTATAATTCTCACTGACATAGCAATAAAATGTGTTTTGTTTTATTTCTTCATTAAGCAAAACCTTTTCTGCTAAAGCATCATATGAAGTTCAACTACTTTATGAACCATATTTGGCACTATAAATGTTATTTTAATGGAGAAATATAATAACAAAGAAGCTTAAAACAGAGTTAAAAAGATTATATATAATATGCCCAAATTACATTACTAGATTCAGGCCAGAAAATAATTTTTCAAACCAAGAATAATGTCTATCAAACAATTTAGAATATAAAATATTACAGTTTTAGAGAATTTCATAAGTGCGCTATTCCACCCTCTCAGAAAATTGAGGACCAGATAAGTTAAATAACATGTAAAAGTTTGTGTGGTCCCCACAATTGAAGCCTTGATTTAATCTAATGCCAGATTTCTTCTCACAATTTACATCTAAATATATTAGAAATGAGGAGTAAATACAAAATAAATACATAAAATTCTGCCAACACTCACAATTCTAGGTATAAACATTTCTCTTCCATGCGTCTTCTGCAATACTAAGCGGCTTTTTCTGAACTTTTATTTGTTCTAAGTTTCACATTTATTCATCTTTTTATTGTGGACTACTCCAGGAATCCTATTTTTTAATAAAAGACTTTTTTTTTTTTTGAGACGGAGTCTCACTCTGTTGCCACGGCTAGAGTGTCTGTTGCCCAGACTGGAGTACAGTGACACGATCTTAGCTCACTGCAACCTCTGCCTCCTGGGTTCAAGTGATTTTGCTGCCTTGGCCTCCCGAGTAGCTGGGATTACAGGCGTCTGCCACCATGACCGGCTAATTTTTGTACTTTTTAGTAGAGATGGGGTTTCGCTATGTTGACCAGGATGGTCTTGAACTCATGACCTCAGGTGATCCACCCATCTTGGCCTCCCAAAGTGCTGGGATTACAGGTGTGAGCCACCGCACCTGGCCGACTTTATTTTTTAGAACAGATTTAGATTTACAGAAAAAATTAAAAGGGTAGTACAGTTTAGATTTACAAAAGACAATTGAGAATATAGTTTTCATATACCCTCACACTTAGTTTCCCCATTATGAACATTTTTACATTAGTATGACACATTTCTTATAATTAATGAACCAATATTGATATATTTTTATTAAATAAGTCTATGGTTTATTCAAATTTCCTCAATTTTTACGTAACATCCTTTTTCTATTACAAGATATCATTCAAGATCCCTCATTACGTTTAGCCATCAGGTTTCCTTGGGCTTTCTTAGCTTTGACGTTTCTCAGACTTTTTTGTTTTTGATTATGTTGATGTCCGTTTTGAGGTGTACTCATCATGTGTTTTGTAGAATGACCCCCAATTTGGGTTTTGTCTGATGTTTTTCTTATGATTAGACTGGAGTTATGGGTTTTTGCAAAGAAAATCACAGAGGTAAAATGACACTTTCATCATATCTTATCAAGGGTACATGCTATCAATATGATTTATGACTGCTGGTCTTGACCTTGGTCACCTGGTTGAGGGAGTGCTTTCAGAATTCTCGGCTATAAAGTTACTTTATTCATCCCCTTTATATATTATACTCGCTGGAAGGAAGTCCCTATACACAGCCTTCACCTAATGAGTAGTGATATGTTCTCCCTCCTTTAAGGCAGAGTATCTACATAAATTATTTGGAATTCTTTGGCATAGGATTTTTGTTTTTCTCCCACTTTGTAATTTATTTGATAATTTATTTATGTAAGCATGGACTCATGGATATTTATTTTAAATCTTGGATTATAATTCATCACTTTTCTGTTGCTCTAATGGGTCTAGCTCTGACTACTGGGAGTGATTTCCATTGGCTCGTGTGCCTCTTTGCCACACTCTCATCAAGGAGGGTTTTTCAGGTTTTGGTTTTTTTCTTTAGCACGACTTTACTTTCTGGCACTACAAGAGGCCCAGGTTTATCTTGTCATCTCGACTCCAGTCCTAGAATCAGCCAGTTCACCAAGGAGCCCTGGTTCCTTTTCTTGGAGAATGATATTAGAAAGCAAGACCTAGGTGCAAATTGATCCTGGAAGCATACTTCAATTCAGGGTTTCAGTGTCCTTTGTCCTGCTCCAGTAAAATTTATGAGGCAGCACAAATATATTATCAAAGATAGTCATTAGTAATTTGTTGGTAATGTGTTACTTGCCATCGTATTTCTTTTAGAAGCTGTGTATTATATGTATCAAAATGAATATTGTGAATCCTCAGTGATTTGCTCCATTTGTTTTGACTTTTTAATAATCCTTTGTTGAGTTGAGTTACTCAAAATCTCCCTTCACTTCCAGACCCCAGAGAGTTGATAAACGGAATGTGCAAAAATGTCAAATAGCCTCTTCCCTGAGTTTAGGCCCTTGTGCACTTTACTGGATTAAAGCTGCTCACTAGATTTTTAGCTTCTGTTTTTTAAGGAAGTATTCTAGAATATTTTCACTTGGAAAGTACATTTCCAGACTTTGTAAAATTGATGCTCATCAAACAGATTTTAAGAAAGAACAAATGAGTTCCTAGGAGAAAAAAGGGAGGTTGGGGAAATAGCACTATAGTTGTGTATTTTAGGAGAGGTTGGCATCATTCCAAAATTATAACAGTATAGCTTTTTCTTCCCAGCTTTCAGCTATGAAATATCTCTCTATAGTGCCAGATTATGGATTTTCTCCAAAGATATTTCATACTCAGAGAATAAAAATAATAAAAACAATCTCTTAAGAGGATTTACTATTGACTTTCACAATACTAGACCTACAAATATTTTCAATTTTCCTCTAAAAAGGTATTCAATGTTAAAATATTTGTTCTTCCTTCATATTTATTGAAATTATTTGTTGATAATCTATTCAATGTTATCCTAGCCTTTTAGGCCTTTTTACATGCCAATACTGTTCATTAAAGCTTAAATCAAAAGGGAAGATGGTTGTACAAGAACAGTTTCAATGTGGATACATCAATTTTGTTCTTTTAAGCTGAAGGCTTGTGAGGAGAACAAGCTTATTTTTAATTTAAGTAATTTAATTTAATAAAACTAAAATTTAATAATTTTTAATAATTATAATAAAATTTAATAAATTTTATTATAATTTATTATAATAAATTTAATTAATATATATTAGTTAATATATATTAATAATTTATATATTATTAATTAATAATATAATAAATATTAATAATTAATAAATTAATAAATTTAATTAATATATTATATATAAAATATATATTATAATATATTATATATAAAATATATATTATAATATATTATATATAAAATATATATTATAATATATTATATATAAAATATATATTATAATATATTATATATAAAATATATATTATAATATATTATATATAAAATATATATTATAATATATTATATATAAAATATATATTATAATATATTATATATAAAATATATATTATATTATATATAAAATATATATTATAATATATTATATATAAAATATATATTATAATATATTATATATAAAATATATATTATAATATATTATATATAAAATATATATTATAATATATATATTATAATATATTATATATAAAATATATATTATAATATATATATTATAATATATTATATATAAAATATATATTTAATATATATATGATAATATATTATATATAAAATATATATTATAATATATATATTATAATATATTATATATAAAATATATATTATAATATATTATATATAAAATATATATTATAATATATTATATATAAAATATATATTATAATATATTATAATATAAAATATATATTATAATATATTATATATAAAATATATATTATAATATATTATATATAAAATATATATTATAATATATTATATATAAAATACATATTATATATATAAAAAATATTATAATTTATTATAATATATATTATATATAATTTATATAATATATATTATATATAAAATATATATAATATATATTATATAAAATATATATAATATATATTATATATAAAATATATATAATATATATTGTATATAAAAATATAAAATATATATAATATATATTGTATATAAAATATATAATATATATTGTATATAAAATATATATAATATATAATGTATATAAAATATATATAATATATATTGTATATAATATATATGTATATAATATAATATATATATTATATATTATATATTATATATATAATAAATATATCATATATATTTTATATATATCTAATATATATATTATATATATTAGATATATATTATATATATAAAATATATATATTAGAGATATATTATATATAAAAAATATATATATTAGAGATATATTATATACATATAAAATATATATATATTAGAGATATATTATATACATATAAAATATATATATTAGAGATATATTATATATATAAAATATATATATATTAGATATATATTATATCTAATATATATATTAGATATATATTATATATAAATATATAATATATAATATATATAATATATAATATATATAATATATATAATATATAATATATATAATATATATAATATATAATATATAATAAATTTAAATAATAAAATTTAATAATAAATTAAAAATTTAATAAAACTAAAAGCTTATTTTTAATTTAAGTAATTTATGATTGACAGTTTTATTTTCAGATGTTATTTTCTGAATGCCAATTTAAATACTATAGGTTATTTAAATATAGCAAAAGACTAATTTCATTTTCATAGACTTTAATTCCTAAAAAGGGATAATATTCATAGGATTATTACTTACATAATTCTATGTATGCATATATAAATATGTATATGTCTAATTACTACATATATTAGTAGAAAATATATACATGCATTCCAAATTGAACTTTTTCTTTCTAAGCCATAGACCCAAAATACAGTTGATATTGTATTTTTTTACATATTCTAGTAGTGTCCCAGGCTGTGGTTACTTAATAGAATAAATTAATTTTTTCAGATATTTTTTCAAAATGAATTCTGAAATATAAATGTACCCCAGTTTGACCTAGTTAACATTTACTTGTTTGTTTTTGGGCAGTACCTGAACAATAATTTACCTTAGTATCCTCGTTCTGATAGCAGAGCATTGATCAACGTGATGTTTGCATCCCTTACATATAGCACTAACTAGTCATGTTTGATACTTTGATTCTATTCTTTCTCTGAACATAAACAACGAATAGGAAAAATGCTTCTGTAGTAAATAATCCCTCCATGTCTTTTCTCAGGTTACTTGGATTATTTTAATTATTTTTATGCATTATTTTAATTGTGTTTTCTTCACAAATGGGCACAAACAGTCATGCCCAAGAATAAGAATCAACATAAAAAGTATGCTTTTAAATGAAAGGTTTAAATTTTTCCCTCAGTGCATGCAATAGCTTTTGAAACAACAGTCATTTTTACCAGGAAAAATGATTGTATTCTTTGCCTAATTTGATTCCATTCATGTATTTTGGGAATAGGGTTCCTTAATATTTTAGAAGCAATCAATAGCAGATGATACCTCTTAGCTACTCTACTGAAGAGAGCCAACTTTATTTTCATTTTATTCAGAGTCAATGTTCTATGTAACTCTAAATAATTTATGATGAGCCATTTGGGATGATAGGAAGCCATGTTTTGAAAAATGAGGTCTACATAAAATTAATTAGAAATGATTATTCATGTATGTCTCTGGACATACATAAAGGCCCTAGATTTACTTAGAGGTACCACTGAGAAGAAAACGAGAACAAAGTGCTCCCTTTGTAGGAAAATTTCTAAGCAGATTTTTCAAACTAAGGGTCAGAGTTGCAAGTACACTAGCATCTGTGTTGCTTGTGGATGCATTATCCAATCTAAATGGTATTTTTTTAAATCGTAATAGAAAAAGGCTATTTAGTACATTCTGACTGTGATGACTAAAACCTACCATGGTGCTTGGAACATAATAAACACTAAAAAACATTTTCGTTGAGTGAATGAATAAATATGAAATGGATGAATAATTGAATCACTCCGTTTACCCTCCTTGGTTAGACATTGCTTTGTAATGTTACCAGTCTTTTAGATGGAAAAGACAGATTATTATCTATATGAAACCCACAATTCATTACCGGGATTACTATTTTATTTGGTAGTAATTGTGTTTTTAACTACATTGGCAAAATGCTTTTAACTTCCTCAAGGCAAGGTATTAGATAGTCATACACCTTAATTATGAAACAATCTTTCAGCAAAACAATTAGTAATTATTCTTAGAGTTTCCCTGTGCTCCTTTCTATAAAACTCCCTCTAGAATTTTCTTTCTACATTCTATAAACCAAGTTATGGAAATGATGTATGCCAGAGAAAGTTGGAAGAAGTCTGCTTTTTCCAAGTAACCTGTGGATTGTGTAGCCCACTGACCTAGTTGTCACAAGTATTTCTTTATTTTCATCTCAAACTAACCATGGTAAAAATAAATACTCATCAAGATTCCCATAATGTTATGATCTAACATAATCCTGTTACATTTGTCAAAACTAAGAAATCAACATTAGTACAATACTATCACCTAAACTAGGGACTTGCTTGGGTTTCACCAATTTTTCCATTAATGTTGTTTTTCTCTTCCAGGATCCAATTTCAGAATACCAGATTAAATTTTGTCATTTATGGCAGACAGATAACATAGAGGAGACTGTGGTGTCATAATATCCTTCGATCTGTTATGGTTTCTCAGTCTTGCCTGGTTTTTAAAACCTTGACAGTTCCAAAGAGCACTGGTCATTTTGTGGAATGTCCTTAAATTTAGATGTGTGTGATATTTTCTTATGATTAGATTGGGTAATTACTTGGGGGAAGAATATTATAGGGGGAAAGGGCACTTCTCATTGCATCAGAGGGTATCTGATACCATTGTGTCTTTCCACTAGTGATGTTAACCTTAAGAGCTTGGTTAAGTTGGTATCCACCAGGTTTGCCCCACTATACAACTTGTTATTGTTTATTTTTCCCTTGTCATACTCTCTTCTTTGGAAATGAATCACTCCAAGAGAGGAAAATTAATTTTCTTTACTTGGATGGGGTATATACTTGTATTATTTGGAATGCTTCCGCAAGAAAGGTTTTGTCTCTTCTCCCCATTTATTCATTTATTTACTCCTCTATCTCAGTATGCACTTATCAATATTTATTTTATTCCTTAGGTAATTTTAATAGCATTGTTATTTATTCTCTTAAGTACTTCCTTAACTTCTGCCAATACAATTATGCTCCAGACTCATCTGCTATTCTCCCTGCTCCAATCTTAGAATCAGCCACCCCTCCCAGGGGCTCTGTTTCCTTTTACTGAAGAATGGTATTTAGAAAACAAGAACCAGGTGCTGGGTGCGCTCATTGCTACTGGGTATCACTGATTCTAGGCCAAGAGAATTGGGAAAAAAAGTGAGAAACTTTTAGGAAAACATACAAAATTCATGTTAGTAAAAATTACAAATTCATAACAGCAATAATCAGCATAGGAGCACAGCTTATATTTTGCAGGGTGTTAATTTTTATGTCTTATTGCTTTATGGATTTACTTTTCACCTAATATACAAATTATATTCAAATTTTCAGACTTGACATCTATACTGAGATTCAGACTCAATTATGCAGCTATTTTCTAATAAAAACCTCTTTTTATGGTTCCTATCTACCTCAAAATTGAACTGATAAAAACAACTCATTTTGTAGCAATATCCCTACTGTCTTCACTAAACATCATTTAAGAAAGAAATCTAAAGTTTAATTCTTCCCACTTCCTTTTTCAAACACACACGCCCATGTATATATATAGTGTGTGTGTGTATACATATATATACATATATATGTGTATACATATTTTTACACATATATACGCATATATATATATGTATACGCACACACTAAATTCTGCAGTGACCTCCTAAATATTTTTAATGTGTTTATATTTTCCCATTCTTGTACCTATTGCCCTAGTCCATATCTGTCCCATCTTCTGGAGTGACTATTGCAATAATGCTTCCAGTTCACTTCCATACTACCAACTAGCCTCCCTTCATCTAGATTTGAATCTTTAAATCCCCTCTTCACATAGTGGCTAGAGTGATCAACAGAAGCCAAAGGTTTAACCTTGATATTCCTCTGCTATAGTTGTTTCATGGACTTCCCCTCACAGTCAGTATTGAGCATAAAAGTTTGACAAAAAAGTAATTTTATTACTGAGCCCTGTTTATTTCTCCAGTCCCATTCCTCCATACTCTGCCTTATTGCTTATATTTTGGCAGTATAAGTTTTCTTTTTTCTAAATGCGTCATGTGATTTATGCTTACATACATTGATTAATGCAGGAACATCCTTCCCATCTGTCTTCACCTGGACAATGCTCACTCAGACTTGGGCTTAATTCCAGCCTATTTCCTCCCAGAAGCCTTCTTCAAGTCCCTAGGTTGGGTAAATATTCTTTCTGTTGGGCTAATGCTCAGACTATGTTTCTATCTTAGTAATTACCATATTTTATTAAAATAATCTGTTTGGGATCTGCTTCCTCTGCCAGATTGTGCACTCCTTTAGGGTAGAGAACCTGTTCTTATTCTTTATTCATATAACCTTAGTGTGTGGCACAGGCCTTGCCCATTGTGGGCATTCAGCAAGTGTTGACACCATTATGGAAAGGGAAAGTGAGATTTCAAATCCACTTTCTGACCCCTAAAGTATACTATTACTATTATGTCATTTTATCTGCTATCATTAAGGTTATCACTCAGTGATTTTTTTTACATGATAGAAAATTATTATTGAAATAATTACTGGAGTCATATAATGTTTTACTGCTTGACATATGTCTTGTTTTCCATCTGTTTATAAGCAGCAGTCACCCATTCTGTCCAGTAGGATAATTATACCTGAGGCATTTATGAATATAAAAAGAGATGAAGGTTTGAGTCATGCTATTTTCAAACTGTATTACTTTGGCCAGATTTCTTATTCATTTTTATAGTTGATGGAATTGAAGATCACTCCTGAGTATCAAATGAAGTAAATAACATGAAAGTCTCATAAAAATGATAAATTTTTCATTAGTAAAATGTCATTACCATTCATATTATTAGTACTCTATTACTCATTCAGTGATATTGAATAATGGTATATTTCAGTTTAGATGTAAAGATGCCTGTCAAAGTAATTATTTTCTCAAGAAAATAAATATTATGCAAGTGGCTCTTTCTGGAGAAAACTACCCACCCACACTTCGAGGGAAGTGCTGTGAGAATCTCAAGTTTATATTTTATTTTTGTTTTTGGAGGTTTTTTTTGTTTTTTTTTTTTGTGATTTACAGATTCTTTGAGGAGATTCTGTACTGTTGTTGACCCCTTATATTTCCAATAAGTTATGTTTTACAACTTTTTAGGGATCCCAAATGCTTTAACTGCACTTAATCAATTGAAATGATCAGAGGAATAATGATAGTGTCTTCTATCATACTTGAATACATTAATCCAAATAAATGTGATTAATGTATTCAAATATGATAGGAGGCACTGTGTCATTGTGTATGTATTGAAATGTATTGAACACCTCAGGCATTATGAGGAAAACTTTAGGTTGTCACTAATTTTAAGCTTAAATTAACCTTTAAGAAATTTATATTATTCCCCTTTTATAGATGTAAAAACTAAGGTTTAGAAAGTTTAGGTAATTTGATTAAAGTCATATAGATAGTATGTAGTGGTGAAGCCAGGATTTGAATCTGTCTTCAGAGTCCATGTTCTCAAATCACTGTGTTTATGTGCTCTGTTGGATATTAGGGATCTGTTGTGTTTCTTCACTGTGGGGAGGGGTGAGGGTGGGGACTGCATTCCAGAATACCTATTAAAGTTTAAACTACTTCTTTATGGGTAGGTTCCTAATGTTTTGTTGACACCAATACTAAAACATGTGTTTGTTTTGCATGTGATTATTCTGATACCGTGAAATTACTTGAACACCCTATTTTTATTTCTCCACAACTGTAATGTCCAGCTCCACTTCAAACCTAGGTGATCATAAATATCAAACTCTCCTAAGTTGCACCCAGCTGGAAAATATGTACTTACACGAAAGATAACATTATATAACAGTATTGTATTCCCACAGTTATGTTTCCCATGTGACTATAAATTTAAGCCCTATACCATACTAGAATTATATTACTGGAAAAAATGTCTCCCTTAGAAGTTTCTACACAGTGTCCTTGATTTATTGACAACTTCATAAAAAGAGAATTCATGTCCTGAACAATTTGGTGAGTTAAACATTAATTCACAACTGAACCATGAAGAAAGTCTGTATTAAGAAACTGTGATCACATAATTACCAATAGAGTCTAACTCAACCTAAGACAGAAACTGAAATAATTTCTGGGCTTAGAAAATTTTCCAATGAACTATTTAGAAATTGGAACATGCAGATATTGTAGATCCACAGGAGAAATTCATAGGGAGAGGACAATAGAAAAATACAATTAAAAAGTGCATTTAAAGAACATTCTTCATAGTTACTACTGCACAAACAAATGCATTTTAAACATTGGATTAAATTATTGCATTAATCTACGTAAAGTACATGTAAATTCCATCTTTTATGATCATTCATTGGTTCATTTTTCCAAATGATAACTAATCACCTCTTAAAAAAATTGCTTGTATATTACTAATATCAACATTCTGTTACAAAGGTAGAAAAATAATAAAAACATAAATATCTCCCATGAGGTTAGGTGAGAATTGCAGGTTGGCAAGTTGGTGTCTATTCTGACTTTTTAAAAACCAAATTTTCAAAATGGTAAAATTCATTAATTCTATTTACAGAAAGTGGAATGGTGTTTATGTTTATTTAGCTGAATGTAGCCTCACAGACAATTGTTAGCACATTCTCCTTGAGAGTTAGCCTATTAATGGTTTCTGGATAATAGATAAATTCTAAAATAACATTTTAAACATATCTGAACCCAGAAGAAGCCAAAGCTGAACCTCGTCCCAGATTGGTAAGGGTGGCGATTTTTGTGGTGGCCCAGGGAGGGCAAACAACATAGTTCTATCTATATAGCTCAGAGCAACTTTGTCATTGGGTAGACAGCCAATCAAGCTAATTCCCCTAATTAGACATTAATTCAAATTTCATCTTATCATTGGGCTAATTGTATCACTAATTTGCAAAAATGAAAGAAAACATAGACAAAAGGCACTAACGCAATTCTATAGATCGGCTTCATACTTTATTAAGTTTCCTTTTTCTGTGGCGGGGGGCGGTGATGGAGTCTCGCTCTGTGGCCCAGCCTTGAGTGCAGTAGCGCAATCTTGGCTCACCATAACCTCTGTCTCCAAGGTTCAAGCGATTCTCCTGTCTCGGCCTCCTCAGTAGCTGGGATTATAGGCACAGGCCACCACGCCTGGTTAATTTTTTGTATTTTTAGTAGTGACGGGTTTTCACCATGTTGGCTAGGCTGGTCTTGAACTCCAGACCTCAAGTGGTCTGCCTTCCGTGGCCTCCCAAGGTGTTGGGATTACAGACATGAGCCACCGTGCCTGGCCAGTTTCTTCTCTTTTCTTAAGAAGTTCTGAGGTATAAGCTTGAGTATATACAATGCAGTGTCCTGGAAAGCATGATAGGAGTCAACAGGCCAGGATTCTACTCATTCTTAACTAGCTTTCTGGCCGTGGGCAAACCACTACAGCCCTTTGAGTCTTAGTTTATTTACTTATGAAAAAGGAGGCTTAGATGATATCTAGGGTCTCTTCTAACTCTAACATTTTATAAGCCTGTACAGATAGTCTCTAACTTTCAGTGGTTTGACTTCTGATTTTCCCACTTTACAATGTTGCAAAAGCAATAGGCAGAAGCCATACTTCAAATTTTTAATTTGTATCCATACAACCATTCTGTTTTTCACTTTTGGTACAGTATTCAGTAATTATATGATATATTCAACACTTTATTATAAAATAGGTGGCTGGGCGCTGTGGCTCATGCCTGTAATCCCAGCACTTTGGGAGGCCGAGGCAGGCAGATCATGATGTGAAGAGATTGAGACCATCTTGGGCAAGATGGTGAAACCCTGTCTCTACTAAAAATACAAAAATTAGCTAGGCGTGGTGGCGTGCACCTGTAGTCCCAGCTAGTCAGGAGGCTGAGGCAGGAGAATCACTTGAACCCAGGAGGCAGAGGTTGCAGTGAGTGGAGATCATGCCGCTGCACTCCAGCCTGGTGACAGAGTGAGACTCCGTCTCAAAAAACTAATTTTTTTAAAAAAAATAATAAATAAAATAGGCTTTGTGTTAGATGATTTTGTGCAACTGTAGGCTTATGTAAGTAAGTATTTTGAGCACTTTTAAAGTAGGCTAGGCTAAGCTATGATGTTTTGTAAGTTAGGTGTATCAAATGTATTTTCAACTTACAATATTTTCAATTTTCCCTGGGTTTATGGGGATGTAATATCATCAAAAGCAGAGAGGCATCTGTATTACAATTTCTTTATTTGATGGTTGTTTTCAGGTATTATATCACTTATAGTTTAGAATTTATACCCAATATTATAGCAACATCTTCATTAAATAAGATGTCATATATATATATATATAAGTAAATTAAGATTAAATCAGCATAAACATTAAATGGCAGAGATAAAATATCAGAATTCATCCAAATTCCAAAGGACATATGGTAGGAAGAGCATAGTACACAACTCTTCTCTCTTCCTGTGTGTGTAGAAAAGCCAAACCACTTTTCTCTATACTGTCACTCAATATAGACTACATCTATGACTAAATGTGTGGCTTTTTCCCCACACTGACCATACCTCCAACACCAGCTGTATGTCCTACAGTTTAATTCAATTCTGACAAGATCTGGCATTAGCACAAATACCATAGATTAGGGGTTCAGTCCCAAAGGCTTCTCCCAACCTCCACTTCAGAAACCAGTACAAGTCCAGATTATCACCTGTGCTTATGACTGATGGGCTTGAAGTCAGAGGTTCCCACCTCCCTCTCCTTGGATTCAATTATTTGCAAGAATGTCTCAAAAACTCAGGAAAACTATTTACTTATTAGATTACCAGGTTATTATAATATTAAACAATTTAGGAACAGCTAGAAGGAAGAAATGCCTAGGGCAACGTAGGTGGGGAGAGGTGGAGATGCCATTCCCTCTCTGAATATGCCACCCTTTCAGCACCTCCACGTATTCAACAGCCTGGAAGCTCTCTGAACCTCTTTAAGTTTTGATGGGATAGAGGCTTAATCACATAGGCATAATTGATTAAATAATTGGTCGTTGGTGCTTAACTCAACCTTCAGCCCATCTCCTCCCAGAATGTTGGAGTGAGGGTGAGGCTGAAAGTTTCAATGCCTGAATCACATGACTGGTCACCTTAGCAACCAGCCCCCATAAGGAGGCTATCCAGGATCCCCCAGGTACCAGCCATCTCATTAGCATACAAAAATACAGGTTATCACCTGGGAGTTCCTAAGGGTTTGAAAAGCTGTATGCCAGGAAATAAAATGGGACAAAATATATAGTTCTTGTTATGTCACATTATGTCTGACAAGCGAACAAATATGCCCAGTTTCTAGGAAAACGCATACAGGTCCCCTATGAAGAAAAATGAACTGAGTTCAAGGTCATGTAAGTATAAGAAATATGATTCATTTTATCAGTGAAAGCTAAGGAGCTCCTTTTACTGAGAGTAAATAATTTGCAACTATGAGTTGCCCAGTATCAGAAGACACAGCTGAATAGGGCAGAAAACTATCACTCTAGAATGTCGTAGATACACTCTCCTAAAACCAGTGGGATGGGCTAGATAATGTCTTGACAAAATGGATGAGTTGGCTCTCTTTGTCCTATAACTGTGTGTAAGGTTCCTGAGAATTGACAGATATATAACTTCAATTTTATTCATTCTATTAGCTGTTGCTATGATGCCAGCTCTATGAAACTCATCATAAACATTTCTGTATCTTCTTGTGTTTGTATTTCTAGAATGTAGCTCTTGGAATACCAAATACTATAGTTGATTGCTTCATGGATTTTTGTATGTACTTGAAGGCTTCTGAGATGAAAACTTCATGGGAAATTTTAAACAGAAATTAAGTCCAATGTTCAAAACCATTGCATAGCACTAGTAAGAAATAAATCATAGTCCAAGACAATAGAGAGGAAATTTCCATTCAAAGGAAGGCTCTGTTTGATGGGGGAAGAAAACAACCACAAATATGATTTTTTTTGGTCTGACTTGTTCAATGGTTTCCACCTGGCAATATATGTTAGGATCTAGTTTACCTTAGATTATGTTAACAAAAGACTATAAGATCCATGAAGGAAGAAAAAAGGAAGACTTTATTTTCAAAGGGAGAAACAATTCGCAGATTGGGTATAGCAGCTTCTAGGGAGAACCAAATGTGCATGCTCCGAAGAGAAGGGAGGGAGAAGATGGTTTATGTGTTTACGTACATATTAAGCAGGGCTGGGGAAAAGCTATGCATATTTATGAGGGAAGCCGGGCACATGTGCAGTGGGTAAACATATATTTAACATACATTCTGTGTTTACTTTCAGGGTTGGGTTTTGGCATTAAAATGAGGTGGATTTGGGCTCTTTCTGTCAAGAGGTGAACTCTAGGGCACGAAGACAGTTTGTGTGCAGTCTTTATAAGCTGGCTGAAACTGGCTTGAGGTCTATGACTAGTTATCAATAAAGAATATTTATAAGACTGGTCTTCTGTCTAATCAGAGTTGTGGTAGGACTGCAAAGTGGGGGTGGTTTGGTAGGCTGGTGTTAGGTGGTCTATTGGGGTCAGTTGGGAAATTTTCTAGGTATAGTTGTTTTGGCAATATTTTTCAGGAGTTGATTTCTGCTTAATTCCAGGAAAGAAACATTATCGCAATTAATAACAGTGATACATGACTAATCTCTCATTTGGCAGGCTGTGAGATTCTGTTTTTGGTGTGTTTCATTTTAGTTATGGGGGTTGGGATATATTTCAATACATATTATCTTTTCTTTTATGGTTAATTTTCTTATTATTCTCATCATTAGATTTAAGAAATATGAGAGTAAGTCAGAATCAACTGAGAGGAAGGAGAGTTAGGAAAGAACAACAGGAGATAGACACAGTGACCTATGTAACTTGGGAGAATACAGATAAAATCAGGTGGCAGGAGTGTGGTGCTAGATCCACACCATCAGCTCCCTGGTTCTCAGATTTGCAGACTCGCACTGGAACCACACCAGCTCTCCAGGGTCTCCAGCTTGCTGACTGAAGATCTTGGGACTTCTCAGCCTCCATAACCACGTGGGCCAATTCCTTATAATTAATACCCTCTCCCCCACATCTATCTGTCTACACATACACACACACACACACACACATGCACATTCTATTTTTATTTCTTTGGACAACTCTTACCAATATACGGGGTGTTGAGTTAACCAAAGTATATGGCCATTTTAGGTAATTATGTGCTAATTTTAAGAAAGATAACAGTCATAAAGGATTTTTGGAAATATAGTAATCTTATAAAATATTTTATGATCTTTCCATTTCTTTAGTATTACCTAAACTATTTAAATTTTCAAAATGCTACACTTTAATCACTTTTTGAGACATGTTGACTTTTTAGTTAATTGAATTATTAGTATTTCTGCTAAATGAATATAAATATTTCATGTTCATTTTTACATAAAGCTTCCATGGATGCTTAGAATGTGAAAATTTGTGAAAGTGGTTAAATAATTTTTGTTATGAGTTTTGATAATCAGGCACAAATTTTGAATACTATTCAGAAAATGAACGGGAGGAACCTAGAACATTCTAAGACGTAGCAGTATAGTATTTGCATACACAGTCAGTCCTCAGAAAATTAGAAGTTGATGAAATAAAAATTTTATTTAGAAAGAATTATAAAATTGTTCCACAAAACCTCCAGAAGTATAGCAAGTAGTATTAAATATAGCCATATAATCAACCATCAGGTTTAACAAAAGAAAACATTTGCTATGTTTGCTTCAGAAGCATTCTTAATAGATATTTAAAAATAGTTTTAGATTTACAAAAATTAAAATTGGGAAGATAGAACAGAGTCTCTATATACCCCACACCTAGTTTTCCCTATTATGAACATTTTAGGTTAGCATGATATGATAGGTTACAGTTAATAAACTAATATTGATATATTATTATTATCTGAAGTCCATAGCTTAATAAAGTTGCTGTACTTTTTCTTAATATACTTCTTCTGCTCCAGAATCCCATCCAGGACACTGCATTGCATATAGTTGTCATATCTCTTCAGGATCCTTTGGCTGTAACCGTTTCTCTAATTTTTCCTTAATTTTGATGACCTTGACAGTTTTGAGGAGTACTAGTCAGGTATATGGTGGCATGTTACCCTATTGGAATTTGTCTGATATTTTTCATGATAAGACTGGGGTTACGGGTTTTGGGAAGGAAGATCTTGGAAACAAAGTGCCATTGTCATCACATCATATCAAGAGTACATGGTATCAACAGGATTTCCGACTGTTGATACTGACCTTGATCATTTGGCCCAGGTTGTGTTTGTCAGAATTTTCCACTGTACAGTTACCTTCCTTGCCCCGCTTTCTACATCACAGTCTTTGGAAGAAAGTCACTATGTACAGCCCATACTTAAGGATTAGGAAGTTATGTTTTCCCTTCTTGAGGGCTGAGTATACTCCCTGTTTACTTAGTCATTTTATGAGTTCATAGATATTTATTTTATACTTTAGGTAACAATTCAAAACTGTTTTATTTATTTTGTTACTTTGTGAGGTTTTGTTTTTGTTTTAGGTTTATTTTCTTAATTTCTGGCACCACGAGATGCTCCTGGCTCATCTTGTATGATTCCTGTTCCAGTCCTAGAGTCAGCCATTTGCCAAGGAGTTTCTAAACACTATTTCATCTGGTATTAATAGTGCTATTCTCAGGGTTTTCTCTTTCTTTTTGCAAAGGTATGAGGTTTTACTGATACCATAAAAATTGTCTATCTTTAAAGTTTTTCCTTTTCTGGGATATTAGGTTTAGATATATCTTATAAAAAGAACACTTAGGTAAATTTGTATTGTTTTATCTAATCCTAGAATGCCTCTAGTTTATTGGGTAAAAATAATCAACTCATATTACATCATTTATTTATATGCCTGCACTTATTTCTTTCTACATAAAGATCAACATAGTTTTAATATTTGAACTTTGATCACCTGCCCACCTTCTATATTGTATTGCCATATTTAAATTTTACTTTATAAATCACGTACATTTATAATTATTGTTTTATAGTAAAGCATTACATAGATTTCCCCAAGTTTACTGACTCATCTGCTCATTATTGATTTATTTTTCCTGAGACTGAGTCTCACTCTGTTGCCCAGGTTGGAGTGCAGTGGCATGATCTCAGCTCACTGAAACCTCCACCTCCCTAGTTCAAGCTATTCTCCTGCCTAAGCGTCCCAAGTGGCTGTGACTACAGATGCCTGCTACCACACCTGGCTAATTTTTGTATTTTTAGTAAAGACGAGATTTCACCATGTTGGCCAGGCTGGTCTTGAACTTTTGACCTCAGGTGACCACCCACCTCGGCCTCCCAAAGGGCTGCGATTACAGGCGTGAGCCATAGCGCCTGGCCTCATAGACTTTTATACTTTTCCACTTCCTTCTGGGTTCAGTTTTGTTCTTATTGAAGCATATCTTCAAATCATCTAATTTTTATGCCTCTGTGGTTGTATGTGTATATTTGGAGTAGGGGTTGGGTAGTAGCTATAGGTTGAAAACTTTATGATGTAAAATTATTGTATAAGATTTATGATAGTGATCATACAGTCTGCTTATTTAATTATACTCTTGAGTGAGAATTCAACTTGGTCTAAAATTTTAAATTGATAGTTTAATGCCTCAGTAAAGTGATGAGATGAAAATATGCTATTTGGTCATCTGACCTATGTTATTATTTTGGAAAAGCCTCATGTAAGGTCAATAATTAATTAATTTGTAGGAAGCATGTTTTAAAAATTGAGATACTTCTTAATATTTTCTCTCTTTTTTTTGGTTATCTGCAGTTTTCTAACATTGGATGTAGTTGCAAATTTATTTTTATTCATTCCAGTTGTCACTCAGTAATCTTCTTCAGTATAAAGATATGTGTCTTTCTCCAATTCCAGAATATTCTCAGTCACTATCTCTTTGTTTCTACCCCATTCTTTTTATTCTTACATCTGGAATGTCTATTTTTAAAAAGGAACCCCTTTCCAATTTATTTCATATCCTTTATCCTCAACACTTGTTCCGTTGTTTTATCTCTTTAAATATATCTTCAATTTCATTGATTCTTCAGCTGCGTTCAATCCATTTATTGAGTCTGCTTTTTAATATATATATTATTTTATTTAGAGGTCTACTTTTTTCAGTCTTCTTTTCCCATATTTTGCTTTTGTTATTTTCTCCTATTTTTGTGTCTGTGATGAGTTTAAACATAATTAACTCTATTTTACTTTTTTATGTTGTTTCTAATTTGTGACTTCTTAATTCTTTTCTTTTTTTCTAGTAACTCTCATGAATTTCAATTTCCTTATATGCTTAGTAATATTTTTGTTGTGTGTCATCACATTAAAAATCCATTTATGGTTTTTGTGTGTTTATACACAAGTAAGTGATGTTACATTTTGCTACTACTACTTTCTCAGTAGTTTCAACAGTACTTCGCTTTGGGGATGCCTGTGCCACATAGTTAAAGTGAATTCAGATCTATATTTGCAAGTGGTGTAGGCCTGGCATTTTTATTTCTCAGAGGACACTTGGTAATACACCTTGGAACTTCAGTGAGAGACAAGCTTCCCTGCTCTTTCCCTGGGCCAGTATGAGATGATGTTTTTCTTATCTTTCCAGAGAGGATTGTCATCTCAGAGGTAGATGACAAAGGTATCAATTTCCACACCCCAACATGTGAGGATCCCAAAGCCCCGTCTCTCCATAGAGTGTATAAGGTACATGCACATGTGTGTGTGCCTTTTTCTGATCATTTGTCTCTGAGTTCTCTTTCCATTTCTGTTTATTGATACAGTTCCATTTTCTTTTTTTTTAATGCTCATAGTATTATTTTATTCTCTCTAGCATTTCTATATGATTATAGCATTGGAAAAGGCTGTATTAGGTGAGTCTACTGCATTCCTGGAACCCAAGGATGCATCTTTATTATAAAATTAAGATACAGCAATAATAGATGTAGAATGAAGAGAAAACAACAATGGTTAGGGTGTGTTTAAGTTAAAGGGAACAGCCAACAGTGATTGAGGTCAGAGAACATACTGAAGAACACAATAAGTTAACTGGTGAAACAAGATATTCAGTCAGGACTTAAATGATTCAATGAAACTTAAGCATCAGGAGAATTAGAGGGAAATAGAAGTGTAAGATTGCAACAATAAGGCTTGGGTGACTCAAATAATGATTGCTTCTTGCCTAAATAATTTTCACCATTTTCTTGAGATTAATTACACATTACCAAGCGTGGCTAGCCTGATAATTTCAGAAGTGGGAGCAAGAATCCTTATTACCTGGCTGGAATCCCAGGGAGGATGAATGTAAATACTTGTAAAAAATATTTGTAAATTTCTTTGAAAAATTACAAAAATGTTAATAAGATAATGAACTTCTATTTTTTTTTTTTATTGGCACTTGCTAAACCCAAGGAACTGACAAGTGGACCTGGCTTTCCTTTATTCCCATTTAATCTCTTGATAGGAAGAACTCTATCCTCAAACATCTACCTCTCTCTAAGGTCTCAACAATGGAAGCTATCTAGAGAGATGCTATACCTTATTATTCTCCTCCAGTGGATATATTCACAGCTTCCTAGTCTGTGTCTCTACATATCTGGTACCAGGTATACTTTCAACCTTGAATACCTTCTTTATTATGGTTGATAGCAGCAGTATAAATGATACTGAATCATAGAGTCAGAAGGAAGTAATGAGAAAAAGGCTAGAAATGTAATTAGGGTGAGATTGTACTATATGTCTTATGTCATACTATGAAGCTTATACTTTATATATTAGGTGAAAGAGTTAAAGGAGATTGGGGGTTACATGGC
The DNA here is from genome assembly GCF_000001405.40 of Homo sapiens. Classification (NCBI taxonomy): domain Eukaryota; kingdom Metazoa; phylum Chordata; class Mammalia; order Primates; family Hominidae; genus Homo; species Homo sapiens. Next base: position 166,808,928 of record NC_000002.12, on the reverse strand, counting down.
AATTTTGTGTAGTGCCTTACCTCTTGTTGCTAGGGAGAGTCAGTCTGGGAAGAACAACACTGGGCAGAAAGAGAGAGATCAGTTAAAAAGTAATTGCAGTTTTATCCAGACACATGATGACCAAAGTCTGAAGTAGAACCACAATATTAGAGGTGAATAGAAGTGAATACATTGTAGATACTCAGGAGATAAGATTTGCAAGTCTTGATGATGGATTAGGTAGAGTACATGTGGGAGAGGATAGAGTAATAGATGCCTCCAGGATTTGCTTCTTAATTGTCTGGCTGGGTAATGGTGCCATAAATTGTAAAGCAAATAAAGAAGGAGGAATAGCTTTGGTAAAAAATTATAAGAAATGGAATTTGTATAGTTAGAGTTTGCTTTTCCTGTGAGAGATCCAGGTGAAAATGGAAGTAGGGCAAGTGTCCATTTACATCTGAATCCAAGGATAGAGAACTGATGAAAGATAAAATTTGGGAATATATGAGCACTTAAATTATATTTAATGAAGGATGAACCATCCACAGGAAACAAGCAATGTTTCCCACGAATATTGGGAATTGTATGACTACCATACAATTGATTTGCGTGATATCAGCATCAAGAGTGAAAAGCACAGAGATGGACAGAACTCCTCACTATCAGGGAGTCCACAGGATTATGGCTCATCTGCATCCGACAAACATAATTTGGGTTGAACTGGCAATAATTTCTTGTCTTTTAAAAAATATTGTTACACTAGTGATTACTGCCTCGACAATAACAACCACAAATCCCATTCAAGCTGTTGTTTGTGAAACCAGCGTAAGCTGGGAAGGAAAGATAAAGCATACACACACACCCACACATAAATAAGTCATGAATGTGAAATAGTGAGCTCATTGGAAAGATGCAAGCGGGCTGAATAAATATTCACCATGTTACCAGAGAGTGAATAAGAATTTTTTTAAATAATAATCAAAAACCTTTCTATATTTTATCTTTATCTTAGTACATATCATTCTGCTAAAGAAATAACTAGACATGATTCTTATTTTTCAAAGGGGTGTATTGCTAATATGGACTTCATAGAGGACTTATACTATTTTTACATATATGCAAGATGTTTACTTGTACAACAGGTGGAAAATGTGTAACTTTGCTAGAGGCAAATTTGAAATTCTCCCCTTTTGAAAGACACAGGTGCCTGACAGGGTATTGCCAATTCTTTAGAAACAGTCAGAGGAGTGTGAGAAAAATAAAACTACTGAGGTGAAAAAAAAATGTATGAGAATTACATGGAGCTGCCAACAAGCTTTACATTTTCAGCTTAGCAAACAACTGGATTATTGACTAAGGTTAGCAGAAATGAAAAACATATTTGAAGACTCACATCAGGAAGATAAATATGTTATATCCATCTGCCAGGCAAGCAGTGTTTTCTTGTGGAATACAGGAGCATCTTGAGATAGAAAGTTGGGTTTATTCAAAGGCAAGTAATCTAACTGCAGTGGTTTAATGCAAAGGAAAAATATTTGAGAAAACTATGTGGCAAATCTCACTACAAAAGTTTTATAGGCCACTATTTGAATCTCATATTGAAGAAGTTTAATATTTTAATTTTAAATAAATTAGAAAAAAACACCAACTAGGCAAGGTGCAGTGGCTCACACCTGTAATCCCATCACTTTGGGAGGCCAAGACAGTTGGATCACCTGAGGTCAGGAGTTCAAGACCAGCCTGGCCAACATGGCAAAACCCAATGTCTACTAAAAATACAAAAATTAGCTGGGCATGATGGCACATGCCTGTAATCCCAGATACTGGGGGTGCTGAAGGAGGAGAATCGCTGGAACTGGGGAGGCAGAGGTTGCAGTAAGCAGAGATCATGCCACTGCATTCCAGCCTGGGCAACAGAGCGAGGCTCTACCTCAAAAAAAAAAAAAAAAAAAAAAAAGAAAAAGAAGAAGAAGAAGAAAGAAGAAAGAAGAAAGAAGAAAGAAGAAGAAGAAGATAGCAAAAACAACAACAACAAACTTTAACAATACCTATTGTAGTGGACTGACTTTAAGGAGGCATGCATTGTCCCACCTCCTTATAATCACACCTTGTGTCATTCCCTCCTTTTGTATCTGAGCAAGACCTGCAACTTGCTTCTAACCAAAAGAATGCGACAAAGATAATGAGATGTATATGGTTATGTGTGCACAGATGCTGAAGAGTAGGATACTCATCCTGCCAGAGTCTCTCTCTCCATTACTGGATTTGAAAAAGCAAGCTGCCATGAATTACATAACTGCAAGGAAACAAATTCTGTCAGCAACTACTACAGAAAACTTAGAAGCAGATTCTTCCCTGGTTGAGTCTCCAGATGAGAACTCATCCCTGGCCAACACCTTGATTGCAGCCTTACAGAAGATACCACTAAGCTATGCCTGGGCTCCTGGACATGTGAACACTATGATAATAAGTATGTGTTATTTTAAGCTACTAGGTTTGTGATAATTTCTTTTTGCAATAGATAACAAATAAAACCATTTATATTATACTATTTATTTGTTTTCTCAATCAAGACGTACTCAGCCACTATGTTGGGTGCTGGATATAGTGCTAAACCAAGGTTTGTAGCCTAAGGAATCAGACATTCATTATATTGTACAACAACATAGAAGAAATGCAGGGTACTGTTGGAACCTCAGAAGGCTTTATGAAAGAAATAATATCAAATACGAAATTTGAAATAAAAATATAAATTTTTTAAAAAATGATACTTCTACTTCTGCCTGAGATGGAGTAACAGGAACTGGATTTATCCTCCTACCTGAAACACTTAAAAACTGGGAAAATGTGTTATGAAGGGTTTTCAGACTATGGACATCAGGCAGTGCAAGGCAGCAATCCCTCTGAGGGGAACGGATGAAGTAAACCCCATGATGGCCACAGCTCACTTCCTGGAGAGTTTCCAGGGAGCAGGAGCCCAGCTGGAGGGCAGTGTCTCCCTGAGTCCAGGGGATGGAGCTGGGTGTCCAGGAGGCCATGGTGGGTAAAGGAGAGCTGGACAGCACTCAGTGTTTGACAAAATCAATTTATAAAAAGAGATGATGCGAAGCTGATTGTATTTTACTCTACAAAGGTTTGTACTCACTTCATTGAAGAGTCATCATATAGTAAGGGCCTGGCTGAATAGCCTGAGGCTCTTCCTTCCAACCTGATATTTGGCAGCACTGGGAGAGTTGAATGACATATGCAGGTGCTATCACGGACTAAGGCCAAGCAAAGAATTGGTTTGATACATACTCTTATGTGTGTTTTAAAACTAGAGATATTGATGTGTTACAATATGTAGAATATTTCTGTAGGAAACATGAGAAGGTGGTATGTTAGTTGTCTCTGGGGAACAGGCCTGACAACCTGGGATAAACTGGAAGGGCGATTATTTTTACTGTATGCTTTTTCTACTGTCAAAATATTGTGTGATGTGTATGCCCCTCTTTTCAAATACAAATCTAGCTAAAATTTTTGAAAAAATATAATTTGTTTAGATGAAAGAAGGAGTATTTCAGAAAGAGAGAACTCATGCAATGATCAAGATGAAAATGAAGAGAGACCAGCCTGGCATTTAGATGCGTGTGTGTGTGTGTATTCAATAGAGGTGGGAGGTGGCCAAAGATAAAGATGAAAAGAGAAATAGGGGCCCAATTATGCAGGTTCATTCTTGTAGGTCATTTTAGAGAGCTTAGACTGAGTCCTCATAAACTGCTGTTTTCCTTTTGGTGTATGTATCATATGGTATTTTGTCTTTACTTATTAATTTTTGGGGTCATTTTGTCTTTTTAATTACTTTTTTGGAACAGTTTTTTTTTTTAATCATTGTGGCTTCAGTTCCATCCTCCAACTTTCTAACGTGAAGTAAGGACTGTCATAGTTGGTTGGTGTAAATGACAAAGGTAGCATCGCCGAACTTGCCTCTAATATCAGAGTTGTTGTGTAGAACCATGCAAGCTGCAAAATGCACAGCTCCAGATAATTTCTGTCACATAGAGCAATGCTTCTCAGGCACCAGTGTGCATAAAAAATACCTGAGAATCTTTCTAAACAACAGGTTCTGATTTAGTAAGTCTGGGAAGGGCCTGAGAATCTGAATTTCTAACAAGCTCCCAAGTGATGCCGATGCTGCTTGTTGGAAGACTGCAATTGGAATAGCAGGGAAGTAAACAAAAATATGACTAGAGTTCCCTGGAGAAGGTTAGTAGATGGCTCAATGTGAGAGCAGCTAGGGCATTATGAAATTGAGACATTTCAGGTGTGGCCATAGCAATGTGATAAGATGCACTCAATTATGGTTAAAGATTTTAAAAATGTGAAGGGATGCTTTTGTGCCCTTTGGAATAAAAATCATTTTAGTGCACCCAATTCTAGTCTCTTAGATTACATATTATAATTAAAAACAGAAGGTAGTGCTTTGTGAGCACTCAGTATTACATATCAGCACTGAACCACTACAAGCTCTAAAATCCCAGGGAGAACACTACAATGGGAAAATGGAGTTGTGTTTTAATTTGTGGATATATAAATTATCCCTGGCACTGAAGGAGGAAAATGTATCTGGAGTATTCCTTCCTATACAAATTAAGGTCCTGTGCTCTTCTGTCTTCCCCGCCTCACTCCTGCCCCTGGCAGCCTGGGCTCTGGCTTCTAGCCCCGACAACTACCAGAGAGCCCCACACTGCTGAAATCACTTTCCTTTCTCCAGGCTCAGTTTTCCATTATTTCATGGCTTTATTCTCTATTAAGGCAATCTTGATTAATGAAACCAAAATAAAAACATCTTTGAAAAAAATTATTGTGTTACTCTGGTCATAGCTTGGTTTCTTCAGGAAGCAGCTTCTAATGTGAAATTTGCAGGCAGGAAGTTTATTGGGAAGTACTATTAAGATCAACAGCTGTGGGAATGTGAAGGAAACAAAACTGGGCCCAGGCAAAGTTTAGGCTGGGATGCAGCCACAGCAAGGCTTCAGCCGATGCTACAAGGAGATCTGGAGCTGGGATGGTCCTGAAGAGTTGTCTCAAACTGGGGCAATGGGGCCAGACTGTTTTACTCCCACATAAAACAGCTATTAGAGGCATACTGCTGCTGAGAAGGGGACGTGTTATCAGATGACGCAGCTCTTTTTCAGCTAAGGGCAAACATCAGGAGAGAATACTAGGCTGCCAGCTGTTAGCTGTCAACATTGCCAGCAGCTGGGGGAATAAATCCTTTAATCTTGAAGGACGGGTTATATAAACTGCACAATGGAGTATCTATATGACCCCTTCCATAAATAATTTGTTTTTGGAGCCTCAAATGCCTTAACATAATAATGCAAAAAAGCAAATAATGGAACCATATCAGTCTGTGGTAAAGTGGCTTCCGGTAAAAAAGTCCCTCATATCATTTAGATCAGCGCTTTTGAACCTACCTTAGTGAAGTACCAGGTTTGTTAATTTTACTTTTTATTACTTCAAATCTGTCATCCTGTCATGAACAGATAAATGTTTTTATCACATATGACCAGTACACACAGCTTGCATCACAAATGTTGAAAAACACCTGAAATATATTATACTCTACTCAATGAGATAAGTGCATTGGTCAAGAGCTTACATAATATAGAAATGTCAAATCACTATAAGCATGTGTTAAAAAAAAAGTTTATTCTCAACTTCTGTGCTGGTATCAAGAGTGGTTACAGTTTGCTTATGGGCACTAGGTTTGTCTGCTATTCACACCACAGTTTGTAAAGCCCTGATTCAACTGGTCACTTGATTCGTGTCTTTACAGAAATTAAACAATCTTATAAACAACAACAGCAATAAAAACTACAGCAATAACCCATCAATTACCACTCTGCTTAGGAAAATAGACACCTAGGGTTTTTCCCTTCTCTTACCTTGTTTTTAACACTCAAGTGAGTGGAAGTTCCCTGCTCTATGTCCAGACTATTCCTAGGTCATTTGGATTTCAATCTCTATAAGAAAAGGACATTTGTCAGTTAATGCCCCTGTTTCATGTGGGTTATGTGCTGTTAGCTGCTTTTTAAATTTTATATCCCTCTTCACATTTACAGGCCAGTTTTAGACCCACACTGAACTGCTTCTGAATTGAACATCATCAGAAAAGGGCTGTTTTCAAAGACTACTCCTGCTGAATTTGAGTTAGCTGCCTGTCACTTTAAAGTTTAAGCAGCTGCAGGTTCAAAGGATGTAAAAAAATAACTAGACAGGAACTTTGTGTGTGTAGTGAAGCTCCTTTTAAGTCTTCGGAACACCACACGTGCTTTGACAAGCCACTTGAACTTAAGCTGTGCTGCAATATTGTTCTTACTTGCATGGCAGCAGCTGCCCATTGAAGGTAGAATATATTATAGGCTGCAGCTTTTTATTTTAACATTAGATCCCCAAATAATACGGCTTTTTTGAGGTTCTTCATTTGCCTCTTATCCACAAACAGAAAGAACATAATAAGGAAATCACTGGAGAAAATTCTGTTTCTGCTTTCACTCATTACCACTACTCACAATCAGAGCCTCTGCAATGATTAAATGACAGTGGAAACCATCTGAGTTGGGGAGCAAGATTTCTGGAAATTCAAGGCTCTATTCTAGACCATGGGAAATGGCTCTGATGGAAAATTAGTAATATTTCTACCCTAATACCAAATCAGGAGCCTCTAAACTAGAGAGGAGTACTTTTTGGGCTGTGCTACCTGTATAGGATGGTTAAATATATTTCTAGATCATAAAGTAATAATTTCTATTGTGGTTTCTTAACACATTTCAATGGAGTATAATTTGATTCTGAAAAAGCAAGGGATACTACAAAGCAACTAATTAACTTCATCTCAAAGCATCATCATCATCAACAACATCATTTTAACAACAGTTTCATGAGATTTTACCATGTGTCAGTTACTATAAATTAAACTCATCTAATCTTTATTAATAAACCTATGATGTAGATAGATATAGGTACAATTACCATATATATCCTAAACATAAATATACCCAACCTATTAGAAAGAATAACATTGTTACTGAGAACTTTATTGATTTCCCATCAAAAACCCAATACCTAGGCAATTAAGTTATTCAGCATTAAAACAAGAATTACCTTGTCTTGAGGGAACTTGAGAGAATGAGGACTGTCTTTTTTTTTTTTTTTTTTTAAGACAGAGTTTCGCTCTTGTTGCCCAGGCTGGAGTGCAATGGTGCAATCTCAGCTCACCGCAGTCTCCAAGTCCCAGGTTGAAGCGATTCTCCTGCCTCAGCCTCCTGAGTAGCTGGGATTACAGGCATGCACCACCACCCCAGCTAATTTTGTATTTTTAGTAGAGATGGGGTTTCTCCATGTTGGTCAGGCTGGTCTTGAACTCCTGACCTCAGGTGATCTGCCTGCCTTGGCCTCCCAAAGTGCTGGGATTACAGGTGTGAGCCACCATGCCCGGCCAGAGGAATGTCTTTTAAGCCCACACTTCAGTGTAATATCTACTGATGGCATTTCCTTTGAGCTGCAGGACCAGCTAGGACCATACAATAATGCACGATAAATTTGTTTAAATCATGCATATATAGTCATATGCTTTCTAAGGCAAAATATCATTAAGCTGCTTGTTGTCAGCTTTTCACTAATTTTCAGGTATGATTGTAAATATTTAGCAAACTATTGTTTTATAAATATATTTTCTGAATTTTATTAAAGAAAACTTTACACTTCTAGAATATATTACCATCCAGTGGAAATTACTGATATAGGTTTGCTCATTCTCAGTCTAGATTAAGGTAAAGAATACCCTTTTTATTATTTGAAGCACAAAAAGAGAATATATCTGAAGCACAAAACAGAGAATATAATGGCTTTTTTAACTTCTGCATTAATGCTTTCATAACCTATAAATCTATATTTAAATATAGATCTATCTATCCATCCATCCATCCATCCATCCATCCTTCTGAAACTGACCCAGAAGTGTGAAGGGGGCCCTGGACCCTGCCCCCTAAGTGAAGCATGAAGTGAGGTTGAAAAAGCCAGAAAACAGCTACAAGTTGTTTTTACAAGTAGAGGCGAGGCAGGAGAATATGGGAATATGGTCTGGAGGCAGGGAACCTAAGGACTAAAGAACTAAATCAAACAGAAAAACCCCAACTTTCTAAGCCCAAGTAAATAACTTTGTAACTTCAGCTATGGCAGGAAACATCCTCTTCATCTGCCTAGGGTGTATGCCAAATCAATGGGAAACCTCTACAGGATATTTAAACCCCAGAAAATTCTGTAACCAGCGCTCTTGAGCCGTTTGCTTGAGCACGTTCCCATTCTATGGAGTGTACTTTTCTTTCAATAAATCTGCGTTTTTCTTTAACTATTTTGTTTGTGCCTTTTGACCAATTCTCTGTTCAAAATGCTACGAAGCAGGACACACTCCACTGGTAACAGAGGGTCTGGGGTGGCCTCTCATTGTCTTCCACACCTCTGGCAGGAATGATTCTTGTGTAACCCACTCACATGTAATGAAATAGGAGTGTTTCAGGACCTAAAGGGATCTTATGGATGTGCTTCCACTTGGAGCAATAGTGGTTCTGCAACTAAACTTATAAAAAGGCTTCAGGTTTAAGAGTGATTCAAACCAGAGCACCATCCACTAGCAAATAATTGAGGCTGTATCAGTGCACTGAATTTTTTAATAGAGAAATACGGTTATAGAGGGTAGAATAAAAATCAAATTAGTTCTATATTTACTTCAGAGATTGCACCTAACCCTCCCACTTGTATTTAGAATTGTGCACTAGAAATGCAGTAAAAGGAGCAGTGATTTTCAGACCGAAAACCATCTTTTGGAATGGATTCATTTGACTATGTTGGTAGATATGTCAACAGGTGTTCTCATGGCTGAATTAATTCAATTCACTGATTTAATTATAATTAAGTCATTCAATGGTCATTCAGACAGTAGATGTTTTAATGATCTCTGGGCTAGCCAACAATATTAAAAGTAGTCTGAAAAATATGACAGCTAAGAAAATAGTTCTGTAGTATCGTTATTTATTTTTAGGTGCTAAATTATAGGGTATATCTTTAAGGCACAAGAGGAGAACAGATAAAGAAGAGGGATTGTGGACCTAATGACACATTTATTGAGGAATTAGTATTTGGATTTGTCCTTAGAAACATGGCATTATTAAATAAGGATAAAGAGAGAGAGGGATGAGAATACTGAACAAGTTATATGACTTACCCAATGTCAAACGTATACTGTTGAGGCCAGAATCTAAACATGTCTTCTGATTTTAAAATCTATGATCTACCCAGTGTTTCATGAATTTTTAATTATAAAAGCAATATACAAGTTGTGTATCTTCTAGTTGAAAAATATGACAAACGAAGTTAACTGAAGTCTGGGCATCTTATGTTAATCCACTTATCAACTTTTAGACAACTTTTATTAAACATTTACATAGTTATATGTATGTATTTGTATGTACACACAGAGAGAGATTCATTTGAAAGTAACTGTGTGTACAAGTTATTCTTAAAACATAACTAATAAAAGCAAGATTAATAGGAGTACACAGAGCATGGTTGTTTTAATTTAAAATTATTCATACAAATGCAACCCACATGTCTGTATTTACATAAACATATTTTGGCAAATATACAAAAAAAAAAAAAAGAGCCTGATGGCAGCCATTATCTTTCGAAAGAGAAACTGGTAATCATAGGGATAGAAAGACAGATTTTCAATGTTATATTCCTGTGCTATTTGATTGTGTTGGCATGTTTATATATTGCTTTTATAATTAAAAATCTAGTTTAAAATTAAATACTAACATTTATACAAGAACAAAAATATACAAAAGTATGTAGATTATAAAAGTCACATGACATATTTAAAAGTTTTGGTGAAAATTATTTTAAGTTACTTTGCTATGGAACTTGCAAATGATCTAGTCCAGAGCCTGAAGCAATACACTTTCTCATCTTGTTTAATTCCTCCTTCTCTGGGAACATTTGCCACATGGCTGTGACTGATGGTAATGTGACTTCCAGACTTTTAGGAAGGAATGATTTCCATTTGCTTTCTCTTATGGAGTTTGTGGAGAGCTACAGAGTGCAGAGTGAAGGGGAAATATTCTGTTTGATGGAGTTAGTAATAATAAATTGTCATCCCATAAAAGGAATCCACTAAATATTTCTTTAAAGCAGCTTATCTAATAACTTATAAACTAGTAGGAAGCAACTTGTTGCCTCAACTTATTGCTACCCTTCAATCTGGTGACAATAGTTCTGACAGTTAAAGATAGGCTTTCCTCACCAGCCAAGAGAATTCAAAAAATTGTTCATTGATTTCTTCTATTCTTCTTCTAGTACAGCTGTAGTTATTTTCTGTCTACAGAAGGCTTTAAAGCCCTGACTATCCTCTTCATATATTATCATCTACAGAAAATTGAATGCACAATGGCATTTGTATGAATTTCCAGTTTATAAATATTACTGTGCTTTCAAGTATTTTTTTCATCTTCTCCCTCCACCATAATATTGGGCAAAGTGAATATTCTTTTGAGACTAGAGCAAGTGATAAATTTACAGGACTGATTTTTTCTCTGAAGTTGAGATATGTTTTATTTAACTCAAACTCAAGGAGAGAGATTAAGAAGCCAAAAATGGGTGGGGCACAGTGGCTCACGCCTGTAATCCCAGCAGTTTGGGAGGCTGGGGTGGGCAGATCACCTGAAGTCAGGAGTTCGAGACCAGCCTGACCAGCATGGAGAAACCCCGTTTCTACTAAAAAAAAAAAAAAATTCCAAAATTAGCTAGGCATGTTGGCACATGCCTGTAATCCCAGCTACTCGGGAGGCTGAGGCAGGAGAATTGCTTGAAACCGGGAGGCAGAGGTTGCGGTGAGCCGAGATCATTGCAGTGAGCCGAGATCGTGCCATTGCACTTCAGCCTGGGTGACAAGAGCAAAATTCTGTCTCAAGAAAAAAGAAAAAAGTTAAAAATGCAAAATTTGACCTGAATGATAAAAATTATTTTTAATAAATTTTATTTGGACTGATGTAGGAGAATAGCAAAAACTATTTGGAAGGATGACTCATTTTCCCAATTTTTATTTAAAAAACCAATACTGACCAAAGATTTGTAGACATTTATCTACTTGATCTTAATTAGAAAGCATTGGAGTAAAAAATGTATGTTATCTACATATTTTGTCATTTCTGATATGAGCAAATATAAGAAAGTTATTCCCCTGCTTCTATTGGTTGAAATAATTAACACTGTACAGGGGGACCAGAGTAATTTATTCTATTACATATACTCAGCATCATTCTATTCTTCAGATTTTAGTAGTTCTGCAAACTTTGTATTTGTCAGGTATACAAATGGAAGAGAGTTAAAAGCATTTCTGAATGCTATAAGATTGAATGACTTACACAGTAAAAAAATGACCAATTGTCCTTAGTGAGTTGTCCAAAGTGGCATGAGAAGAGAAAAACGTAGTAATTCTGAAAAATGAAAGTAATGGAAAAGTGTAGGCAGTAAAGTTCATTTACCAGTAATGCTACCTCACTGAGCAGTCAACTAGGTGTGCTTTGAATAAAAGTCATCAGTTCCTCTTCTACTATTTGCAGTGTTTTGGTTTGTTTGCTTTTTAATCAAGGACACATCACAATTTATAAAACATGAATATGTTAGCTTTTCTGTTTTATAGCAAGGATTATTTTGAAGAACAATTGAACACAAAACATTTACTATATTCTAAACAATGCTGATTACTTAAGATTATCCATCAGATTGATGTTTTAAGTGAAAGGATTATATTGAGACTGTGTCAAGTGCATAAGTGTCAAAAGTAACATAAACCCATTGAAAATCTTCCCAGAGAACAGGAAGAAGCCTAAAATTGGGTCAATCCAGCTCTAGTAAACACGCATGCATTTTTGTACCCACTGCAGTTACTTAGATAATACATAGAGAAAACCCATATTTCAAAGAGTGGAATTATGTCTTTCTGATTTTTTTGTAACATAAGCCAAAGAAGATTTGAGCAATTTTTATTATTTTGGGATCCTCACATAACTCAAAAGTGGTAAAATCATTTTCACTCAAACTTTTAAAAGAAAGAAAAAGCCCTTTTCACAGAGGCCAGGCATACAAATACTTTGCTCGAAAGCACATTTTTCCTTATTGTAATGAACAGTGCAGGATGGAAGCAACACCTTCAGACTGGTCACAACTTCTTGCTGCTATACTTTGGATAAATATGTACAACTTTCTCACTTATTTGAGTATATATATATATATTTATATATATATGAATATGATGCAGGCCTTAGTCATTTAGAAAAAGAGCCAGTACAAGTGAGTGAACTTGTATATCAGGCAGTTGTTTGAAATTCAAAATAATAGTAGTAGATAATATCCCTATAAGATTATTAGGAATTTACTTTTTATTTTTTAAAAAATGTACATGTAGCTGCTGACTGATGACAAATAGCAAATACCATAATCTCTTTGCATTAGAATACAAAGATGGCTTGTCACCAATTTAATAAAATCTCCCATCTACAATGTGGAAATGACAAGGAAGGGTCTAGATAACTGGTCTATTACCTTCGTTATATAACAATAAAATTCCCACCCTAAGGGTAATGTGTTTTGTTCATCACCACTCAGAGGCAGACAATGGTAAACCTAGGCTGAGAGTGCAGATTTTTCTCATCATTACACCATTACTCTTTCCACTTGAATCAGTTAGGGTAATGCTAGGAGTAGGTTTAAAAAGACTTGAAAATGTAAAGGCACAAATACAATAGAAGTGCACTTGTGTTCTTGCAAAAGACTAGTTCATGTACCTTGTTAGTGGGAGGTCTCTGTTTAACAAAATTATTCTGGTGGCTAGGCTGCCTGAAGCTCTGTGGCTTTTCAATACTTGGCTTAAAAGTTGCCTTGGGGGTCATCTTCCTCCCAGCTGGTGGTTGTCCACAAAGGGGGCATAGTATGGAGAAATGTATAAGGGAGCATTTTTGGGGGACACACCCAGAAATGACCATTGTTACTTTTTGTAACATTCCCTTGACTAGCACCTAGTTCATTGAAAATAAGAGAGGCTCTAGAATGTAGTCTATTTGCCCAAAAGAAAGAGAAAACAAATTTTGGTACATATCTAGTAGTCTTTTCTTCATGGTACTTATATCTGCATGCATAACATAGTAAAAGGCACCCTACATCCCAGTCCTAGGTTCTGTTAAGTCAATGAGATACTTGGGTAAATACATTTGCATTAATATCTAGTATCCATAGATACTACTACTACTTTAGATACTACTAGATCTAGTATCCCTAGACACTTCTACTTGGGTAAATACATTTTCATTAATATCTAGAATCCCTAGATACTATATACTACTTTACTACCTTATGGTATGTGGCCCTAATCTTCTAGAGGGCCTAAGTAAAAGCCATGCAGCATCCCAGCCCAGAAATCTGTAAGTCAAGAGATACTTGGATAGCTCCTTCAGGGTTATCTTTCTCAACTGCTAAGTCATTGCTGGTATCATGAAAAGTGGCTTCTCCATGTCCAGTCCTAATGCAGGAGCTCACATGTCAGTTCTGTCCTGACTTGTATGTTCATCTCTGCTTTAAGATTAACACACAAGTACTAGGGGAAGTAAGGTGATATAGCCACTTTAAGAAAAATGAATCAACTATTTTATTTAGAGCAAAGTATCTATCTATCTATCTATATGCTGTGCACACATTTTTACAAATGTGAAATCAAACACTGGATAGTTGTTTGACATAAAATTACAGGGGCATTTAATTTAAAGTTCAAATATAAAATCTTGACCATGAATAAATGTTTTGAAAATGTCTATTTACATAAATAAAATGAATGAACTTTTTAGTAGTTATCTATTAGAATATATACTTAGAAAATTTACATATTTTCCTATATCTCATGTCTCTTCACTGCATTCAGAAACTAGACTACTTCTTTTGTTTAGTGAAAGGATACGACAGCAAAAATAAAGGCCTTTAAAATTTTAAATTCTAGAACTTAACAAAATGAAAAGCACTCAAGGCATAGGCAATAGATTTGGAAGAATAGTGCACAAGTGGAAAAGGATTATCACTTGGAGAGTATAAATGGAATCCCTGTGGAAAGCAAGAGGGCAGAGAGGAAGAGGAAAAGCCATGAGTGTGTGATCATTAAGGAATCCCTCACTGGGGGGCCCTGGACCCTGTACCCTAGGTGAAGCATGCAGTGAGGCTGAAAAAGCCAGAAAATAGCTACGAGTTGTTGTTACACGTAGACTTGAGGCAGGAGAATAGAGTCTGGAGGCAGGGAACCTAAGAACTAAAGAACTAAATCAAAGGGAAAAAGCCCAACTTTCTACACCCAAGTAAATAACTTTGTAACTTCACTTCAGCTATGTCAGGAAACATCCTCTTCATTTGCATAGGGTGTATGCCGAGTAACCAATGGGAAACCTCTAGAGGATATTTAAACCCCAGAAAATTCTGTAACCAGTGTTTTTGAGCCACTTGCCGCAGCCTGCTCCCATTCTTTGGAGTGTACTTTTGTTTAATAAATCTGTGCTTTTCTTTCATTGCTTTGTTTGCACCAATTCTTTGTTCGAAATGCTAAGAACCTGGACATGCTCCACTGGTACCAGAGGGTCTACTAGGGTGGCCTCTCAGTGTCTTGCACACCTCTGGCAGGAATGATTCTCATGTAACCCACTCACATGTAAGGAAATAGAAGAGTGTTTCAGGACCTAAAGGGATCTTATGGATAATACTAAGGCTTCACGAATGTCCTGTATGAACAACCAAACACCAAGCAAGGCAATGGAGGGGATTTACTATGGGGTTGTAACTATGTATTAACCTGGGCACCCACCATCCAGATCATGATATGAATCATTTTCATTAGTGCATTGTGCTTTCTCGTGCTTCATTGAAGGTGATATTCTACACCATCTCCCTAAAAGATACCCACATTCTGACCTCTATTGCCATAGAACAGGTTTGTGTGTTTTTGAATTTCATCTAAATAGAATCAGATGTATGGCTGGCTGGAAGTGTCTGGTTTCTTTTATTTCATATTTATGATGTCTAAGAGATTAATCTGTGGTGTTGTGTATAGCAGTTGGTGATGGCTATAACACGTTGCTCTCTGCTTCAAAAGATTATTCTTTTTGATTGTTGTATACTCTGCCCTTGTACCACTAAACCACTATTTATTTTTACATTTTGATGATAATAGAGTTGTTTTCATTTTAGGGCTATCATGTATAAAGCTGCAAAGAAAACTATTATAGATGTCTGCTAGTAGAAAAATGCATTCATTTTCTTGAGTATATACACAGGAGTGAAATTTGGAGGTCTAAAATACATATACATTTATTTTTAATTCTGCCTAGTAGTTTTCCAAAGTGCTTACAAATTTACATCTTGTTGGCAATGTATCCAGCTTTCCAGGTACTCTAAATCCCTTGTTAACACTTGTTATTGTCTGTGTTTTTCATTTTAATCAGTGTGTTTGGGATGTTAATTGTATCTCATTGCCATTTTAATTTTCATTTCACCAATGAATAATGATGTTGAATAATTTATATACTTGTAACAATTTAGATACCTTATTTGGGAAATGCCTATTAATCTTTTGCCATTATTAAAAAAATTGGCCAATCTGTCATTGATGGGGATTTAGGTTGATTCCATGCCTTTGCTATTGTGAAGAGTGCTGCAGTGAACATTCATGTGCACGTGTCTTTATGGTAGAATGATTTATGTTCTTCTGGGTATATACCCAGTAATGAGATTGCTGAGTCAAATGGTAGTTCTGCTTTTAGCTGTTTGAGGAATCGCCATACTGCTTGACACAATGGTTGAACTAATTTACACTCCCACCAACAGTGAGTAAGTGTTCCCTTTTCTCAGCAATCTCACCAGCATCTGTTATTTTTTGACTTCTCAATAACAGCCATTCTGAGTGGTGCGAGATGGTATTTCATTGTGGTTTTGATTTGCATTTCTCTAATGATCAGTGATATTGAGCTCTTTTTCATGTGCATGTTGGCTGCATGTATGTCTTCTTTTGAGAAGTGCCTGTTCATTTCCTTTGCCCACTTTGTAACAGGATTGTTTTTCGCTTGTAAATTTGCTTAAGTTCCTTATAGATGCTGGATATTAGACCTTTGTCAGATGCATGGTTTGCAAATATTTTCTCCCATTCTGTAGGTTGTTTACTGTTGATAGTTTTTTGTTTGTTCATTTTGTTTTTTGTTTTGGTTTTGCTGTGCAGAAGCTCTTAAGTTTAATTAGATCCCACTTGTCAATTTTTGCCTTTGTTGTGATTGCTTTTGGTGCCTTTGTCATAAAATCTTTGACTGTTCCTATGTCCAGGATGGTATTGCCTAGGTTGTCTTCCAGGGTTTTTATAATTTTGGGTTTTACATTTAAGTCTTTAATTCACCTTGAGTTGATTTTTGTATATGGTGTAAGGAAGGGGTCCAGCTTCAGTCATCTGCATATGGCTAGCCAGTTATCCCAGCACCATTTATTGAATAACAGTCTTTTCCCCATTGTTGTCTTTGGTCAGCTTTGTCAAAGATCAGATGATCTTAGATGTACAACCTTACTTCTGGGCTGTCCATTTTGTTCCATTGGTCTTTGTGCCTGTTTTTGTACCATTACCATGCTGTTTTGGTTACTGTAGCCTTGTAGTGTAGTTTGAAGTTGAGTAACGTGATGCCTCCAGCTTTGTTCTTTGGTTTAGGATTGCTTTGGCTTTTTGGGGCTTTTTTGGTTCCATATTATTTTTGGAATACGTTTTTCTAGTTCTGTGAAGAATGTCATTAGTAGTTTGATAGTAATAGCATTGAATCTGTAAATTGTTTTGGTCAATATAGTCATTTTAATGATATTGGGTCTTCCTGTACATGAGAATGGGACATTTTTCCATTTGTTTGTGTCTTCTCTGATTTTTTGAGGAGCGTTTTGCAATTCTCATTGTACAGATTTTTCACCTCCCAGGTTAGCTGTATTCCTAGATATTTTATTCTTTTTGTGGCAATTGTGAATGGGACTGCCTTTATGATTTGGCTCTCAATTTTGCTGTTGTTGGCGTATACAAATGCTAGTGATTTTCATACATTGGTTTTGTATCCTGCAACTTTGCTGAAGTTGTTTATAAGATGGAGGAGCTTTAGGGCTGAGACTATGGGGTTTCTAGATATAGAATCATGTCATCTGCAAACAGAGATTGTTTGACATCCTCTCTTCCTATTTGGATGCCCTTTATTTCCTTCTCTTGCCTAATTGTTCTGACTAGGACTTCTAATACTCTGTTGAATATGAGTGGTGAGAGAGGGCATCCTTGTCTTGTGTCAGTTGTCAATGGGAATGCTTTTAGCTTTTGCCCATTCAGTATAATGTTGGCTGTGGGTTTGACATAGATGACAGATGACTCTTACTATTCTGATGTATGTTCCTTCAATACTTAGTTTATTGATAGTTTTTAACATGAAGGGATGTTGAATTGTATTGAAAGCTTTTTCTGCATCTATTGTGATAATCGTGGATTTTGTCTCTAGTTCTGTTTATGTGATGAATCACATTTATTGATTTGCATATGTTGAACCAAACTTTCATCCCATCAATGAAGCCTACTTTATCATGGTGGATTAGCTTTTCGAAGTGCTGTTGGATTCAGTTTGCAAGTATGTTGTTGAGGATTTTCGCATTGATGTTCATCAAGATTGTTGGCCTGAAGTTTTCTCTTTTTGTTGTGTTTCTGCCAGTTTTGGGTGTCAAGATGATACTGGCCACATAGAATGCGTTGGGTAGTAGTGCATCCTCCTCAATATTTTGACATAGCTTCTGTAGGAATGGTACCAGCTCTTCTTTGTATGTCCAGTAGCATTCAGCTGTGAACACATCAGGTTCGGGGCTTTTTTTGGTTGGTAGTGTATTTATTATTAATTCAGTTCTGGAGTTCATATTGGTCTGTCCAGTGAATCAGTTTCTTCCTGGCTTAGTTTTGGGAGGGTGTATGTGTCCAGGAATTTATCCATCTCTTCTAGGTTTTCTAGTTTGTGTGCATAGAGGTGTTTGTAGTAGTTTCTGATGGTTGTTTTTATTTCTGTGGGGTCAGTAGTAACATCTGTTCATCATTTCTAATTGTTTTATCTGGATCTTTTCTCTTTTTTTTTAGTCTAGTTAGTGGCCTATTTTATTAATTTTTTCAAGAATCCAATTCCTGGATTAATTGATCTTTTGAATGGTTTTATTTGTGACTTGATTTCCTTCAGTTCATCCCTGATTTTTGCTATTTTTTGTTTTCTGCTAGCTTTGGGGTTGATTTTTTTCTTGCTTCTCTAATTCTTTCCATTGTGAAGTTAGGTTGTTAATTTGCAGTCATTCTAGCTTTTTGATGTGGGCATTTAGTGCTATCAATTTCCCTCTTAACATTGTCTTAGCTATGTCCCAGAGATTCTGGTATGTTCTATCTTTGTTCCCGTTATTTTCAAAGAAATTTTTCTTTTCTGCCTTACCATGAAATACTATGCAGCCATAACAATGAGATCATGTCTTTTGCGGGAACACGGATGGACCTAAAGACTATTATCCTTAGCAAACTAACACAGAAAACCAAATACTGCATGTTCTCACTTATAAGTAGGAGCTAAATCATAACAATTTATGAATGCAAAGAAGGAAACAACAGACACTGGTGTCTACTTGAGGGGGGAAGGTGGGAAGAGGGACGGAAGCAGAAAAGATAACTATTGGGTACTGGGCTTAATACCTGGGTGATGAAATACTATGTACAACAAATCCCCATGACATACGTTTACCTATGTATGTTTGTTACATGTTTGTATAACATATCTTCACATGTACCCCCAAACCTAACATAGAAGTTAAAAAACTAACAAAACTTATGTCCACATAAAAAGTTGTGTACAAATATTTATGGAAGCATTGTTATTAATAACCAAAAAGTGAAAATAGCCCAAATATCTATCAATGAATACCAGATAAAGAAAGTATGGTATATTCATAAAATGGAATATTATTCGGTCTTAAAAAGAAATAAAGTGCTGATAGGTGCCAAAACATGCATTAATAATAATAACATTCTCAATGAGAAAAAGCAAACACAAAAAGACACTCATTGTATTATTATATTTGTATGAAATTACCAGAATAGACAAATAGGAAAAAAAGTGAAATAGTAGTTGCCAATGGCTAAAGGATTAGAGAAAGAGATGTGACTGCTGAATGCGTGTGCAGTTTCTTTTTAAAGTGAAAAAATTGTTCTGCTACTTGGTAGTGGTAATGGTTGCCAAGTAGTGATGATTGTCATACCAAGACTGTGAATACACAAAGACACACTAAATTTAACAATTTAAATGGTTAATATATTAATACTCAATTTTATGTTTTATTATTTTTATCTCAATAAAAACAATTTAAAAACAACAAAAACCAAAGAAAGTTGGATATCTTTTTCTTAATGGTATCTAGGTTTTTTATGTACTCCAGATGAGTTCTAAGTCAGATGTATATATTGTGACTATGATTTCTATATATGTATTATTGCTTACCTTTTTACAAAAATGTTACCTTTTGATGAACAAATTTATCAATATTTTCTTTTATGATTAGTCCTCTTTTTATCCTGTTTAAAATTTTTTTTGTTCAAGTTAATAACAATATTCTCTTATTATTATTATTTTTTTTCTGGGATGGAGTCTCGCTCTGTCGCCCAGACTGGAGTGCAGTGGCATGATCTTGGCTCACTGCAGCCTCTGCCTCCCAGGTTCGAGCAATTCTCCTGCCTCAGCCTCCTGAGTAGCTGTGACTAGGGTCAAGGTTTGTTTTTTTCTACATATATATTCACTTGATCTTCCATATTGGAAAGATTATTTCGTCCACAATGAATTGAAATAATGAATTTATATGTGGCTGTGTATGTAGAAGTCCTTTCTAAATTCTCTTTTGTTTCTTTCTGCTTGTATCAATACTAAGCCTTTTTAATTACTGCAGTTTTATAGTTAGTTTCCTATCTAGTAGGAGTAAGTATTCTAACTATCTTCTCCTTTTTCTTGGCCTCTTTCTCTTCCTTTTCCTTTCTCCTCCTTTTCCTCTTTCTTCTCTTCTTTTCTCTGGCTTAGTGATTCCATGTAAACTTTCATATAATATTCTATAATATTGCAGGATAATTTATATTTCTATTTCTATTTCATGTAAAATTCCACATAAGTTTTAGAAGAAATTTGCCAATTTCAACAACAACAACGACCCTGTGATTTTGACTGAAATTACATTATCTCCTGAAACTTTAAAATCTGGTATGTTTTGTCTTAAGAGGGAGATCAGCTGTTTATTTTAGGAAGGGCCTTCTTATGGAACTTTGTCTCTTAAGCACCATGAAATGAGAGACATGGATCTACCTTTTAGCAGCTATCAGCATAGCCCCCTTGCTCCTGTATGCAGCCTCAAAACTCAGCAAATTCACCATGGGGAAACTGCGCTCTGACTCTTGAACATGTCAAGTTCCTTATCTGTTATGCCAGCCAACTCAACCTCAGAATCTCATGCATGGTTCTCTCTTTTCTTCCACAGAGTCTCTCTGAGTAAGTCAGGCACAAACTTTGGTCTATACTGAGAAGTGGCAAATACCCATGGAGAAGAAAATGACCAGCAACATCAGCTCATTCCAGAAAGGCCTTCTTTCAGAATTGAAGTCCATCATTGCTTCTATGGCTCTTATATATTTAAAACATTATGTTTATAACATATCTAGCCCTTTCTGCTTTTCAGCAGGAACACTGGTTTGATGAAATCTACTCATTCTACTCAAAAAATGGAAGGGCATTTTTATATGGATTCTCATGGAAAAGATGCTATCTTGGAGAAGATCCCAACTCTATCCTCATTGCCCATCCCAATAGACATAGCATTATGTAAGCAAAAGACTGGGAAAGAAGGCACCTTACATTGATCTATAACAAATTTATTCTCTCTAAGTAAGATAGGTATTTGAGATAGAAATTAAGTCGAGTTACAGAAAAGAACAAAGTTATATTTCTTGTTAACCTGACATTTTTGAACCAGTATAGGTATTCAAGACTTTAAATTTGGGGATCAATTTGAGTCATATTTTAAAAGAAAAACTTTGCAAATATTTCAAAGAAAACATTTCTGCCTTACAACAAAGTTGACCTCAGATAGTGTCCTCAGAGTTTGAGATGGATGGGTAAATTCATGGTATCAGCTACCAGATTTGTATATATTTTTATACTTTATGGATCTGATGATGGTTTTATCACTCTAGAGACAAACATAGCAAAACTCAGTGAGCTACTAAGTATGCACCAGGAAAAACAAAATGAAATAATAAAATCAGGTGAAAATAAGTGAGGTAAAATATATTTGAGGCTCATCTCTAGGTAAGAAACAGACCAACACGTTTTGAACAATTAATTCTTCTTAAGTGTAGCTTCAACATTTCTCATGCAAATTTATCTGGAGCGCAGAAGTCTGACTTACGAAAAGTCTACCTTGGAAGACAACATACCAAGGGGGATTTTATAGGCCTAACTCACAGAAAGATGTTTGATAAATATTGGAGGGCCTAGTAGACTTAAGGTATTATTCTATGAACTTTAAAAAACGAGAAAAGGTGTAACTGGCTTATAGTTTAGGTGGGGAGACAAGAGGAACATCCATGAGAAGCAAATCTAAATATAACAACAACACAAAGCAGGACATGATATTGATAATTGTGGTGCTGTTTTTGGAACTATCTGATTATAAGCAGATGCCTCTTCTCCACATTAGCTTTCATCTAAAGGAAATCATAGCTATCATCGGATTCTTTGTTCTGGTTATTCCTTGACAGGTTATCAAGATAAATATCCACATAGGCTCAGAAAATGTGGACCTTTCTTATGTATTAGCTTTGTCAAGTGTCAAGGGCAAAACCAAAAACAAACAAAATACAAGCAAAGAAAGAAAAAGAAAACATGCTGTGACCTGAGATGCAGCTGAAAGGTCCTACTGAACTCTGGAGATGACTTCCAGAGGCCAACTTAACAATGTCCCTTTTATTCTTCTTATGCCATAGAAGCAGCAGTACTGTAAAGTGATAAACTTTGTGGTGGACAAAATCTACTATGGCTCCCAATGGTCTCTGCCTCCAGGTATTCATGCCTTTGTCTTTTCACTTTGAAATCCGGCCTTCTAAGCCTGGGCTTTTTATTGTGGGAAGTTTTTAAAATTACTAATTTAATCTCTTTATTGTTGTATCACAAGTCTATTCAGGTTATCGATTTCTTGTTGAAGCAGTGGTTTGTGTCTTTCTAGAAATGTGCTCATTTCTTCTAATTTATCTAATGTTTTGGCACACAAATGTTCATAGTATTCCTTAATCATTCCTTTTTGTAAGGTCAGTAATCATGTCCCCCTTTTATTTCTGATCCTAGGAATTGAGTCTTCTTTTTTTCTTGATTAAACTTACTAAAGGTTTGTCAAATTTCTTAATCATTTCAAAGAACTAGAATCAGTTTCATTCATATTTCTTTTATGTTTTTTCTACTCTGTATTTCATTAATTTCCTTTCTGATATTTATTATTTTTCTTTCTTTTATTTGCTTTGGGTATAATCTGTTCTTTTTTCCCATTTTCTCAAGGTGGAAGGATAGGCTATTGACCTGGGATTCTTTTAATTTTTAATATGGGCATTTACAACTGTAAATTTCCCTCCAGGCTGCGTTTTACTGCATCCTATAAGTTTTTGGTATGTTGTATCATCTTCATTTCCAAGCATCTTAAGAATTTCCTTTTTTTCCTTTCCATCTCTACTTTGATGCATTGGTCATTTAGGAATGTGTTGTCTAATTTTCACATTTTTAATAATTTTTCTGAAATTTCTATTGCTGGTTTTTAATTTCATCCTATTGTGACCAGAGAACAAAGCTCGTATTATTTCTACCCATTTAAATTTATTGAGATTTGATTTATGGCCTAGCAAATGTTGTATGCTAGATAATATTCCATGAGCACTGGAGAAGAATGCATATTCTGCAGTTGCTGGGTTTTTCTATTCATTATTGAAGTGAGATATTGAAGACTCTATTGTTGAATTGTTTTATTTTTCTCTTTCTGTCAGTTTTTGTGTATTCATTTTTGTGTTTTATTGTTAGATGCATATATGGTTGTTTATTTTTTATATCTTCCTGCTGGATTGCTCTTTTTGTTATTAGAATGTGTTTCCCCTTATCTCTATTAACATTTTTTATTTTAAGTCTATTTCATCTTATGTTAGTATAGTTATTCCAGCGTTCTTGTCACTACTGTTCATGCAATTTATCTTTTCCCATCAGTTTACTTTCAATCTCTTTGTATCTTTGAATCTAAAGATAGCATGCAGTTGGATATTGTATTGTTTTCCAATCTGACAATGTCTACTTTTTTATTTAATTCATACACACTTAATGTTATTATTTATATGACTGAATTTACATCTGCCATTTTACTTTTAACTTTACAGAGCTCTTGTCCTTTTCCTTCCTCTATTACTTCTTCACAGGTTTGCTTTAAGGGAGTGTTTTGTATAGCAGCATTTTAACTTTTTAGAGGATTTCTTTTCACTGTATCTTTTCAGCTGTTAGTAATTGCTCGAAGATTTACTATATACATCTGAACATATTAGAAGCAGCTTCAGTTTTACTAATTCAATTCCAGTGAGATATAGAAATGTTATTCTATTCCTTTTTTCTTCTACTGTGGAGGGATTATTGGTATAAATAAATCTATAATTGTTATAATTCTAACTACAGTGTGATAATCATTACATAATTTAATGTCTTAATGGTGCTAAGGGAAGTAAAGGATAGTGAGTATATATTTATATTTTTTGTTATATTAACCTTCTTACATGTCATTCTGTTGATCTTCATTTGTTCTTATGGAGTGTTGGGATTCACTCAGGATGGTGGCAGAAATATTAAAAGAAAATATTAGGGAAAGTTATAAGAAATAGTCACAAACATTTTGGAAGGCTGAAAGGTTACATAGCCTGTAATAATTGAACAGGCTGAAGGCAGCAGGTTCTTACCTTAGAGCATTAGGTCATAGAGTAAATACTAGGGACAACAGAGGCTTCCCCAGTTACTAAGTCGGTTTACGCTACCTCCATTAACTAACCTTTGAGCCAGATGGCCCTCTGGGGGGTGGGGGGCGGGGGTGAGGGGTTGAGTGGGGGAGGTCAACCAGAGAAATTGCCCCCTAATGGTATTTACTTTAAACCTTGGTACCTGAACTTGAATCATTCATAGAACTACTCTCTTAACCATGTTAATTATCCTCAAGTCTGTTTACTCGAAGCTTCTGTTGTTAATTGTACACTAAATAAATGCCTGGAGTGCGAGTTGCTCAGGGCCAACCACAGTGAAAAACCTCTCTTGCTGTACAGTTGGCGGACACAGCAGGACTGGCAAAACAGAGTATCTGTGTGTCAGTGTACGTTTTACTCATCTGTCGTTTGGGTCAGGATCTGAGGGCAGACCCCTGCAGCTAATGTCCTCTTATGAGTAGCAATACCTCAATGGAGTTTGGAGTCATATTCTCTATTAGGAGTCATTTCCTTTGCCTAATACAGCATTGCTCTTACCTACCTCCTTTGTACTATTATTGGTAAATATATTACGTTTCTATGTTATAGGTCTAGTAATTCTCTCTCCCTTTCTCTCTTTCTCCCTGTCTCTTAATCTATAGTTGTCTATCTATAGTGCCTATATATACTATATACAAAGTATGTGTGTGTAAAGAGAGTGTTATACAATTACTTTTAAAAATAGTTAAGAGAAGAAAAGAAAAAATATGCATTTATAGGATCTTACCAGCACTCTTTGTTTTTTCATCTGCATATTAACTAATTTCTGAGGTTATCTCCTTTTAAAAAGCCTGAAGAATTTCCTTTAGTATTTCCTGTAAAGTGAGTCTGCAAGCTACAGACTCTCTCAGTTATTGTTTTTCTGGGATGGTTTTATTTCATTTTCATTTTTGAAAGATAGCTTTGTTAGCTATAGGGTGCTTGGTTGACACATTTGTTCCTTGAGAACTTTAAATAGATTAGCCCACTGCATTCTGGCTTTCTTTGCTTCAGCTAAAAGTTAGCCCTTAATTTTAACAGCGTTCCCTTGCAAGTAGTGAGGTATTTCTCTCTTGCTGTATTTGAGATTTTCTCCTTGACTTTGACTTTCAGCATTTTTACTATGGCGTGTTATTTTTGGATCTCTTTGAGTTTATTCCACTTGAAGTCATTGAGTTTCCTGGCAGTGTATATAAATGTTTTTCAATAAATTTGGTTCTTAACCATTTCTTCTAATTTTTTTTCTTTCTCTCTTTCCTCCTTTTACTCGCATTACATGTATGTTGTACACCTAATGGTATCCCACATTTCTCTATTGCTCTTTTCATTTTTCTTCATTCTTCTCATAGGCTCTTCTTCACATGCCTAATCTCTATCAACCATTCTTCAAATTTGCAATTTTTCTTCTGCTGTTCAAAATTACTGTTGTACCCATTAGTGAATTTTTAATTTTGGTTATTATACTTTTTAACCCCAGCGTTTGCATTTGATTCTTTCTTAGAATGTCTGTCTCTCTTTATTGATATGCTATATTTGAAATGACATGGTCATCATACTTTATTTCTTAATCACTGTTTCCTTTAGTTCTCTGAACATATTTATAATGGCTACTTTGAAGTCTTTTTCTGTTAATCCAACATCTGTTTGCTGTCATGGATAGTTCCTATTGCTTGCTTTTTCTCTAGAGTCAAAATATCCTGTTTCTTTACATGCCTTCTAAATTTTTGGTTGGAAACTGGACATGTTAGATAACATATTGTACAAGTCTGGATACTGGTTCTTCCCTCCAAGTCTTGCTATTGTTATTTACTTGTATACTTACTTAGTGACTGTGTGGATTATTTTAGTTGAGTCTATTTTCCCTAACCAGTGTGAAGGTGAATCCTCTGATGTTGCTTCTCAGGGAGTGCAGCCTGTGTTAATTCACAGTTACTCTGGGATGAAAATAGTTTTTGCAGAGCTCTCTTTGACTCTCTCAGTACCCTGATCACAAACAATTTTTAAACCCCCACTGATTGCCCACAGATTGTTGGATTGTTTTTTTTTTAAACGTCCTGGGGCATAATTTGCTTCACAGATTTAGCCAATGCAATTCAGACTTTGGAAGGGTTAGTTCCCCAGGATAGTGTTTGAGACCCCTAGTGTGTGCTTCCTAATTGTCTCCTTCCCTGTTACTGGGGAACTAGCTGGCCTATGGTTTAGCTTATATCTTCAATATCAGTGTCCTCCCAATGGTCTTTCGCCATAACTTCCACTGTTTTTGAGACTGCCCTTACACTTGAACTTCTCCACACACTGTTGCAAAAGAAGTCAATTCCATTAGGGAGAAATGTAGAGCTCTCAGTTTTGCTTCTTCCCCCAGGCAAAATCTCTGAGCCTATATTCTTGTGCTGGGGAAGAAGACAATGCTATATTTCTGAGTTACCCCTACTTTAGAAGCTGAGCAGTTGGTAAATGAAGGGAGCCCCAGGTCTCTTCAGCTCGTTTCTCTTAGCATTGAACCCCACCCGTGAACCACAGCCAAGGTGATTTGGGCCCCATATTCTCAGCAATGCCATGCCTAAGATACAGCCTCTGTCCTCTGAGTGGGAGCTGAGTGGAAGCTGAGTAGAAGAAGAGAGCCCTCACGTCTCATCTGCATTCACCTAGAACTTAGCTTCAGCAACAGGTGGCTTCGGTAGGATGACAAATGCTGATGTCCTGTACCTCCTCAGAACATAGCACTCTAACTGATAGCTGGCAGGAGAGAGGGCCCTTTGTGCCCACCAGAGTGATGGCTGACCTGAAGGTGTAAGCGTTGGTTCAAATACCGTGGGCTCTCACCGTTTTTATTGAGTTTTAGTAGATTTTCTTGAATAAATATTTCTTTATTTGCTTTATGCTTTTAAGGTCATTTCCAGAAATTTTAAATGGTTGTTTTTGTTTTGTTTTCCAGATAATTTGTAGCAGTTGCACTGGGGAACAGGCCCATGGAGCTCCTGATTTTTCATGCTGGAAGTGGGACACTGCACGCCCTCTATTTTTAACACTTAGGTTTTTGGAGCTTTGATTAATTTGGGCAGAGAAAGTATATTACACAGGTCATTTCTTTACTTACCACAAGCAAAGGAATAAAAGATTCAATATTCTCAATAAAATGGAGATTTATTTTTTTCATTTTCTGGTAGCAGCAGTTTCATACACACACACACACACACACACACACACACACACACACACAAACACTCACTCACTTTGCATTTCTCTTCCTGCTTCTAGCTCAGGACACAGTGGATAGACCAATAGTGATGAGAGCGCTAGGGAGAACTAACACTCTATGTTTCCTCCTTTTTTTTTTTTTTTTTTTTACTATTTTTACTACTTTCCTATTTTTGTTACAATGTTTTAGTAACGAAACAGAATTTCTCTGAAATATTTATACTTTATACATCAGGAATATAGAAACATGCTGTGATTTTCCATTTTTAATTACACTTCTAAAAGATTGTTATTTTAAATCCTACTGTAAATCTCCTTTTTTAACACCTGCTTATTCACAGTGAGGAAGGAGTAAGAAGAAAAAGAAAGAGAATAGGAATTTTGGTTCAAATATATTCTATTTAATTTCAGGCATTCAAGAATGTGCTTCAAGCAAGAGTATTGCCTCTGCTACTTGAGGTCATGAAGTAATGAAATCGAGAGATAGCATAAACTCTTTGTTAATTAAACTGACTTGTGTTTTTCATATGAAACTCAAGACTACACACATAGGCATAAAACTTACCCAAGATAGGTATTCCTGTTCTACTCAAATAATATATTCTCTTGTATGAGCTATTTTTTTAAACTAGTAAAGATTTGGGGTACGCTTTTATAAATCAGAATTTGACATTGTGTAATTTACTACCCTCTTGCCATAGAATATCCAGAAGTATTTATTTAATGTCAATTCTAGTACCTATCCAAAACGTTTTAAATCATTATCTTTAGAGGCTGGGAAATAATGAAGCATTTAGAACAAACCCTCTGGGTGATTTCAATGTACACTAATATTTTGAGAGCCATTTTCTCTATACTTCGTTTATGTGAAGGGTTCATTGATATGCTTTGCTGAAGGAGATGTGATAGAAGGAATGTTGGGATGGGCATCAGAAAGGGGTTGCACTGTCACTCAGGAGCTATGATGGCTGAGCCACTTGTTCTTTCTGAGCATTGGTATCTTCATTTATAAAATGTGAACAATATTTCAGTGCATCTCTGAGAGCTACTGTGAATATTTAAGGAGACAGGTCGATTCAGCAAAACCACTTTGCAAAATGGGACACCCTTCACAAACATAGGGAACTTTAAATAAATATTTTATTTTGTTTATTTCAACAGGTGACTCAGGAGCTAGAAAATGTACATACATCAAAATATGTCCAGAGCTTACATTCTGATGGGCACCTCATACAAATTAAGTGAGTCAGAATAAATTATGGGTGACTTGCAGTGACTGATATTGAGGATACTGATTATATTCCTGAATCACAGCACCTGCATTTAGTCCATCCCCAAAGAATAGAATGATTGTCACAGCCAGCAATATTTATCAAAGTGACATCAAAGTCATAATATATGGATCTACTCTTCGCCTCCTGAAATTTACAGACTTTGATTAAGTCATGTGATAATATATGCAGGACATTCTGGAACTACTGTGTATCAAAAGGACAAGTCTGCTGATGGCATCCCCTTGAAACATCTGCAAGTTGCCAAATTCAAGAAAGTATGTATCTGGAAATGATATCAAGGACATACTGTTAATGGGTGAATCACTTATCTGCGAAAAGTCCTCCACCTCTCTATTAAAATTCTGTTGCTTTTAGAGGCCATTGATTATTTTTACTCAAAGAGAAATGAACATTTCCATTAGCTAGAGTTTTTCTTGTATGGTACCTGACTAAAGCCTATGTTAAGGACTACCAATCTAGGAATGTACAGGGAAAGCTACCAACATGGCCACAACTGGGAGGGAGGGGAAAGGGCTGATATAAATGCTTAATAGGACAAGTGTCAAGTTTCAGGCAACCAGAATCTTGCTTTTTTGGCTGAAGTTTCTTAATGTCTCACATGATCACATGGATGTATGCACAACATTTAAAACTGCAAAATTCTAGCTTAAAAGAGGCTGTTGAGATAATCGTAATATCTTCGGGATTATCATCTAGCATAAATAAACAGAGAGTGATGTTTGCTGAACAGAGAGACATTTGGATTCACATACTAGAAAATCACAGACTGCTCTTCTATGACCTCTGACTCACCCTGTCATTTTCTGAATGAGGAAAGAAACTGAGACCCAGAAAAATTATGCTTTTTAGTAACAAAGCCCAGATTACAACCCAGTTCTACTAATGTATTCAATTTTGGTTTGATTTATAATCAAAGCTACGAATATTTTAAAATGCCTGAAATAACTTATAGATTTTTAAACCCAAAAATGCAAGGCAGAAGATTTATACATTTTATTTTAAAGCATCTCAATTTATGACTTCATTCTTAGCTATTTTGGCAGAATCCTAAAGTTTTTGAATGCTTGATTTACATTACTAATTTATCTTTTATTTTTTCTTAACCGTGCTTCTTATCAGGACATGCTATATTTTATATCTATTAGTACATTTCCTTTCAATAAGTATATATCTGTGTAACTATGAAGACACTCAAACTATTTTCTGATAAATCTAGGGCCTGGTGGCCAATAGCTAAAATTTATATGAAGCCTGCTTCTCTCTAAAATGTTAACCAGTAAAATTATTTTTTCAATACCATGATGCTTAATGGATTATTAACCAACTAAATTGTAAGATTATATTAAAATGATTTCTTGGACACAACAATGATTCCAGATGGCTGGTGTATTTAATAGGCAATATGGGAAAATGCAGTAGGTGAGGATGGTTGCCTCAAAAAATATTAAACAACTTTTAAAGCTTTTGACATACTGGCAATACTTCTAAAACATTGCAAAATGCTTTTATATGTTAAATACCACTGGCAAATGGGTAAAACTAATAAGCATATGTTCTCACCTTTAAATAGAGGACACAATGCACATAAATTGAAGGCTCTAAATAAGTTACAAATTGATAACCAGATGTTGTAAGGATAGACAAAAATAAACTCTCAAAAAGTTAACAGCCAGTTTGTTAAGGACACAGTCACCTTCTGCTCTGCTAATAGTTTTATCATAAATGGATACCATAGAAAACAGATATTGCAGAGAAAAAAAGCCATAGGCTACTGTAAGGAAATTAACAAAGGAAAGAAAAGGAGACAATTTAAGAACTTATTCTCAACGACTTCAGTCTACATATTAGATGCCAAAATATCTTCATTTCAAAAAACACTTAATCATAATTAATGTTTACCCCTTACTAATATTTACATTTAGAATACATGTGCCTTTTAAAAATTATATTTCATCATTTCATGGCTCTCTCTAGCATAGACACTGCAAACTCAAAAGAGACTAGGTCCTAAAGGTAAGCACCGTTGTTGCCCTATGATTAAATAAGGTATGAATATTTCATTTTTTGTGCTTAACTACAGGTTTACTTTCAGTAACTATAACAGTAAGTACACAATGAGACATTGTTAACTAGCCTTTTAAAATAACTGTATTTTAGTTTCCACTACTTAATTAATTGGTCTAAAATGCTACAGAACTGGTGGTTACAAGCATGTCTGTTGCAGAAAAGGAAAATTAGTATTAATAACAATGACAAGAACTCAAGTCATGCTCTACCATCTTTAAAATTAATTAAATTATGTTGACCACCAGCACACTGTTTCAGCAAAAAAAAAAAAAAAGCATACTTCAAATGAAGAATTGATAGAAATGAGTAATGAAATGAAAAGAAGAAAGCAAAAGGAAGTGTTGACTGTGTTGAGTGTCAAGTGTCAGTAGAAATGTTGGGCCCTAGTTTGGCATTCAAGAATAAGTAATCTAGAGAAAAGCTGTGTCTGTAAATTAATTTTGTAAAACATCTGCTCAGAATGATAGCTAAATCGTGAGGGTGAATAGACAACTAATGATAAACATGTACAAATAAAAGAAGATCAAAGCTCTAACCTTGTCTGAGCTTACAGAATTTGACCTAGAGTAGGAGGCCTCAAAGAAGATGAAAGAATGTACCATTAACAGACAAGAAAATTATAAGGAGAATGCTGTTTTATTAAAGCCATGAAATTGCTTAATTTTAGGAAGACCTAAGGATGCAAACAGGATCCACTATACAAGTTCCAGGAAGATGACATAGAAATTCCCAAAGATTTCATCTAGTTCAAGTAAAATTCCATCAATTGACTCCTAAATGGTTTACATATTTAGAGCAATTTTAATGGAATCAGGGAAACAAAATTCAGATTTCAAGGTTTATTTAGAGATCAGGGGGCTGGACAATGGTTTATATCAGAGAGCATCATCTTTGTCAATGACTTTCAAAATATTCTCAACATATAAAAAGTCACAAATATTTGTGACTGTAGAATTGGTTATTCCAGGTACAATTACAGCTATCCTTATATTCTCATAAAGTTCTTATCCTTACAGAAAAGTGTAAAAAAAGTTATTAATCACTAATACATTCCCAAAACTTGCTTTGAGCTCAACGTTAACTTGGAACAGCCAGTGAAGACATTAAAAAGTGAGCTACAGCCATAGCACCAAAGTCAACCATGATAATCAGAAAAATGCAAAGTGATATCTTTCCAGGCAAGAGGGCCCTGCCTCTTCTCTATATACATGGTGATTCATATACAGTTTAAAAGAGAGGTACTTTAGTAAGTACTAACTAAAAGAAAGTTTTGTGGGGTAATATGAATAAGACAACAATAGTATTTAGGCCAGAAAATTAATAAAGAGGGAACCAACCCAACAAGAACATATAATATTTATGAAATTGCATGCACTAACGTATTTCCTGGAAAGAGATAGACCATATATTGACAGAATAACAAAGAGAAAACAAAATCACACTCATAGTCAACAAATATACCAAGTTTCTATGAGAAACTGATGGTTGTAAATTAATAAATGTATAAATGTTACATATCCATATTTATAGAGTCTTATACCCTAAAAAGTGAGTATTTATATATTTTTAAAACATATGATACTAAATCTCAAAATAAATCTTAAAAGAACTAAGAATTTTGTCATGTTGAGCCCCGTTATGCCATTTTGTGGTCATAACGGAATATAATTCCCTTGCAGCTGTATGCATTTATGTGACTAAGTTCCCCCCGCAAAATGGAATGGAAATTGTAAGTACAACTTTGGCATCCCTTGTTACAAGTAAAATACTTGCCTTGGACTTGCTTTCCTATTTTCCATAAGCTGGAATTCAGAAAACTAGCAACCAGCTTACAACTGCAAACAAAGAGAATAGAACAACTAAGATGCAAGGAGCCTGGTTATCAGACATCCTTGTAGAGCAGAGCTGTCCCACTGACCTAGACCAGCCAGATTGTCATATGAAAGAAATACACTTCTATCCTATTTAAGCCACTCTACTTTGTTACAGGAACTTAGAATTGATGCTAAAAATATTTTTCAAAGGATTTAAAACCCCTGGGAAGATGTAGATCTTTTCCAGTTAATGCAGACATGTCTACATAGGAATCCAATCACTTTGGTATTATAAAACACCCCACGCTCAATAATACAGGTACTGTATTTTCCGCAAGTTGATGTCAGGATCTAAATCCTTTTGTCTATACTACATTGTTCTCTATTTTCAACTCTCCTACAACTCAAATGTTTAATGAGAAAACTGCTGTCTTAAACAAAGGCTAACATTTTGCATATCATAAAAATTATGTGTATATACAATAAAACGGCCAAAGGGATAAAAGATTCTAAAGAACATTTAGATTAATAGACATTTTGATGCATTTCTATCTTACATAGATTAAGTTAAAGAGTTTTCTTCTAAGTGGAAATATAATAGACTGCAACTTCGGTGTATAAAAAGTATTTTTAAGTTGAACACACAGGTGAGCCGAAATGTGTTGATTTTTGAGTGGTAACTATGTGCTGGGCATTGTGTTGTAGGGAGGCACTTTGCATTAAGTGTCTGCATATGGAAAATACCTGTCAAGTATTAGCTGAATTGAATTTGCATAATTTCATTTTGTCTTTTAAAAATTTTGCAAGGAAGTTACTGTTAAGTGTATTTTTCATATGATGAAATTCTGACTGAGAAGGGTTAAGTCATTGGCTAGAGATCAAAGACTTGAAGTATCTGTTGGGAAACTTGAACAGTATCTCTCTAATGACTGGGCAAGAAATTGAGTAACCTCAGTAACCTCTAAAAACAGAAAGAATTGTTGAATCAACAAATTTTTTTCCAGTGTCAAGATATGACATAAACTATTCATTCGTTCAGATACTGAGACATAAGATATGCCATCTATGAGAAACTTTAAGAAAGCTTGAGTGTAATTTTTGACTTTGTTGGTGACTAGCTATGTGACCTGAGAACAATTCTATATGCTCCAGTTTTTTAAATATGTAAAAAAGTAATATTAATTTTTAGTGGCTTTAAATAAAATATAGGCAATCACCAAGACCAAATAAAAAAGAAAGAGAAAATCTGAACAGACTAATAATGACTAAAGAGAATGAATAGAGTAATAAAAAATTTTTCACCAGATGGCTTCACAGGACAATTCTACCAAATATTTAAAGAAGAATTAACAACAATCCTTCTCAAATTCTTCCAAAAAACTTGAGAGGAAATATTTCCAAACTGCATCTATGAGGTCAGCATTTGCCTAATGTCAAAGTCAAACACAGACACTGCAAGAAAAGAAAATTACAAGTCAATATCCTGATAAACATACATGCCAAGATCCAAGACAAACACTTTCAAACTTAATTCAATAGCACATTAGAAAGATAATCCATCATGGCCAAGTAGGACTTATCCATGGGATGCAAAAACAGTTCCACACATATAAATGAATAAATGTGATATATATATCATTAACAGAATGAGAGCCAAAAACCATATTATCTCAACAGATGAAGGGAAAGTATTTCACAAAAGTAACATCTTTTCATCACAGAAACTCTCAACAAATTAGTGTAGAAGGAATGTACCTCAACACAGTAAAGGCCATATATGACAGACCCACAGCTAAAATTATTCTCAATGATGTAAAGTTGAAAGTTGTTCCTTGAGGATCAGGTACAAGACAAGGATGTTCACTCTTGCCAATTCTAGTCAACATTGTACTGGAAGTATTAGCCAGAGTAATAAGAAATGAAACAAAAAGCATCCAAATTTGAAAGAAAGAAGGAAAATTGTTCCTGTTTGCAGATGACATGATCTTACAAATAGAAAACCCTAAAGATTTCACCAAAAAAGTGTTAAAACTAACAAATTAATGGAAGTTGCAGAATATAAATCAACAGATAAAAATCAATCATATTTGTTTATACTAACAACAAATTATCTGAAAAACAAATCAAGGAAACCAATCCATTTACATTAGCTACCAAAAAAGAAAATCCTGAAATTAGAAAAAAATTCAACTAAGTAGAAGACCTGTATAAACTGAAAACTCTAAAACATTGATGAAAAACATCGAAGAAGACACCAATAAATAGAAAAATATCCCATGTGCATATATTTAAAGAAGGTTGTGAAAACATTCATATTAAGCAAAGTCATCTGAAGGTTCAATGTAATCCTTATCAAAATTCCAATGACATTTTTCACAGAAATAGAAAAAAACCCTAAAATTTGTATGAAACCACATAAGACCCCAGATAGCTAAAGCAATCCTGAGCAAAAAGGACAAATCTGGAGGCATCAAACCACCTGACTTCAAAATATAACACAAACCTATAGTAACAAAAACTGGCATAAAACAGACACATAGACCAGCAGAACAGAATAGCTAGAAATAAATACACACACTTATAGCCAGCTCCTTTTCAACAGAGGTGCTGTAGGGGCCAAGGGAAACCTTTCTGTTTGCCCTGTGAAGGTTTGCTGAAAAGCCAACTCACATAAGATTAATTGAAGAAAAGGTACACAAACCTATTAATGTGCATGTAAGAGAGAATCACGGAATGATTACCTGAAACACTCACAATGGGGTGCATAAGCTTATATAACAACTTAAGTTTACAGAAAAAATGAGGACTCAGAACAGGGCCAAAAACAGGTTATGGTGGTAAATCAGGTTATAGCAGCACAAAAATTATGGGAGGGAGAGCAGAGGCGGGCTGGCTAGCAAAGGTAGTTTTGTTATGTAAATGAAACCTCACAGGTAGCAGCTCTCAAAGAGAATAGATGGTAAATATTTGTCTCAGACTTTTAAAGGTGTCGGAATCTCAATTAATCTTCCATAAATCCCTATAAGAGAAGGCCTGGCTGCACCAATGCAGATTTTCTACAGATGCAAATCTCACCCACCAAAGATAGCTTAACAGGGCTACTTCTGTTTGTTGGATTTCTGAACAGCCATCTCAAAATATGTCAAGGAAACATGTTTGAGAGTAAAATATTTTGATATCCTTCCGTTCCCACTTTGAACCTTTAAAAAGTTTCACATACTAACAGCCAAGTTGATAGCTTTGGAGAGATTTGGGTTAGAGGTTGTTTGATCGAGGTAACCAAAGGAATGGAAAAACAAATCGAAATAAGCAGAAAAGATAACATTTAAATATGTTGTCCCATATTTTCTTGAATTCCCATATTTTCTTGAATTCTCTTAGCCCTGAGAATAGCTTAGTCCTGTTTCAGGATGTGGCACTGCAGATGGGTTAGGCCTCTATATAGGATGCAGGCAAACATATCCTATATAAGAGGCATTTTTATGGAAACAGAAGAAAAACAAAAGTTAATGTCTGGAATATTCTATATACAAGTTCTTTTAAAGAGTCTCTGAAACATCTTTAGATTTTAGTGACAATCAAATAGATTTTTTTCTGGAGTGTTATTCAAATCCAGAAAGGTCTTCAAATGAACTTTGTGTGTAGTCCATAAATCAGCAAGCTTGAAGGATGTTTGTATGTGTTGCTGTGGTGATTTTTCTCAAAGTTTTTGTCAAATTATCTAGCTTTAATTTGCATGGTTCAAGAAAAGCTGAGTATTAATTTCTAGTGATTTTAAGTGAGAAAAATGGGAGGAAAAATTTAAAACATTAGTTTGGAGACTTGTAGCCAGAAAAGAATTGAGGATTTAGTCCAAATTGTAGACAAATAATAAAAACTTAAAAATAATGGACAATGCTAGAATTTGTAAAATGTGTACTATAGTTTTCTTTTAAAACAATTTTTCCTCCCCAGATCCCCATTTTTACTGAGGACAAATCATAGTGGAACTGATTAACAACTGATTAACAAAATAAGTTTTAGTCTTATTATACTTGACCTTATGAACCCCAAATATCTGAGAAAGATATTAATTAGGAAGTTTATTTTGTCAAGGTTGAGGATGCATGCCCATGACACATCCTCAGGGGGTTCTGAGGACATGTGCCCAAGGTGGTCAGAGCACAGTTTGGTTTTACACATTTTAGGGAGACATGAGACATCAATCAACATATGTAAGATGAACATTGATTCATCTGGAAAGGCGGGACAACTCGAAGCAAAGGTGGGACAACTCAAAGTGGGGAGGAGGCTTTCAGGTCATAGGTAGATAAGAGATAAACGGTTGCATTCTTTTGATTTTCTGATTAGCCTCTCCAAAGGAGGCAATCAGATGTGCATTTATCTCAGTGAGCAGAGGGGTGACTTTGAATGGAATAGGAAGCAGGTTTGCTCTAAGCAGTTCCCAGCTTGACTTTTCCCTTTAGCTTAGTGATTTTGGGGCCCCAAGATTTATTTTCCTTATTTATTTTCATAACCTGATTATGGAGAGTGCATAAAAGGAAGATATAGAAGCTGGGCTGAAGAGGAAGGAAGCTGGGAACCTGGCAAGGGCTACCTCACAATGGGACTTGTTCCTGGTCCCCAACTACTCCAGGTGAATGGGTGAGTTAACATGGTAAGGAGAAAGGGTCTCTGGAATATGATCACTGTTACCACAGGCCTCTGGAGTCCTGGCAGGAGGAGACCCCCTTGACTACCACAGACATTCAATTTTAGTGGTAGGGGCAACAAGTCCACGGTATGGAGCCCAGAGGGTTGGTGCAGGAGTGTCTGTAACAAAGCACAGCCAGAGAAGGCCATACATACATATAATAACAATGTACTGTATCTTGAAATTGCTAAGACAGTAGATTGTAAGTGTTCTCATTACAAAAAAAAAGTATGTGAAATAATATATATCTTAATTAACTTGATTTAGCCATTTAGCAATATATACATATTTCAAAACAATATGTTGCACATGTGCCTAATACATAAAATTTTTATCAATTATAATAAATAATGTTAAAAGTGATGCAATACATACAGTATAGGCAAGTGAGCATTTATTTTATTTTATTACAGTAAGTAAAACATATGAATTAGAAAAAATAATCTTTCAGTTATTCATTACATTTTTATAAATTTATCAATTTCTTCTAGATTTTCTAGTTTATGAGTTTATGAGCATAGAGGTGTTTATAATATTCTCTGATAGTTATTTATATTTTTGTGAGGTCAGTGGGTAATATCCCCTTTGTTGTTTCTAATTGTGTTTATTTGGATCTTCTCACTTTTCTTCTTTATTATGCTACCTAGCAATCCACCTATTTTATTAACTTTTTTCAAAAATCCAACTCCTGGATTCTTTGATCTTCTGAATGTTTTTCAGGTCTCAATCTCCTTCAGTTCATCTCTGACTTTTGGTTATTTTTTGTCTTCTGCTAGGTTGGGGGTTGGTTTCCTCTTACTTCTCTAGTTATTTTAGTTATGATGTTAGCTTGTTAAACTGGGATCTTTCTTTTTGATGTGGGCATTTAGTGCTCTAAGTTTCCCTCTAAGACTACCTTAGCTGTGTCCCATAGATACTGGTATGTTGTGCCTGTGCACATATACACTGGCAAAGTGATGGGACTGGCAAAGTGATGGGAGTTGCCATGGGCTCAGGGTAAGCTGCAGTGTGGGGAGGGAGGAGGCAGGCTGGTATGTGGCATGGGAGCCTCCCCACAGGAACTCTCTGCCAGTCAGTTATGATTCACCAGTGCAGGAGCTATGAGGAGGGCCTCCAGGCCACCTGAAGCAGTATTATTTTTGTTTATTAAAAAAAAAAAAAATTGATCACATGGATTCACAGCTGAATTCTACCAGAAGTACATCGAAGAGCTGGTACAATTCCTACTCAAACTAACCAAAAAAATGAGAGCAAGGAGCTCCTTTGTAACTCACTCTAGGAGGCCAGCATCCTCCTGATACCAAAACCTGGAAGAAACACACCAAAAAAAGAAAATTTCAAACAAAAAGCCTTGATGAACATCGATGCAAAAATCCTCAACAAAATACTAGCATACTGAATCCAGCAGCACATCGAAAAGCTTATCAATCATGATCAAGTAGGTCTTATCCCTGGGATGCAAGATTAGTTTAACATATACAAATCAATAAATGAGATTCATTACGTAAATAGAACTAAAGACAAAAAAAAAACACATGATTATCTCTATGGTTGCAGAAAAGGCTTTAGATAAAATTCAACATACTTCATCTTGGAAACTCTGAATAAACTAGGTATTAAAGGATCATACCTCAAAATAATCAGAGCCATCTATGACAAACCCACAGCCAACATTGCACCGAATGGGCAAAAGCTGGAAGCATCCCCCTTGAAAACCAGAACGTGACAAGGATGTCCTCTCTCACCACTCCTATTTAACATATTATTGAGTCCTGGCCAAAGGAATCAGGCAAGAGATAAAAATAAAAGGTATCCAAATAGAGAGAAAGTCAAATTATCCTTGTTTGTAAATGACATGATCCTACATCTAGAAAATCCTATAGTCTTGGTCCAAAAGCTCCTTAAACTGATAAACAACTTCAGTGTATTCTTAGCATACAATATCAATGTACAAAAATTAGTAGCATGCTTATACACCAACAACAGTCAAGCCGAGAGCCAAATCAGGAATGCAATCCAATTAACAATAGACACAAAAATAATAAAGTACCTAGGAATACAGCTAACCAGGGAGGTGAATGATGTCTACAAGGAGAACTACAAATCACTGCTCAAAGAAATCAGAAATGATACAAACAAATGAAAAACATTCCATGCTTATGGATGAGAGAAATCAATATCATTAAAATGACCATACTGCCCAAAACAATTTATAGATTCAATGCTATTCCTATTCAGCTGCTAGTGACATTCTTCACAGAACTAGAAAAACTATTTTAAAATTCATATGGAACCAAAAAGGAGCCCAAATAGCCAAGGCAATCCTAAGCAAAAAGAGCAAACCTAGAGGCATCATGCTACCCAACTTCGAACTATGCTACAGAGCTACAGTAACCAAAACAGCATGGTACTAGTACACAAACAGACATGTAGACCAATGGAACAGAACAGAGAGCCCGATAATAAGGCCACACACTTACCACTATCTGATCTTTGACAAATCTGACAAAAACAAGCAATGGGGTAAGGACTCCCTAGTGAATAAATGGTGCTGGGATAACTGGCTAGCCATATAGAGAAGATTGAAACTGAACTCCATCCTTACATCATATACAAACATTAACTCAAGATGGATTAAAGACTTAAATCTAAAACCCAAAACTATAAAAACCCTAGAAGATAAGCTAGGCAATACCATTGTGGACAAAGGAACAGGCAAAGATTTCATGATGAAGACGCCAAAAGTAATTGCAACATAAGCAAAAATTGACAAATGGGATGTATTAAACTAAAGAGCTTCTGCACAGCAAAAGAAACTATCAACAGAGTAAACAGGCAACCTACAGAAAGGGAGAAAATTTTTGCAAAATATTCATCCAACAAAGGTCCATAAGAAACAAACAAATTTAAAAGAAAAAACATACAACCCCATTCAAAAAGTGAGAAAAGGACATAAACAGACACATTTCAAAAGAAGACATACATGAGGCCAACAAGCATATGAAAAAAGCTCAGCATCATTGATCATTAGAGAAATGCAAATTAAAACCACAATGAGATACCATCTCACATCTGTCAGAATGGCTATTAATAAAAAGTCAAAAATTAACAGATGGCTGCTAAGGTTTTGGAGAAAAGGGAACTCTTACACACTGTTGGTGGGAGTGTAAATTAGTTCAACCACTATTGAAAACAGTGTGGCAATTCCTTCAAGACCTAAAAACAGAAATACCATTTGGCCCAGCAATCCATTGCTGGGTATATACCCAAAGGAATATAAATCATTCTATCATAAAGACACATGGACGTGTATGTTCATTGTTCCACTCTTCACAAAAGCAGACATGGAATCAACTTAAATGGCCATCAATGGTAGGCTGAATTTTTTAAAAATGGTACATATACACCATGGAATGCTATGAAGCCATGAAAAAATAAGATAATGTCCTTTGCAGGAATATGGGTGGAGCTGGAGGCCATTATCCTTAGCAAAGTAATGCGGGAACAGAAAACCAAATACTGAATGTTCTCACTTATAAGTGGGAGCTGAATGATGAGAACACATGGACATAAAGAGGGGAACAACACACACTGGGGCCTAACAGGGTGGAGTGTGGGAGGAGGGTGTGGGGATCAGGAAAAATAACTATTAACTAATGGATACCAGGCTTAATACATGGGTGATGAAATAATCTATGAAACAAATCCCCATGACACAAGTTTACCTCTAAAACAAACCTGCACACATACCCCTGAACTTAAAATAAGTTAAAAGATAACAATAATTCATCAAATATTTACCAAGTGCTGAACTTGATAATTAGAAAATAATCAACAACACAGTTTTTATTAATAATACTAATTGAATACAAAGCTCTTATTAAGTCAACACATTGTAATCTATTTATCAGCATTTATTAGCTCTTTTCTCTTTTTATTCCTCCGCTCCTACCACATTCTTTTTTCCTGTCTTTACAAGAAATATTTTTTATAAACAAAAGATAGTGCATTACAAAATTTATTAACAAATTTTTGTCAAATAAAGTTAAAGTTCACAAATGTAGCTAGGTTTTATGACAAATACAATAGAAGGTAAAGAATTCATTATCCATAAGGAGCTTATAATCATATTTGGGAAAAAAATGATATAGCAGAAAGAA
The DNA here is from genome assembly GCF_000001405.40 of Homo sapiens. Lineage (NCBI taxonomy): Eukaryota > Metazoa > Chordata > Mammalia > Primates > Hominidae > Homo > Homo sapiens. The sequence continues at coordinate 166,767,517 of NC_000002.12, read as the reverse complement.
TACAGGGTATAAGAACTGTCAAATTACAGAACATAGTAATTAAGGCAAATACAAATTCAGAGACAGGGGTGGGTTACTGGAGTTTAGAGATCTACCCTGAACCAGGAAAAACCTGAGGAAATGGCTCATTGCCAACTAATATTAAGCCTATTTAAGGATTTCCTTTAGAAGAGGTTGTCATTATGGACATTTGTGTTCTAAGACCAATAATGAGTATTCAAAACACAATTCAAAACAATCAACATAAAACACAAAGTTAATAAAACCTATTCTTTAGCCTCATGTTGTAGCAGGACAAGCCACAGACAAAACCCCTCAGACACCGAGTTAAAGAAAGAAGGGCTTTATTCGGCCGGGAGCTTTGGCAAGACTCACGTCTCCAAAAACCGAGCTCCAGGAGTGAGCAATTCCTGTCCCTTTTAAGGGCTTGCAACTCTAAGGGGGTCCACGTGAGAGGGTCGTGATCGATTGAGCAAGCAGGGGGTACGTGACTAGGGGCTGCATGCACTGGTAATCAGAATGGAACACAATAGGACAGGAATTTTCACAGTGCTTTTCCATACAGTATCTGGAATCTATAGATAACATAACCGTTAGGTCAGAGGTCGATCTTTAACCAGGCCCAGGGCGCAGCACCGGGCTGTCTGCCTATGGATTTCATTTCTGCCTTTCAGTTTTTATTCTTTCTTTGGAGGCAGAAACTGGGCATAAGACAATATGAGGGGTGGTCTCCTCCCTTAATGTTACTATTGTACTACAGATTTGAAATCCTTCTATTATGAAGCTAGCCACAGTCCAGGTAAGGAAAATAGAAACCAAAGCAGTTATTTTTAAAACAGAAAATTCTATATATAGTAAATTAGCTAAAATGATGTTAGAAAATGAAGGGAGATAGAGAATGCTGAGTTAGATAATCGATTAATAATAATAATTGCAAGAAGTAGCCAACAGCCTTACCTCTCAGTGACCAAAGGGAAGAGGTTTGGTTATCAGAAGCTTGCAGTTTGGAGGAAGCACTCTTATAGTAGGTAGGTAATCAGGCTCCCGGCCCCACACCAGGAAGGTCAGGTGACCATCAAGCACCCGTCAGGCAGTTGTTAAGCTGTCTCCCTAAAATAACAATTGGTCGCAGCCGGGGCCAAGGAAAGGCAGTCTGCCAATAGATAGAAACACCTGAAACTGGTGACCAGCAGCTTCCTGATAAGATCTCAGGAGTTGAGCCAGTGGACTCACCCGTGTGCTCTAAGAGGCAGAATGGGAAGTTTAACTGGTATATAACCTTTCTGTAGGAATGCTAGACTGGTAAGGGAAGAATGCCCGAAGTGAGCATGCGTACAACTCCAGTAAACACATTGCGCATGAAGCCCCTCCCAAGGTCTAGCAGGCCACTGTGCATGTGGAAAGCCCATCCTAAGGGAAGAATCAAGGCAGAAGAGGCTCAAGACCCCGGAAGTATGCCAATGTGCAAAACCCCAAGTCAATGATCAGACAGTGCACTTGATCTCTTAAGTATGAAGGGTGACTTTGTTGCTTAAAAACAATAGTTTAATAACTAGCACGTTTATGTCCTAGGATGAGAACTAAACTTTAAATATTTCATAGTAATTTTTCCATTCTACTATGAAATTGAAATCCTTCCCACATAATTTTATTGCACTCCATTTAGCTGTTATTGCTAAATGTGCATCTCTCTGTGGGAAAAAGAAAGAAATTCTTGAAAGGTGAATGAATGTATTATAATAATCACCAACTATTTAAAGACTATCACTAGATGGAAGAAAATATTTTACTTTCATTACAATTGTGTTTAGTGCAAGCAAAATTTTAACAGACAAATTAAGGTAGATGAGATGGAATTAGAGGGTAAAGGATATTTGTCTGTGCGCTAATGAATAACCACTACATACCAAATGAGACAGAGAGTAAAAGAAGACTAAGCGGTGAATGACGACACTAATGAGTGGCAGCTGTGTCACATTTTTCATGATTTTCCTACTTTTGCACATGAAACAGAAAATCCCTGGCTGCAATCAAGGTGTAGGCTAGATTGTAATCATCCTAAGGCTCTACTGGCAGAGGATCTGCTTTCAAGCTCAGACATGTAAGTGTTGGAAGGCCTCAGGTCCTTGCAGGCTATTGGCCAGAAAAGCAAGTTCCTGGCTCCGTGGGGAGCCCATAAGGTTGCTCACAGCATAGCACAAGGAGTGAGTGAGAGAGATCACCCAAGAGGCAAGCCACAGTCTTTTTGTAACCTGATCTCAGAAATGACAACCCATCACCTCTGCTGCATTTTATTCTCTACAAAGGGATTACACAAGGGCATACATATCAGGAGGCAAGAATCATTGAGGGCAATGCTAGAGGCAGCTTAGCACAGATCTTAAATACTTTAAACAACAGGGAGATCTGTGCTCTGTGCTGACAGAATCTACAAGAGTTGGCATCAAATTTTTGAAGATTGTGGAAGGCACTGTTTGAGATATTTTCATAATAAATCCACTGGTATATACACTTAAATAAGGTAATATATCAAATTAGGAACATGCACAGGTCAGGCATGTGGTGACTCACACCTGCAATCCCAGTGCTTTGGGAGGCTTAGGTGGGAGGATCACTTGAGGCCAGGAATTAGAGACCAGCCTGGGCAACATAGCAAGACCCTATCTCCCCACAAATTAAAAAAATTAGCCAAGTGTGGTGGTGTGCACCTGTAGTCCTAGTTACTCAGGATTCTGAGACACAGGCATTGCTGGAGCCCAGGCTTTGAGGTTACAGTGAACTATGATCAGGTCACTATACTCCAGGCTGGATGACAGAGCAAGACTTCATCTCTTTAAAAAAAAAAAAAAAGAAAGAAAGAAAAAAAAAGGAAGAAGCACAAATGAATTTCTCCAAAGCTATTGTTTATAGCGTATAGTGATTAATTCAGTAGGTTAATAATGTTGTCTCTGAGACCACAATGACCATTTTGCAATCTTCAGGGCCCTTCTCTCAGAGTGCAGGTCAGCTACCATAACTTCAGGCATCATGCCTTAGTTCAAAACAGGAAGAATGAGAAAAGGTGGTGCTAGTAAGCATTCTCTTACTGGGAAAGGGAATGCCCCCTAGCTGACTCTCTTTACATCACAATGGTCACTCCTAGACCAGAAAAATAGACTGATATAACAGTGACACATTTAGACTGAACAGGATTTGGCCTCTGGGGCTGGAAAAAGGAGTACATTCCCTGAGATCAAGGGATTTCCACCTTTGAAAAATCAGGTCTTAGCAGATAAGATGGGAAGAAAAGATTTTCAGGTATATAATGAACAATCTGCTACAATTACAACCAAAGTGTCTCCCCTGTATTGGAGATTGAAAATTCAATGAAACTTATTATAGTATTTTACTTTATATCTACTTTCTATTTTAATCATATTAAATTATTCGCTGTAAGAAATAAATGAGGCCAGATGAAATTATATGACTTAGGAGGCTAAAGGCAATAAACTTCAGCTTTAATTTTTGAGTTGTTAACTTGTCTTACTTTTAGACTGCATATATAAGAAAATACATTATGCAATGCGAAAACTACAGTTTTATATAAGAGATGTTAATGGTAAAACTTATTTGTAACAAAATCTTTACCTTCTAGAAAGTCTACTATCTGGCCTATTGCTTCAGTCCCTTTATTAAAAAGTCTATGCCTAATATGATAAGTTCTCATTTAATTACAGATGATGAGAGGATGATAAAGTTTGTTTTTTGTTTTTATTTTTTTTAGAAAACATATGCTTTAAGGCCTGCAAGTTGATTCTTATGCTTTCTGTAATAATAAAAAATTTAAGCTTTTAAAAATTAAAAATGCCATAATATAGACAGGCTCTCAAAGTACACTGTTGAATCTAAAAATAGATGAGAACTACATGCAGGAACTTAAAATATGGTAAAAAATATATTTCAAATTTATGGAAGAATATGAATTTTAATAAATGGTATTAGGATAGTTTGATAGCATACTTTATGCAAAAATAAATATTTCAAATATTTATATAAGAAATATGAACAAGAAAGTAATAGAAGAAAACATGGAAACTTTTTTTGAGTCACAAAATGAGGAAATTCTTCAATGTTATATAAAGAAAAGATCAATAAATTGAACAATGTATAAATCAAGCATTCAATATGGCAAAACACTTGCATAAAGGAAAAATTGGTAATTACATAATAACAGGATAATTTAATATAGAAAACATTCAACAATTTGTAAAAAGACCAGGAAAAAGTAGAAAATACACAGAGAATATGACAATAATTCACAGAGAGGTAAATTAAAGTAGCTCATAAATATCTGGAAAGATGGTTTATCTCACTCAAAGAAGATAAATGAAAAATAAAAATGGAGACACTACTGAGTGGGCATGGTGGTTTATGCCTGTGATTCCAGAGTTTTGAGAGGCCAAGGTGCTTGAGATTAGGAGTTTGAGACCAGCCTAGGCAATATAGGAAGACCTGTCTCTACAAAAAATTTAAAAATTAGCTGTGTGTGATGGCATGTGCCTGTAGTCATAGCTACTGGGGAGGCCAGGCAGGAAAATCCCTTGAGCTCAGGAGTCCGAGGTTACGTGAGCTATGATTGCAACACTGCACTCTTTTCTAGGTGAGAGAGCAAGTCTCTGTTTCTAAAAATAAAAAATAAAAATAAAAATATAGAAAGAAAACTATTTTTTCCTTTTAGATTGGCAAAACTAAAATGATTGAAAATAGAGTTATAAAATGCATATGAATGGATGTATGCCTGTAAACTCATTAATGACTCTCAGAAAATACTTAAGAAATTGATCACAATGATTGTAATTAGGTGAGCAGAATGGCTGCTATGAAATATTTTCTTGCAAGCCCTTTTGTGTTATTTGTCATTGGAACTGGGATAATCCATAAGATTATCCCTAATATCCAATATTACATAACATATTAATTAACATGTCTGATTCTCAGTTACACCAACTTCTGACTGTGAGAAACAGTATTTCTTTGCTTGAGAGCTTTCTCCGCATATTGAAGCCTTCTTTGTTCACTTGTGCAGCAGGCTACAAGTACCTGGAAATTAACATCCCATAGGAAGAGCCCTCAACCAGTGTCTTACAGGAGCTGGTACCTAAATAGCTCAGCTTGATCATCTCACGAGTGAGCTATCTCTGAGACGTGTGTTCTATACTGGCTCACAGAGTTTCTCCAATAGGCTTATGAGATGAAAATTAAACATTTGGGATTGGGCCCAAGCAGGTCCAAAGTGCACAAATTAGTTTCAACAACAAAGTGTTCAAGAAACCCAAACCACAGACCTCTGTTGCAGCATACATACACAGGTCTCCTTCAGGTCAAGTCCTATGGCCTTTTGGGAAGTTCCCTATGAACAGTTTGACCAATGAATAAAAATACTCAGGTCTTGCTCAGGACAGGTTGCCTCCTTTCATTGTAAAGTAAAACACGGATTGCGGTTGAACTCCAGCTATACTCAGGAGTAGCCCTGAAATAAAAAAGGAAAACTCTGCTCAGTAGTCAGACAAGTGAGCTATACACCTAATTGTTGACATGGAGTAGAAGTGGATGGAAATATGAATGACAATGAAATTCTGAGCAATATTCAATGACTTGGCTAGTTGGTTAAAGGCCTGGAAAGAAGAAGGTTGGAAAATTAGAGAAAAACTTTTGGGAATTAAGCATATCGGTATATCTATGAGAATGGGCACAATGTATACAAATCTTCCTTTCATCCTTCAATACCCACCAGAGACATCTACCTCCACCACAGAGGAAACACAATAAGCAGATGGAGAGAGTCCTGTGGGGCTCAGTTAGCCTCCTCCTCAGCATCCCCTCTGCTGATGATGCATGACAGGTCTGTGATAGGTCTATGAGTGGAGCAGTCATAAGGATGGGAATGAACACTATGCATGGGCTTCTTCTCAGCATACTGCAACATATGAGGACTGACCCCAGGTATGTGTGGTAAGATATGAAATCATGAATCATAGTAGAATTTTACCTGTCAGTAAACTCTCCCTTAGCCTTTATTCTGGTCAGGTGCAGTGGCTCACACCTGTAATCCCAGCACTTTGGAAGGCTGAGGCAGGCGGATCATGAGGTCAGGAGTTTGAGACCAGCCTGGCCAACATAGTGAAACCCCGTCTCTACTAAAAATACAAAAAATTAGCTGGGCGTGGTGGCGGGTGCCTGTAATCCCAGCTACTTGGGAGGCTGAGGCAGGATAATCACTTGAAGCCAGGAGGCGGAGGTTGCAGTGAGCCGAGATCACGCCACTGCATTCCAGGGCGAGACTCCATCTCAAAAAAAAAAAAAAAAAAAAAAAAAGGCCTTTATTCTGCACCCCTTAACATCTCACTCCAAGTTACCAAAACTGACTCAAAATGAAATAAACAGTCAGAATAACATTCTATCTATTAAACTAATTAAATGTATAATTAAAACCCCAACCTCAATGGAATCTCCAGACTCAGGTTTGCATAGTCAAATTTGTCAGCCATTCAAAGAAGAAATAATATCAATCTTACAAAACCCCATTTAGAAAATAGACAAAAGAAGGATGCTTCCTAACCTATTGTACAATGCTGAGACAATCCTGACAATAAAATTTAATCAAGATAATATATGTAATCAGAGACTAATACCCTCATCAACACAGATGCAAAAATTCTTAACAAAAAGTTAGAATATAAAAGAAAACACAATGTGATCATGTGGTGATTATTCCAGGACTGCAAAATTTGTTCAAAAAATGAAAATAAATAATGTAATTCAGGTCAGGCACCGTGGCTTATACCTGTAATCCTAGCACTTTGGGAGGCCAAGGTGGGAGCCCAGGAGTTTGAAACCAGCCTGGACAACATAGGTTGATCCTGTATCTACAAAAAATAAAAAATTAGTTGGGTGCGGTGGTGCCCACCTGTGGTCCCAGCTACTTGGGAGGCTGAAGTGGGAGGATCACTTGAGCCTGGGAGATCAAGGCTGCAGTGAGGCATAATTGCACTACTGCATTCCAGCCTGGTCAATAGAGAGAGAAAAACTGTCTCAATAAATAAAAATAAAAATAAAGTAATTCACTAAATTAATAGAGTGTAGGAGAAAACTCATGACCAACTCAATAGATAAAGAAAAAACCTTTGACAAAATTCAACAACCTTATGTTTAAAAAAACATTATCAGCACACTTGGAAAATAGGATAATTTCCTTAATTTGGTAATAGACATCTACAAAAACCCTACAGCTAATATTATACTTAGTGGTGAAATATTGAATGATTATTCTGTAAGACTGGGAACTATGAAATGTTGTCTACTCCACCTTCTTATAGTCAATATTGTGTTGAGAGCTTTAGGCACAGAAATACAGCAGTGTTATTGGGAAAAGAGGAGAACATCTGTTTTCATCCACAGATAGCATGCTTGTTTAAACAGAAAGCCCTGAGGACTCTACAAAAAACAATTACAGATTTAGTAAGCAAAGTCAGCATAGGCAGATGATATAAAGTCAATATACAATCATTAATTATATTTCTTTATACTAGGAAATTGAAAATTTTAAATGATACTATTTATAAAAACATGACATTTCTAGGAACACATTTTAAAAATGATGTTCAAGATCTTGAATCAAAAAATCACAAAATATTGCTGAGAGAAGTTATATGCCATATTCTTGGATTGGAAGACTCAATATTAAGATGTCCACTCTCTCCAAATTGATCTATAGATTCAATATAAAGGCAGAATTTTGGTAGAAATTGGCAAGCAGATTAGGAAATTTATATAAAAATGCAAAGGACTTAGAATAATTTAAACAATTTCCTAAAGCCAATAAGGGAAATGAACACAGATGTAAAGGACGATGCACACCATCTTGCAAGGCATCTGCCTCAGGTGACTCTGTATAGATTCCAGGTAAAGGAGAGCTGCTATATTTGCCATGCTGTGAATTTAGACTCATTTATAACTCTGTCATTCATTCAGTCAGATGTTGGGAATGACATTCGTCTTTTGTCCTCTGCCTGTGAAAGTTGGGGATCTCTTTAAATGTTGTCAACATGTTCTTCCTTTTTCTCTTTCAGATTAATTTACTTTGGTTCATGATTTCTGACTCTTTCCTCTTTTTCACAGTAGGTCATTAAACTTTGTTAACTCTTTCTCTAAACTATTTCTGGAATCTGTTCTTACTTTAATTCTACTAACAGTAACTTAGTTCAAGTCTTAAAAATCTGTTGCCTGGAATTTGAGATAGTTTTCTAGCTGCTATCTTTCACGTCTCCCGTCTTTTTAGGACAAGTAGTTACCGTTTTAGCCCACAAAATTTATTGCGTGTTCCTTCAGCCCTTGTCTCATTTGCCTGAAGTGCTATTTACTCATGTACCCTACCTATAAACCTACAACTTGGCCCCTTTCCTTCCTTCCTTCCTTCCTTCCTTCCTTCCTTCCTTCCTTCCTTCCTTCCTTCCTCCCTCCCTCCTTCCTTCCTTCTGCCTTCCTTTCTCCCTTTTTCTCCCTTTCTTCCCTTCCTCTCTCCTTCCATTCTTCCTTTTTTTTTTTTTTTGAGACAAAGTCTCACTCTGTTGCCCAGGCTGGGGTGCAGTGGCTGGATCACAGCTCACTGCAGGTTCAAACTCCTGGGCTCAAGCAATTCTCCTGCCACAGCCTCCCAAGTAGCCAGGACTACAAGTGCATAACCATCCCCAGCTGATTTTTTTTTAATGTTTTATAGAGATGAGGTCTCACTATGTTGTCCAGACTGGTCTTAAACTCCTGACCTTGAGTGATCTTCCCACCCTGGCCTCTGAAAGTGCTGGGATTATAGGCATGAGCCACTGTGCCTGGCCAACATCCCCTTTCTTAAGCAAGTTTTAAGTGATTTAATTCCACCTTTACCTAACATTTATTAGCTATCAGATCTTGGAAAAATGAGTCTCTGTTTTCTAATTTGTAAATTACAGAAACAATACCTACTTAACTGGAAAATATATATATATACACACACACACATACACACACACAAACACATAAATGCACACATATACATATATTATACATATATTATACATATATTGGGGGCAGAATATTACAATACAATTCTATTCTTCCTTCTTGGGAAATAAGAGGAGAAACAAAATCAAAAAATAGAAAATGTTTTTACTGTCTCCTTTGTTAGATTGTTTATTGTCTCATTACAGCCCTGGCAACACATTAACTGGAAAAGAACAAAATAAAGCTACCTAAACTGTGATTTTAAAGGGTGTTCCTGCCCCTTCCCCAATCTATTAACCTCAGTGAATGTACTCCTCTCTCTTCTTCCCTTCTGAGCCCATTATAGCTTGATTTCTTTGGACCATAGAAAGTTTATGGTTTTCAGGAGGCCACTACCAAATTGGAAGTACCCCTCAGAGGAATATTTTCTAAACAATCTTAAATAAATGGTACTATGTTGGCTGAGGTTTAGCAAATAGCAACTGAAAAGCAAGGTGCTGGCTGAAGAAGCAGAAAAGATGCCCCCACACACAGGGAGGCACTACATACTAAAAATAAACTGTATGTCTCTCTGAACTCTTTTCTTTATTTTCTGTACCTGAGCTAGAGAGTTGGTATGAGGATTAAACAAGACAATTTGTAAAATATTTTGCCCAACAGCTAACGCTTATCCATAGATGACCAATAAATCATATGTTGTCATTATTACCTCTTCACAGGTGCTCTTAAAGCCAACCCAGTGTCCTCAAAAGCTTCTGAATAAGTCTGTAATCATTTTGTTTTTTGTTTGTTTGTTTGTTTGTTTGTTTTTGAAACAGGATCTTGCTCTGTTGCCCAGGCTGGAGTGCAGTGCCACAATCTTGGTTCACTGCAACCTTGACCTCCCATGCTCAAGCCATTCTTCCTCCTCAGCCTCTCAAGTGGCTGGGACCAAATGCATGCACCATCATGTCTGGCTAATTTATTTTTGGATTTTTTTGTAGAGGCAAGGTCTTGCTATGTTCTCCAGCCCAGTCTAGAACTCCTGAGGTCAAGTGATCCTCCCACCTCAGCCCCTCAAAGTGCTGAAATTACAGATGTGAGTCACTGCACCCGGCCTCTCTAGTCATTCTTAAGAGAAGAAGTAGGAGTAAAGCACATGGATTCTGAGGACAGACTGCCTGGATTGGAAACTTGGTTCCATCACTTACTAGCTGTGTGAACTTTTGCAAGTCACTAAACATCTCTGTGCCTCAGTGACCCTATCACTACAATAGGAATAATTACAAAATCCATTTCAAAAGATGGTTTTGATTATTACATTAGTTTTAATACTCATACATCTCTTAGTATGAGTCTGGAGCATTATAACTACCACCTCAGTGTTAGCTGTTATTACCACACCTTCAGACTAAAAAGATGGAGCTAAATAGGCTTACTCTAAATGGTTCTTTTTCTGAATACCAGTAACTCTGGTGGTCTACTTTTTTTTCTTGATTTAAAGATGCTTACACACATATGAGTCAAATTGGTGAGATAAATCACATGTGCATAAGTGGGGGCAAGCAGAATGTTTCCCAAATTGCATTTTCTGGAACACCAGTGCCTTCGAGATACCAACAGGCATTTTATGATCTAATAAATTTGGTGAAATATTTCTTTTTTTTTTTTTTTTTTTTTTTTTTTTTTGAGACAGAGTCTCGCTCTGTCACCCAGGCTGGAGTGGAGTGGCCAGATCTCAGCTCACTGCAACCTCTGCCTCCCAGCTTCAAGCGATTCTCTTGCCTCAGCCTCCTGAGTAACTGGGATTACAGGCACATGCTACCACGCCCGGCTAATTTTTGTATTTTTAGCAGAGACGGGCTTTCACCATGTTGGCCAGGCTGGTCTTGAACTCCTGACCTCAAGTGATCCACCCGCCTCAGCCTCCCAAAGTGCTAGGATTACAGGCATGAGCCACTGCGCCTAGCCTGGTGAAATATTTCAAACAATATTCATCTTGAAGATTTTAATATTCAAAGCTGTGAAGGATTCTAAAGCAAGTATAGCTATTTAATTGTGCTTTATTGCTTCCCCAACTTTTTGAACCACGGGTAATTAGTTCTAAAAAGCTCCACCCTTCAATGTAATGCGTTTTAACATCTTCACCTCTGTGTGGCACAGTGTAGGGAACACACTCCGGCAGTTTGTCCTCAGCACCCCTTGTGATGGGGAAATAAGAGCAGATGCATTAAAATCATAAAAGGAGGAAGAAAAGTTATTTCATTACAGCAAATATAATAAGAAAGTAAAATTGTGCAGAATATGTTCTGTTTAGGAAGTATGTTTTCTTTTGTATATGGCTTATATTAAAACGCTTACATTAAACATAATCTCCATTTCAGTACTTCAGTTAGTTAGAAATTACTTCAGATAAAGGAGCTAATACCAATAAATCAGTGTAACAGAAAATTTTACCGGGTTTTTGTAATGTCAGTGCATACTTGATGAATATATTGTGTTAGTTCATTATGTGTTCATATTTATCATAGATTCCTTCTGGGCCTATAATATATCTCTTATTTCTTTTGTATTTTCCCACTATGTAATTAAGCATTGCATATGTATTTACAGAGAGTTCAATAAGTGTTTTAAATCAATATTTCATGAAAGTTATTTGGATTCAATATCTCCAGATCGCTCATTTTAAAACCAGGATTATATTGACTAATTTTCAACTTGTTATTTAACATATTTAGTTTAAAATATACATATATCTGCATTTCAGTTAAAATTTTTGAGACTTTTCTTAGCTAGTTGGCTAAATTGCTAGATGTCATATTGCTACTTAACAATTGTCCTGTTTTTTATTTGATTATATAAAATTTAACAGTTTGAGTATACTATTGTTTCTGTGTATCAACAAGACATATTTATTTTATTCAGGTAAATGTCTTGAGTTAATATTGCCTAGTAAAATGGATTATATTGTTTTGTAGAAGGTCATGCCCTATATTTCTACATTTAGAATAGTATATACTAACTCTGCCACCTCAAACTCATTTAAATATGCTCATTCAAGTGATCAAGATAGATGACCTTGGAAAGAAAACACAACATGCTACATTGGATCAATAAACTAGGCTTTGACTATAAATAACAGGGAGCATTCATGTAATAATGGAATATTTGTGTAAGAGAATGGAAGGTATCATTGATCAAATTCAGAAATATTATGCAAAATTGTAGTGAGGTTCCTCACCAACATATAGACCTAAAAGCATCCTAATTACACAATATCACTATAGTTGAAAAGCTGTCAAAATCTATTACTGTAAGAATGCCAAATTTTCAATTATATAATCTATCTAATAGTAAACAAGAGTCTGGCTCAATAAAGGGTACTAGAACACATACATAAATATTTATGATAAGACTGCAAATTTTACATATACTAATTTCAGGAAAGAGACAAATAGTAACACATTTTTTAACAAAATAAAGAACAGCAATCAAATCAAATAGTCTAGCTGTAGCTACATGTATAAACATAGATGCATTTGCAAAGTATAATTAGTGAAAAAAATAACATTGAAAACGGATAGGTTTGTTAACTTTATTTTTGTGTAAAAAAATATACTTTTTTCTGGTATGACAAACTTCAGGAGAGTGGGGAAGTATATTTGATGGGAAATGTGCTTAGCTCTAACTATAATTTCTAGTTTATTTGAAAGGGATAAAGCAGGGATGGGGGATGGGGGAGGGAGAGAGGGAAGAAGAGGGTTAGAGAGAGAAAGAGAGAGAGAGAAGCGAGAGAGACATCTAAAGCAAAAACACCTCTCAAAAAAACAGGATTTAAAAGTAATCCAGAATCCCAATGTATATTTTTAACTTTTCCCTGAAGTATTTGGGGGACAAGAGGAGAAACTGAAGAGATGAGATTCTGGATTTTACAACCATCCATCCATCTGCTTATATACCCTAGAGAAATGGCTTCAGAGAAACACGGTTATCCCCAGTGGTGCTCTAATTGCCCTCTCTCAGTGTCACCACTCATTAATGCTCAAAATAATGTACTAAAATTCCCCTGGAAATGGCACCTGAATAACAAATTTTAGAAATGTTAAACTTTCCTCTTCACCACGTGCTGTAAGACCAGTTAGAACTAATTAAATCATATCTACTCTATGACTTAAATTTTAAGTATGCATTCTTCAGCCACAGTAACTATTCCCCCGCTCATCAAATTCAAAAGGAATGTAAATCAAAGAAACACCTAGAAGACAGCCTTAATTGGAGGCACCTTTTGGAACTCAAGACATCCGTAGCATTTACTGTTGGTCACTGTCCACCACTCCTTGGCATTCGGTGGTCACAGACAGCTTCCTGCTGCAAGCCCCTGTGACTCTCTGAAAACTTTCTCTGGAATACATAGTAGGTGGTCATATTATCTACATTTTGTAAGTGAAATGTTGTAAACAAGGTTGGACTGGTAATTCTTTTTTTAAAAAAATACCAAATTTAATATCTTTTGAAGTAGAAGAGAATATCTTAAATATAAAAAATATAAAGAAATATAATCATCCATATTTCCCCACACAAATTTAACTACTGTTCACTTTTGCATGTATATCCTTATCTATTATCTATCATCTGTCTATCATCTATCCATCTATTGATTTCTATCTTTCTTTAACTAGGAATATAATTGCTTTCCTATGCCCATTCTCTCTCTGTGTCTTATCTGACCAGCTAGAATGTCACACATCTCCACAAGCCCTAGCATGGAGGAGACCAGATGATTAAATCTGGCTAATGAGATGGAAATGAAGGTTTGTACATAGTTGTAATATGGATGGAGATATATCTTTATGGTTTCTGTCTCTTATTCCTGGTTTAGAATGTAGAAATTGCAATGAGACCTCCAATGACCATTTTGAATTATGAGTTAAATAAGGATTCTGAGAATGGCAGAGAAGAAATTAAATGGCTGGGTCCCTGATGACACCATAATGTCACCATACCAGCCCTGGTAACCTACGTCTTTTCACGTGATAGAGAAATTAGCTTCTACCTTCTTTAAGCCATGTAATGTCTGATTTTATGTCACAGGCAGTCACATATAATTCTACATTATACCTATTAAAATCATACAAGAATTACATGAATATGTTGCTTCTAGAAATTGTTAGCAGGCAGCAAAAGTAAAACTTACTTGACTACCGCCTTCAAATTCAATTTTGACTCCTGTTTAGAAGTTTTCATTATATATTTATGATTTGTTTTTCCACCCTTTTCTTAAAACTGTATATGTGTGTGTGTGTGTGTGTGTGTGTGTGTAAATCCATACAGAGTAATCTACACTTAAATGTATTTCTAAAATTTGTATAAAGGGTAACCATTTTCTACAATTCACTGTTTTCACTCCATAACATTTTAAACACGTTTCCACACTGATCTATATAGTTAATTGTTATGAGTTTGTAGATTTCATTAATATTTATGTGTGTGTGTGTGTGTGTGTGTATATATATATATATATCACTTTTTATTGATTCCTTTCTTTCTTTTTTTTCTTTTTTTTTTTTAGATGGAGTCTTAGGAGTGCAGTGGCACGATCTTGGATCACTGCAACCTCCGCCTCCCAGGTTCAAGTGATTCTCCTGCCTTAGCCTCCCAAGTAGCTGGGATTACAGGCACCCACGGCCACGCCTGGCTAATTTTGTATTTTTAGTAGAGACGGGGTTTTGCCATGTTGGACAGGCTGGTCTTGAACTGGTAACCTCAGACCATCCACCTGCCTTGGCATCCCGAAGTGCTGAGATTACAGGCGTAAGCCACCATGGCTGGCCTGATTTATTTCTTTATTGGTGGATATTAGATCCTTTACAATATTTTACTATTGCTCATCAGTCTGAAACAAAGATCTTGGAATCTACTCTATTTTTTGTAGGGTAGATTCCCAGAAGTGGAATCACGGGTCATAGGAATTGCACATTTGCAATTCCCATAGGTGTTTCAGGTGATTTTTTAAAGAAAGATAAAGTTAAGACCATTTTTACACAGCAAGACTATACCTTGACAGTCTTTACAGATTTGCTGTTTTGAGGAATTCGTATTTAGCTCTGGCTTTTTAACCACATGCATGCACATTTATTACTATAAACAACATTATACAACTTTAAAATAATAAGTATAGTCCTCTGTGGCTTCTAACACTGTATTGCTTGGTAAGAAACATAATGGAGAGAAATAAAAAGAATCAAGAGGACCAACAGCCAAGAGAAATTTAGCACCAACAAAATAACATCATCTGTATGCTGAAAACAACATTTCCCCTGCTTTCTGTTACTTATCAATTGAAGGAAGAGAAAGATAAATGGCAATGTGAAAAATATAAGATTTTCTCTGAATAATAATTCTTCTCTGTCCCATGGCACATTTTATTTGACTTCTGCTCAAAGATCTCAGACTTTTCTATCTACAGATAAACTCTAGTTTATAAATTCAGAAAATGAGGTTCAGTGAGACTTATTCAAAGACTATGAAGGCCAGGAGGGCCCAAAACTATGAATCTTCTATTATGTCTATTCACCTTAAGAAACCTCTTCCATCTTAGAAATTGTGGCCATGTGCCCTTAAAGAGTCAGTCATGTCTAAAATGCTTCCTTTCTTCAAAGTTACATTTTAAATGCTAATTTATGGGAAGCAGGGCTGTGCTGAATTATTATTTACAATATGTCAATCTCATACTTTGAAGTCCGGGGAATGATGTTTGTAAACAGTGAAAACTCAGCTTTATTTTGCTACAATCATTTAGCTTTCAAAATGCATCAAAATATACCTCAAAGACAAAAAAAAAAATTACAATCTTTGACATGTTTTTCAAACATGAGTGCTTTCCTATGTTTCTAAGACACTTTTGCATAACTCCTTGGATTTTGATGACATAATTTAAAATTATAATATATTTTCCCCAAAAAGGGGAAGGTTCATATATAATATGAAATCAGCTTAAAAATACTTTCTCAATATTTCTCTTGTTAAGTAGGGAATAAGCAATTATTCAATAGTATAACCAACTATTTCATTTATATTTCAAAACAGGTATGTGTCCCAAACTTAAGGCATTGTTTTATGACTATCTTTTTAATTTTCAGAATAAATGAATAAATAACTGACCTAAAGATGCAAGTAATTTTCATGGGACTAAAAGTCTAATGTAGAAAGAGCTAAGACTCTCTTTTGTAGTAACATTCTTTATTTTACTTTAACCTTCCTAGTTCAAAAATAAGTGGAATCGTTGACAAATTTCAGAAAATATATCTACACTCTTAACAAGGTCTCCTTAACAGTTAAATAAAAATAGACTGTTAATGTTTTACAATATACGTTCAATACTGGTCTTATGGAAATGGAAGGTGTCTTACTGGCAATTGTATAGAAAATGCTTACTACAATAGCTCAGACTTTATACTAAAGATAAGTGTATGGCTGAGTTTTGAAGTAGGTTCTAACAATGTAATTTCTACATGTAATATTCACACTTGAAATTAATTGGCATCTCAAAACAAATAGCTATTTAGAAAAATATACTAAGACTTTGATTAGTACTATGGGTAAATAAAAGTCACTTGGTGCAAATAAAGCTAGTGGTTTTTTCCTTGCATTTGGATACAATATCATATGCCAAATATAAAATATTAGTTTAAATTGCTGACAAGTGATAAAATGCTTAAGTGATTATGTATATTAATCCATTTATCTAACTGGTTTGCTACTGTTTCATCCTCATCCACGATACATTTTGACAAGCAATCCTACCTTGACTTACTGGGAAAAAAAACTGAGAAGCTAAACTGCAGTTTTATACTAACAGCACCAAAAATAAATGTTAAGGATGCCATGTACCTTCCAAGTGCTGTGAAGCCAGTAGGCCTGGTGTGCTACATGTGGTGATTTGCCATCTTCAAATTATGCATAATAAATTACATTTCAGGACAGTACTTCCCCATCATTCTTTATAGGCCCTCCTCAACTTCCTCTGTTGGGAATGTTTTCAATGAGTTTAAATAGTATCTTATAAGATATCCAAAAGTTTCTTTGTAAGGAACAGTATGAGGTACCTTTTAATAGTTCTTGCTTTCATAACCATAGATGTATAAACATTCAATAAAATGTATGTTCAAGGTTGGTATTTTCTCATTTTCAAAGAAAAAGAAAAGAAGTTTTAGAAAGAAAATGCAGCATTCTGAAGTTATCTCTATTTGCTATTCAGCATCCTATAGTTTTCCTTAAAGGATTACTCTGAAAGTCGTGTGTAGATGGAATCAAAGTAACTTCACACAGACCTTTCCATTCAGTACATTGACAAGACTGGTGAAAAAATAGATGTGAACATCTACCAATAGTCTACACTGTATCATCAGACACTCTGGAAAATACAGAGAAATAGAGGTAACTGCCCTAGCGTGAAAATATTTCTTTTTATTGAAAAATACCTCTCTAAGCATGTTAAAAAGAAGACTGACAATTATTTTCTCAACTTGGATTATTTAAGTCTCCACAATTGAAACATTTGAAAAGTCAGTTATATTTCTTATAATACTGGAAGGAACTTAAATCAATTATTCTACTGGAACCCCGTTTAAAGCATATCTTAAAAAGTAGTTATTAATTCAATGATTAAATACAACTTTACAGTTTTCACAGTTTACATGATAGTGTTAGTATGTGGCTACAAACTACCTTTGTTTCCTAATCACCATTTTTGCAAGGAAACATTGGTTAAAAATACTGACATCTACTTAAGATTATATTGGATATGGTTACTTTCTCTGCATTATCAATAAAATTAAGGGATAGTTATACTTTCTTTCATCCCAAGGACTGCTTGATAACTTAAAGTATCTTCCTTTTATTCATCTTTAAGTCATCTGCCTCTTCTCAGAGCATACAATGAGAAATATTCTGCACAGGACAAATTACTATGTTGACAGGGGCTTACACACAGCCTAGGATCACTAGCACAATCAAAACTTGTATCAATGAGATGCATTACGTTGGATGACCTATTTATCTCCATCTTCTAGGTAGTGTCAAATTCCTAAGTGGAACACAGCTACAGTTCTACATTTTCTCTTATCCAACTTTTTTTCCCACAGAAAGGTAAATTTCAAGTGGTAGAAAATAAGAGGAGATGGAAAGTATAGCAAAGCTAAGGTAGAAATTAATTCTGAATTTCTATACCTTTATTCATGTTTTTGACTCAATGATTACCTAGAGCTTGCTTATTTATGCACCCAAAACTTGGAGGAAACAAACTTGACATAGTGTGCCCAACTGATTAATGCTGTAAACAGTAGAAAAAGTATGTATCTATAAGCTGGAGATAAATTAGATTTTTATTTAAAAGAATAATTGTATCAAGTGCCTTCTTTGGTGCCAAGTAACAATTTAGTAATTAACTGAAAATGAAATATATGGGGAAAACTTGAAATGGCTCACACAATTGAGGATGAATCGCTGAAAAGCCAGGGATTAGAAAACACAGGAAAAAAATTATCAAAGCCAGAGCCGAGGATTCAAGTATCAGGAAATAAAGGTCAATCTCTTCAGGGCAATAGTTTGGAAACATAGAAATTCCAATTATTTTCAGGTTTGAGGGGGTCTTGTTTTGTTTTAAATTACTGTTCAATGCTAAAGTTTCTGGTAGCGTGTCTCACTGGTCAAACTTAGATTATGTGTCTAACACTAGCCAAGAGGTGGAATATCTTCATAAATGGTTTTATCACTACTGTATTCAATGAGAAAGAGATCATTTTTCAAAATAAATTCATGGTCTCCTGCTAGAAGAAGGTTCAAATGGTTGTTCAGGATGGAAAACAGGTTTCTACTATGATAATTATTAAGAGATTTATGAGTACAGTTTATACTTACACACTCATTGTCAATAGAAAATATTTATTGACTTATGCTAGTTTATTATAGCAATGACTCTTGTCATTAAATTAATTTAGCTCAACAAATAAAGGTGGTTGTATATGTGTATATGTATTCATACTGCAGCTCACTAAACCTAGTCATATATAAATTATCTTTATTTGCTCCATCCTGTATAGTAAACATAATTTTACATATTTTGTAAAAGGAAAAAGCAGATTCAAAGGGAGTAAGAAATATGCATAGCCATTGTTAAACAGATAAGAAGAGGGAGAGACAGGAACTACAGTCATTTTTTGTTTGTTTTCATTTTAAGTGCTTGAATGTTTCATGGGTTTATCAATCACATTTTGTATTATAAGGACTCAACTTCAATAAATGTTGTTATATAATAATTATTTCTATATGTTTTCTATAAAAGCAAGTTTTTTAAATAAGAAATAATTTTACTTTCCTAAACAATCATAATTTTGTATATGTTGCTAGCCTACATAGGAATATTTACTTAAGTTTGGCCCATAACACATATAACCCTGTTATAACATTCCAAACTTAGTATTATTTTCTAATAAAGGAAAAGGCTCTTTTCTATTCATTTGTATTATATTATAAAACCTACATGTACCTTTATTTTATTTATAATTTAACTTTTCTCTATGCTGTATCCCTGTATTTTTCAATCAAATTTATTGTTATGGATTCAATTTAAATTCATTTAAATTTTTTATGATTGACAATTTTTCCAGTGTTTAATTTTGTCTTCTAAAGGGTTAGCAACCCCTTTAGAAAACAAAAAGTTTTTGTTTTTTTGTTTTAGGTTAAGGAGTGTGGGAATGCTTTCACAGATTTAACCTGACTAGTAGACAAGTAGATTAACTGATATAAGAACATACTAAAATTAGGAGCTACGTTCAGATATCTCAAATGATGTGGCTGAGAAGAGCAGAGGCAGTAACTAACATGCTTTTGTACACTGGCATATAAAGTGCAAATAACTGTTCCACTCCATTTCTGTTTATATACATATACATATATTTCACATATATATTATACATGTATTTTACATATATTGAACATAATATATGTGTGTATCCATACATTCATATACACATCATAGTTATAGGTACATGATCTTTCATTTTAGGAATATAGTGTATTTGTGTGTATATATATTTAAGCCTTTTAGAAGCACTAATTAATGCAATATAGAAACATTCTTCTGTTCAATGACAATATGGCAGTTAGATCATATTTCCCAAATGTCTCACTAAGAAATCAATAGAGACAAAGTTCAAAGTTCAGATAGCCTGTATCTATAGCTCACTTTCTTCAGTCAGTAATTGGGCATATTGTTACAGAATAAAATCAGATTTCAATTCCTTTTATACAATGCAAGTTTCATGGAGAAAATATTATTTGTTACATATCTTTGTAGTCTTTTATGTCTGGCATGGTAGACCTGAACATTTTAATTAATGAAATAAGTAGTGATTATATGACAACTTGGTGAAATTGGTCCGTTCTGATTTTGTCTTCAAAGAGTTAAGCTTTTGCTATCTCGAAATTTTTATTCCTATTAGTTTAAATCTAATAAGTAGAAACAGATTTTTCTTTACAAAATATTGCAACTAAGTCTTTCCTTCTCAGTCATTATGACTTCCATGAATGATTGCAACACATTCAATTCCTAAATACACTGGATTTTTTTAATGTATGTCATCAAATTCTGCTTAGAAAGTAGTGTTCAGTCATTGTTTGCCTGTTCAGCTGAGACTTCCACCCTCTCATTAGAATTGTTATTCATTCCATAAATCTGATTAAATATAAATTCAACATAAACCAAAGCAGAAAGATTAATATCATAAATGTAGATTAACTTTCTCTGACTAAAGTTCAAAAGGAGAAAAAACCTTTTTCTTGGTATTTCTGTCTTCATAACATTGAGAATGTTTTCTTTTCTTCTTTAATTTTGTATGAGAATTGCACTTGCAGCCACATTGCAGCTTAATTACTATTTTTCATTTTTGTTATTAACACTTCTGTGTTTCTTTTTAGCTATTAAGTGGTTAGTATTTCAATTTCAGAGTCCATGGCAATCTGATTCTAGAGGTATTTCCATCTTACTATTTTAATTTTCTTTCCATGTTCTCGATGCTGAGAATTAAAGTAAACATTGGAAAAAGTGGCTAGAGTAATAAAGTGTGGGAGGGAGCAGGAAGAAAACAGAGGTTATAGGCTGTGAATTTTGACATGATATGCAGAGTTATTGGCTTGAGATTTAGAGACGTTTTTACCACTAAGTTATCTTACAACTAATGGCTTTCAAATTAATTTTTTTAAGTATCTAAACAAATTGATTTCATGCCCCTAATTTTGTCATAGGATTCTTAATTGCACCATCCTAAAATTAAGTTATATGAAGTTTACAAAATATCTAAATGTTAAAAATTATTCTCCAGAGGTGACATCAGGAAGGTGGCAGAATAGACCCCCCAGCATTACTTTTCCCACAAAAATGCACTTAGAAACTATTCAGAGATTAAGAATATTACCCTGAGTTCACCAGAGCTCAGTGGAGCAGTAGGAAAACCCACTGGGCCTACAGAATCAAGGGAAGACCTGAGCAGTAAAAGAAATAATCATTTCAGCCTAGCTACACCCTCCCTCAAGCTGGCATAATGCCACTCACAGAGAATTTCTCTAGACCCACAGTTTTTGAGGTATGAGAAGGGAGTTGCAGGTGGATGTTCAATTTCCACATTGGTCTGAAAGTCTTTGTGGGAAGCTAAATCTGTTCCCATCCCGCAGATATCACTGTAAGTGTTAGGAGGGCTGAACCACCTGGAATAAATTGGGGACAATAGGTGAGGTGATGATCATAGTGACTGGCATACAGATCTTGGAAGCTGTTCTGTGTTCCAATCAATATCAATGCCATATTGAAGAGACTGGCCAGTGCCATAAGTGCTGCAGGGGGCATATTCCACAGGAAGACCTGAATCTGGGGCTGGATTTTCCACATAGCCCAGGTGCTCTTATGAAGCCTTTCTCTGATCCAGAACAAGTAAAAAAGTCAGATTAAGTTCTGGTACCTGCTAAATCTTCCCCAGACTAGGAAAAAACAGGAGGGTAGCAATATAGTTCTGAGGTAATGTTTAGTTTCTGGTGCTCATTAGAAGTCTTCTCCAGACCTGGAAACAATTACAGGCCAGCAATTTAGTTCCAGAGTAGCATTTAAGTGTTTATGTTCAGTATAAGACTTCCCCAGTACAGGAAGGATAAATAAATCAGTGTTTAAGTGTTGATACTAAGTGGTAAATGTTAAATGCCACCACAGGCCGGGCACAGTGGCTTATGCCTGTAATCTCAGCACTGGGAGGCCGATGTGGGTGGGTCATCTGAGGTCAGGGGTTCAAGACCAGCCTGGCCAACATGCTGAAACCCTGTCTCTACTAAAAATACAAAAATTAGCCAGGCATCATGGCACAAGCCTATAATCTCAACTACCCGGGAGGCTGAGGCATAAGAATCACTTGAACCTGGGAGGCAGAGGTTGCAGTGAACTGAGATAGTGCCACTGCACTCCAGCCTGGATGTTGGAGTGAGACTCTGTCTGCAATAAATAAACACCACCAAGGAACACCCAGAAAAACTGGAATAAGTGTCTGTTTTCTCAAATTTGTAGGTATCAACATAAAGATGCAAGAATTATGAAAACTCAGAGAAATATGACACCACCAAAAGAAACCAACAAAGCTCCTCTAATGAACCCAGACAATCTATTAAATGTCAGATAGAGGATTCAGAATAAACCTCTTAAAGAAATTCAGAAAATTGGCCAGGTGCAGTGGCTCATGCCTGTAATCCCAGCACTTTGGGAGGCCGAGGCTGGTGGATCACAAGGTCAGGAGATCGAGACCATCCTGGCCAAAATGGTGAAACCCCATCTCTACTAAAAATACAAAAATTAGCTGGGCGTGGTGGCATGCACCTGTAGTCTCAGCTACTCAGGAGGCTGAAGCAAGAGAATTGCTTGAACTCGGGAGGCAAAAGTTGCAGTGAGCTGAGATCCTGCTGAGAGGTGAAGACAGCTGGGCTTCTGGGTCAGGTGTGGACTTGAAGAACTTTTGTGTCTAGCTAAGAGAATGTAAATGCACCAATCAGTGCTCTGTGTCTAGCTAAAAGATTGTAAATGCACCAATCAACACTCTGTAAAAATGCACCAATCAGCACTCTGTGTCTAGCTAAAGGACTGTAAATGCACAATCAGCACTCTGTGTCTAGCTAAAGGTTGTAAATGCACCAATCAGCACTCTGTAAAAAAGCACCAGTCAGCACTCTGTGTCTAGCTAAAGGATTGTAAATGCACCAATCAGCACTCTGTAAAAACGCACCAATCAGTGCTCTGTGTCTAGCTAAAGGATTGTAAATGCACCAATTAGTACTTTGTAAAAAGGACCAATCAGCAGGATGTGGGTGGGGCCAAATAAGGGAATAAAAGCTGGCCACCTGAGCCAGTGCAACTCAGTCGGGTCCCCTTCCATGCTGTGGAAGCTTTCTTCTTTTGCCCTTCACAATAAATCTTGCTGCTGCTCACCCTTTGGGGCCGCACTACCTTTATGAGCTTAACACTCACCACGAGGGTCTGCGGCTTCATTCTGAAGGCAGCGAGACCACGAGACCATGAACACACCAGGAGGAACAAACAACTCCAATGCACCACCTTTAACAGCTGTGACACTCACTGTGAAGGTCTGCGGCTTCACTCCTGAAGTCAGTGAGACCACAAACCCACCAGAAGGAAGACACTCCGGACACATCTGAACATCTGAAGGAACAAACTGCGGACACACCATCTTTAAGAGCTGTAACACTCACCGCTAGGGTCCATGGCTTCATTCTTGAAGTCAGCAAGACCAAAAACCCACCAGAAGGAATAAATTCTGGACACATTTTGGCGCCCAACGTGGGGCACATTTTGGCGACCCAGATGGGACAATCACCAAGCAGTGAGTACTATCGGACCCCTTTAGCTTGCTATTCTGTCCTATTTTTCCTTAGAATTTGGGGGCTAAATACCAGGCACCTGTCGGCCAGTTAAAAGTGACTAGCGCAGCCACTGGACTAAAGACACGGGTGTCAGGCTTTCTGGGAAAGGGCTCTCTAACAATCCCTGACTCTTCAGAGATGGAAGCATTGGTTTGCCTGGAACCAGCTTCTGCTTCTCCTGTACATCTGGGCTGACCTGAGGGTTGACAGAGAGGAAAGCCGTTCAGCTCCGGGGTCCCAACAAGTTGGTTGACCCTGCGGCCATGAGCGGAACTCTTAAAGTCATGTCGCCCAAGCGAGACTTGCCCATCTATCCTATCTATCCTGACCCTTGCCTCCTGGGTCCTAATGCTTGTCAGACAAACTTCCTCTCGCCCCTCTTCTCCGAGGTCAGTCCTGCTTCTAAAAACCACTCCCTGTCTCTGGTGCTTTTCCAGTTTCTCCTATAAGAATGATTTCCAGTATAAACTCCAGGGCTCTAGTCTCTTCCTTAGGCACCTGGGGTCACCAATCAGAAAGACATAATTTTTGCCCAAAGCCCTGTTGGATGGGGAGACCAACTATCCTTTTAGGATCCCTCCTCAGACAAGCAGGCCTAACAAAGGCTATTCCTGAAGCTAGGATATGGGGAGCCTCAGAAATGATATCCTTCCTATTCAAGTGAGGACAAAAGGCATCACTCTTCCAACTCTGGAGATCTCTTCCTTCCCTCAGGGTATGGCCCTCCACTTCATTTTTGGGGCATAACATCTTTATAGGACAGTGGTAAGGTCCCAATACTAACAGGAGAATGCTTAGGACTCTAACAGTTTTTCGAGAATGTGTTGGTAAGGGCCACTAAATCCGACCTTCTTCAGTCCTCCTTGTGGTCTAGGAGGAAAACTAGTGTTTCTGCTGCTGTGTCAGTGAGCACTTCTATTCTGATCAGCAGGGTCCAGGGACCGTTGCAGGTTCTTGGGTGAGAGGTGTTTCTGCTGCTGCATTGGTGAGCACAACTATTCCGATCAGCAGGGTCCAGGGACAGTTGCGGGTTCTTGGGCAGGGGGAGAAACAAACAAACCAAAACCATGGGTGGTTTTGTCTTTCAGGTAGGAAACACTCAGGCATCAACAGGCTCACCCTTGAAATGCATCCTAAGCCATTGGAACCAATTTGACCTGCAAACCCTCAAAAAGAGGCAGCTCGTTTTTTCTGCACTATGGCCTGGCCCCAATGTTCTCTCTCTGATGGGGAAAAATGGCCACCTGAGGGAAGTATAAATTATAATACTGTCCTGCAGCTTGACCTTTTCTGTAAGAGGGAAGGCAAATGGAGCAAAATACCTTATGTCCAAGCTTTCTTTTCATTGAAGGTGAATCCACTACTATGCAAAGCTTGCAATTTACATCCCATAGGAGGACCTTTCAGCTTACTCCCATATCCTAGCCTCCCTATAACTCCCATTCCTATTAATGATAAGCCTCCTCTAATCTCCTCTGCCCAGAAGGAAACAAGCAAAGAAATCTCCAAAGGACCACAAAAACCCCCAGGCTATCGGTTATGTCCCGTTCAAGCTGTAGGGGGAGGGGAATCTGGCCCAACCTGGGTGCATGTCCCCTTTTCTCTCTCTCTGATATAAAGCAGATCAAGGCAGACTTGGGGAAGCTTTCAGATGATCCTGATAGGTATATAGCTGTCCTACTGAGTCTAGAGCAAACCTTCAATCTCACTTGGAGAGATGTTACGCTATTGTTAGATCAAACCCTGGCCTTTAATGAAAAGAATGTGGCTTTAGCTGCAGCCTGAGAGTTTGGAGATACCTCATATCTTAGTCAAGTAAATGATAGAATGACAGCCAAAGAAAGGGACAAATACCCTACTGGTCAGCAAGCCATCCCAAGTATGGATCCCCACTGGGACCTCAACTCAGATCATGGGGACTGGAGTCGCAAACATCTGTTGACTTGTGTTCTAGAAGGACTAAGGAGAATTAGGAAAAAACCCATGAATTATTCAATGATGTCCACCATAACTCAGGGAAAGGAAGAAAATCCTTTTGCCTTCCTCAAGTGGCTATGGGAGACCTTAAGAAAATATACTCCCCTGTCACCTGACTCACTCGAGGGTCAATTGATTCTAAAAGATAAATTTATTACACAATCAGCCACAGATATCAGGAGAAAGCTCCAAAAGCAAGCCCTGGGCCCTGAACAAAATCTGGAGGCATTATTAAACCTGGGAACCTTGGTGTTCTATAATAGGGACCAAGAGGAACAGGCAGAAAAGGAAAAGTGAAACCAGAGAAAGGCCGCAACCTTAGTCACGGCCCTCAAACAAACAAACCTCGGTGGTTCAGAGAGGACAGAAAATGGAGCAGGCCAATCACCCAGTAGGGCTTGTTACCAGTGTGGTTTGCAAGGACACTTTAAAAAGGATTGTCCAATGAGAAACAAGCTGCCCCCTCACCCATGTCCACTATGCTGAGGCAATCACTAGAATGCACATTGCCCCAGAGGACAAAGGTTCTCTGGGCCAGAAGCACCCAACCAGATGATCCAACAACAGGACTGAGGATGCCTGGGGCAAGTGCCAGCTCATGTCATCACTCTCACTGAGCCCCAGGTATGTATAACCATTGAGGGCCAGGAAATTGACTTCCTTCTGGACACTGGTGTGGCTTTCTCAGTGTTCATCTCCTGTCCCAGACAGCTATCCTCAAGCTCTGTTACCATCCGAGGAATCCTGGGACAGCCTATAATCAGGTATTTCTCCCACCTCCTCAGTTGTAACTGGGAAAGTTTGCTACAGATAGGAAGTATGCTTATCTAATCCTACATGTTCATGCTGCAATATGGAAAGAAAGGGAGTTCCTAACCTCTGGGGGAACCCCCATTAAATACCACAAGGAAATCATGGAGTTATTACACACAGTGTAAAAACCCAAGGAGGTGGCAGCCTTACACTGCCAAAGCCATCAAAAAGGAGAAGGAGAGGCAAGAACAGCAGTATAAGCAGCTAGCAGAGGCAGGGAAAGACCAGCAGAAAGGAAAGAGAGAAAGAGACAGAAAGTCAGAGAGAGAGAGAGAGCAAGAGAAAGAGACAAGGAGTCAGAAAGAGAGAGACAAAGAAGTCAAAGAGAAAGAAAGAGAGATGGAAGTAGTAAAGAAAAAACAGTGTACCCTATTCCTTTAAAAGCCAGGGTAAATTTGAAACCTATGATTGATAATTGAAGGTCTTCTCCATGGCCCTATAACATTCTGATACCACCTTGTTGTCAGTGTAAACAAGGGCATAGCCCAAAAACACTGAGGCTACTGAACACCCATGGCCTTCCTGTCAAAAATCCTTAAGCCAGCAGGTTTCCTAACAGGGGACCTAAATCTTAATTACCATACAAAGGTCCGACCAGACCTAGGAGGAACTCCCTTCAGGACAGGATGATAGATGGTTCCTCCCAGGTGATTAAGGGAAAAAGACACAATGGGTATTTAGTAAATGATAAGGAAATTCTTGTAGAAGCAGAGTTAGGAAAATTGCCTAATAATTGGTCTGCTCAAGCGTGTGAGTTGTTTGCACTCAGCCAAACCTTACTTTACAGAATCAGGAAGGAGCCATCTATACCAATTGTAAGTTAATATGGGCTGAACGAGGTTTCATTAATAGCAAAGAAAAATTAAAATCCCAAACTTACAAGGTTTTCAACAAAAGTAAAATTTGCTAAAAGTTAACAGTGTAACATGTATTATCTTAATTTCTAATCTTATGGAAATCAGACACTATCAGTACCCCTCAAAGCTCAAGTCTGTCAGCGCAGAGCCATACAACTAATACCCCTACTCACATGGTTAGGAATGGCCACTGCTACAGGAACTGGAATAGCAGGTTTATCTACTTCATTATCCTACTATCACACACTCTCAAAGGATTTCTCAGACAGTTTGCAAGAAATAATGAAATCTATCCTTACTCTACAATCCCAAATAGACTCTTTGGCAGCAGTGACTCTCCAAAACCACTGAGGCCTAGACCTCCTCACTGCTGAGAAAGGAGGACTTTGAACCTTCTTAGGGGAAGAGTGTTGCTTTTACACTAAGCAGTCAGGGATAGTATGAGATGTCACCTGGCATTTACAGGAAAAGGCTTCTGAAATCAGATAATGCCTTTTAAACTTTTATACCAACCACTGGAGTTGGACAACATGGCTTCTCTCCTTTCTGGGTCCCATGGCAGCCATCTTGCTATTATTCACCTTTGGGCCCTGTATTTTTAACCTCCATGTCAAATTTGCTTCCTCTAGGATCGAGGCCATCAAGCTACAGATGTCTTACAAATGGAACACCAAATGAGCTCAACTAACAACTTCTACCAAGGACCCCTGGACCGACCTGCTGGCCCTTTCACTGGCATAGAGAGTTCCCCTCTGGAGGACACTACAACTGCAGGGCCCCTTCTTCACCCGTATCCAGAGGGAAGTAGCTAGAGCAGTCATCGCCCAATTCCCAGCAGCAGTTGGGGTGTCCTGTTTAGAGGGGGGATTGGGAGGTGAAGCCAGCTGGGCTTCTGGGTCGGGTGGGGACTTGGAGAACTTTTGTGTCTAGCAAAGGGATTGTAAATGCAGCAATCAGTGCTCTGTAAAAATGCACCAATCAGCACTCTGTGTCTAGCTAAAGGATTGTAAACGCACCAGTCAGCATTCTGTAAAAACGCACCAATCAACGCTCTGTGTCTAGCTAAAGGATTGTAAACGCACCAGTCAGCATTCTGTAAAAACGCACCAATCAACGCTCTGTGTCTAGCTAAAGGATTGTAAACGCACCAGTCAGCATTCTGTAAAAACGCACCAATCAACGCTCTGTGTCTAGCTAAAGGATGGTAAACGCACCAATCAGCACTCTGTAAAATGGACCAATCAGCAGGACGTGGGTGGGGCCAAATAAGGGAATAAAAGCTGGCCACCCGAGCCAGCAGTGGCAACCCGCTCAGGTCCCCTTCCACACTATGGAAGCTTTGTTCTTTTGCTCTTCACAATAAATCTTGCTACTGCTCACTCTTTGGTTCCACACAACATTTATGAGCTCACACTACATTTATGACCCTCACTCACTGTGAGGGTCTGCAGCTTTATTCCTGATGTCAGCAAGACCACAAACCCACCAGGAGGAATAAACAACTCCGGACACTCCACCTTTAAGAGCTGTAACACTCACTATGAAGGTCTGCCGCTTCACTCCTGAAGTCAGTGAGACAATGAACCCACCAGAAGGAAGAAACTCCAGACACATCTGAACATCTGAAGGAACAAACTGTGGACATACCATCTTTAAGAGCTGTAACACTCACTGCAAGGTCCTCTGCTTCATTCTTGAAGTCAGCGAGACCAAGAACCCACTGGAAGGAATAAATTCCGGACAAACTGCCACTGCACTCCAGCCTGGTGATAGAGTGAGATTTCATCTCAAAAAAAGAAAAAAAAAACAGGAAATTCAGGAAATCACAAGACATTACAGATAGAAAACTAAAAGAAATTTCAAACAGAATTAGCAGAAGGAAAGAAATAATAGAGATCAGAGCAGAAATAAATAAAACTAGACTAAAAATTGAAAAAGATCAACAAAGTAAAAATTCGGTTTTGGAAAACATAAAAAGTGACAAATATTTAGCTAGGCTAGTTACAATAGAAGAGGGAAGACCTAAATAAATAAAATCAGAGATGAAAAAGTAGACATTACAATTGGTATCACAGAAATTCAAAAGATCATTAGAGAATACTATGAACAATTATATACCAACAAATTGGAAAACCTAAAGGAAATAGTTAAATTCCAGGATGCATGCAATCAAGATTGACCCATAAAGGAATAGAAAACCTGAACAGACAAATAATGGGTACTGAGATTGAAAGTAAACCTGACAGCTTCACTGCCAAATTCTATCAAATATTTAAAGAAGAACTAACAGCAATTCTACTCAAACTATTCAAATATTTGGAGAGGAAGGAATACTTGCAAACTCATTCTTTGACACCAACATTATCCTGATATCAAAATCAGACAAGGGCACAAAACAATAACAAAAAACTAGAGGCCACTGTTCCTGATGAATATAAATGCAAAAACCCTCAACAAATTACTAGCAAACTAAATTCAGCAACACAGTAAAAAAAAAAAAAAATCATTCATTATTATCAGGTGGGATTCATCCCAGGGATTTAATGAAGTTTCAGTATATGCAAATCAATAACTGTGATACATCATTTTAGCATAATCAAGAACAAAAAACATGATCATGTGAGTGCAGAATAAGCACTTGATATATTTCAACATCTCTTTATGATAAAACCTCTCAACAAACTGGGTATAGAAGTAACATACCTCAAAACAAATTTACAAAAAAAACATTAAAAAGTGGGCAAAGGACATGAACAGACACTTCTCAAAAGAAGACATTCATGCAGCCAACAAATATATGAAGAAAAGCTCAACATCACTGATCATTAGAGAAATGCAAATCAAAACCACAATGAGATACCATCTCATGCCAGTCAGAATGGCAATTATTAAAAAGTCAAGAAACAACAGATGCTGGCAAGGTTGTGGAGAAAAAGGAAGACTTCTACGCTGTTGGTGGGAATGTAAATTAGTTCAACCATTGTGAAAGACAGTGTGGTGATTTCTCAAAGATCTAGAAGCAGAAACACCATTTCACCCAGCAATCTCATTATTGGGTACATATATATACCCAAAGGAATATAAATAATTATATTATAAAGATACATTCATGTGTATTTTCATTGCAGCCCTATTCACAATAGCAAAGACATGAGATCAATCCAAATGCCCATCAGTGATAGACTGGATAAAGAAAATGTGGTACATATACACCACGGAATACAATACTATGCAGCCATAAAAAGGAACAAGATCATGTCCATTGCAGGGACATGGATGGAGCTAGAAGCTGTTATCCTCAGCAAACTAATGCAGGAACAGAAAACCAAATACCACATGTTCTCACTTATAAGTGGGAGCTGAATGAAGAGAACACATGGACACATTGTGAGGCCTGTTGATGTGCAGCAGGAGGGAGAGCATTAGGAAGAATAGCTAATGGGTGCTGGGCTTAGTACCTAGGTGGTAGATTGATCTGTGCAGCAAATTACAGTGGCAGACATTCACCTGTGTAACAAACTTGAACATTCTGTACATGTACCCTAGAACTTAAAATAGAAGTTGAGGAAAAAAAACACACACACATACTATATTCAAGGTTGTATTGTAGATCCTTAAAGGTAGGATATAGAGAAATACACACAGATGCATAAATCATGGCCTCTTAAAGGAAAAGCCTTGCATATGGAGACCAATTTACTTCCATGCTCTGCCTCTTTTATTAGTCATGTGGCTTTGGATATAATTCTGAACTTTCTTCTGTCTTATTCTCTCTGTAACAATTTGGAGAACAGAACCAGCTCCCAATAATGTAATATTTTTTATTATTCTCATTGCTATTAAGGAATTTATAGCATAGTAGTAGTATCTTAATACAGGAAGAAATCTTAGAAAAATTCTAATCCAATTCCATTTAAAAAAGGAGAAAAAAACTGGTGAATTTTATAAAAATGTATTAGATCTGTTACATATGTTATGCAATACTATATTATAGTGTTTTTTAATGTGCATCACTTGTGGTGTATAAATTGACAATTTCTAAGGAATGTGTTTTTCTTTTAAGGAAAAGAATAATTTGAGTATACTTTAGAATTTTTTACTTTTCTAATTACTATATTTGCAAAATAAACTTGTGTTCAATTATACTAATGTAATGTAGTATGCATATTGTTTCTTAATAATAAAGTTAAATATACAAAGGTGCAAATACACATACCTTTTGCAAATCTCTTTTAAGCCCATCATCCTCATGTAATAATAATCGCTACCCTTAACATTGATGTATTATTAATTTTTATGCATTATCTCACTTCTTGTAATGACCCTATGGGTAGGGTATTTTGTTGTTGTTAATATTATTGTCATAATTCTTATTTTATAAAGATGAAGCTAAGCTTAGGGGAGGTTTGTTATCTTGACCCAGGTTAAAAAGTTCCCACATGAGGAGCCAGGTTTGAGACTCTGCTCCAAAGCCCTTCCTTCTTTTTAGCCACTGAACAATCCTGCTTGTCTTCTATTCTCCAGCAACACGAATCTGTATTTCATTTACACATATAAAAGCACACCATTTTCTTTCAGACAAACTGGAAGAAATGTAAAAGTATGTATAAATATAAATACATATTCAAGGAGAGGACTAGAAATCTGATAACCCAGTGCCAATGTTACCAAATTCTGAATGTTGCCATTTCAGCCAGAAAGTCAGAATGTAGACATCCTACTTATTATAACAAGAGAAAACCAGTGAAATATTCAAATGAGATATTAACATATAGTTTGTCTCCATTATTGATAAAAATTATAAACTGCTTTTACCTAAAACAGAAAATATAACGAACAAGTAATCCATATCCTATTATTATTTTAATTGTACAGATTGTCTATTACCAGAACCTTGCTTCACTTAACTGTAATTTGTAATAAATTAAGGTAGTTAGGATTCAGTGTATGTCAGTTACCATACCATTTCCTTTATTTTTCCCCCATAAGAGATTGGAAGCATTATACAAAATAAAGTTATCTGCAGATTGTGGTAGGACATACATAGAATTGCAGGTGGCAAGCCAATATATTATTCATCAAGTTCTTAAATAATTACTTATTCATTGATCTTTACACAATGCTCTTCAATATTTCTTTGAATTTAAGGGGTATGGTTTGAAAGTGTTTTCTGGAGAGCTATGATCAACAATTTCTAGTTACAAAATAGATGTACATATGCTGTTCTCTGGGAATAGGTTTTGTAATGCATTCAATTTTATGAATAATTTAAAACTTTCACTTTTTGTTTCTCTTTGCAGAGATTTTTTTCCCATTGCATAGACACAAAGATGACCTTGATTTGCTTTCCATAAATCTTCAGCACATTTTTGATGACTGTCTTTGAAACATATGCCTCATCTTGCTTCTCTACATAATATTTTTATAAATTGAACAATGCGCCTCCTTGAAAACCCTGAACAAAGCACCTTGTATAATTTACTAGTGCTCATTCTTAGAGCTTTGCTACAACCAGCCAAATCAAAGACCAGTGGGTTTGAATCTTACTCAGGTAATGAACAAATGCCATCTAATAATTCATGTACTCTTTCTGTAGTGTCTATTACAGTTTATAGCAATAAGATGCTTTTAGAATTATATTCTTTTCTTGGGCTAGTTTTTTACATTTTGATTCTTTCTGTAAGCCCAACTAAATGTACCTGTCTTGTGAAAAGAAATTTTATCTAATTGTATTGCTTTACTGTAGATACCATTTGATTCTAAATCATTGTTCTCCAAGATTACCTGTTTCCTTTGCTGTAATTAATATGTTTTTATCAATATCCAAAGTAAATTTGAGTCATATCTTTCATAATTCACACTTCACAACTTTGCCCTGTGTGACCATTTTCAAATGTTTTCGTAAGCCTGAACTTTGTGACATTTTGACATTTGTCCAATTCTTTATTCTATCCCAATTATGACTTAGAGAATTGTACAGAGGTGTAGGGGATAATGAGTTTTGGAGTTTATCTACACATTGCAGCAATTATGTGTTTTGCTCTTTCGGAAGTTATGTTGTATTCTGATCTATTGGTAGCATTGTTTCACAATGGTGTTTCAACATGTTAAATATATTTTTCTATGATAGAAATTGCAAATATTACTTTCTTGTTGAATTCACAAGAGAATGGAAGACAATCCTGGTATTTGAGAAGTCATCAAATCCACACTCCTCTCTAATGAGGTAAAACATGGTAACTTATGCAGCAAGATTAATCTAAAAAAATTTTTTTAAAGATGTGAGAATAATAGGTTCAAGGTAAAATAAGCTGCAGATGAAGAAACCCAATATACTTTAAGGTGAGCTAAAGAATCTAAAACCGAGATGAAAACTAATGTGATTGTTACAAGTCTTAAATACAGCTTAGTACAATATGTTATATGTAGAGAATATTCAACATATTTGTTGAGTGGATTTCGCTATCGCTAGAAAAATTTGCTTAGAAACCAATTATCTAACGAAGCTGTACATTATATTATTAATAATTCCTGAATATTTAGTTCATAACTCTAATCTACTGATACTATTTGACTGCACCATAGTCAACACTAAATAACTTCAGTCCTATGACTTCCTGAGCTCATAGTCTGACTTTCTGCAAAGTATTTTCCTTCATGTTTCAGATTGTATTAAAGTCTAGTTTGAAAAGAACTGAGTAGGCAGAATTTTTTATGCCATTCAAATAGGATTCTGCAATTTTCCCTTAAAACTTTACTCCTCAAACTCAAACTTTTTTCTTACTATAAAATGGTTATTCCTTTAAATTAAAAAGAAATTAAAAGCCTTTCTAGCATACTCATTGTACCCATTGTAGGTCATAAATAGCAATATATTATTTACAATTCCACTATGTTTCTACATATGTCCTCTGAATTCTTAAAGCATTAAAGCATATGAGCTAATGGCAAAAATTGAAAAATATTTATTGTATTTTATTATTAAAGAAATAACCAGACTTGGAACGGCCATCAAAAGAGCCAAAAAATTAGGCTTCCATTTTTAAATAAATATTAATTTCATAATTGTTTTACATTTATGTAAAAGTTGCAGAGTTGGTACAGAGTACTATCCCATATTGTTAACCCACTTTCCCACTTCCCATATTGTCAACATTTTTCATTACCATGGTGCATTTGTCACAACTAGGAAACCAATATTGGCCATTACTATTAACTATACTACAGACTTAATTTGGATTTCACTAGTTTTTCCACTAATGCCTATGTTTGTCCCCCTAGAATCCTATTTAAGGTCAAGAATCCCATCTAGAATAGTATAGTTTATTCAGTCATTATGTCTTATTAGCCTCATCTGATCTAAGACAATTTCTTTGTCTTTGTTTTTATTTTTTTTATGAGATTGAAAGATTTAAGGAGTAGTGGTCAATTATTGGTAGAATGTCCTTCAATTTGGGTTTGTGTAATATTTTCCCCATGGTTAGATTCGTATTACAGGTTTTTTGGGGGAAGAATACCACAGAGATCAAGTACGCTTCTCATCACAGCCTATTAGTAGTACACGTTATCAACATGATTTATCACAAGTGATGTTGTCCTTAATCATTTGATTAACATAGTTTGTCAGCTAGTTTTTCCTCCTTTCTATACTCTATTCTTTGGAAGAGAGCTACCAAGGGCAGTCCATAGTCAAGCAGGCAGGGGGTGGTTTAAATTCCATCTCCTATCGGGGCAGTATCTAAATAAATTATTTGGAATTCTTCTCTAAGGATGATTTGTCTCTTTTCTCCCATTTACTTAGAGTCCTGGCTTTTAATGGAGCAAAATATTAATCTGGCAAAGTAAGAAGAAGAAAGAGAACATTTTCAGATGACTTTTCTTCAGGGAGGTTAGAACTTAGAAAATGTGCATTTTATTTCCTTTGAGATTCTCAACATGTACGAAAAAGATTTGGAAACTGGATTCCAGTGTTTTGTAATAATGGCTTGTAGGAGAAGAAAAAAAAAAGAAGACAGGACATTAAGATCACATCACAGTTTTTAAATATTCATACATATACCAGCTATGGCCTTTAAGTATTTTTATTGAAGGGTAAAAACCTTGCATGTCACAATACTTCAAAAATATTGTATTTCAGGTCAATTTCTCTACGAAAAATGTCAACATTCACTCATCCATCAGCTTCCAGTAAGATCTTCTAGTGTGCACCCTAATGCACACTGTTGATTACTTCATCTTCCCTCTACGAAGCTTAGCCAAGACAGACTCCTTTACTATCCTTATCTATTCCAAACTCCACATCCTTTGAAGGATTTATAGTGTTCTGAGTCCTATTCCAAAGTCCAAAGTGTCATCTGACATTATCTCATAATCAAAGGCTACAGACGTAAGATGGAGGATAACAAATACTTCATCTACATAATGTGCATTTTCATACTCTAAATCAGTTTTAGAAACAAACAGGCCAAAGATTTTTGCCCTTTCTATCCTCTGATATTTTTATGGAAAAATGATTAGAAGTAATAAGCGGTAGAAAACAAAGCATCAGTTCTGTCGCCCAAGTACCTGCTTTTACAGACTAGGAGCTGAGTTTCAGAGAAAGGTTGTGACAAGGAAAGACTCAGCAGATTTGAGATTAGAAAACAGCTCCCATCTTTTATAGCCTACGATTCTTAAATAAACATATTAAAAGACAAGACTTTTATTATATCAAAAAATTTGAGCAATATGATAAGGCAGTATTTTATCGGCAAACATAAAAATTTGCCCAATTGGTGAAGCAGGAGAAAATAACTTATAACTTCCTTTGGTGATGTTTGTAAATGTTTTCCATTTTCTTTTATTTCAAAAGAACTAAGGGTTAAATAAAATGATAGCCAGCAGCCTGAAAGGGTTAATATCCTTTCTACAAAGTGTGAAACTCTGATAGATTGAAGGCATCTTCCTGGAGAGGAACAAATTCAGTGTAATAATGATTATTATATTCATATCTTTGCTTCAAATCGAGTTCAGCTGCTGTAGCTTTGTTTTTGCAGTACATTTTATTGTGTAATAAAATAAATTTTCATTTGCATATTTTCCTTAAATTTCCATAGAGCAGTGAATACTCTTTTCTCTTTCTCTTACCAAGTATTCATATTCACTCAGAAGCAAAAGACAACATCAGAAAACTCAACTTCTCACCCTCAAGGACCTTCAGTAAGAATTAAAGGTTATGCATTAATTCCAGGAGAGGCAAATTGATTTTAAGGTCCTTATAAACCAGGTGAAACAGGAAATGCATTATTCTTGATAACAAATGTATAATAGTTTAAGCTGTCATCCTATGCTATGCTTTGGGCATTCTTCCACAGAATTAACAAAATGAAAATTTTACTCCTATTTATTCAACAGCCAAAAAATCATTACTCAACCAAATAAGGACTTTAAACTTGTAATTTAGGTTTAACCTTTAAGCTTCCTTCTGCCTTCTTCCTCTCAGTCATGTTTTTAAGTTATGTTTGCTTTTTAATGCATATTACTTAGTTTAAGAGAGTCTACAGATCTTTACAGGGGTTGTGTAGATTTCAATGTCAGGAATACTGAGCAAGATCTGGTACTTGCAGAAAATAAAATGGGTCATCCAGAGGCAGCCAAATGAGCCAAGAGACATACTGTATCATCCCTCATTCACGGTTTAAAGCCAGAGGACTGTGTCTCTTCAGTAGAGAGGTCATTACACAAAAGAACAAAAAGATGAGGACAAAATGCCAATTCTTGCAAAATTACTTTCTTTGCAAGGAAGCTCATTTAAAATTCCATACCCTTCTTGACTTTTCCACTCCTGACTAGAGTGGACCTAGGGAAAGAAAAAGGGATGGCAGAGGAGTTGAGAAAATGGGTTCCAATCAGAAAATGCCAGAGAAGCGATTTGGCATAAAGTATTCAATTCTTTCCTTGGCTGATCTGATTAAGTTGAATAGAAGAGTCAAGAAAGATGACATATATGTCACTGAGTAGGGAGGTGTGTTAACAGATACACAATCACCAAAGACCTGGTCCATCAGCCCCAAAAGGCCGGAAGATTGCATCTATTATTTCCTTAGTCCTTTTCTGGGAGAAACCTCACCCTTCCCTGAAGGGTGAGGGTGATGAGTACAGCACTCTTTGGACAATTACTCATTTAACAAAGCATTTCCCAGTCCCTTTGCATTTCAGTAGGTGGAAATGAGGATATCATCATAAATGTCCATGCTTCACTCTGTTTAGTGGCTGAGTCTCATCTTGGAACCCTTGAATGAACTGAAACAAAAAAACAGATCATCGTCTGACTGCATTTTAAACACGTGGTGCTATTCTAAGTGGAAATTGTCTAGTTTAAACGGCTCTCCCAATGTTATCTTCAAAGAATGCACAAATCTATTTTCCTCCTATGCTTGAAATTGATTAATGTTGAAATACAGTCATTCATCTTCAAGACGGAGAAGATTTAGAAACTGAAAGCTTTTTAAGCGAAGATTCAAAACTTAATGGGAGGTGTTTTCTGCTCTAAGGGTGTATCTGATTTTCCTAGATATAGTTTTATCATCATCAAAACTGTGTGTACTTGAGTGGATAATATAAAAAGAAAGTTAGCCACTTATAAGATGTCTATCTTCAAAAGCTGGCAAGATATAAATAATATAAATTGTGCATATAAACAAATAACTATGGTAATTCAAACAACACACTAACGACTCCACTAACAGATATAGTCATTTATTTTTAAGTCAGCCTCAAAAATATACATTTGTATCTTTCATAGACTTTTCCCAAGCTTTTCATATTTTCTCCCATTTTAGTTACTGGCACGTTTTTCCATTGTGCCATTCATGCAAGAAGGCTGAGAATAATTCTAGGCTCTTTCATCTCACCTCTTACATTCAATCTTTCACCACGTCCTATTAGTTCTACTGCCTAGAAATCTTTTCAAATTCCACTTCTGATGCTTTATCCTCTGCCTTTACACCTTCTCTCCTGGAATTCCTCAATAGCTTTCTACTTTCTCTAGCTCCCTATATTTAATCCATCCACAATATAACCACAACCAAATTTCTAAATAAAGACGTGATTGACTTAAAGACCTTCAGTCATGCTATTACATTGACAGTCAAGCCAAAACGCCTTTCCACTGGGAGTAATGCCTGTTTCTTTCCATCTTCCCTCTCTAGCCATCATCTTTCCATATGCAGCAAGAACTCTAGGAACATTAAACTTCCTGCAGTTTCTTAAATGTGCTACACATGGTTTGTCCCTGATATCTTTAATTATACCTTCTCTGAAGATTAACTAAAGAAAGTTATTTTTCATTTCCCTCCTCTCCATTAAATGCATTCCTACCCACGCATATCTTCATATTCATGAAGACCTTTTATTCTTTGTTCAACCCTGAACTCAAATGTTTCCCCTTTCAGAAGCATTCTATGCTATGTCCGGAAGACTTTCTGTGTTCCCTCAACAAAGGGTTTCTACTTCTTCTTCATCACATACTACTTTCTCCAGTCTATTATCGATGAACATTTAGGTTGATTCCATGCCTTTGCTGTTGTGAATAGTGCTGCAGTGCGCATTTACATGCATGTGTCTTTATAGTAGGATGATTTATATTTTTCTGGGTATATACCCAGTAATGGAATTGCTGGATTGAATGGTAGTTCTGCTTTTAGCTCTTTGAGGAATCGCCATACTGCTTTCCAATGGTTATATTCCCACCAACAGTGTATACGGGTTTCCTTTTCTCCACAATCTCAGCATCATCTGTTATTTTTTGACTTTTGAGTAATAGCTATTCTGACTGGTGTGAGATGGTATCTCATTGTAGTTTTGATTTGTGTCTGTTTAATGATTACTGATGTTGAGCACTTTTTCATATGCTTGTTGGCTAAGTGTTACGTCCTCTTTTGAAAAGTGTCCGTTTATGTCCTTTGCCCACCTTTTAATGCAGTTGTTTGCTTTTTGTTTGTAAATCTGTTTAAGTTCTCTATAAATTCTGGATATTAGACCTTTGTCAGATGCATTGTTTGCAAATATTCTCCTAGTCTGTAGATTGCTTGTTTACTCTGTTGATTTTTTTCTGTGTA
Organism: Homo sapiens; assembly: GCF_000001405.40. Taxonomy (NCBI): domain Eukaryota; kingdom Metazoa; phylum Chordata; class Mammalia; order Primates; family Hominidae; genus Homo; species Homo sapiens. The sequence continues at coordinate 166,727,808 of NC_000002.12, read as the reverse complement.
GAAGCTCTTTAGTTTAATTAGGTCCCATTGGTCAATTTTTGCTTTTGTTGCAACTGTTTTTAGGGTTTCCATCATGAAATCTTTGCCAGGCCGTGTCAAGAATGGTATTTCCTACATTATCTCCCAGGGTTTTTATAGTTTTTGGTTTTACATTTAAGACTTTAATGCATCTTAAGTTGATTTTTGTATATGGTATAAAGAAAGGGTCCAGTTTTAATATACTGCATATGGCTAGCCAGCTATCCCACCACAATTTATTGAATAGGGAATCCTTTCCTCACTGCTTTTGTTGACTTTGTGAAAGATAGGATACTTGTAGGTATGTGACATTTAGCTTTTTCAGTCGCCTTTTCCCAATTAATTGTTGCTCACTGACCTGTGGGGACAGTTATTTCAAACCCTACTCTTCAGCCTGTGAAAAACCCCACATCACCATGTAGCACTTCATTTCACTTCCCTTTTCTTAAAGATGAAACCAAAGCTGTCTCATTTCTCTTTTCAGTTAAACACCCAAACAAACCACCAGCCTCATGATAATTTAAGACTGAAGTAATGTGCTAATTTAGAAATAACAACTTCTCTGAACTGTGCAATTCCATCTGATTTGCAATCCAAATTTTTCATAATGGTGAAGTTAGTCTTCTTAATGTTATGTATATGACACCCTAGAATAATGGCTATAATGTTTATATTTTGATACACACACACACACGCACACACACAATCTCACTCTTTTTGAAAGATGGCAACTACTAGCAACTTGTTAAATAAAAAACTGTCAACCAAGAAGTTGTGAAAGATGACTAGACTGCAAAGCAGTAAGATGAGGTTCGTATTGGGGTCGTAGGAATTGCAATTTGGGAGACACAGATTTGGCTGGAAGTTCCAAAGAGAGGAAAAGAAGTATTTTTTAAGGACTTTGAGGGTGATTACACAAGTGGTTTTGAAAGAATGATCATTAGTGGAGGAAGCTGGCTTAGTACATAAATTCATAGTTCATTGATTGTTACTGTTCAGGTGTTATAGCGCTGGCAAAATTCAGCTGTTTTCCAGAATGCTGTGTTTGTGGAGGTTTGGCCAAGTTCAAAGGTTCTGTAAAGTGAAAAAAAAATAGAGGACTGAACAAAGATCACAATGACTACACCATGCACTCAACAGATATTTACTGTACCACCAATAGGTTTAACCTGTTAAATTTAACTTTGTTCTCCTCCTGCATTTACCCACCACCTTCCCACCAGCACCATCCACACAACTGAATTATTCCATCTAGGTCTAAAGAAAAAAAATACAGAAGCACAAAGTTTGAAATCAGAAAGAGTGGCTTTAAAACTTGGATGAGTCATTTAACATGGGTGAATCTCAGTTTGCTCAAACATAACTGAGAATATAATCTACATTTCTCTACATGTTTGCTTTGCACCTCGAAATAGATGTGTTTATTAGATATAGAATGTTTATTTCCATCTTACATTCAGTCTTGGGAATTTCAAATCCTTTTATGACATCTTGGATTCACTGGAAAGCAAATGCTTGAGGGCAAATGCCATTCACAGCATCATTATTGTTTGAATATCATGCAGTATGAAAATTCAATATCAAGAAAGATATTTGAGTCACTGAAATTAATGGATCCCTTCTAAGTTGTGCCAAGCAGTGTTTCTGAGTAATAGAGTATAAACAATCCCAGGAAGAGCATGTTGCTTGTTGAAGTAGCTACAGAAGAAGTGACATTAGCTTAGTGAATGTGCCAGTATGAAGTCAGCATACCTTAGCCTCAAAGGCTAACAAACCTGATTTTATCTATGGGTGACCTGAATTCATCCTTGGGAACAGATTCACATTAACATTGGCATTCTGCATTCAAAACCAGAATGCTAAAATTCTCTGTTTAGGAGGAGGATTTTTCTTGCTGAAATGAAAGACACTAGGGTCCTCTTTCTAACTTGTACTGATTGCCCCTGTAGGCAATACTAAAGAAGGTCTAGTTGCAACCTTGGTGTCAGTTTTTAAATTTAACATGAAAGCTTTAATCTATAACTGTGAGAAACACTGGGCAGGTAACATTCTAAAGTCAGTATGTTACCTTTTCATAAGTAAGCTTTATGGAAAGTTAAATTATAATTGGAAGATTGCCTGGTAAGTATGAGATCAGAATAGGTGAAGTGTATTACCCCAAAGCAATTAAACCTTTGAACAATACAAGAAAAATGTATGTATATGTTTTCTCCACCCTAGAGTCATTACTGTCACCTGAACCAGACAGATGTTGTGTTCTTGAGAAACATGTTTGTGCTCAAGGCAATAGTGGCTAGAGTTAGTGCTTGGTTCATCCCATGAGTCCATGACTGATCAATCCCCTTGCCATCTATTACATCCCTTCAGTAGTATACATTAACACCTTTATTCAGAGTACAGGAAAATCTTACAGGCCTGGAACCTGTTGTCTCTATACTGTTACAATGCTTCTCATCTTTATATGTTTATTTCAAGGGTAATCTCTTAAAGGACAATTATCTTTCATTTGCTTCTCCTTCACTTTAAATTTTAAGGATGTTCTGGAACCCCCCAGCTTCTAAAAAGAGCAGTTCCAGAAAATGTAATATGAGTGAGTATCATAAGTAAAGAAAATATCTCTAAATTTGGATAGGAAACCTCAACAAAAAAGAGAAGTGGGGGAAAGGGGAGACAGAGAAGACCAGCAGAGAGTTCTAACCATGGAAGCTGTCAGAGTTGTTTTCAATTTTCCGTAGTATTGATTTACAGAAAATGTACTCCCTAGCTCATAATAACAAACTTCCAATTAATTTGGATTCAGTCCTTCTGCTATAAAGTTACACAGACATGAACATTAAATATTAAAATTTTTTGACCTCAGTCAAATGTGTCATACTTCATGGTCAGTTTATAGACCAAAATCCTGTTATGGCAATTCAGTAGGGTAAATTTGAGAAGGACAAGGCATAGTACTGTCCCTTCCTTCTGACTCTTTTCATAGAAAATGGAATGTGTGTAGGAGATCACACACACCACAGGAAATACCTCAATTACAGAATTTAATAAAAAGGATGTGCCTATAGGTTCTCCTATAAGATCCAAGTAAATTATGTTGATGACTTGCTTGAATTTTTTTTTTCCATTTGTAACTCTTATGACTCTTTGAATACCACATCTACTTCTGCAGTGGTTAAATCCTTGCAAGATGCCAGAGGAATAGAAATATCAAGGTCTTGCAGTTTATTTACTTAAAAGATGTGGGTTCTCAAATTGCCTGGAAAAATGATTCGACCACCCCACTATTCATAGTAAAAATAATTCCATCCAAAATATACTTCTGTAATGCAATATGATGCCTTCAGTGGACATATAATAAGGCTATCACCATTTCTCAACCTGGCCATCTTTCTGAGCCACCAGTATAATGACATCATGTTGGGTATTGGGTATCTTTATTTCAGCATCTCCATACTCCCTCTGAACTTTCCTATAATTACTCTGAAAGTGAAGAAGGCCTATGCTCTTCAGTGGAAGGCAATATGTGTTTATCTACTGAGAGCTACCAATCACCAGCGTGCTATTTTCATTATTTTACACAGCATTGTATCTGTGTAAGAAGCACCTCTTACCATTTAAATTCTGCCAAAAATATTTTTCAGAATTCATTATCTTCTTCCTAAATTTGCTTGAAGCCCTAATCTTCTCTTTCTATGGTTATTGCCCAAGCCTTTTGATATGGTTTGGCTGTTTCCCTGCCCAAATCTCAACTTGAATTGTATCTCTCAGAATTCCCATGTGTAGTGGGAGGGACCCAGAGGGAGGTAACTGAATAATGGGGGCCGGCCTTTGCTATGCTATTCTCGTGACAGTGAATAAGTCTCACGAGACCTGATGGGTTTATCAGGGGTTTCCACTTTTGCTTGTTCCTCATTTTTCTCTTGCTGCTGCCATGTAAGAAGTGCCTTTCACCAACTGTCATGATTCTGAGGCCTCCCCAGCCATGTGGAACTGTAAATCCAATTAAACATCTTTTTGTTCCCAGGTTCGGGTATGTCTCTATCAGCCGCATGAAAATGAACTAATACAGTGAATTGGTACAAGGAGAGTGGGGCTTTGCTGAAAAGATACCTGAAAATGTGGAAGCGACTTTGGAACTGGATAACAGGCAGAGGTTGGAACAGTTTGGAGGGCTCAGAAGACAGGAAAATGTGGGAAAGTTTGGAACCTCCTAGAGACTTGATGAATGGCTTTGACAAAAATGTTGATAGTGATATGAACAATAAGGTCCAGGCTGAGGTGGTCTCAGATGGAGATGAGGAACTTGTTGGGAACTGGAGCAAAGGTGACTCTTGATATGTTTTAGCAAACAGACTAGTGGCATTTTGCCCCTGCCCCAGAGATCTGTGGAATATTGAACTTGAGAGAGATGATTTAGGATATCTGGAGGAAGAAATTTCTAAGCAGCAGAGCATACAAGAGCTCACTTGGGTGCTGTTAAAAGCATTCCATTTTAAAAGGGAAACAGTTCAGAAAATTTGCAGCCTGACAATGCAGTAGAAAAGAAAAACCCATTTTCTGAGGTGAAATTCAAGCCAGCTGCAGAGATTTACAGAAGTAGTAAGGAGCCTAATATTAATTCCCAAGACCATGGGGAAAATATCTCCAGACCATGTGAGAGACCTTCACAGCAGACCCTCCCATCACAGGCCCAGAGGCCCAGGAGGAAAAAGTGGTTTTGTGGGCTGGGCCCAGGGTCCCCATGGTGTGTGCAGCCTAGGGACTTGGTGCCCTGTGTCTCAGCTGCTCAAGCTGTGGCTGAAAGGGGCCAATATGGAGCTTGGGCTGTGGCTTCAGAGGGTGGAAGCCCCAAGCCTTGGCAGCTTCCATGTGGTGTTGAGCCTGCAGGCACACAGAAGTCAAGACTTGAGGTTTGGGAACTTCTGCCTAGATTGCACACGTATGGAAATGTGTGGATGCCCAGAAAAAAGTTTGCTGCAGGGGTGGGACCCTCATGGAGAACATCTACTAGGGCAGTGCAGAAGAGAAATGTGGGGTTGGAGCCCCCACACAGAGTTTCTACATGGGTACTGTCTAGTGGAGTTGTGAGAAGAGGGCCATCTTCCTCCAGGCCTCAGAATGGTAGATCCACTGACAACTTGCACTGTGTACCTGGAAAAGCCTCAGACACTCAATGCCAGCCCATGAAAGCAGCCAGGAGGGAGACTGTACCCTGCAAAGCCACAGGGGAAGAGCTGCCCAAGACCATGGGAACACACCTTTTGCATCAGTATGACCTGGATGTGAGACCTGGAGTCAAAGGAGATCATTTTGGAGCTTTAAAATTTGACTACCCCACTGGTTTTCAGACTTGCATGGGCCCTATATTCCCTTTGTTTTGGCCAATTTCTCCCATTTATAACACCTGTACTTACCAAATATCTGTACTTCCATTGTATCTAGGAAGTAACTAGCTTGCTTTTGATTTTACAGACTCACAGGTGGAAGGGACTTGCTTTGTCTCAGATGAGACTTTGGACTGTGGACTATTGGGTTAATGCTGAAATGAGTGAAGACTTTGGGCAACTGTTGGGAAGGTATGATTGGTTTTGAAATGTGAGGACATGGGATTTGGAGAGGCCGGGGTGAAATGATATGGTTTGGCTGTGTCCCCACTGAAATCTCAATGAATTGTATTTCCCAGAATTCCCACGTGTTGGGGGAGGGACTCAGGGGGAGGAAATTGAATCATGGGGTCCGGTCTTTCCCATGCTATTCTCGTGATAGTGAATAAGTCTCTAGAGATCTTATGGGTTTAACAGGGATTTCCACTTTTGATTCTTCCTCATTTTTCTCTTGCCACTGCCATGTAAGGAGTGCTGCCTTTTGCCTCCTGCCATTAGTCTGAGGCCTCCCCAGCCATGTGGAACTGTAAGTCCAATTAAACCTCTTTTTGTTCCCAGTTTCGGCTATGTCTTTATCAGCAGCATGAAAATGAGCTAATACATGTTTCTTGTGCTACTTCATAGGTTGGTAAGTAGAATTATACACACACACACATACACACACACGTACGCACACACACACACACAAACACACACACAGAAGGAGCTGCTTGTCTCTGCTATCTTCAGAGGGTCCCCAAAATATAAAAAGAAGAAATAAGGAATATATGCCTATATTGTCATTAAAGCAAAGGGATGGATATTCAGGACAATGGTCTCAGTGCCTTAATACATCCAATGGATAAAGGTCACATATGTGATACCCTGCTTGTTGCTGCATAGGCTTGGAGTTTAGCTCAATGCTCTTATCTAGTTGTAATTCCAACCCTTTCTCTCTCACTCTGAAAAGCAAACACAAGTCAGTGAATATGACATTATTATAGGGATAACTTTGAATCTACTGTAATTTATAAGACAGTCAAACATTCAAACACTTGAATATCTGACACCTTGCAACTGATCTCGATGTGCCCCTATACCATAGTTAAACATTACAAGTTAAACCTATAACAAGAATTATTATTCACAAAGCATGCGATAGAGACTGTGTGACATAAAAGGCCTGCCTTGTAACTTAAAATAGCTTCAGGATCTGTAGTGACTTTTGTCTTTGGTTTGCTTGTTTAGATAGTAGGGTGGGAATCAGAGAAAAGTGGTGTAGGAAAAAGGAGGAGGGAGAGAGAAAGGACTATCAATCTGTTTATACCATAGAATGATGTATTTATACATTTGGGAAAGAGCATGAGGCAGAGGAGAAAAAAATTACCCAGCAATCAAGCATTTCCTTTTCAATTATTTGATATATTTGCATTGGTTGTCATTTTTTTTTGCCCATGCTGGGATAATGCTTAATGAATACTATCCTCTTGGGTTTTCTACAAAAGCAAGATGTGTTTCTTATGAGATTATTCCCTAGAGTCTCATTCTAAAATAAACAGTTCATTGCTTACAGGGATTTTACAGAGCAAGTTCTCTTTCAATGGATATATAACTCAAAAAATGGAGCTGTATAAAATCTATTCATACACTCTCATCCCCTAAACCATGGGATTTCTAACTTGTTCTTGTTTGTCAGAGGAGACCTGAAACTCTCTTTCCCCTTTTTTCTTAGAAAGTAACATACCCTAGGTATGTAAATAGTTGGGCTCCCAAATGCAACTGGCTGCTGATTATAATATTTTATGGTGTTTTCTCAATAGTACATATCAAAGGAACACAGCACATAAATCACATAGCAAAGCCCTATGTACCATAGGTAAGTTCTGATAGTTTTAATCGCCTAGAATATTGACTATCAATTCATGGTATCTCCTAATTTGGCCTTCGAATTCAGTTTTTAGATTCTCTGCTTTTGAAGATAAGAATGAAGAGTGAAATAGATGCTTGGTTGGTATGTATGCAAAATGCCTGAAAGAGTAAAGCAAGAAGCATTTATTTTTATGAGGGGCATGCTTAGTACTTTCCTCTTCACTAGGGTATTTACCTTTTAAATAAATATTTTGCTAATATGGTGTAAAAACTAATTAATAGTTCCAAATCTCCAGTAAGCAAGTATGATTAACCACTTTTCCAGACATACAAAATAACTTAAAGGATTTAAACTTGCTTCTAGCATAGGAAAAGGAGAAAACAGTAGTTTGTTTAAGAATAAAGAACTTGTTTTGCCACCACCTATAGCCCAGACTTAAACTAATAAGTTGTGCCTTAAGAAAATAAATAGCATTTGCCCACTACCTTCCAGAACCATACCTGGGAATTTTGTCATGCACATAGTCAAGATATAAAGAAAACAATTGGCTGAGATAAAAGGTCATTTGGTCGTTTACATTGGCCATCTAAAATCCACTCAGTTGATCTACAGCAGAATTCATTGGGGGAAACTTATGCAGGCAAGATCAATAACAAGAATGTGAATCCTATTGCTTATACTTTCTGGAATAACACACAGAAATCTGACAGGGCTGGACATGAGACTCTAGGACAGAATCTACTTAGATTGTGGAAATTTTTAAACTGCATGATTAGGGAAGCAGATTCTCCCCTGTTAATATTGGGACCCAGGATTCAATAGCAAAACTAAGTGTGAATAATTTGGCTCTGATTCCCGCCTGCCAGCTCAGCATTCATAGCTTGGGCCGGGGGTCCTTTAGTAACTGAGCAAGCCAGCAGCAAGATTAACTAAATAAGCACTCATGACTGGCAAAGCAGCACCCTCACTCTGCATGGCCTTATAGTTAACCAGGTTCGATTTCTTTAAACATTAGACCATAGCCTCTTTCCATTGAAATTGAAAAAGAACCACTTATTTTTCTGGTGAAGCCACCTGTAGAGGTAGTGCTGGATTCTTTCAATTCACCCTCCTGATCCTAAATGGTGAACTGCAAATGTCATGCCCAACTGTATCAGATATCTATATCATGTAAACCCATAAGAGTGATGAGGCCAGTTACTGAAATCAGTGTAGAAAATGCAAAGGATGGTAAGGAATCAGTGGGTGACCCACCCCAGGAAGCAAGTCATATTTTCCCTAAACAAGCTGGGAGGTCCTTTGGTAGGAGCAGCCCATAGAGAGGTACAATGTCCAGTCTAGAAAGGGCAACAAATCTGCCATCCACAGCTGCAGCATAGAGCCTGAGAAATGACATGGTCCTGAGTCTCCTCCAAAGACGGGAGAAGGAAAAGCTGTGAGCACCACTCAGCTTCTGGCCTTAGATCCATCGTTAATAGTTTATTTGGCAGATATTGATGATAGAATTCAATGATATTTACCAGAAGTCTGGGAAGCCCCAAGAGCATAATAATTTCTTAGCAGATCCTGGAATGGCTATAGCTTCCTACTTGATATATCCAGTCCTCTATAGCCAGTCCCACATCATGACACAGTATCTAAAAGGGCCACTTGTCAGGAATGGGTATACTGAATTCAAAGCAGCCCAGATAGTTATCTTGCCAAAGTTCCAATGCAAAACAACTTATATGCACTTTCTTCTTATCTCTCAGAACACTAAATATTTCCTTAGGGGCAGGAAAGTTTTACTCCAAAGGCCTGTGTTGCTCAAACTTTGTAAATTCTATTTTTTACTTTGGCCCTTGTCACTGGGAACCAGAGCTCCTGGGAGAAACTTCTGAGTCCTGGGGATATTCTTCATGATAAAATGATTTTGTGTTTCTGAGGCCTTAAAGCTATACTCTATAAGTTTGACCAGATAATTTAGTCTTAATAATATATTTTATGACAAATGCCTGTTTTTGCTCTATGGTGTATATATATATATGTGCTAAAGTCTGAATAGCCGAAGTGAGTTCTATGGGCATAATCTGCCTATATCACTGACCCCCATAAAAATCCCAATGGGACCAGCACAGCATATGCCTGAAGGAGAATTAAGATAGTGGCTGGGGCTGATAGAGGCCATAGTTTCTTCTCTTGCCTGGCAAAGAGGGAGTAAACCAAAAAATCTAAGTTCGTAGCTACTTTCTGGGAAGGGAAATTGATACGTTCATTCAGCACCCCAATTTCTCTGGGGCTGCCCAAAGAAGTGGCATCTGTCTTGCCAGTCTGGGATCTCTGATGAGTCTGATACAGTATAGCAACCAAGGGGAGAATGTAGATGAAAGTTTGGACTGGTAGACAGTCCAGCACTCTACCCTGCAGTTCAACACAGAGTGAGTAGATAAAAGCTTAATCCCCTTAGGGAGAGAAAGAGTTGATAGAGGCCCCCAGAATCTCTGGCCAGGCTAATGGGTGGGGCCTTTCTCTTGTAAGAGAAGAGTATGTGAAGACTGGGAGAGATACCTGCATTGTCTAATGTGTAGACATCAGAGCTGAAAATTTTCTATTTCACAAAAATGAAAAATCAGGCTAAGATGGTTTAAACAAAAGAACAAGATAAATCTCCAGAAACTGACCCAAATGAAATGGAATTATGTGATTTACTTGACAGAATTCAAAATAGCTGCCATAAAAATGCTCACAGAGGTCGAGAGAACAATGCATGAACAAAGTCATAATTTCAACAAAGAGCTAGAAAATATTTAAAAGTACCAAATGAATATCATGGAACGGTAGAGCACAATAACTGTATTGAAAAGTCCACTCTTCAACAGCAGTGTAGATCGAGCAAAATAAATAATTGTAAGCATAAGAACAAGTCCTTGAAAATAATTCGGCCAAAGGAGCAAAAAGAAAAGAATTTTTAAAAGTGAAGAAAGCTTAAGGGACTTAGAGGACAATATCAGGCAGACCAAAATACACATTATGAAGTTTATGAAGAAGAATAAGATAGAGAAAGGACCAGAAAGCTCATGCAAAAAAAAAATAATAATAATAAAATAAAATAAAGGAATGGCTGGAACTTTCCAAACTTGGCAAAGAAAATAGATATTCAGATCCAAGAACCCCAAGAGGCTCCAGATAAGATTAACCCAAAGAAATATACAAGATACATTATAATCAAATTATCAAAAGTCAAAGACAAAAAGAGAATTATGACAGCAAGAGAAAAGTGACTTGTCATATATAAGGGAATCTATAAACTGTAAGTGGATTTTTCAACAGAAACCTTGCAGGGCAAAAAAATGTGGGATAATGTATTGTAAGTGCTGAAGAAAAGATGCCAAAAGATGCCATTTTTGCTGTACTCAGCAAAGTTTCCTTCAAAAATGGAGAGGTGAAAACTTCCCAGACAAACAAATGCTGAGGTACACCTGCCTGACAAAATATGCTAAAGATAGCTCTTTAAGTTAAAGTAAAAAGATGCTAACTAGCACAATGACAACATAAGAATGTGTGAAACTCATTTGTAAAGGTAAACATATAGACAAATACAGAATATTGTGTTGCTTTAAAGATTATGGGTAAATAATTTTTATAGTATATCTTTATAGAATAAAAGTTAACAGTATTAAAGTAACTATAATTTTAAAATATGCTAAAAGATACAGAATATGAATAGATATACATTGCAACACCACCAACATAAAGTGTGTAAGGTAGGGGAGAAGTTAAAATGTAAATTTTTAATGACAGTGAACTTAGTTTCTTATTAGCTTAAAATAGATCATTATAACTAAGATTTTTTTTGTAAGCATAAGGTAATCAGAAAAAACACATACCTATAAGAGGTACATAAAATGAGAAAAGAATCAAAGCATATAATTATAAAAAACATGATGGAAGACAGAAAGAGAGAAAAAGTCAAGCAAAAGAGCTACAAGACTAACTGAAAAGTATTAATAAAATTGCAATAGTAAATCCTATCTTATCAGTAATTATTTTAAATATAAATGAATTAAACTCTCCAATCATACATAAAGTGGTGAATGGATTAAAGCGTGTTGTACATACCTGCGCACAAAGTTCAACTATACACTGGCTACAGGAAACTCATTTTACTTTTAAGGGAACATATTGGCTGCAAGTAAAGAGATAAAAAAAGATATTCCATGCAAACTATGACCCAGAGAAAGCAGGAGCTATACTTACATCAGACAAAATAGACTTTAAGTCAAAATATATTACAAAAGACAAAGAGGAACATTACATAATGAGAAAAGAATCAACTTGCCAGGATGATAGAGCAATTATAAATATGTATGCACTTAACACCAGAGCACCTAAACATAGAGCAAACATTGATAGAACTCAAGAAAGAAATACACAGTTATGTCCTGAATGGTATTGCCTAGGCTTTCTTCTAGGGTTTTTATGGTTTTGGGTCTAACATTTAAGTCTTTAATCCATCTTGAATTAATTTTTGTATAAGGTGTAAGGAAGGGATCCAGTTTCAGCTTTCTACATATGGCTAGCCAGTTTTCCCAGCACCATTTGTTAAATAGGGAATCCTTTCCCCATTTCTTGTTTTTGTCAGCTTTGTCAAAGATCAGATAGTTGTAGATGTGTGGTATTATTTCTGAGGGCTCTGTTCTGTTCCATTGGTCCATATCTCTGTTTTGGTACCAGCACCGTGCTGTTTTTGTTACTGGAGCCTTGTAGTACAGTTAGGAGTCAGGTAGCGTGATGTCTGCAGCTTTGTTCTTTTGGCTTAGGATTGTCTTGGCAATGCAGGCTCTTTTTTGGGGATGGCATTGAATCTGTAAATTACGTTGGGCAGTATGGCCATTTTCACGATATTGATTCTTCCTATCCATGAGCATGGAATGTTCTTTCATTTGTTTGTATCCTCTTTTATTTCATTGAGCAGTGGTTTGTAGTTCTCCTTGAAGAGGTCCTTCACATCCCTTGTAAGTTGGATTCCTAGGTATTTTTTTCTCTTTGAAGCAATTGTGAATGGGAGTTCACTCATGATTTGGCTCTCTGTTTGTCTGTTATTGGTGTATAAGAACGCTTATGATTTTTGCACATTGATTTTGTATCCTGAGACTTTGCTGAAGTTGCTTATCAGTTTAAGAAGACATGGGGCTGAGACAATGAGGTTTTCTAGATATACAATCATGTCATCTGCAAACAGGATAGGCATGGGCAAGGACTTCATGTCTAAAACACCAAAAACAATGACAACAAAAGCCAAAGTTGACAAATGGGATCTAATTAAACTAAAGAGTTTCTGCACAGCAAAAGAAACTACCATCAGAGTGAACAGGCAACCTACAGAATAGGAGAAAATTTTTGCAATCTACTCATCTGACAAAGGGCTAATATCCAGAATCTATAAAGAACTGAAACAAATTTACAAGAAAAAAACCCCATCAAAAAGTGGGCAAAAGATATGAACAGACACTTCCCAAAAGAAGACATTTATGCAGCCAACAGACACATGAAAAAATGCTCATCATCACTGGCCATCAGAGAAATGCAAATCAAAACCACAATGAGATATCATCTCATACCAGTTAGAATGGTGATCATTAAAAAGTCAGGAAACAACAGATGCTGGAGAGGATGTGGAGAAATAGGAACACTTGTACACTGTTGGTGGGACTGTAAACTAGTTCAACCATTGTGGAAGTCAGTGTGGCGATTCCTCAGGGATCTAGAACTAGAAATACCATTTGACCCAGCCATTCCATTACTGGGTATATACCCAAAGGAATATAAATCATGCTGCTATAAAGACACATGCACATGTATGTTTATTGCAGCACTACTTACAATAGCAAAGACTTGGAACCAACCCAAATGTCCAACAATGATAGACTGGATTAAGAAAATGTGGCACATATACACCATGGACTACTATGCAGCCATAAAACATGATGAGTTCACGTCCTTTGTAGGGACATGGATGAAGCTGGAAACCATCATTCTCAGTAAACTATCGCAAGGACAAAAAACCAAACACCGCATGTTCTCACTCATAGGTGGGAATTGAACAATGAGAACACTTGGACACAGGAAGGGGAATATCACACACCAGGGCCTGTTGTGGGGTGGGGGGAGGGGGGAGGGATAGCATTAGGAGATATACCTAATATAAATGACAAGTTAATGGGTTCAGCACACCAACATGGCACATGTATACATATGTAACAAACCTGCACGTTGTGAACATGTACCCTAGAACTTAAAGTATAATAAAAAAAACATAAAAGAAATAAATACGCAGTTATATAATAATAGAAGGAAACATCAATACCCCAATAATTACTTCCAATAACGCACAGAACATCCAGATTGAAGAACATAAGAAAACGGAAGACTTAAGCAATATTATAGACCAAATGGACCTGACACACATATACAGAACATTCCACCAAACAGCGAATATACATTTTTCTCAAGCACATACAGAACTTTCTCTAGAACAGAGAACATATTAATTCACAAAGCAAATCTTCACAGTTTAGGGAGATAGAAATCACACCAAGTATTTTTATTGACCCCAAAAAATGAAACTAAAAATCAATAATAGAAGGGACACTTGAACATTCACAAATATATGCAAATTAAACAACATACTCTTGAACCACCAGTAGGTCCAAGAGTATAAATAAAAAGAGAATTTATACATATAATAATATAAATAAAAAGATATTATATATATCTCAATATATAATAAATTAATATATTATATATATAATATATAATGTATTATATATTATATATTAAACATACTCAAGACAAGAGAAAGCAAAAATACAATATACCAAACTCTATGGCATACAGCAAAAGCTCTACTAAAAGGGAGTTTTTATTGTAATAAACACCTACATTAAAAATAAGTAAGATATCAAATAAATAGTCTAACTTTCCACCTTAAGGAGCTAAAAGAAGAAGAGTAAACCAAGTTGAAAGTTAGCCAATGAAGTAAATAATGATTAGAGCAGAAATAAATGAATAAAAACATAAAACTAGAAAAACACTGACAAAAGTAAAAACTGGTTTTGAAAAAATAAACAAAATTCATAGACCCTTAGCTAGAAAAATTAAGAGAAAAGAAATAATGCTAAAAAAAAACAAAATAAAAAAGGAGACAAAAAAACTGATGCCATAGAAATAAAATTGATTATAATAAACCACAGTGCTATGAATAATTATAGGTCAACAAGTTGGAAAACCCAGAAGAAAGGGTTAAATTCCTGGAAACATACAATCTACCAAGACTAAATCATGAAGAAATAGAAAGTTTGAATAGATCTGTAATTAGTTTGAAGAATGAATCAGTAATCACAAATCTCCCAAAAAAGGTAAACCCAGGACTAGATGGCTTAACTGGTGAATTCTAACAAATGTTTAAAAAGAATTAAAGCAATTCTTCTCAAATTATTCCAAAAATTCAAGAAAGGGAAACACTTCCAAACTAATTTTATAAGGTCAGCATTGCCCTAATACTAAAGTCAGGCAAACAGACCACAAAAAAGAAAACTATAGGCCAATAACCCTGACAAACATAGATATAAAAACCCTCAATAAAACACTCCCAAACTAATCCAGCAGCACATTAAAAGGATCATGTACCATGACCAACTGGTATTTATCCTTGGGATACAAGGATGGTTCAATATACACAAATCAATTAATATAATATACCATCCAAGGAATATAGGATAAACATTACATGATCATCAAATTCCATGCAAAATAAGATAACATTTTACAAAATTCTACAATCTGTCATGATAAAAACTACCAATAAGAAAAGAAAATTATGTCAACATAATAAAGGCCATATACGAAAAGTGCACAGCTAATATAATATTCAGTGGTAAAAAACTGAAAGCTTTTCCTCCAAGATCAGAAATAAGACAAAGATACCCATTCTTGCCACTCTTATTCAACGCAGTTCTATAAGTTCTAGGCAGAACAATCAGACAAAAAAATTAAAGACATTCAAATCTAAAAATATTATGTTAGATTGCCTCTGCAGATGACAGGTTCTTGTACAGAGAAAACCCACAAGACTCCACCAAAAACCTGTTAGAACTAATGAACAAATTTTGTAAAGGTGTAGGATACAAAATCAACATATAAAAATTGGTTAGATTTTTATACACTAACAACAAACTGTTTGAAAAGGAAATTCAGAAAACAATTTCATTCATACTAGCACCAAAAGGAATAAAACACCTTAAATTTAACTAAGGAAGTGAAATACTTGAATACTGAAACCTATAAAACATTGATGCAAGAAATTAAACCAAATACAAACAAATGGAAAGACATCTTGTATTCATTGACTGGAAGACTTAGTATTGTAAAAATATACATAATGCCCAAAGTGATTTACAGGTTCAATGCAATCCCTATTGAAGTCCCAAAATATCATTTATTATAGAAATACAAAAAAACCTGACAATTCAACAATTCATATGAAACCACAAATGTTCATTAACAGCCAATCTTGCCAAGAAGAACGAAGCTGAAGGCATCACATATCCTGATTTCAAAACATATTACAAAGCTACAGTAACCAAAAGAGTATTATAATTCACTCAAGTGACTGGGGACTAATGTCCAGAATTATACAATGAACTAAAAAAATCCAACAGTCAAAAGACAAATAATCCCATTTAAAAATGGGCAAGTGAGCTGAATAGATATCTCTCAGAAGACATACAAATGACCAGGTATGTAAAAAAATGCTCGACATCACTAATCATCAGCAAAATACAAATCAATACTACAAAACATCATCTTTCTCCAGTTAAAATGGCTACAATTAAAAAGACAAAGTAACAGATGTTGATAAGGATTTGGAGAAAAAGGAACTCTGATACACTGTTGGTGGGAATGTGAATTAGAATTATTACAGCTATTGGGCCAGGTGTGGTGGCTCCTGCCTGTAATCCCAGCACTTTGGGAGGCCGAGGAGGGTGGATCACGAGGTCAGGAGATGGAGACCATCCTGGATAATGCAGTGAAACCCCGTCTCTACTAAAAATACAAAAATTAGCCAGGCATGGTGGTGGGCACCTGTAGTCCCAGCTACTCGGGAGGCTGAGGCAGGAGAATGGCGAGAAGTCAGGAGGCAGAGCTTGCAGTGAGCCGAGATTGCACCACTGCACTCCAGCCTGGGTGACAGAGTGTGACTCTGTATCAAAAAAAAAAAAAAAAAAAAAAAAGAATAGGTATAGCTATTATGGAAATCAGTAGGGAGATTTCTCAAAAAACTGAAAATAGATCTACCATGTGATCCTGCACTCCCACCTACTAGGTATTTATCCAGAAAAAAAGAAATCAATATATTAAAGGGATACATGTACCGCATGTTTATTTCAGTACTATTCGTAATAACCAAGATATGGAATCAACCTAAGTACTTACCAACGGATAACTGGATTTTTAAAATGTGGTATATATACACAATGGAATGAAATCATGTCATTCGCAGCAACATGGATGGAACTGGAGGTCATCATGTTAAGTGAAATAAGCCAGGCACAGAAAGACAAATAATGCATGTTCTCACTTACATGTGGGAGCTAAGAAAAATAGAAAACACGGAGGTAGAGAGTAGAATAATAGATACCAGAGACTGGGAATGGTGTATGGGGCTGTGAGCATGGTGTTGGGGGAGAGGAGGAGAGTGAAGAGAGGTTGGTTATAGTGTACAACATACAGTTGGATATTTGATAGCAGAGCAGGGTGACCATACTTAACAACAATGTGTTGTATTTTTCAAAATAGCTAGAAGACCTGACATATACCCAATACACAGAAATGATAAATAATTGGGTGATAAATATCCTAAATACACTGACTGGATCATTACATATTTTATGCATGTTACAAAATTTCCCATGTACTCCATAAATAGGTACAAATATAATGTATCAAAACATTTAAAATAAAACAAATTATAAAAATTTTTAAACTATAGTACTGATATAAACACAGACATATAGACCAATGGAACATAATAGAAATCTCAGAAATAAATTTACACATAAACAGTCAACTCATCTTTGACAAGTATGCCAAGGAAAAACAAATGATAGTTCCTTCAATAAATGGTGGTGATAGTACTGGATATTCTCATGTAAAAGGATGAAGTGTGATCCTTATCTTACACTGTACCCAAAAATCAACTCAAAATGAATTGAAGACTCAAAAGTGAAACTGTAAAACTCCTAGAAGAAAACATAGGAGAAAAGCTTCATCATATTGGTTTGGCAATGATTCTTAAATATGACACCAAAGCACAGACAATAAAAGCAAAAAATAAATAAATGGGATTACAGCAAACTAAAGAGTTTATGCACAGCAAAAGAATCAAGAGACCAAAATGGCAATCTATAGAATGAGAGAAAATATTGCAAACTATTTATCTGATAAGGAGTTAAAGCTAAAATATATGAGGAACTCCTACAATTCAATAGCAATAAACTAATAATCCTAAGAAAAAAGGGTTAAACTATCTAATAGACATTTCTTCAAAGAAGACATACAAATGGTCATCAGGTACATGACAAAATGTTCTATGTCACTAGCCACCAGAGAAATGCAAATCAAAACTATAAGCTATCACCTCACATCTATCAAAAAAAAAACAAAACACAACATGTGTTGTGATGCAGTGATTTTGGAACCATTGCACACTGTGGGAATGCAAAATGGTCAACTGCTACGGAAAACAGTCTGGAGATTTGGAGAGTCCTCAAAAAATTAAAAACAGAACTATCATATAATGCAGTAATTCTACTTCTAGGTATTTACCCAAAAAAGAATTGAAATCCGGATCTCAAAGAGATATTAGTACTGTATTCCCGTGTTCATTGCAGCAGTATTCACAATAGCCATTATGTAAAAACAACCTAAATATCCATTGCTGAATGAATAAAGAACGTTTGGTGGCATATATATATTAAGGAATACTATTCAGCCTATAAAAGAGGGAAATTCTGCAATATGGGACAACATGGATGAACCTTCAGAACATTTTGCTAAGTGAAATAAGGCAGTCACAGAATGGCAAATGCCACGATTCCACTTTTATGCAGTATCTGAAATTGTCACATTCATAGAATCCAAGGCTAGAGGAATGGTTACCATGGGCTGTGGGAGGGAAAATGAGGAATTACTAACCAAAAGGCATAAAGTTTTAGTTAAGCAAGGTCAATAAGCTCTGGATACCTGCTGTATAAAATTGTACAAATTGTCAACAATAATGCATAATATACTTAAAAATTTAAGAGGACAGACCTTACTTCAAGTGTTCTTAAAACAATAAAATAAAATAAAATGTGATATAATAAAAGAATTACCTGAGGAAATGATTCTGGATATCTCAATTGGAAAGGGCCAGCCCTTCCAACTCATTCAGTGGTTGAATTGTTTTGTATGGACATGAGCATTTGGACAGACAAAGCTCCGTCTATCTTCTGGGAAACTAAGCGACTATGAAACTTGAGGGTATCTGTTGCTTAGTGATCCACTAAGGGGCCACTCCATCAGGCTAACCCCTTTGCTATCCTAAACTCATAGGGAGGTGATGGTCTTCATTTCCCTCTTCTGAGTGGACAGTGTCCTCCTCTAATATTCCCTCTATCTCATTTGCTGAAAAATTGTAATCAGCCTTCAGTGTTGTAAGGGTGGGGACTCCCATTGTCTCACACTGCAGGGTTTTTAGGGTGAATGATTAGAAAAATCAATGACCGAACATCATAACATGGCCAAATAGGAACAGCTCCGGTCTACAGCTCCCAGCATGAGCGATGCAGAAGACGGGTGATTTCTGCATTTCCATCTGAGGTACTGGGTTAGTCTCACTAGGGAGTGCCAGACAGTGGGCGCAGGCCAGTGGGTGCGTGCACCGTGCATGAGCCAAAGCAGGGCGAGGCATTGCCTCACTCGGGAAGCGCAAAGGGTCAGGGAGTTCCCTTTCCTAGTCAAAGAAAGGGGTGACAGACGGCACCTGGAAAATCGGGTCACTCCCACCCGAATACTGCGCTTTTCCGAAGGGCTTAAAAAATGGCACACCAGTAGATTATATCCCGCACCTGGCTCAGAGGGTCCTACGCCCACGGAGTCTCGCTGATTGCTAGCACAGCAGTCTGAGATCAAACTGCAAGGTGGCAGTGAGGCTGGGGGAGGGGTGCCCGCCATTGCCCAGGCTTGCTTAGGTAAACAAAGCAGCCAGGAAGCTCCAACTGGGTGGAGCCCACCACAGCTCAAGGAGGCCTGCCTGCCTCTGTAGGCTCCACCTCTGGGGGCAGGGCACAGACAAACAAAAGACAGCAGTAACCTCTGCAGACTTAAATGTCCCCGTCTGACAGCTTCAAAGAGAGCAGTGGTTCTCCCAGCATGCAGCTGGAGATCTGAGAACGGGCAGACTGCCTCCTCAAGTGGGTCCCTGACCCCTGACCCCCGAGCAGCCTAACTGGGAGGCAACCCCCAGCAGGGGCAGACTGACACGTCACACGGCCGGGTACTCCAACAGACCTGCAGCTGAGGGTCCTGTCTGTTAGAAGGAAAACTAAAAAACAGAAAGGACATCCACACCAAAAACCCATGTGTACATCACCATCATCAAAGACCAAAAGTAGATGAATCCACAAAGATGGGGAAAAAACAGAGCAGAAAAACTGGAAACTCTAAAAAGCAGAGCACCTCTCCTCCTCCAAAGGAACGCAGTTCCTCACCAGCAATGGAAAAAAGCTGGATGGAGAATGACTTTGACAAGCTGAGAGAAGAAGGCTTCAGACGATCAAATTACTCCGAGCTATGGGAGGACATTCAAACCAAAGGCAAAGAAGTTGAAAACTTTGAAACAAATTTAGAAGAATGTATAACTAGAATAACCAATACAGAGAAGTGCTTAAAGGAGCTGATGGAGCTGAAAACCAAGGCTCGAGAACTATGTGAAGAATGCAGAAGCCTCAGGAGCCGATGCGATCAACTGGAAGAAAGGGTATCAGCAATGGAAGATGAAATGAATGAAATGAAGCGAGAAGGGAAGTTTAGAGAAAAAAGAATAAAAAGAAACGAGCAAAGCCTCCAAGAAATATGGGACTATGTGAAAAGACCAAATCTACGTCTGATTGGTGTATCTGAAAGTGACAGGGAGAATGGAGTCAAACTGGAAAACACTCTGCAGGATATTATCCAGGAGAACTTCCCCAATCTAGCAAGGCAGGCCAACATTCACATTCAGGAAACACAGAGAACACCACAAAGATACTCCTCAAGAAGAGCAACTCCAAGACACATAATTGTCAGATTCACCAAAGTTGAAATGAAGGAGAAAATGTTAAGGGCAGCCAGAGAGAAAGGTCAGGTTACCCACAAACGGAAGCCCATCAGATTAACAGCTGAACTCTCAGCAGAAACTCTACAAGCCAGAAGAGAGTGGGGGCCAATATTCAACATTCTTAAAGAAAAGCATTTTCAACCCAGAATTTCACATCCAGCCAAACTAAGCTTCATAAGTGAAGGAGAAATAAAATACTTTACAGACAAGCAAATGCTGAGAGATTTTGTCACCACCAGGCCTGCCCTAAAAGACCTCCAGAAGGAAGCGCTAAACATGGAAAGGAACAACCGGTACCAGCCACTGCAAAATCATGCCAAAATGTAAAGACCATCGAGACTAGGAAGGAACTGCATCAACTAATGAGCAAAATAACCATCTAACATCATAATGACAGGATCAAACTCACACATAACAATATTAACTTTAAACGTAAATGGAATAAATGCTGCAATTAAAAGACACAGACTGGCAAATTGGATGAAGAATCAAGACCCATCAGTGTGCTGTATTCAGGAAACCCATCTCACGTGCAGAGACACACATAGGCTCAAAATAAAAGGATGGAGGAAGATCTACCAAGCAAATGGAAAACAAAAAAAGGCAGGGGTTGCAATCCTAGCCTCGGATAAAACAGACTTTAAACCAACAAAGATCAAAAGAGACAAAGAAGGCCATTACATAATGGTAAAGGGATCAATTCAACAAGAAGAGCTAACTATCCTAAATATATATGCACCCAATACAGGAGCACCCAGATTCATAAAGCCAGTCCTGAGTGACCTACAAAGAGACTTAGACTCCCACACATTAATAATGGGAGACTTTAACACCCCACTGTCAACATTAGACAGATCAACGAGACAGAAAGTCAACAAGGATACCCAGGAATTGAACTCAGCTCTGTACCAAGCAGACCTAATAGACATCTACAGAACTCTCCACCCCAAATCAACAGAATATACATTTTTTTCAGCACCACACCACACCTATTCCAAAATTGACCACATAGTTGGAAGTAGAGCTCTCCTCAGCAAATGTAAAAGAACAGAAATTATAACCAACTGTCTTTCAGACCACAGTGCAATCACACTAGAACTCAGGATTAAGAAGCTCACTCAAAACCGCTCAACTACATGGAAACTGAACAACCTGCTCCTGAATGACTACTGGGTACATAACGAAATAAAGGCAGACATAAAGATGTTCTTTGAAACCAACGAGAACAAAGACACAACATACCAGAATGTCTGGGACACATTCAAAGCAGTGTGTAGAGGGAAATTTATAGCATTAAATGCCCACAAGAGAAAGCAGGAAAGGTCCAAAATTGACCCCCTAACATCACAATTAAAAGAACTAGAAAAGCAAGAGCAAACACATTCAAAAGCTAGCAGAAGGCAAGAAATAACTAAAATCAGAGCAGAACTGAAGGAAATAGAGACACAAAAAGCCCTTCAAAAAATTAATGAATCCAGGAGCTGGTTTTTTGAAAAGATCAACAAAATTGATAGACCACTAGCAAGACTAATAAAGAAGAAAAGAGAGAAGAATCAAATAGACGCAATAAAAAATGATTAAGGGGATATGACCACCGATCCCACAGAAATACAAACTACCATCAGAGAATACTACAAACACCTCTACGGAAATAAACTAGAAAATCTAGCAGAAATTGATAAATTCCTCGACACATACACTCTCCCAAGACTAAACCAGGAAGAAGTTGAATCTCTGAATAGACTAATAACAGGAGCTGCAATTGTGGTAATAATCAATAGCTTACCGACCATAAAGAGTCCAGGACCAGAAGGATTCACAGCCGAATTCTACCAGAGGTACAAGGAGGAACTGGTACCATTTCTTCTGAAACTATTCCAATCAATAGAAAAAGAGGGAATCCTCCCTAACTCATTTTATGAGGCCAGCATCATCCTGATACCAAAGCTGGCCAGAGACACAACCAAAACAGAGAATTTTAGACCAATATCCTTGATGAACATTGATGCAAAAATCCTCAATAAAATACTGGCAAACCAAATCCAGCAGCACATCAAAAAGCTTATCCACCATGATCAAGTGGGCTTCATCCCTGGGATGCAAGTCTGGTTCAATATACGGAAATCAATAAATGTAATCCAGCATATAAACAGAACCAAAGACAAAAACCACGTGATTATCTCAATAGATGCAGAAAATGCCTTTGACAAAATTCAACAACGCTTCATGCTAAAAACTCTCAATAAATTAGGTATTGATGGGACGTATCTCAAAATAATAAGAGCTATCTATGACAAACCCATAGCCAATATCATACTGAATTGGCAAAAACTGGAAGCATTCCCTTTGAAAACTGGCACAAGGCAGGGATGCCCTCTCTCACCACTCCTATTCAACATAGTGTTGGAAGTTCTGGCCAGGGCAATTAGTCAGGAGAAGGAAATAAAGGGTATTCAATTAGGAAAAGAGGAAGTCAAATTGTCCCTGTTTGCAGATGACATGATTGTATATCTAGAAAACCCCATTGTCTCAGCCCAAAATCTCCTTAAGCTGATAAGCAACTTCAGCAAAGTCTCAGGATACAAAATCAATGTACAAAAATCACAAGCATTCTTATACACCAATAACAGACAAACAGAGAGCCAAATCATGAGTGAACTTCCATTCACTATTGCTTCAAAGAGAATAAAATACCTAGGAATCCAACTTACAAGGGATGTGAAGGACCTCTTCAAGGAGAACTACAAACCACTGCTCAATGAAATAAAAGAGGATACAAACAAATGGAAGAACATTCCATGCTCATGGGTAGGAAGAATCAATATCGTGAAAATGGCCATACTGCCCAAGGTAATTTTGAGATTCAATGCCATCCCCATCAAGCTACCAATGACTTTCTTCACAGAATTGGAAAAAACTACTTTAAAGTTCATAGGGAACCAAAAAAGAGCCCGCATTGCCAAGTCAATCCTAAGCCAAAAGAACAAAGCTGGAGGCATCACACTACCTGACTTCAAACTTTACTACAAGGCTACAGTAACCAAAACAGCATGGTACTGGTACCAAAACAGAGATATAGATCAATGGAACAGAACAGAGCCCTCAGAAATAACGCCGCATATCTGCAACTATCTGATCTTTGACAAACCTGAGAAAAACAAGCAATGGGGAAAGGATTCCCTATTTAATAAATGGTGCTGGGAAAACTGGCTAGCCATATGTAGAAAGCTGAAACTGGATCCCTTCCTTACACCTTATACAAAAATCAATTCAAGATGGATTAAAGACTTCAATTTTAGACCTAAAACCATAAAAACCCTAGAAGAAAACCTAGGCATTACCATTCAGGACATAGGCATGGGCAAGGACTTCATGTCCAAAACACCAAAAGCAATGGCAACAAAAGCCAAAATTGACAAATGGGATCTAATTAAACTAAAGAGCTTCTGCACGGCAAAAGAAACTACCATCAGAGTGAACAGGCAACCTACAAAATGGGAGAAAATTTTCACAACCTACTCATCTGACAAAGGGCTAATATCCAGAATCTACAATGAACTCCAACAAATTTACAAGAAAAAAACAAAGAACCCCATCAAAAAGTGGGTGAAGGAAATGAACAGACACTTCTCAAAAGAAGACATTTATGCAGCCAAAAAACACATGAAAAAATGCTCATCATCACTGGCCATCAGAGAAATGCAAATCAAAACCACAATGAGATACCATCTCACACCAGTTAGAATGGCAATCATTAAAAAGTCAGGAAACAACAGGTGCTGGAGAGGATGTGGAGAAATAGGAACACTTTTACACTGTTGGTGGGACTGGAAACTAGTTCAACCATTGTGGAAGTCAGTGTGGCCATTCCTCAGGGATCTAGAACTAGAAATACCATTTGACCCAGCCATCCCATTACTGGGTATATACCCAAAGGACTATAAATCATGCTGCTATAAAGACACATGCACACGTATGTTTATTGCGGCACTATTCACAATAGCAAAGACTTGGAACCAACCCAAATGTCCAACAATGATAGATTGGATTAAGAAAATGTGGCACATATACACCATGGAATACTATGCAGCCATAAAAAATGATGAGTTCATGTCCTTTGTAGGGACATGGATGAAATTGGAAATCATCTTTCTCAGTAAACTATCACAAGAACAAAAAACCAAACACTGCATATTCTCACTCATAGGTGGGAAATGAACAATGAGAACACATGGATACAGGAAGGAGAACATCCCACTCTGGGGACTGTTGTGGGGTAGGGGGAGGGGGGTCGGATAGCATTGGGAGATATACCTAATGCTAGATGATGAGTTAGTGGGTGCAGCGCACCAGCATGGCACATGTATACATATGTAACTAACTTGCACATTGTGCACATGTACCCTAAAACTTAAAGTATAATAATAAAAAAAAAAAGAAAGAAAAATCAATGACCCCTCTCCCACTTTGCTCAAGGACCATGCTACAATATCACTATGAAGTGACAGAATTTTGGCTCTAGTTCTGTCCTGCCAGCTCAGCTATGGGGGGATCAGGGGTTGGGTCCTAATTTTGTGGTTGCAGTTTTATATTGTGGCAGGTAGAGGAGAAATTAAGCACATTACCAATCATATGTGGTGAAGTAACAGCCCTTGACCTTGGTTAATTGCCCTAAGCACCAGCCGTAGCCAGTTTCATGGAATTTTGCAAGGAGGCCAGCTCCTTTTCTGGGAGGCCAGCCTGTAGATGATCAGTTAGATAAGTTAACCCTTTCCTATTAGCAGATAATCACATTGTATAGGGTACTAAGGGTTTTATAAGGCATTATGTCTGTCCTGGAAAAGCTTCCAGATTCACAGGGTAAAAACTGGCAGCACTGATATAGTTTTAGCATTGATGATGAATACTTACTGCAAAGATGCGTTGCTTGGAATCATTCAGTTTCAAATTTGATAGTTACTTACTTCGTGTTATTTCAGCATGGTTGTAGTTCATGGAGAACCTAGTCTGCTTTTGTTATTCTCTGGGTGTTCTCTAACATCTCATCCTAAATAGGAAAGATTTTTTAAATTAGCAGAAATAATTTTTTATCTTAGTGGATATTTAATAAAACCACTACTATAGTAATTATTGAAGGTTTGTGAAGTGGTTCCCATAACTCTGTGCTCAACAAGACACAAAAAGTTCAAAGAGTATATATTCAAACACTGTTCCTAACTCTTAACACTTTTGGCCCTAGACTAATCACTTAATCTGAAAACATTCTGATTGCCTTATTTACAAAATGAGAAAAGTAGAAGAGCCTACTCATCAGAATGCCAGAATGTGTATAAAGTGATGAGTATTTGTATTTAACCAGCTTAAGATATGTAAATTACAACAGGCGACAAGGTAGAATACTATCTTATGTGTTTCTATGCCTGAGGAATTTTCTTTCCTCTTCTAGGCATCAAGCAGAATCATTTAATGTCTAAATCACACTTCCTTTCTGACAGGAGTCACTTCAAGTTAGCATTTAAATTGTATTTTTGTCAGTGGAAACCTCCTCTCCACAAGGCTTCTGAAGGGCAGGTGACTTGTCTAATGCCTGTATACCTGAAATCCCTAATGCATTACTAGGACCATAGTACATACTTACTAGGTATTGCTGAGTTGAGTAACATCACAAATAGACAGCTAGGAGGACAGCACAATATCAACATACTTTCTCACAATTCTTGCACAGTTACATCATCAGGTACAAAAACCTCCGTCTTCAGCCTTTTGTTGCTTGAGCCAAAAGATCTTTCCTTTATTTTTGATGGGTGGCTGATATCAGTGGGATCATAATTACAGCCCTCTGTGCCAAACATCAGGTTAATAGAAACTATTGTTGAAGAGAAAAACATCCTGTAGTTCTTTGTCTCCAAAATTCCCCAGCAGACATGAGGACTTCCCACGAGCTGAAGAGCTTAAAAGAAAGTCTCCATTCGCAAAATAATTATAACCATACTTTTTGTTACCCTCAGTGGTTTGATGAGTGGATTAAAAGAAGAGAATACACCTAGGTATATTTTCACTTTCTTCTCAGCTCTAAAAACTAGATGTCCCTGTTGATACCAATAACAGGAGAAAATAGTTTCATTCCCTATGGCCATTAGCTTTTTCAATACTTATTTTAAATAGTAAATAAAATTCCTTCAGATAATGAACATATTATCTCAGTTAGAGAGGGAGAAATAGCTAGTAAATTGCTTATAACACAAAATAATCAATGTGTTAATGAACTTCTTTTTCCATTAAAACAATACTACAAAGTTTGCTGATTATACTTAACTGATTGATTCTTTTGTTCTTAAGGAGCAAAGTCATACATCTTCACCTGAAGAATTCTAGAATGTGTTGGGATTGTCCCAATTTAACTTTTCTAGAAAGGCAGAATGATGGATATTACATTGGTTAATGTCTGCGAGAGGCAGAAAGATGAAGGCATAGGACATTGAGTAAGAGCAGAGAAGCCCTTAAAAAAAAGGCAAGGCTTATATTGCTCTATTCACAACTCTCATGTCTGTCTTTCTCTCCTACCTTTCTTAATCTAGTCAATTTAAATCATAGATTATTTACTCAATAGGCCATACATTCATTGAAAAACAACTTGAGTGACCTTTTCATTTATAAATTCAAAGAACATAAAATAAGGTAGTGGCGGCTGCTCAGTTTGTATTGACAGAGTTATCTAGTCTTTTGAGATTCCAAGACTATTTCTATTTAATCATAAACATCCTGTAAAAAGAACTGTCATCTGCTACATACATCCCACTTAAGCGAAATCAGATTGTATGCCATTTTCCAACTTTGCTCTTGACATAAAAGAAAATAGGTTTAAGGGTTAGCATTAATGTCTATGTTCTGCTGTCCTCTGCTGGTGTCATAGGAAAATATTTAATAGTGAACTCACTAGTTGGGTCTTTAATTCCAGCTATAAGGATAAAATAAGTTTATACAGAGTCTGATATTAAAAGTAAACAGTAAAAACCTAAATTTTTTAAAAAGGAAATATAAAACAAAACATTTTATTCTTCCTTTAGTGCAAGCTCACACTTGTACAAAAGTCTATATCTGATTTAGTAATTCTGTATTTGTATTTAATAACTAAATTTATTTTGCTGAAATATTGCTCAAGTTTGCAATAGTTTGCAAGTGTGCATTGCAGTTCTGCTGCCTTTTGTATACTGATTAGTATTAAGGTGGCAATGAACATGTCTCTTACATATTAGAGCAAATATTTAAAAATTACCTCCCACTTTCTCTCCTCCAGCACATTTCTCCCTCTGTCCTAATATTATTAAATTCTGGAAACATGTTATAAAATAGGGCAGATATTATATACTTCTAACATTTCCAAAATGTACTCATGTGTTTATTTTTAGGCACAACTTGCAGGAAAATTGTTAGAAATAAGTTGTTTATAATCTTTGCGGCATCATATAAGGTTTTGTCACATAGCCAACAGTTTTTTGATATCCCACATATATACAGGGTAAAATACTTCCAGCTTTATGGTTTTGTTGTAGTACAGAATGTTTTTCCTAGAGAATCATAATTATAAAATATCATTAGATGAACTTCCCTATACTCAGTGCTACTGAAATGATTAGAATAAAGCTTTTATTACAACTCATTTTTACATGAAGAATGGAATATTCAGTTATAGAAAGTCATAGTATCTCTAAAAGAAGTGATTTTTAGTGACCTTAATATTCTAAATGGTATAATACAAAAAAGAAGCAAAGTCATAAGACCCCCAACAGAGTTATCAAGATGGGAAAATTTATTTCTCTCATGTTTAGCTTATAAAAGCAATTTCTTTGAAAAGCCCAGTGGGTTGGAACTGATATTACAGGCACGAAGCAGCTGTTTGTGTGCTGTCTGTGTAACCTTAAAAGTGTGATTGTAACAGGAACAACGTTCAAGATTGCTGTCCCAAGGTTCAAGATTGCTTTCCCTAGGAGAGGATAATAATGAAAGAAAACATTATTAAATCACCCCATTGATATAATTACCGTTTATTGAGCAGTTCCTATATATCAAATAGAGGACTCAATGCTTTACATTTGTGATTTTACTTATTCCTCATGACTACACTAATAGGTCGTGATTATCACTTCCATTTTACAGACAAGAAATACATGCTCAGAAAATGTAGGCTCTTTGCCTTAAATCATACCAAAAATGTAAAAACAGAACAGAGTTTCCAAACCAAAGTGAGTTCAAGGTTCATATTTTTTCAATTAAATGGCAATCCTATATAATTAATTTTATTTTCACCAATACAAAATATCCAATATGGAAAATAAGTTGAATTATTAATACTTAAAGACTTTTGTTCTTTTGTCTATGGTGTGTGTGTGTGTGTGTGTGTGTGTGTGTGTGTGTGTGTAAAATCATAAAGTGAACATATATAAGGTCAGGTTTGGTAATTAATATTAATTATATTATTCTTTTGCACTTTACCAAATAACTCTAATAAATACGAAAGGCCTTTTGTTGCTTTGGGAACAAAGGTCTCTCTAAGCTATAATCCAGAGCCATCTACAGTTCAACTGAGCCACTCAATTTAGAGAATCTTTGATCCTTAAAGCTCACATTTTGGGGGTCTTTCGTTTATGTAAAAATAAACTAGTCTTGAAGAGACTGCAAAACCCTGAAATATAGATCTTCTTTGTAAAAAGAACACTAGGATTTGTTGAAAATCTACTCTATTGTGAAAGAAAAATTCAAAACAAAATTAAACACATCATCTACACACATTCAAATTAAGTTCTTGTGTACTTTTTTGGATGAGCTAGCATATAAAAACACCGTGTGTCCATCGTGGATCATAATATCCAGGGAGGGAGAGGGGGGTGATATTATTCCCCGTATCCCCTGCGGTATTGGGAGTAATATATCCTCTCGTCCCCTGAATATGAGGAACAATATCACGGGGTGGGGAGGGGTGTACACCACCTGCAATATTGGGAGTAATATCATTGTCTCACCCCCTGGATATTAAAAACAGTATCACAAGGAGGGTGTTTATCACCTCTGATATTGGGAGTAATATCATCCTCTCCCAACCCGGATATCACAGAGGGAGTGTACACCCGCTTCGATATTGGTAGTGATATCATCCTTTTCCCCCATGGATATAAGAAACAATATCACAGGTGGGGTGTACACCACTGGAATATTGGGAGTAATATCATTCTCTTCCCTGCTGGATATTAGCAACAATTTCACAGGGGATGGTGTACGCTTCCTACGATTATGCATATTAATAACATCCACTCCCCCGCTGGACATTAGGAACAATGTCATGTGGGGTTGTATACCCCCTGTGATATTGGGAGTAATATCATACTTTTGCCCCCTGACAATTAGGAACAATATCACAGAGAGGGTGTACACCTTCTGCGCTATTGGGAGTAATGTCACCCTCTCCCCCCATGGATATTAGGAACAATATCACAAAGGTGGTGTACACGTCCTGCGCTTTTGGGAGTAATATCATCCCCTCTTTCCCGGGGTATTAGGAACAATATCACAGGCAGGGGTGTACACTCCCTGTGATTTTTTGAGTGATATCATCCTCTTTCAACCTGGATATTAGGAACAATATAACAAGAGGGTTATACACCACCTGCGATATTGGGAGTAATATCATGCTCTCCCCCCATGGATATTGAGAGCAATATAATAGGGGCGGTTTACACCCCCTGAGATTCTGGGAGTAATATCATCCTCTCCCCACTTAAATATTAGAAACAATATTACAGGGGAGTTGTACACCCGCTGCGACATTGGGAGTAATATCATCCTTTCCCACCGTGGATATTAGGAACAATATCGCATGGGAAGTGTACACCCCCTGCCATATTGAGAGTAGTATTATTTTCTCCCTTGCTGGATATTAGGACCAATATCAGGGGGAGGTGCACACCACTTGCATATTGCCAGTAATATCATGGTCTCCCCCCCCAGGATATTAGGAACAATATCACGAGGGGGGCATACACGCCCTGTGATATTGGAAGTAATATCATCCTCTCGACCATGAAATATTAGGAACAATATCACAGAAGCGGTGTACACCCCCTGCCATATTGACAGTAATATCATCCTCTCCCCCATTGGATATTAGAAACAATACCACAGTGGGGGTGTACACCCACTGCGATATTTTGAGCAACATCATCCTCTAACCCCTGGATATGAGGAACAATATCACAAGGGTGGTATACACTCTCTGTAATATTGGGAGTAATATTATTTTCTCCAGCCCTGGAATACAAGGAATAATAAAACAGCAGTGGTGTACATCCCCTGAGCTACTGAGAGCCATATCACCCTCTCCCCTCATGTATATTAGGAACAATATCACAGGGGGTGTGTACACAGCTTACTCTGTTGGGAGTAATACCATCCTCTTTCTCTTGATATTCGGAACAATATCACAGGATGGGTCTACAATCCCTACGATTTCGGGAGTAATATCATCCTCTCCCAACCTGGATATTAAAAACAAAATAACAGGGGGGTGTACACCCCCTGCGATATTGGGAGTAATATCATCTTCTCCCCCACTTGATATTAGGAAAAATATCCCAGGAAGGGTGTACACCCTCTGCGATATTGGGAGTAATATTATCCTCTCCCCACCTAAATATTAGAAACAATATCACAGGGGAGTATGTACACCCCCTACAATATTGGGAGTAATATCATCCTCTCCTTCCCTGTATATGTGTATACCCCCTGTGATACTGGTAGTAATATCATACTCTTCCCCCCTGGATATTAGGAACAATATCATGGAGGTGGTGTACACCCCCTGCCATATTGTAAGTCATATCATTCTCTCTTCCCCTGGATATTAGGAACAATACCACGGGGGTGAGTCGCCTGTGATATTGGAATTAATGTCATCCTCTCCCCCACTGAATATTAAAAACAATATCAGAGGGGTGTTGTCCACCCCTGTGATATGGACAGTAATATTGTTGTCTTCCCGCCTATATATTAAGAACATTATCATAAGGGAGGTGTACAACCCTTGCGATAGTAGGAGTAATATCACCCTCGCTACTTTTAGATATTAGGAACAATATCACAGCGGGGGGTGTACACACCCTGCGATGTTGGGCAAAATGTTATCCACATCCCCCTGGATATTAGGAACAATATCACAGGGGGAGTGTACAATCTCTTCAGTATCAGAAGTAATATCCTCTCCCTTCCTGGATATTAAGAACAATATCACTGGGTGGGTGTACTCCCCTGCGATATTGGGAGTAGTATCATCCTCTCCCTCCCTAGATATTAGGAACAATATCACTGGGGAGTGTAGACCTCCTGCAATATTGAGAGTAATATCCTCTCATCCCCTGGATATGAAAAACAATATCACAGGGGTGGTGTACACCCCCTGCGAAATTAGGAGAAATATCATCCTCTTCACCTTTGGATATTAGAGACTATATCACAGGGAAGGTGTAAGCCCCCTGCGATATTGGGAGTAATATCATCCTCTCCCATCCTGGATAATAGGAAAAAGATCACATAAGCGATGTACACCCACTGCGACATTTGGAGTAATGTCATCTTCTACCTCTTGTCTACTAGAAACAACATCAAATTGGGGTGTACACCTTCTGCAATATTAGGAGTATTACCACCCTCTCAACCCCAAATATTAAAATTATTAATAATTATTATTAATATTAGTAACAACTAATAGTGATTATCAATATTAATGATTAATATTAAACAATAATAATGTTAATAAACAATAACGCTTGTTATTAATAATGACAATATTAAAACTAAAACAATAATATCAGTAATTAAAATTAATATCAACACTAATGTTAACAAATATTAATAAACATTAGGATTAATAATAATTATTAATATTAATAATATGCCAATATCACAGTGAGAATGTACACCCCATGAGGTTCTGGGAGTAATATTAATGTTAATAATTAATATCAATAAATATAAAAATAATATTAATGATTAATATAATTTATTAATATTAATGTTATCCTAATACCACAGGGGGTGTACACCCACCTGTGATATTTTTCCAAACATCCAGGGAGGGAGAAAATGGTATTACTTTCAATATCACAGCAGTTGCACTCTCTGTGATATTGCTCCCAATATCCAGAAAGTGGAGTATGACATTTCTCCCAATATAGCATTGGGTGTGCATCTACCCAATGATATTGCTCCTAATATTCACGGAAGAAGAGAACGATGTTACTCCTAATATCGCAAGGAGTGTACACACCTTCTGTGAGATTGTTCCTAATATCCGGAGCGGGGGGTGATATGACTCCCAATATCGCAGACTGTGTACACCCACCCTGTATATCGTTCCTAATATCCAGGAAGGGAGAGGATGATATTACTCCCCATATAGCAGGAGGTGTACACCCACGCTGGGCTGTTGTTCCTAATATCCAGGGGTGGGAGAGCCTGATGTGACTCTCAATATCGAAGGAAGCGTACACCCCCGTGTAATATTGTTCCTAATATCCAGAAGAGGAGAAGATGATATGACTCCCCATATCGCAGGAGATGTACACCCACTCTGTGATATTTTTCTAATATGCAGGGGGGGGAGAGGATAATATTATTCCCAATATCACAGGGGGTGTACACCTTCCCTGTGATATTGTCTTTAATATTCAAAGGCGGAGAGGATGATATTCCTCCCAATATCGCCAAAAGTGTACACCCTCCAGTGATATTGTTCCCATGATCCAGGAGGGAAGAGGATGATATTACTTTCAATATCGCAGGGGCTGTACACGCCCCCAATGATATTGTTTCTACTTTCAACGTGGGGGAGGTTGATATTACTCCTAATATCACAGGGGGTGTACACCCCGCTAGTGATATTATTCCTAATATCCAGAAAAAGAGAGAATGATATTCATCCAAATAGTGTAGGGGGTGTACATCCCCCCTCCCGTGATATTATTGTTCCTAATAGCTAAAGGAAGAGAAGATAATTTGACTCCTCACACCGCAAGGGGTGTACACCCACCTGTGATATTGTTCCTAATACCCACAGAGGGAGAGCATAATATTACTCCCAATATCGCCGTGGGTTTACACTCACCCTGTGATATTGCTCCTAACATCCAGGGGGTAGAGCATGATATTACTCCCAACAGAACAGTGGGTGTATATCCACCCGGTGATATTGCTCCTAATATTCAGAGAAGAAAAAAAATGATATTACCCCCAATATCGCAGGGATTGTACAACCCTTCTGTGAGATTGTTCCTAATATCCAGAGGGAGAGAGGATGAAATTACTCCCAATATCAAAAGCTGTGTACATCCACCCTGTGAAATTGTTTCTAATATCCAGGAAGGGAGAGGATGATATTACTCCCCATATAGCCGGAGGTGTACACCCACCCTGGGATATTGTTTCTAATATCGAGGTGGGGCGGAGAGCCTGTTATTACTCCCAATATCACAGAGGGTGTACATCCGCCCTGTGATATTGTTCTTAATATTCAAAGAGGGAGAGGATGACATTACTCCAAATATCGCAGAAAGTGTACACACCCATGTGATGTTGTTCCTAATATCCAGAAGATGATATGACTCCCCATGTCGCAGGAGTACACCCACTCTGTGATATTTTTCCTAATATTCAGAGAAGAGAGGATAATATTATTCCCAATATCGAAGGGGGTTTGAACACCCCCGGTGATATTGTCCGCAATATTCCAAGGTGGAGAGGATGATATTACTCCCAAAACTGCAGAAAGTGTACACCCCCCCACCCCCCACTGATATTGTTCTCATGACCCAGGAGAGAAGAGGATGATATTACTTTAAATATCACAGGGGTGTACAGGTCCGCAGTGATATAGTTCCTAACTTCAACGTGGGAGAGGATGAAACTACACCCAATATCGCAGGGGGTGTAAACTCTCCTGTGATATTGTTCTTCATATCCAGGAGAAAAGAGGATGACATTACTCCCAATACTTCAGAGGGTGGACACCCATCAGTGATATAGTTTGTAATTTCCAAAGGGGGAGATGATATGAATCACAATATCGAAAATACGCTGTGTGTCCACCGTGGATCGTAATATCCAAGGGGGGAGACGGGAGTGATATTACTCCCCACATCGCAGGTGCGTGCAACCCCCTGCGATGTTGATCGTAATATCCAGGGGGGCAGAGGGGGATGATATTACTCCCCATATCCTGCGGGGTGTCCAAAAGGAATTTTGATATCTCAAGCGGTCAGATAGGTTCTTCCTCAAATAAATGCAGGAAGATTCTGAGAGGAGAAACACTAAAGACACAGATGGCTGCACTGTGATCCTTCTTGTATTATGCTTTTTGTAACTAACATAAGTACCTACAGAAAGACACAGCATAGGATGGAGGGAAGAAATCTGAAATGTTATTACATTTTCACATCTCTAGCCTGGTCATCCTTTTGAGGATATTTCTTTTATCACTCATTTGTAGAACTTTCTTTCTAATCAATAATTTCTAGTCACAACCTGGAATTAATACCACCTGCCTGTCCTATCTTCAGATGTGGGCTAGCACAAAGTACTCATCTGTTTCATTCTCCAGCTTCACATACTGAAATAACCTCTATATTTGAAGGAACAAAAGACATATGTAAGACTTAATAACTGACAGAGAAAGAAATGTAATTTCCAGAAAGCTTTGAAAAGCAATACAGAGAAAAGAAAATAACATTAAAATAAAGATTCAATTCCATCCACATCAAGTTACCAATGACTTTCTTCACAGAATTGGAAAAAAACTACTTTCAAGTTCATATGGAACCAAAGAAGAGCCCGCATTGCCAAGACAATCCTAAGCCAAAAGAAGAAAGCTGGAGACATCACGCTACCTGACTTCAACTATACTACAAGGCTACAGTAACCAAAACAGCATGGTACTGGTACCAACACAGAGATCTAGACCAATGGAACAGGACAACATTATTTTAAGTAGCCCACTTAGGGGAGACTGTGGGATGAAGTCTCGTTCATCATCTCCCTACTCATCAGCCTATGAAAAATTACTGTATTACAGTACCCACTGTGTCTTGTAGATATAAAGCCAGAAAATCAATTTGTGAATCATGGAAAGTAATGGTAAGTAGTAGCAATGAAGCACTTGGTGAGCCTTTAAATTTCTTTTTTTTTTTTAGTTTTATTATACTTTAAGTTCTAGGGTACATGTGCACAACGTGCAGGTTTGTTACATATGTATACATGTATGTTGGTGTGCAGCACCCATTAACTCATCATTTACATTAGGTAGTTCTAATGCTATCCCTCCCCCCTCCCCCCACCCCATGACAGGCCCTGATGTGTGATGTTCCACACCCTGTGTCCAAGTGTTCTCATTGTTCAATGCCCACCTATGAGTGAGATCATGCCGTGTTTGATTTTCTGTCCTTGCGATAGTTTGCTCAGATTGATGGTTTCTAGCTTCATCCATGTCCCTACAAAGGACATGAACTCATCCTTTTTTATGGCTGCATAGTATTCCATGGTGTATATGTGCCACATTTTCTTAATCCAGTCTATCATTGATGGGCATTAGGGTTGGTTCCAAGTCTTTGCTATTGTGAATAGTGCCACAATAAACATATGTGTGCATGTGCCTTTATAGCAGCATGATTTATAATTCTTTGGGTATATATCCAGTAATGGGATGGATGGGTCAAATGGTATTTCTACTTCAAGATCCTTGAGGAATCGCCACCCTGTCTTCCACAATGGTTGAACTAGTTTATAGTCCTACCAACAGTGTAAAAGTGTTCCTATTTCTCCACATCCTCTCCAGCACCTATTGTTTCCTGACTTTTTAATGACTGACATTCTAACTAGAGTGAGATGGTATCTCATTGTGATTTTGATTTGCATTTCTCTGATGGCTAGTGATGATGAGCATTTTTTCATGTGTCTGTTGGCTGCATAAATGTCTTCTTTTGAGAAGTGTCTGTTCATATCCTTCGCCCACTTTTTGATGGGGTTGTTTGATTTTTTCTTGTAAATTTGTTTAAGTTCTTTGTAGATTCTGGATATGAGCCCTTTGTCAGATGGGTAGATTGCAAAAATTTTCTCCCATTCTGTAGGTTGCCTGTTCATTCTGATGGTAGTTTCTTTTGATGTGCAGAAGCTCTTTAGTTTAATTAGATCCCATTTGTCAATTTTGGCTTTTGTTGCCATTGCTTTTGGTGTTTTAGACATGAAGTCCTTGCCCATGCCTATGTCCTGAATGGTATTGCCTAGGTTTTCCTCTAGGGTTTTTATGGTTTTAGGTCTAACATTTAAGTCTTTAATCCATCTTGAATTAATTTTTGTATAAGGAAGGGATCCAGTTCCAACTTTCTACATATGGCTAGCCAGTTTTCCCAGAACCATTTATTAAATAGGGAATCCTTTCCCCATTGCTTGTTTTTGTCAGGTTTGTCAAAGATCAGATGGTTGTAGATGTGTGGTATTATTTATGAGGCCTCTGTCCTGTTCCATTGGTCTATATCTCTGTGTTGGTACCAGTACCATGCTGTTTTGGTTACTGTAGCCTTGTAGTATAGTTAGAAGTCAGGTAGCATGATGTCTCCAGCTTTCTTCTTTTGGCTTAGGATTGTCTTGGCAATGCGGGCTCTTCTTTGGTTCCATATGAACTTTAAAGTAGTTTTTTCCAATTCTGTGAAGAAAGTCATTGGTAGCTTGATGGGGATGGCATTGAATCTGTAAATTACCTTAGGCAGTATGGCCATTTTCATGATATTGATTATTCCTATCCATGAGCATGGAATGTTCTTCCATTTGTTTGTATCCTCTTTTATTTCCTTGAGCAGTGGTTTGTAGTTCTCCTTGAGGAGGTCCTTCACATCCCTTGTAGGTTGGATTCCTAGGTGTTTTGTTCTCTGTGAAGCAATTGTGAATGGGAGTTCACTCATGATTTGGCTCTCCGTTTGTCTGTTTTTGGTGTATAAGAATGCTTGTGATTTTTGTACATTGATTTTGTATCCTGAGACTTTGCTGCAGTTGCTTATCAGTTTAAGGAGATTTTGGGCTGAGATGATGGGGTTTTCTAAATATACAATCATGTCATCTGCAAACAGGGAAAATTTGACTTCCTCTTTTCCTAATTGAATACCCTTTCTTTCTCTTGTCTGATTGCCCTGGCCAGAACTTCCAACACTATGTTGAATAGGAGTGGTGAGAGAAGGCATCCCTGTCTTGTGCCAGTTTTCAAAGGGAATGCTTCCAGTTTTTGCCCATTCAGTATGATATTGGCTGTGGATTTGCCATAAATAGCTCTTATTATTTTCAGCTATGTCCCATCAATACCTAGTTTATTGAGAGTTTTTAGCATGAAGGGCTGTTGAATTTTGTCAAAGGCCTTTTCTGCATCTATTGAGATAATCGTGTGGTTTTTGTCTTTGGTTCTGTTTATATGATGGATTACGTTTATTGATTTGCATATGTTGAACCAGCCTTGCATTCCAGGGATGAAGCCCACTTGATCATGGTGGATAAGCTTTTTGATGTGCTGCTGGATTCAGTTTGCCAGTATTTTATTGAGGATTTTTGCATCAATGTTCATCAGGGATATTGGTCTAAAATTATTTCTTGTTGTTGTTGTGTCTCTGCCAGGCTTTGGTATCAGGATAATGCTGACCTCATAAAATGAGTTAGGGAGGACTCCCTCTTTTTCTGTTGATTGGAATAGTTTTAGAAGGAATGGTACCAGCTCCTTTTTGTACTTCTGGTAGAATTTGGCTGTGAATCCATCTGGTCCTGGACTTTTTTTGGTTGGTATGCTCTTAATTATTGCCTCAATTTCAGAGCCTGTTATTGGTCTATTCAGGGATTCAACTTCTTCCTGGTTTAGTCTTGGCAGGGTGTATGTGTCCAGGAATTTATCCATTTCTTCTAGATTTTCTAATTTATTTGCGTAGAGATGTTTAGAGTATTCTCTAATGGTAGATTGTATCTCTGTGGGATCGGTGGTGATATCCCCTTCATCAATTTTTATGGCATCTATTTGATTCTTCTCTCTTTTCTTCCTTATTAGTCTTGCTAGTGGTCTATCAATTTTGTTCATCTTTTCAAAAAACCAGCTGCTGGATTCATTGATTTTTTGAAGAGTTTTTTGTGTCTCTATTTCCTTCAGTTCTGCTCTGATCTTAGATATTTCTTGCCTTCTGCTAGCTTTTGAATGTGTTTGCTCTTGCTTCTCTAGTTCTTTTAATTGTGATGTTAGGGTGTCAATTTTAGATCTTTCCTGCTTTCTCTTGTGGGCATTTAGTGCTATAAATTTCACTCTACACATTGCTTTAAATGTGTCCCAGAGATTCTGGTATGTTGTGTCTTTGTTCTCACTGGCATCAAAGAACATCTTTATTTCTGCTTTCATTTTGTTATGTACCCAGTAGTCATTCAGGAGCAGGTTGTTCAGTTTCCATGTAGTTGAGCGGTTTTGAGTGAGTTTCTTAATCCTGAGTTCTAGTTTGATTGCACTGTGGTCTGAGAGACAGTTGGTTATAATTTCTGTTCTTTTACATTTGCTGAAGAGTGCTTTATTTCCAATTAGGTGGTCCATTTTGGAGTAAGTGTGATGTGGTGCTGCGAAGAATGTATATTCTGTTGATTTGGGGTGGAGAGTTCTGTAGATGTCTATTAGGTCCGCTTGGTGCAGAGCTGAGTTCAATTCCTGGATAGCCTTGTTAATTTTCTGTCTCGTTGATCTGTCTAATGTTGATAGTGGGGTGTTACAGTCTCCCATTATTATTGTGTGGGAGTATAAGTCTCTTTGTAGGTTCTAAGGACTTTATGAATCTGGGTGCTCCTGTATTGGGTGCACATATATTTAGGATAGTTAGCTCTTCTTGTTGAATTGATCCCTTTACCATTATGTAATGGCCTTCTTTGCCTCTTTTGATCTTTGTTGGTTTAAAGTCTGTTTTATCAGAGACTGGGATTGCAACCCATGCTTTTTTTTGCTTTCCATTTGCTTGGTAGATCTTCCTCCATCCCTTTATTTTGAGCCTATGTGTGTCTCTGCAGGTGAGATGTGTCTCCGGAATACAGCACACTAGTGGGTCTTGACTCTTTATCCAATTTGCCAGTCTATGTCTTTTAATTGGAGTATTTAGCCCATTTCAATTTAAGGTTACTATTGTTATGTGTGAATTTGATCCTGTCATTATGATGTTAGCTGGTTGTTTTGCTCATTAGTTGATCCAGTTTCTTCCTAGCATTGATGGTCTTTACAATTTGGCATGTTTTTTTCAGTGGCTGATACCGATTGTTCCTTTCCATGTTTAGTGCTTCCTTCAGGAGCTCTTGTAAGGCAGGCCTGGTGGTGACAAAATCTCTCAGCATTTGCTTGTCTGTAAAGGATATTATTTCTCCTTCACTTATGAAGCTTTGTGTGGCTGTATATGAAATTCTGGGTTGAAAATGCTTTTCTTTAAGAATGTTGAATATTGGCCCCCACTCTCTTCTGGCTTGTAGGGTTTCTGCCAAGAGATCTGCTGTTAGTCTGCTGGGCTTCCCTTTGTGGGTAAACGGACCTT
Source organism: Homo sapiens (assembly GCF_000001405.40). Classification (NCBI taxonomy): domain Eukaryota; kingdom Metazoa; phylum Chordata; class Mammalia; order Primates; family Hominidae; genus Homo; species Homo sapiens. The sequence continues at coordinate 166,687,539 of NC_000002.12, read as the reverse complement.
TCTCTCTTGCTGCCCTTAACATTTTTCCTTCATTTCCACCTTGGTGAATCTGACAATTATGTGTCTTGGAGTTGCTCTTCTCGAGGAGTATCTTTGAGGTGTTCTCTGTATTTCCTGAATTTGAATGTTGGCCTGCCTTCCTAGGTTGGGGAAGTTCTCCTGGATAATATCCTGCAGAGTGTTTTCCAACTTTGTTCCATTATTCCCTTCACTTACAAGTACACCAATCAGACGTAGATTTGGTCTTTTCACATAGTCCCATATTTCTTGGAGGCTTTGTTCATTTCTTTTTACTCTTTTTTCTCTAAACTTCTCTTCTCACTTCATTTCATTCATTTGATCTTCAATCACTGATACCCTTTCTTCCACTTGATCAAATCGGCTACTGAAGATTGTACATGCATCGCATAGTTCTCGTGCCATGGTTTTCAGCTTCATCAGGTCATTTAAGGTCTTCTCTATGCTGTTTATTTTAGTTAGCCATTCATCTAATATTTTTTCAAGGTTTTTAGCTTCTTTGCGATGGGTTTGAACGACCTCCTTTAGCTTGGAGGATTTTGTTATTACTGATCTTCTGAAGCCTTCTTCTCTCAACTCGTCAAAGTCATTCTCCGTCCAGCTTTGTTCCATTGCTTGTGAGGAGCTGTGTTCCTTTGGAGGAGAAGAGGTGGTCTGATTTTTAGAATTTTCAGTTTTCTCTCTGGTTTCTCCCCATCTTTGTGGTTTTATCTACCTTTGGTCTTTGATGATGGTGATGTACAAACTGGGTTTTTGTGTGGATGTCCTTTCTGTTTGTTAGTTTTCCTTCTAACAGTCAGGACCCTCAGCTGCAGTTCTGTTGGAGTTTGCTGGAGGTCCACTCCAGACCCTGTTTGCCTGGGAATCACCAGCAGAGGCTGCAAATATTGCAGAACAGCAAGTGTTGCTGCCTGATCGTTCTTCTGGAAGCTTTGTCTCAGAGGGGCACCCGCCCGTATGAGGTGTCAGTCGGCCCCTACTGGGAGTTGCCTCCCAGTTAGGCTACTCAGGGGTCAGGGACCCACTTGAGGAGGCAGTCTGTCCATTCTCAGATTTCAAACTCCATGCTGGGAGAACCACTACTCTCTTCAAAGCTGTCAGACAGGGACGTTTAAGTCTGCAGAAGTTTCTGCTGCCTTTTGTTCAGCTATGCCCTGCCCCCAGAGGTGGAGTCTAGAGAGGCAGGCAGGCCTCCTTGAGCTGAGGTGGGCTCCACCCAGTTTGAGCTTCCTGGAGGCTTTATTTACCTCCTTCAAGCCTCAGCAATTGTGGATGCCCCACCTCCAGCCTTGCTGCCGCCTTGCAGTTTGATCTCAGACTGCTGTGCTAGCAGTGAGCAAGGCTCCATGGGTGTGGGACCCTCTGAGCCACATGTGGGATATAATCTTCTGGTGTGGTGTTTGCTACGACCATTGGAAAAGTGCAGTATTAGGGTGGGAGTGACCCGATTTTCCAGGTGCCATCTGTCATGGCTTCCCTTGGCTAGGAAAGGGAATTCCCCAACCCCTTGCACTTCCCAGGTGAGGCGATGCCTCACCTTTCTTCAGCAAACAGTCTGTGGGCTGCATCCACTGTCTGACAAGCTCCAGTGAGATGAACCCAGTATACCTCAGTTGGAAATGCAGAAATCACCCGTCTTCTGCATCGCTCACACTGGTAGCTGTAGACCATCAGCCATCTTGGAACTGGCCCCCTCTTGAATCTAACCCACTCTTAATGGCATGGGGGAAATGGGAAGCTTTGAATCAAAATAACACTTTTATTTAGAGTAGTTTAGAAAGAGTCTTCCAATGTACAAAATACAAGATTTGTTTTAGCCCTAAGGTAGAGCAGAGTTTTCTCTTAAAAGAACGAGCTTACCTTAAACAAAATTTTAAAGCTAAAATTAGTCATTTTTGCCTTGCTCCAAAGCACACTTTTTAGATTACTTCCTTGTTAATGGCTAATGCATAAAATTTGGTAAAAAATCTAATTGATACATTTTTTCCCAGAGTAGCTGGGATTACAGGCGCCCGCCACCATACCTGCCTAATTTTTTTGTATTTTTAGTAGAGACAGGGTTTCACCATGTTGGACAGGCTTGTCTCAAACTCCTGACCTCAGGTGATCCATGCACCTCGGCCTCCCCAAATGCTGGGACTACAGGCTTGAGCCACTGCGCCCAGCCACAGATTTTCTAAACACTTGGAATGCAGCATCTGTAAGCCAGCCACAAGATTTCTTGAAGGGTTCTGAAATAAAGATGATCAAAATGGAGTAACAAAGAGAAAGAAAAGACTTTGTGTGATAGTTAATTCTATGTGTCAACTTGACTAGGCTAAGGGATGTCTAGATAGCTCGTAAAACATTATTTCTGGGTGTATCTATGAGAGTGTTTCTGAAAGACTAGTATTTTAATCTGTAGACCGAGTGAAAATAAAATTGCCCTAACCAATGTAATGGGCATAACCCAATCTGTTAAGGGCCTAAATAGAACAAAAAGGCAGAGGAAGGGAGAATCTGCTGTCTGCTTGAGCTGGGACATACATCTTCTGCCCTCTGATATTGGTGCTGTCAGTTGTCCAGCCTTTAGACTGAGACTTATGCTGTTGGCTCCTCTGGTTATCAAATTTTCAGGTTTGGACTGGAACTATATCTATCACAGGCTATCCTCAGTCTCCAGTTTGCAGGTGGCAGATCTGGGACTTCTTAACCTCCAAAATGGCATGAGCCAACCCTTCACAATAAGTCTCTATATTTCTCTACATATCTGTATCTATTTATCCATATGTGTGTGTGTGTTTATGCATGTGTATGTGTACAGCCATCCCTTCATGTCTGTGGGTTCTATATTCACAGATTCAACCGGCTGGATAGAAAATATTTGAGAAAAAATGGGTAGTTGCATATGTACTGAACATTTACAGATTTTTCTTTGGTCATTATTTCCTAAAGAATACAGTACAACAATTACTTTCACAGCATTTACATTATATTAGGTATTATGAGTAATCTATAGATGACTTAAAGTATACAGGAGGATGAGCATAACTTGTATGCAAACACTATGCCATTTTATATAAGTGACTTGAGCATTCACAGGTTTCAGTACCTGCAAGGGGTCCTAAAACCAATCTATCATGGATACTGAGGAAGGACTACACACACACACACACACACACACACACACACACACACACACACACACAGAGAGAGAGAGAGAGAGAGAGAGAGAGAGATGCATCACTTAACAATGAAGACATGCTCTAAGAAATATGTTGTAAGGTAATTTCATCACTGTGTGTACATCATAGAGTGTACTTATACAAACCTAGATGGTATAGCCTATTACACAGCTAGGCTATGTCTTAAACCCTATTGCTCCTAGGCTACAAACCTGTACAGCATGTTACTATATTGAATACTGTAGGCAATTGTAACACAATGGTTAAGTATTTATGTGCCTAAATATATCTAAACATAGAAAAGGTATAGTAAAAATACAGTATAAAAGATAAAAAATGGTACATCTGAATAGAGCACTTCCATTAAAATCTTATGAAACTACCATCATATACGGAGTCTATTGTTGGGTGCAATGTCATGCAGTGTCTATAAATGGGTATGTGTATGTATATAGGTATAGATACTATTTTTTGTTTATCTAGAGAACCCAGAGTAATGTAGATTTTGGTAGCAAAAGTGGTTCTAGAGGAACAGAATTTTAAGAATAAGTTTTCTGAATTAATTCTAGGGTTTTGGAATTGGCTTTCTAGTCTGATTCGATTTAAAGATGCTGGTGACTATTTCTAGTAGTAAAGAGAGCACTAGTAGTACACAGTGTGAACTGTTTATAGACGCGCAAAATATCTGCATTGAATACGCCTAATTAACCACTTATAAGAAGCAAGTAGTTGGGTGATTCTGTATATGATGACTTATCGGCCTCCATAATTGCATGAACCAACCCCTTACAGTAAATCACAATAAATCTTCCTGTATATCTACATATATCCTATTTGGTCTGTTTCTCTGGAGAATTGAATCATATACTTTATTTAAAATGTCTGGCAGAAATGTCATTCTGAATTGAGATTGCCTGCCTTCTGGAAGTCAGCACAAGTTTGATATTACAGGTATTCAAGCTGATCAAAAGAAAAAGGGACAAGGAAACAAGATGTACAGTCAAGAAAAAAATGTCTTTCCCTGTTTTCTGATGTAGATTGTCCAGACCATACATTCTTCAGTTTCATGTGTAGCAAAGAAAATAGTTTAGGCAAATCTGGGAGACTGTATCCCATAATTCAGAGTTTAGAAAACAATTAGGTTATTTTAGATTAGGAGCGTACCACCCTAAGAGTAGTAATTACAAGAGTAACTTTGAGCTTCTAGAACTGTTGCTGCACCTCTGTGCCTCATAGATTCTTTCTACATAATCTTCTCTCTGCCGAAATGCAGCCTCAGAAAAAAATATGTCACACGAATATTGTAACTATAGAGTTCCATGTCAAATCATGTGGAGTCATTGAGTTCTATCTAACCTCCAGTCTACAACTTTTGGCTCTTAATTCAGAGAGCCTTGGTTGGCATGGGTGACAGAGCCAGCTACTCTTCCAGGCAGAAGATTGATTGACCCAGTAAGTTCAGTCTAGTTACCCTACTAGACTTCCTTTGTTCTTGTTCTCATATTATATCAGTTGGCACAGATGGAATATAACATATAAGGTAGCTGGAATCAATGTTGACACTCCCCGGTTTTAAGCCCTCCAGTGATTCATAACTTAGAGAACTTAAAATCACCAGGGAAACATTTTTTTCTAATGTTAAAACACAACTATTTATCTAGTTACACTTCCCTTCTGACACCAGATTTGTGGGTTTTCCACACCAAGTAATTCTCCACTTTTCTGCAGACACCAGCGGGGTGTCCTACAACTTAATTGTGATCCTAACTACTGAGAGTTAGTATAGACACACAGATTAGTGGCTCCATTTACAAGACTGCCTCCACTTCAGACACCATTTGCAAGGCCCAGGTTGTCACCTGTATTTCTAACCAACTGGCTATAAGCTGGGGATCCCCACAACCTCCATATTATGTTTGATAACTTGCTGTAATGGTTCACAGAACTCAGAGAAGCATTTACTTATTTCACTATTATTATGAAATATATTACAAAGGACACAGATGAACAGCCAGATGAACAGGTACATAGAGTGAGGTATGTGGGAAGGGGTGTGGAATTCTATTCCCTGTCTTCACCCTCCTGGCACCTCCCTGTGTTCACCACCCCAGAAGCTCTCCAAACCTTTTAGTTTAGGGATTTGTATAGAGCCTTAATCACATAGGCATCATCGATTATTAACTCCATCTCTAGCCACTCTCCACTCCCCAGAGGATGGGGAACAAGGCTAAATAGTCTAAGATTGTACACTTTCTGGTGACTAGTTCTATCCTAAAATTATCCAGGGACCTCTGGCCACCAGTCATCTCATTAGCACACAAAAAGACATACTCTTAACACTCGAGAGATTCCAAAATCTTAGAAGATCTTGTGTCAGGAACCAGTGAATAAGACCAAATATTATAAAGAAAGATACCCCTAGCTGAGGAGTATGACTGAATATTATAACAAAATACATTCCTCTCACCTCATCACTCAAAGTTATGTGAGTTTTAGAAACTCTTTGCTAGGAATTAGGGACAGAGATCAAATATATATTTCCTATTATGTCACGAAGGCTGATTCCCGGAGTCCAGCCTTCTTATTCATATTAATTCATCTGAGGAAGGGCACTGGTTCTAATATGTTTTCTAAAGTGCCCTAGAAGTTTCTAATGCATAACCATTGTTGAGAACCACTGTTTTAGAGCACAGGTTTTAAAATGTTAGTATACAATAAAATCACCTAAGCATCTTAGTAAGATGAAGATTCTGATTCAGTAGGTTGGAGGCAGGGCCTGAGATTTTGCCTTCCTAAATAGTTCCCAGGTCAGGTTGATGTTTTCCTTCTGTGGACCACACTCTGAGTTGTAAGGTTCTAGAGGGACTGTTTCTGTGAAAGTGATATGAACAATGACCAGTTATTTTATTCTTCCAAGCCATATCTAGCAAAATATGTATATATTGCAGACTAATGGGAAGCAAGGTGTAGTGGTGTTTAAGCACGGTGAAGGTATAGCAATCAGGTAGACATACATGCCCATCCACCCATCAAGTCTGCGTTGTTGTTGACTGCCACCCCTGCACTTTCACTACCGTCACTTATACCCTGCAGGAAAAGTACAATACTTGGAACAGAGTCTCTCAAAAGAATGAAAGCAAGAGGCCATGTAGGTAAAGCACTAAGATCTCTAGCCCCAGCTTAATCAAAGCAAATTTCTGTAATTCTAGTTTCTTAATTCAGCTCAGCTATGATCAATCACACTATCAGCTCTACTCTGCACTTGTGCCATTCTAAACTGCTGTGTATTTTTATAAGAAAAGACTAACATACAAATGAGAGTGAGACTTAATAAGGGAAAAAACTTGTCAAACTGACAAATTTGTATTATAGAAATGTATATAACAGGTTATTGTCCTGATCCTAAGGGCCCTGTCAGGGTTTTTAGGGTGTGTACATGCATGAGTATGTGCGTATATGTGTGAGCATGTGTGTGCAATAAGGTTTGATTCTAAATTCATTACTCACTGGACATGTATACCAAAGAAAAAAGAATTTGGCACTAAAACTTTTAAGCTATTGACATAACACAACTATTCAAGATAAAATAATATTTTCTACTCATTTTAATGAAGGTAGAGGAGTTTCTATTTTATTATTTTGTGACCTTACCTCCTAAAATTAAATAATGTATATTTTGAAGTTATTAAAATGGAGACAATATTACCATCCATTTTTTCCATTTTAATAAAAAATCAACTGAAATTGTTAAGTAATGTCTATACAGCTTTTCCTAAAGGACACACGATCAGATTTTTAAAACTTCAAAATTAAAGTGTGTCTTAGTCCATTCAGGCTGCTATAACAAAATACCATAGACTGAGTAGCTAAGAAACAGTAGTAATTTATTGTCCAGAGTTCTGGAGGCTGGGAAGTTCAAGATCAATGTGCCAGTGGATTTAGTGTCTGAGGACCTGCTTCCTTAATGGCCACTGTCTTCTCAATGTAACCTCACAAGTCAGATGGGGGAAGTGGTCTCTTTGAGGTCTCTTTTACGGGGGCACTAAACCCATTTTGAAGTGTTTCATGCTGGTGACCTAATCCCCTCCAAAGGCTCCACCTCCTAAGATTATTGCCTTGGAGGTTAAGATTTCAACATATGAATTTGATGTGTGGACATACACATTCAGACTCTAGCAGTGTGTCAAATCCATCTACTTAAAGTTGCAAACTAGCTAGCTATTGCTTACATATTTATATCCCAGATTCTAGATTTCCTGCAGTTTTCTTTCAGGGTTTATACCTTATTTAAACCAATAATAAAATTCAACCATTAAGTGCCTAGTCAGACATTTCAAAGGCCTGTGGAGAAATGCTTTGCTTAAAACAATTTCATGTTAGTATTTATACTAGCTTGTATAACTCCAAAATAAAGTTAATACCTCTAAAATGCTGTTTTCAATATAACTTTTTCCAGCACAGGTTCCTTGTTCTTTTTTCTCAGGGTATACCCAATGATATGATTTAGCTGTGTCCCCACCCAAATCTCTTCTTGAATTGTAATTCCCATAATCCCCACATGTGGTGGGAGGGGCCCTGTGTGAGGTAATTTAATCATGGGGGTGGTTATCCTCATGTTGCTCTCATGAGAGTGAGTGAGTTCTCACAAGATCTGATGGTTTTATAAGGAGCTTCCCCCTTTGCTCTGCTCTCATTCTTCTTCTCGCTGCTGCCATTTGAGGAAGGATGTGTTTGCTTCTTCTTCTGCTGTGACTATAGGTGTCCTGAGGCCTCCACAGCCATGCTGAACTATGAATCAATTAAACCACTTTCCTGTATAAATTACCCAGTCTCAGGCATGTCTTTAATTGCCGCATGAGAATAGACTAATACACTCAAGGCTTAGAGAACAGCCATGTCTCCTCAAAAGTGATAAATGAACAAAGAAGAAACATTCAGTATCTACAAGTACCTATTTCTCTGGTAGTCCCTCTGTGGAAGAAAATACAAGGTAGTTTTAATTAGTCCAATTTATTGTCTTACTTGATTCTGCAAAATGGCCTCCTAATTTCTTTGTTTCAGCTTCTACATAGCCACAACCTGCCTCTTTCTTCTCTAAGCTCCTCTTTATGTAGCATAAAGAGGTGCCCTTTATATATCATAGGTAATTGATTGACAAATAAAATATTTATCTGTGGCAGTAGATCCATGCCACCATTCCTTTTCTTCTGACAATCCCAAGTCAGTTTTAACTGAAAGTGGAATATAAATGGCTCAGGTGTATTTAGTTATTCTCTGCGTTAAGACAGGGACAATTGATGAAACAAGACAAATATAATGCATTGATCCTCACCCACCTGCAGGAGAAGATGATTAAAAGAATTTGGAAGAAAGAGAGGGGTTTTCTAGGAGAAATTAGTCTTTTTGGTGCATTAGAATTTTTTGCATTTTCTGTTGGGGGAGGTGTCTCAGTTCATTCAGATTGCCATAACAAAATACTTAGGACTGGGTAATTTATAAACAACAAATATTTATTTCTCAGTCTTGCCATTGGGAAGTCCAAGATCAAGGCACCAACAGATTAAATGTCTGCTGAGTGCTAGCTCTCTGCTTCATAGATGGTGCCTTCTACCTCTTCGCACTCGGTGGAAGGGCACACAAGCTCCCTTGAGCTTGTTTTTGTAGGACTGTAACCCCATTCATAAAGGCTTTGATCTCATGACCCCACCTCCCAAAGGCCCCACCTCTTAATACTTTTACACTGGGGATTAGCTATCAACATAAGAACTGAGTGGTGGTGAGCGCAAACATTCAGACCATAGGCGGCAAGTCACGTTGTTGGCATTTTTATTTTTACATTCATGGGGCTTCTTTTCATTGGGATGTCTGATTCATACATGAATCTTCCCTTGAAAATATTCTCTCAACCACCAGAAAATTTTTCTGAAATTGGGGTCAGGGAATGGTTCTAAACATAAGGACCAAAGGTAGTTTTGCCATTATAGTTCACTGAGCACAAAGGAGGCTGCTGAAGTATGGGACACACACATGGAAGGAAGACACAACATTACAGCTAAACTACATGAGATAAAACTTGCCTCCAGTTTCTTGTAAAGCAGCTGTTGTTTTACAGGAAATCCTCAGTTTCCAGTGAGCTAGAGTAGGCCATGGATATTAGCAAATTTGCAAGTCATCCCAGCCTGCATCAAGAAACCACTGACTGGGACCAAAGGATCTTATCAGCCGAGAATAAAGAGTAGACCTATTGCTGAAGGAGGGATAGCTGAATAAAGGACATGCCTCCTAGATTTTCCAACAGCAGGGAACTCTGGAGGGGGTTCTTGTGGGGTACAGTGCTTTTCAAGTATACTAAAAGATAGAGTTGCAGGGAGGACACTAGCAGAAAGGGCTGGCAGTGAACTGGCTATACATCAGCTAGAAAGCCATCCCATGTCCTCCTATTTCCTATGACCCAGGTAAATAGATTCACACTCTTTAGGTGATGGATGAAAGACAAATACCTTAGAGCTTTTCAGGAGGAAGAGATACGAAGAAAAGGTATGAAATTGTGAAAAGTAATGGAGATAGTGGTAATACCTTAATTTGTCTGAATAGTTTATTTAGAGAAACTATAATCTGTCAGTGACTGGAAAATTATGATATCAACAGTGTTTATCTGTAGAAGACAGAAAATATCCTCTGCTCCAGGCAGATGAGAGATTCTGGGCCTGAAGACATTAGACTGTCCCAAAGAGCTCCACTGCTCAATAATCACAGCATGTCTCTGTCCTGCTTAAAACCCTCCAATGCTTCACTTTGTATTTGGAATGAACTCTAAATGCTACCATGGCATGCAAGACCCCAAGTTCTGGTTCCTTCTCATCTCATTTTACTCATTTATTATGTTTCAGGAGTATGACACATCTTCTGATATACTAATGAACTAGCTTGTTTCCATCTCAAGCCTTCAGCACTTTTTACTTCTTCCACCTGGAGTACTCTCACTTCAGATTTCTTCATGGCTGAGCTCAAAAGATAACTTGATTGGGAAGCCTTTCCTAACCACCCCATTCAATATTTCTATAATTCCAACTTATTCTCTTTGAACTTGCTCTGTCTTATGTTTCTCATACACTCTATCATACTGTTAAAGTGAACTAAACGTGACCTGAGAAGAACTCATTACTTCTATATTTGAGTCTTTGTGGACAAACTGCAACCTAGCTTAATAGGTAGACAACATTGAAAACCTAACTTACAAGTATGTATCTGCAAAAACAGCAGAATCTTGGCCAATCCCAGCAGATGTACTTCAACCAGTCATACACTACTGAGTGTTCAAACTATGTTCAAACAAGGCAAAGGCAAAGCTGTAACTAATCCAGCCATTCTGTACCTCACTTCCAATTTCTGTAGGTCATTTCCTTTCTTTTTCTTTTTTGGTCTATAAATCTTCCACCATGTGGCTATGCTGGAGTCCTGTGAATCTGCTGTGATTCTGGGGGCTTCCTGATTCACAAAACATTCACTGCTCAATTAAACTTCCTTAAATTTAACTCAGCTGAAGTTTTTCTTTTATCAGATGGTGTCAGAATTGGGATCTGAAGTAGAGCTTCTAGTGATCCCCAGGAGCACTGAGTGAACAAGCAAGGTACCTGCAGGACCCACTTGTGTCTATTGATCTCTAGGAGCAGCTGGGGATCAGGGCTAAGCTCTCTCTTGGATTTTGGAGCTCCACAGATTTGTGTTTTGAGCTTTCTAAGTTTCTTTGAGCAAATATCTGATCCAATCCGGTTTGGAAATCGTGATAGAAACTGGGCTGAGGCCAGGAATGGATTTGATCTGGGGAATTAACAGGCTAGGATTCAATTGGAGGCCTCTTAACATCTGACTGAGTCAGAAGGAAACTGGTAGTAAGAAGTAATATTGCAGGACTTACAAAATTCGGCCTTTGAAAATTCACAGGGATTTTTGTGTTCTACCCCTTTGTTTCATTTTTCTTGCATGCTTAAGCAGGAAAAAAAAATCATTGGCTAAGTTAATCAAGAAAACCCGAGATTAAAGCCAATATTTTAGGTAAAAATGTAAAAATAGAATCCTTAATTTCTGGAAAACTGAGTCCTTTCTGGGTTATACATCAGGCCTGGGAGCAGTAAAGTCTTACAGAAATGGCAAAATCTTACAAAAGATAATTTACAGTGGAACATTCAAAATAAACAACATATTGAAGTACCTTTAAAAATGAGGACTCTCAGTAAAGTCCCTTTCACCTAAGAACAGGTTTGTCACTATGGGATGTTAACTGCTATTCTCTTTGGATTAATCTGTCTTAAAGCTTTTTGCTGATGGCTATGGGTGACAGGATTAGGCATGTACAGTACCATGGGACATGGGGAGCTTTTTTCCTCTTCAAAAGGGTAAACCTGAGAGCTGATGGGACTGCTAGAAAAAATCCCTTTGCTACTTAGAAGAGGATGCCTGAACTTTGCAGTGTCGCTGCAATAAATGGGTCTTGCTCTGGCCTCCCTGGGCTCTTCACCTTCCCCACCCTGCCACAGGCAATGCTTTTCTTTCTCTGCTTTTCCTTTCCTATCTTTCCTGTTACTAGGGCAACAATCTTTCCCAGAGACCACATGTTGAAACTCCTAGTCAGAGGTTGGATTAAAGATGACAGGGCTCATCTGAGGGCAAATTTAAGCCTTGCCAGTTTGATACTGGGTGCTAATCAAAGTGGCTAATGTCTATGTTTTATCACACGTATTTTGCTCTGGTCAGAACAGAAAAGGATAATTTTCCTTTACGGTGTGGTTTGGCCCCCAAGGCAATGGTGAGGCAAACCTGGTCACCAGGGCCACTCAGGGAAAGAAAACCCAGAACTTAGCATGCCAGCAAAAGGGAAGGAATTCTTCCCAGTCATATTTCTGGCTTTTCTCCCTCTTTTTCTCTGTGCAAACTGGTTAAATGAATGGTAAAAATCACTGTTATTAATACGAGAAAGAGTTCTGAGGCTGTTCTTAAGCTATAGTGACTCTGGTGTGCTTTGTGTGTCTTTCAGTATTGTTCTGTCATAAAGAGGGGTACCTTAGGATAAAATGTGTGCCTAAAACCCCATAAGCCTGCTGTTCAAGATGGCCCAGGGAACTGGTCAGTTATGTCCTTGGGAGCTTGATCTTATAACCATGTGGCCTTGATTTCTCTTTTCACAATGGTGGCCCAGGTTAAGGGTTCAGTCCCCAGCTTAGGGGATAAGCCTTTCTGATTGATATTTGGGTAGGCTTTGCCATTTTTCAATTGTCTTCCCCTCCGTGAACTGTCTTGAATTTTCTTTTCTCAGAGCACCTGTGAGGCTACCTTTGATATAGTTTAAAAGCCAGAAATATTGGCCATTTGGCCTGGCTAAAGTCAGGTAATAAGAAATTTTAAAAGGACTTTATTAAAGAGTGCTATGGTTAAAAGCCAGCTTAATTAGCCAGGCACGGTGGCTCACACCTGTAATGCCAGCACTTTGGGGGATGGAGGAAGGCAGACCATAAGGTCAGGAGTTCAAGACCAGCCTGGTCAATATGGTGAAACCCTGTCTCTAGTAAAAATACAAAAATTAGCCAGGCGTGGTGGCAGGTACCTGTAGTCCCAGCTACTTGGGAGGCCGAGGCAGGAGAATTGCTTGAACCTGGGAGGTGGAGGTTGCAGTGAGCTGAGATTGTGACACTGCACTCCAGCCTGGGCAACAGGAGTGAAACTTTATCTAAAAAAAAATATTGATAAGATAAAGACATTTAGTCTAAATTATGCAGGTCAGATATTAGGTTTGCTTAATGCTTTAAGGCCATAAACTGCTTTAACTTTTGAAAATTGTTCAATTTATTTTGGAGACATTAAATTCTAAATAAGACCTGGGGATATGTGAAATTAGTCATGTCCCCTAGCTATGCAAAGGAGGTTATAAAGAAAAGAAATTTTATGTAAGAAAGAATATTGAATGGTAAATTCTTGTCCTTGTCCTAAAGTAAAATGAGTGGTTGTTTAAAAAGAGGGATCTTTAGGACAAGTCAAAAAGTCCAAAGATGTCATCAATGGTCTGTGTAAGTCATGAAAGGATTCAAATAAGGCAAACACTGAGCTGTAACCAATCCAGCTGTTCTGTACCTCACTTCCAATTTCTGTAAGTCATTTCCCCTTTTTTGTTTATAAATCTTTTTCCAACACATGGCTGTGCTGGAGTCTCTGTGAACCTGCTGTGATTCTGGGGTTCCCCAATTTTGCAAATTGTTCATTGTTCCATTAAACTTCTTTAAATTTAATTCAGCTGAAGTTTTTATTAATACTTTTAAAATATGACTTGTTTTGTTACTTGTTCATTGCCTATTGCCCTACTAGAATGTAAATTTCTGAGGTAAACATGTTTCTCTTGTTCAGCACTATTCTTAGATCTTTTAGAAGATCACACATTTTCAATAAATATTTATGGAACAAATGATTCCATGTTAGGCATGGTTTTTATCAAAACACTGTTTTGAGTGTTACCTCTCATAAAGTGGGTCTTAAAGTGGCTCTCTGTAGAAATCTGATTTAGGAATCTTCTACAGTAACACAGAAAAGGGCAACAACACACAATAATCAGGTTGAGATGGGGTAGAAGATACCATGTAATAGAAAGAGTCGTGTTTATGAAAGACAAAAAATCTAATTTTATTTTATGGTCAGAATGTGATTTTTGTAGTTCTGGGTCAATAAATACAGGGGTAAATTGTGCACATAATGGTCTCACTTATGTCCCCTACCCCATATCTGTATCCCTTTGCCCTCTAATTCTGTAGTCTACTCCAGTATGACTGAAATCAAACATGTGAATTCTTATGGCTAAAAGGACGTTAACAACCATTGTGCAAGCAGAGGCTTGATAAACATGTGCATTTATTTTTATACATAATTAGGCTTATCTGCTTTTATACCTCTGCCCTTCCATGAATAAGCACATACTGGAACAAATTGCAGGCATTTGAGACACATTTGAAAAAATAGCTGAGGCTTTTCTAAACCAGCCAATAGCCAGCCAATGTTCCAATATATGAGAGAGTCCAGCCCCAAATCAGCAACCCACAACTGACTGAAGAAACAAAATTGAACCCAGTTAAGAAGAGAAGAGATGTCCAGCTAATCCAAAGGCTGGTGAATTTGGGGGTTGTTATACAGCAATTACTGTGGTATAAATGAGAGAGTAAATAAGAACAACTAACATGCTGACGACTCTCAAATCCATAGCTCTAAATCCAACTCTCTAGTCCACTTATTCTCTTGAGTATAAGACATAAATAATACTGCTTATTTAATGCTAATAATGATAACAAGAGCAAAATCTGTTGAGCACTGGCATGCATTTTCTATGAAATATTAAATTTAATATTTATAGCAATTCTCTCAGTGAAATTGAGGCTTACAAAGGGTAAGTACTTTTCCTAGTATCCCCCTAGCTAATAAATAGCAAATCTAAATCTCAAACCCAGGAAATTTAAGTTCACAATCTGTGTTCTTACCTAGTGGGCTTTTCTCTTCTTTATATTCATAGCCATTGGCCAGAATGTCCTGAAGCTCAGTCAACATGTGCAATGTTGAACTCCATCTATCCCATCTGCAGTTTTCAACAAATCTGTTTTTCCTGATATAATTTTCTTGCCAGTAAAAGTTCAAAAGAAAAATAGGGCCATATCCTAGAAAACGTTCTCTCCCTGCTTGTCTCCACATCAGTTAGTAACAAGGTACTGTTTAACTAGATATCTCAGGTATTTTGTCCTCTGTTTCACATGTCCAGTGTTACTGCTTCAGAATAGAATCTCACCATTTATTATGAATTTCTGACTGAGAACTCTGTCTCCAATATGACCTTCTCTCCATTCTCCACTTTTATTCTAGAGTAAGCTTTCTAAAAACCAACACCCACTTTCTCTGCTTAAGATCTTTCCATGGTTCCCTATAGCCCTTTATATGATATTTAAAGTCTTTAGCAACATATAGAAGCCCCTTCGTCACCCAGTCTGTGCTTTGTCTTCAGTCTTATATCTACCCATGTTCCTCTAAAGCACCCTACATCAGCCAACCTAAACTACTTCATGTCCCTGAATATACCATGCTTTTTCATGGCTCTGTTTCTTTCCATTTTCTGATCTCCCTGTTTGGAACATTTTCCCTCCACCTTACTGATCACCTTGTGCTTTTTCTTCAGGATTGCTCTTGCTTCACTTCCTCCTGGAGGCCTTCCTAGAAATACATTTACCCCCACCTCACTCCACCCGTCCAACTCATCAGGCTATTAGTTAAGCCAAGATTTGTGTATGTCTCTATTATGGTTCTTATCATACTGCATTGTCATCTTTGGTTTTCTTGTCTGTTTCTTTGCAACAGACTGAGAGCTCCTAAGTGCAAACACATGCCTTGTTAATCATGGTGTTCTCAGCATCTGGCACATGGCAGATATTCAATGAATGGGATCTGAATGAAAAAATGAATAAATGCATGAAGCATTTTCTTTTCCTTTGCTGCTGAGCCTAGGATAAAACTCATTTGGTTGATGAGATTTTAGGAAGGCGTCATCGAAAGGAAGTAGGAAGCATTCAAACGAAAATGGTAACTAAATGTGAAGGTGTTGAAAACGGTAAGGAAGATTCTAATGACATCTCACCTTGCCCCTCCCTAAAGATGGTCCTTTCTTGAACACAAAATACCTCTGCACAATTCTGATACTAGATCAAGAGTTTATGATACCTGTATACACTACTCTTTACAAGTTCAAAAAGGACTATAAAATTAAACATAGGCTTGTCTGACACATAATTACTGCATTTCCCTTTTTTCATCCATAAAACAATCGTGCAACAATACAGCACAGTAAACTCTTCCTTCCCCTCTTTATGAAACAACGTACAAACTTTGATTGTGGTTTGTTTATTGAATGTTGGGTCTTATTCAAAAATGCATGGAACATTTATATGCTGACATCACCATGTATTATTGGGAAACAAAAGCAGCTAAACTGTCATTTTATAAGCCTGGGCAGAAAATAATAAAAGGATTACAGTCAACTCTTTCTTTAATTTGGCACAACAATAAGCTATAACACAAAATTAAACTATTCAGATCAGGTATTTACCAT
This sequence comes from Homo sapiens, assembly GCF_000001405.40. NCBI lineage: Eukaryota > Metazoa > Chordata > Mammalia > Primates > Hominidae > Homo > Homo sapiens. The sequence goes on along the minus strand of NC_000002.12, from coordinate 166,671,231 downwards.
GAGCATTCCTCAGGGACTGGGATTTTCAGAAGCTTTGCCCACCATGGAGAACATAGTTCAGACATTTCTTTATAACTAAAACTAAGAATCATTTAAATGCATTTAATCTAAATATTCACTTCACTATTATACTCTGCATAGTAGTTTATTGAAATCAAAGTAATATGGAAAGAAGAATGAAGCAATTATTTAAAGATATTTTCTAGAGGATAAAGCAGATTTTAGAAGAGTGAAAATGTATATGTGTGTGTGTGTGTGTGTGTGTGTCTGTATTATATCCTAAAGTTGGAAAGATAGTGAAATTTTATTTTTATTTTTTATTCCATTTATATCACCTATCCCAATTCTCTGAGCCCTGTAATTTAGGTCAGTATAGGGTCTTAGCATGTGACTCAAAAGTAATCAAACAGAGTTGAACTCCAATGTGAAGATAGTGCTTGATGCTTCACAGGTAACATGTGTCTTTTATCAGTCATGTTCAAGGCGTTGATTAAGAGTGAAATTTAATTGTATGTACTGAGGTAGGGTCAGCAGGAGAGCTATTTTAAAGAAAAAAACATAACGCTGGGTATTCTTCAAATTACATGGTGTGAGCCTGCAGTAGTTAAGTCCAATCCTGCACATAAATATCAATAAAGTTTATGTGTTGTGTATCTTGAGTACCTTAAACAACCAATTTTGAGTAAAAGTATTCCAGCACATCAAAAAATGTCATATTGTAGAAAAGAAGTTACAATAGTATTGTAATGTGGCTTTGTATTTGAGTTCACATACTTACTTCACATAAGTATGTATTTCAGGACATATACTTTCTAGACCTATAATTTGGACAACTAATATTTTAAATTACTCCTAAGATACAAAGGAATGAATATAATTGCAAATCAATGTCACCAGGGATTTCAGCAACCTGACTGGCATATACTTTATTTCCTATACTCAATAAATACAGTACAATAGACTTAAATATATAGACTAAAACACCCTTATATCTAGAGAAGTGAGATCCATCTATAAATTTGCTATACCATATTCTGAGTGCTGTAAATTGGACTAGGTATGAAAAATCTTCCGTTGACCAAATGTAACAGATATGGATGTTATCACCAAACATGAAAAAAGAACTCTAGTCACACTCTCTTTGAGAGGTGGGTGCCCTGGACATAATTTTCATTTCTGAGATTGGATCAATATTTTAGAAAATTAAAATCTACTACTAAAGATTTACTAAACATATTCAATATTCAACTTATACATCACATACCAGTGTAGATGTATTTTTTAGAATCATGAGTAATTTATGGGCTGATTAATGCATCAGACTACATGTTAAATCAGTAAGATATGTACTGTCATGATCTTTTCACTTGTTAACGAAGCTTATTTTTAATGAACACTTTTGGCCGGCACTGTGGCTCACGCCTGTAATCCTAGAACTTTGGGAGGCTGAAGCAAGCAGATCTCTTGAGGCCAGGAGTTTGAGACCAGCCTTGCAAACATGGTAAAACCCTGTTTCTACTAAAAATACAAAAATTAGCCAGGCGTGGTGGTGGGCACCTGTAATCCCAGCTATTCAGGAGGCTGAAGCAGGAGAATCATTTGAACCTGGGAGGTGGAGGTTGCAGTGAGCTGAGATTGCGCCACTGCATTCCGGCCTGGGTGACAGTGTGAACTTCCATCTCAAAAAAAAAAAAAAAAATTTGAACACTTTTAGGCCCCACTCCTGGAATGTTTAATTTCTTAGATCTGGTGTATGTTCCTTGAGGCCAGAGTATCAACAATCTGCATCAGCCTTGGGGAGCCACTGAGAGAAAAATTGCTGAAAGAAGCTGGCAAGTCTATTAGCAACCAGTATACAGAGGACCTGGTAGACAGGTGATGATTAATTTAATGTACATTTAACGTGCTTAGCATAGCACTGGGCACACAATAAATGCTCAATAAATACTAATTATTGTTGCTGTTTTTTTTCATTTTGGGTCAAAAATATTTTAGTGAAATCATAATATAATGTGAAAGAATACATTGGATGTTATCAATAAACTACTCATATATTTCTTTTTTTTAGAGAGGCAAACAAATCTTATTTTAATCTACTGTGTGTATTAAAACCATATGACAACCCTATATTTAATCAGATGCCTTTTTAGTTATGTAGTTTACCATAAAATATGAGTACAGGGCTAAATTCTACCAATAGGGTCACATTCCTTCAGGGAAGCATAGAGTAGTGGAAGAAAATGGAGGTTTTCAAATATTCTGCACTTGATTAAAAAAAAAGAAAACCCAGTTCTATGACTTGATAAATTTATGGCCATAACCTTTCTGAACCTGTTTCCTCATTTAAATATACATCTCACACAATTTTTATGAGGATTTAATTAGATTAGTCTTATGAATCCTGTGTCTGAAATACATAGTAGGCATACAAAGGTCAGTTCTCCTCTTTACTCCCTTTCCCAATACCCAATACAACAAATTAGAACATGTCCACTGTTTTCAGAGAAGTTTTTTTAAAAAATATATTTGCACCACAGAAATTTCAAATGATTTAGGGTTTCTATTTTAAAATAACAGTATGTAGTAGCCTCAGTGAAAGTTTTCAAAGTTGATTATTAGCTTCCAGTTTCATGTTTATGTTCCTCAGGGAGGCTAGCAGTAAGCACTCGGAACGTATATTCTAGTACCCTGAAAACCTGGAACTAAATTAAGAAGGAAAACCTATTTCATATTAAGAGTTAAAGAACCTTGGAATTTCAAGCATGGTAGATGTATCTGTGGTTAAAAATGAGGGCTCTGAATTCAAACTTCCTTGTTAAGTCCCAATTCATCCATTTGATATCTGTCACTTCCGGCAAGTTACTCTTCCTCCCTAAGCTCCAGTCTGTGGATAATAATAGCCATCTCATAGGATAAGAATTAATTTTGATAATGCAATAGAGTATTTATACTGATGCTCAATAAATAGATGTGAATTATAGTGATATACTCAGAGCATAACAGTACCTTTGTTTTAGTTACAAATAATAAATGCTAATGCCACTAAAATACAGTTTGAATTCTCTCAAAACACTGGGCACTTTTCTTATAAGAAAAGCTTCTTAATACTTTTCCAGGGATACTGGTATGTTATTATTGTCCAGTCTCCTTTACAGTTTATCATCAAAAGAATTTAATCTCCCCCCACAATTTCATCTTTTATGTATGTATGCATTTATTTATGTTTTATTTTAATAGCTTTGGGGGTATAAGTGGTTTTTTTGTTACATGGATCAATTATACAGCCTTGAATTCTGAAATTTTAGTGTACACATTATCCGAGTAGTGTACATTGTACCTAATGTATAGTTTTTTTTATTACTAGCCCATCTCTCACCCTTCCCCCTCTGAGTCCCTAAAGTCTATTATATCACTCTGTATGCCTTTGTGTACCCATAGCTCAGATCCCACTTATAAGTGAGAACATACGGTTTTTGGTTTTCCACTCCTGTATTACTTCACTTAGAATAATGGCCTCCAGCTCCAACCAAGTTGTTGCAAAAGACATTATTTCATTCCCCTTAACGGAACAGACACCTTATTTAATACATGGTGCTGGGAAAACTGGCAAGCCACATGGAGAAGAATGAAACTGAATCCTTATCTCTCACCTTCTACAAAAATCAACTCACGACGAATCAAAGACTTAAGTATAACACATGCAACTATAAAAATTCTAGAAGACAACAGAGGAAAAACTATTTTAGATATTGGCCTAGGTGAAGAATTCATGACTAAGACCCCAAAAGCAAATGCAACAAAAACATAATTTCCTCTTATCCCCTCCTCAGCCTCTCAGTTCTTTTCCTCTCCCCATCTAGAGAAATTGTTCCATTGGAAATCAGTCTTATACTTCAAATTGTTCACAGAATGCTACTTCTACTCCTTTGCCTTAAATAAAATTTGACTTTTTCCTGCTGTAACTTTTGAACAAGAATTTGATGTATCAGCCATAATCTTGTATTTCAGGTGTTGTAGACAAAATTAATATGCACCAAACAGGCTTTTGTCACTTCAAGATCATTTCATGGAGAAATTTCACGTAGAAAACTGTTTTCTTTCAAGATTATATTATTCTAACTTCTAATCAACCTACCTTCTGGCCATATGTTCTTGCTATTCAAGGTCTTTAACAATGGGCCCTCATTGTTGTGCCTGTTTTTATTCCCACATCATCACAGATTCATCTAAGGTTGGGTGTAAATTATTCTGCAATCTGATTACAGATACTCTTCTACCTCTTATCACACAAATATTACTTGTCCTCAGCCAGGTGCAGTGGTGCACCCCTGTAATCCCAGCACTTTGGGAGGCTGAGGTGGATGGATCATGAGGTCAGGAGTTCAAGACCAGCCTGGCCAAGATGATGAAACTCCGTCTCTACTAAAAACTACAAAAATTAGCTGGGTGCGGTGGCAGATGCTTGTAATCACAGCTATTCAGGAGGCTGAGTCAGAAGAATTGCTTGAACCTGGGTGGCAGAGGTAGCAGCAGTGAGCTGAGATCATACCACTGGACTCCAGACTGGGTGACAGAGTGACATTCCATCAAAAAAAAAAAAATATATATATATATATATATATGTATAACTTGTCTAACATCCAAGTTTTTGCAAAAGACATTATTTCATTTCTTTTAATGGAATGGAACCCTATTATATAATATATATTACATATAATTATATTTATATTACTTGTCCTCCTTCATAGGAACCTACTCTCATGATCACAATTTGGACCTCACCATTCATCCCACAAGAATGCATTAAGCATCTACTCTGTGCCAAGTACCTCTGAGTACATCATACAGCAATGATCTAAACAGATCTAAGCTTTCTTAAAACTTGCTTTTACCAAAGGCTACTCTAACCACAGTGTTCCCATGCCTTTTTCCAGGTATACTTGCTTGCTGCCTCTGTGATATCTCTCTGTGCTTAAGAAAGCCCTAATTTTCTTCCAGGCTAATGTCTTACATTGCCATTACTTCCATCTGTAGACTCTGCAATGTATAAGAGCTTGAATCATTGTTAGAATTCCATGGTTTTGGACCACTTCCAATCCACTAATCCACTACTTTAGTTCAATTTAAGCACATGATTTTTTTGCCAGGGTACTGCTAGAGGAAAATCACAGAATCAAGCTGGTCATTGCAAAATTAGTGTTCAGCTTCAGAAAGAGTTTCAGTGGAGCAGAGCAGAAGATTTTCTGTTGATGGTTTTAGTTCTTAAGGTATTAGTAACTTCAGCATTCTACTCAAAGATCCTGGTAGTACTTCAGTTCCTTATCTTTGAGCAGATTACCTTCCTTCCTATTTGGCAAGAATATGAAGTCACTCAATAGTAAATGTATTTGTTACCAATAATTATTCATACCTATGTTTAGTTACATTTTCTTCATTCACTTGAGAAATCTTTACTGAGCACCTGTCATGTTTCAAGGTCTATTTCTAGGACCTTAGGATATATCAGAAGCTAAAACTAATGAAGATGTCTGCCCTCATGTAACTTACATCCTAGCAAGGATAATGGACATTAAGCAATGACTACAAGACATACATAAATTGTTACACAATAATAATGGATAAATGTTATTATATATATGATATTAGTGTCATGGGTCAGTATTAACGTAAAAGCTAAGTAGAAAAATGGAGCAAGGTTACAGGGATCAGCAATGTTAGGTGCTTGCAATAGTAAATTACCTGATCATAGGAGGCCTCATTGAGATTAGTTTTGAACAGCCTTGAGACATGAAATGTTCACTGAATCTCAGGAAAAAATAATCCATTTATATAACGTTAAATGTCCATCTCCAAAGTTCTCCTCTAGGTTTGGCACTGGTTCAATTCATTATTCCTCTTCTCCTTTATAATTTGTAACATTTTTCTTTTCATAAACATGGCCTGATCTTTTTAAATTAAATAAACATTAAGAAATTCTGTCCTATGCTGGACCATATCTAGCTATTTCTTCTTCTCTTACCAGGTGAGTTAATTGAAAATAAAAAAAGCAGCAGATGTTATAATTTGGAAGTCCAAAAGTCCCACGTGGCTCATGAATGTATTTATTTTGCCACACTCAGGTTTTGAGAAATATAAATTTTATTTTGAATAATTTTAGGCATGGCATATGTTTTCTGCTTGGTGATGCTTCACATTACTATACACATATTAAATTCTGCTTGCTTCTTTTATTTATGTTACCTGTTTGGTCCCTAAATCATTTAAGTTTTTAAACTTGGGCCTAGACTTCGGGCTGTATCTGATAGAAGATTAAGAGGGACTTTTGAAATTAATCAGTATACTCATTGCACTATCTATAAAAATTTCCAAAATAAAAAAAATCTAGTAATAGAAGTGTAAGATAACAATATTGTTATCTGAAGAAATTTGCTTTTATCATTATTGGAACTAGATTAATTATTAGACTACATGTAGTCTACCCTTATAGACAGAAGAACATTGTTTTTTCCCAATGAATAAAAGAAACTTGTAAATCATCCTTAATACCTTTCCCATCTTTGGGGTTTAAGAGCAACTTAGACCTAAAATTATATTTGCATACCTCAACTACACAGAAATCATCCTCAGAGTCAGAGTCATGCTCTTTATCTAATCCTAATAACATAATAATTTCCGTCTCTACTTAGAGAACATGTCTCTACTGTACAAAAAAAATCAGGAAGTAAATGAAGATGAACAATGTTATACAGTTTTCTCACAGCAACCTAGCAATTCTTTGAGAAGTGACCAAAACAAGAAGTCTTTTGGGGGATTAGTACATCCTGATAGAGAGACTGTGTGTGTGTGTCTGTGTGTGTGTGTGTGCATGTGTGTGTGTGTGTGATTATTCTGAAAATAAAACCCTTAAGTTCTTGCTAAGTCAACAGCCTTCTTCAGAGCAAGAGCCCAGAAATCAGTTCGTACTCTTGGGTTGCAGTGCTTCATATCATTTTATCCTGATTCTTTGGCATAACAGATTAGGTCAGGGAACAGTGTATGAACTAAATCAGTTATCTGTAGGCTCACCAGAGTCCCAAGGGAGTCTGGTATAAAAGCTCTGCCCACGACAAACTCAGAAAGATTGTCTCTTAGGGATTTGAAGTGTGAGAGGTAATGGCAGAAATAAGAAAGAGATGTAAGAACAGAGATAAAGATGGGGGTTGGAGGAGACAGAAGAGAAGAGAGACAAAGAGAAAAGTAAAAAAGTAAAGTGCTACCTTTTAGTGGCAGGAAAAGGCAAAAGAGTGATAGGGAGCATTTTTATTTTAGTTTTTTTTATAATAGATTAAGTAGATCTCACTCAACACAAAATCTACCCTCTTAAATTTTAAGTGTATAATGCAGTATTATTAATCTAGGGATAACATTTTACAGCAGATCCCTAGAACTTACCCGACTTGCATAATTGAGACTTTATGCCAGTTGATTAGTAATTTCCCATTTCTCCTTTCCCCCTGGTAACAACAATTTTACTTTTATTATATAAATTTGACTTTTTATATAACTCATATAAGTGGAATTATGCAGTATTTATTCTTGTGTTACTGGTTTATTTCACTTAGCCTAATGTCCTCAGTTTATCTATGTTGTGACAAATTGCAGAATTTCATTTTTTATGGCGGAATAATATTCTATTATATGCATATACCACCTTTTCATTATCCCTTTATCTATTGACAGACATGCTGGTTGTTTTCATGCCCTTGCTATTATGAATAGTGCTGCAATGAACATTGGACTGCTAATACAGCTTCAAGATCCTGATTTCAATTCTTCCAGATAAAGACCCAGAACTGAAATTGCTGGATTGTATGGTAATTTTACTTTTACTTTTTTGAGAAATCTTCATACTGTTTTCCATAGTGACTGCGCCATTGTGCATTTCCACCAACAGTCAACAAGGGTTCCAATTTTCCTGCATCCTTGCCAATACATGTTGCCTTTTGTTTTTTTGATAATAGCTATTCTAATAGATGAGAAGTTATATCTCATGAAGCGCAAAGCTAGGAGCACCATAGTCCCTGATTTTACAATGTATTAAGAGCTAAAGTAATTAAAACAGAATGACACTATTATAAAGGCAGACATATAGACCAAATGGAACAGACTAGAAAGCCCAAAAGTAAATCCACATAAATATGATCAACTGATCTTTGGCAAGAATATGAAAAATACACAAAGGGGAAAAGAGAGTCTCTTCAAAAGATGCTGCTGGGAAAATTGGACATACAAAAGAATGAAATTAGGCCGGGCATGGTGGCTCACACCTGTAATCCCAACACTTTGGGAGGCTGAGGCGGGAGGATCACGAGGTCAGGAGATCGAGACCATCCTGGCTAATATGGTGAAACCCTGTCTCTACTAAAAATACAAAAAAATTAGCCAGGCATGGTGGTGGGCACCTGTAATCCCAGCTACTCGGGAGGCTGAGGTAGGAGAATCGTTTGAACCCGGGAGGCGGAGGTTGCAGTGAACCGAGATTGCACCACTGCACTCCATCCTGGGTGACAGAGCGATACTCCATCTCAAAAAAAAAAAATGAAATTAGATTCATCTTACACCATACACATAAATGAGAATGGACTAAACACTTAAATGTAAGACCTGAGATTGTGTAACTCCTGGAACAAAACATAGGGGAATCGCTTTCTGACTTTGGTCTTGGCAATGATTTCGTGCATATGACACAAAAGATACAGGCAATAAAATCAAAGATAGATAAATGGGACTACATCAAACTGAGAAGCTTCTGTACAGCAAAGAAAACAGTTAACAGAGTGAAATGTCAACCTATGAAATGAGAGATAACATTGGCAAACAATATATCAGATAATTATTTAATTTACAAAACAAATATGGAACTCCTACAACTCAACAGCAAAAAAAACAACAACAACAATATTATGATTCAAACATAGACTAATGACTTGAATAGACATTTCTCCAATGAAGACATACAAATGGCTAACAGGTATTTGAAATGAAAGGAAGTATATTACTGGTACAGTGTTCAAGCGGGAAAAAAGAGACCCTTGATGCTAAAGGGTCAGTAAAACCACTGGATAATTTGAGTTTTGTGAAACCCATTTAAACTGACTATGAGGAGTAGATAAATATCTGCCGGAGCTACATTCTCTAAAGAATTGCAGACCTCCATTGACAGAACACAGGGACCAAAGAAAGCCCCAGCTCTGTCCAGCAGATATGCTTCTGATAAATATCTGATGGGAACCACATTGGGGCTTTCCAAATTTAGATCCAAAAGGAAAAGAGTGACGGGGATAAGAACATTCCATATAACATGAATATTAAGAAATATTTATCCTGAATACTTCAAAGGCATTCCAAGGAGAAAACAAGGAATTTATGAAAATATATTGCAATACAAAGGAAAGGGAGCATTGATTTGAAGATTCTGAATAAAAGCCCATTTCTAAAAATAATTTTTACCAAAACTAAATCTTCAAATTTTTGGCATTCTACCTCTATCCCGGGTTGTGATAAACATAAAGTTTACTTCAGTTGTGCCTCGCTAAGTAATCATGTGAGGTGCCCTTGAAGGCAGAACTTTTGCTGTTATTTTTGTGGTTGTCACAGGCTATTATTAGCAATATAAATAGCTATTTAAAAGTTGTCACTGTATCTTGAGTTGCAGAGAGCAAGTCAACTTGAAACAGACAACTATATTCAATTATTTGGGCTCTTCATGGGCCTTCCATCTCAGAACACAGCTTTCCCTCACTGAAGTTAATTTAATAACACTCTGTCATAAGTGAAAAGTGGTTAATTTTTTAAAGAAACATTAATTTTCATGGAAATTATTATGATGTAATGTATTTCAACCAAAGAAACCCAAACAATTTTCAAAGTTAGAAAATATACCAATTGAATAATGAAAATAAACTAATATAAATAATAAATAACTAAAAGTAAGTGAATACAATAGATACGATTTGACATCATTTTTTTTAAAGAGTCAAAAGCCAAGGAGAAAGAGTCTTGATAGTGAATGGTGGGTGGTGGAGAGAAGAATGCAACGGAGCCACCTCTTATTGGTAAGTTCCTCTTTCTGTACCATATTCCTCACAACCTTTTCACCTTACACAAATGTCACTGAAAAAATAAGATATAGCACAGAAAATAACTTTTGGGCAAAATTTAGGTGAATCAAAGGATGCCTTGAAACACATGTATAGACCACATGCATTTAGCAGGTCAAATATTGTAGAAAATGCTATCCCTGCCCACCTCTTTTTTGGTATAGTTATACAAAGCCAAACATTATGGGTTTATCTGAACATGGTGCACAATTCATATTTGTTCTATACATTATTCTCTAAATAAAACACCTGTAACAAGTAAGTTGGTGAGTATGCCTTTCTGAAACTGTATTACCAAATGTCACATATTATGTCACATTTATTAAGTATAATGTTTGAGGAAAAAGTCATGTTAAATGAGTGGCAAAATGTGTTAATCTAACAGTTTTACGTGTGCTAAGTTTGTGAAATATAATCTTCTTACCTTGGGCTTAAATCTTACACATTAACTGGCCCTGCTTCCTTCTCCATCTTCATTTGTACTACTGTTCCTCTTGCTCACTCTGCTCTGGTCACACTGACCTCCTTTTTGTTATTCCATTATGCTTAACATGCTTTTTCTCAGGGGCTTTGCAATGGCTGTTCTCTGTGCTGCAAACACTCATTCCTCCACGTGTTAGCATGGCTCATTCTTTACTTCACAGCCTGTCTTCATGAATAAGATGCAGGCTCCATGAAGACAGACTTTGCCTACTTTTATTACTGCTTTATACCCAGCATCCAGCACATAGTAGCTGCTCAGCAAATATTTGATGCTGGACAAGTGAATAAACGAGCAATATATCTCTGTTTATAAAGATATTAAGCAAAAGAACAGTCATGGCCCTAGAATAAGGGTTAAACATGACAAATTTTTTGCTTTTCTTTTTTTTCTTGTCTTGTTTGGCTTTGCTTGAAGGCAACCACATTGCCCATACCACCTTGAATAGTGGTGCTTGACTGTAGCTGCTAAGATGTCGAACAAATCTGAATAAGTAATCAAGGAACTTTAAAATGTACAAACCTCAGAAATAACATAAATCATTCACAAATATTTTTCCATATGCCTATGAGGATCATCTGGTTTTTTAAAAAATCTCTAAACTGAGAATAGCTTTTGCTGCTTACATCTTTGCAAACTTAATTTACTGAGAAACTAATGCTCATTTGTATTTCTATAAATAGGCCAATTTCTTTTAAAGACACACATTTAAAGCTGTCTTTTAGAAATTGACTGCTTTTTAAAGTACTCATTTGAGCTTTTCATTAAGTATTAAAATAAAAATATTTTATTTGGATTATGTGGGTCTAAGTGATTAAAGATAATGTAAAATATAATAGCATTTTTATAACTATTCTATTTCCTTGTATCTATGTTATCAACGTATTTTCTTATTTTATCCTCACAACCATACTGAATGAGAAATGACAACCACTTCATCTCTATTTCACATATTGGGAAACTAAAACTAAAAGGGATTATATGATTTACTGAATTAGAGAATGAGCGAAAGATTAGAAGATATATGTATACATGACTTGTGGGCTAGTGTTTGCTCTTCCATTTTAAATCCATTGCTTAAATAGCTTGTAGAAAATCAGTGGTATTTCCAGCAAAAAATCTTAAAGCTTGAAGCTAGTAATCATATTCTCATCAAAGAACCCATTTTTAGTTAATCAGTCTCTATGTCCATAGCCTTATCCCTTGCAGCTTTATAAAGCATTCCTTTTCAAATTGCATGTTTGCTCTGTATTTCATACAGCGTAAGAGAAAATATCAGAAGTCCATGCGTGCATCACACAATATTTAAAATTGCGGAGTTCAGTATGGGTTTCTAGGTACCTATAATATAAACAAGTCAAGAGAAAAATTTGTGAGTAGAAACAAACTGAAACACAATCTTTCCTCATTTTGTGAAATGGTTTTTGATTTTTTTCTTTTTACAAGTATAACAGTCTGTAATATGATATGTCCCATAAAGTGTCAGTTTTACAAATTACTCATCTCATTCATCAGGTCTGGCTTTCACTGCAATTCAGATTTAAACTTTACAGAATCATTATTCACTGTAGTCAGCCTGGTTCATGGATCTCATATTCTATTCTTTATTTATGCATGGAAATTACCAATACTGTCAACAAGAAAGAACACAACCCAGATCCATCCATAAGAACTTTTTCTTATTGTGTAGACTATCATATTAAAACTTTAGTATATATTTCTGATGGTAAATTTTGGCTTATATTTTCTGAAGTAAAACTAGATTGAATGCATTTTAATATATCAATTTAACTTCTGCAGAAATCTGTAGCCAAGGTAGTATCTAAGCAATGCCTGTTTGATTAATTTACATGCAGGTCATTTTGATACAAGGCAATCATGTTTCATCTGCTCTGCATTAGTACACATTTTCCTACAAATTACCAAGCTGAGACATAACTGTAATCCATGCAGCCCAGGATTTAGCTTTGAATATTTGGATAACCCAAACCAGGACAAGAGTTATTTTTTCAAAGGACAAGATCAAAAAAAATTAAAGCCTGCTCAATATAAACGTTCTATGTCTTTTTTAATTACAAAAAACCTTTTGGGTTTTTTTTTTTAAATCCTTCTGGCACATAAGGAAAATCAAACAGAAAAGCATTGTGATGTAAGGGTGCATGTGAAAATTTTTTTAAATTGTGTAATAGTAACTGTCCAAAAGTCTATGTTATTTAGCCACCTTTCCCTCAAAAATAATAGATAATTGTGCTCAATAAATATTAATGTAATATGGCTAACCATATTCATCCTGATACCTATATGGACAGCAGTTTTTCACTTCAATGCTGACCACTTTTCTAAGCTTCATATTTGATACACAACTTCAAACTGATTACCTCTACTTGGTGTCTACTAGTCATCTCAATCTTAACATGACTCAATCAGAATTCTTAATTTCTTTATACCCTCTACTCCTCTCCAAGATTCTCCATCTTCGAAAATGACATTCATTAATCCAGTTACTCAAGCTGAAAACACAGAAATCATCTTTGGTCCCTCTCATTAATATACAGACCACATTTCATTCATCAGCAAGTATTATCGGCTCAACTTCCAAAATATTCCAGATCTGTCACTTCCAGAACCTTCCACATGCACCATCTATTCCAAATCATCATCTCTACTTTGAATAATCAACAACCTCTATAACATTATCCCTGATTCTTCTTTGACTACGTGCTTCTGTTTTTTCACAAAGGAGACATTGTTGTTTTATGTTAAGTGAAAAAGACTTGCATAAAAATTGATATATGCATTACGTTACTTACATCACAATAAATGAACTCAGGTAAAATTGCCCAAAATGTGCATAATAAGTTATCTTTTCTACGTTATCGTATTTTTCCTTTCTTTTTTAAAAGCCTTTTTTCTCAAACATCCTTTGTTGTATTGTTCAAAGTTTTGAAAATTGTTTGACGGTAATTTTACAATTAGAAAAATATTTTATGAAAATAATTTTAATTAAAATCAAACTGAATACAGAGAGATAATAGAAAACAATAATGACAGGGGACTTCATCAACGCGCTTTCAAAGTCAGATGGTTCATCCAGACAAAAACAAATAAATAAAAATACAACAGATTTGAACTACATGTTAGACCAAATGGACCTTAAAGACATATATAGAACAGTCCATTCAATAGCAGAAAATACACATTTTTCTTAAGTGCACATGAAACATTCTCCAGATAGATCCTATGTTGGGTCACAAAACAAGTCTTAATGAATAAAAGAAGACTGAAGTCAAGTAACGTGTCTTTTCTGACCTCAATGGTATAAAACCAGAAATCAATAATAGAAGGAATTTTGGAAAATTTACAAATATGTGCAAATTATACAGCATGCTTCTAAACAACCAATAAAGCAGAAAATAAAATGGTAATTTTAAAATATCATGATATGAAGAAAAATATAAACACAACATACTTAATTCTAAAAATGGAATGCTACAAAAGGAGCATAAGAGCAGAAATAAATAAAATAGAAACTAGGAAAACAACACAAAAGAACAAGAAAACTAAGAGTTAGATTTTTTAAAAGATAATTAAAATAGTTAGTAAATAAAGAGAAGACAAAATTGGAAATGAGAGAAGACCTTACAACTGACACCACAGAAATATAAAGGGTCATATGTGTTACAATACTATGAACAACTATAGTCCAACAAATTGGATAAGCTAGAAGAAATGAGTACATTACTATACACATACACCCTACAAAGACTGAATCGTGAAGAAATAGAAAATCTGAACACACCAATAATGAGTAAAGAGATTGAATTAGTAATAAGAAGTCTCCCATCAAAGAAAGCTCAGAATCTGGATGGCTTCACTGCTGAATTCTACCAAACATTTAAAGATGAACTAATGCCAATTCTTAAACTCTTCCAAAAAATTGAAGAAGGGGAATACACCTAAATTCATTTCATAAGGCCAGCATCACCCTGATACCAAAGCCAGACAATGACATTTCAATAAAAGTAAATTACAGGTCAACATCCTTGATGAACATAGATGTAAAAATTATCAACAAATTACAATAAACTAAATTCAATAGCACATTGAAAGGATCATTTTCCATGACCAGGTGGGATTTATCTCTGAAGTGCAAGGATGGTTCAATATATACAAATATATAAATGTGATACATATATTAGCAGAAAAAAAGGACAAAAACAATATGATTACATCAATTGATGCAGAAAAGGCATTTCACAAACTTCAGCATCTTTTATTATAAAAACTCTCAAAAATTAGATATAGGATTGTGCCTCAATGCAATAAACAACAATCCCATAGTTGATGTCATACTCAATATTACAACCATCCCAATGCATATAAAACAATCCCATAGTTGATGTCATATTCAATATTACAAAGTTCAAAGCTCACCTCTAAGAACAGAAACAAGACAAAGATACACTTCTCACCACTTAACATTCAACATGGAAATTCTGGCTAGAGCAACTAGACAAGAGAAATAAATAAAAGCATCCAATTTGGAAAGGAAGAAGTTAAATTATCTATGTTTGTGGATGACATGATCTTACATGTAACAACCCTAAAGATTCCATCAGAAAAATATTAGAACTGTAAATCAAAAATAAAATTCTAAACCCCCAAATTGACTGATGGACCCCACCCTCCACCCTTGGCCAAGGGCATTCCATAGGATACCTGAAAATCCAGTTCAGGCTATGATAGGGATGGGTGATTGGACATGCCTCATTACACTCTCCTTTCTTTGGGATTCAGGCACAATTGACCAGCATCAACATTAAAACAGAGATCCTAAAACTGACAAAGCAGACTTTTGTAACAATAAGACACCAAATTCCAGCCTGACTCTAGTATAGCATCACATGATAGATGTCAGCACCTGAAAGAAACTGAAGTATTTTTTTCCTCAAAATCTATTTCTTTTGATGTATTTTGAAATGGTCCTGCAAACCTATCCTTTGTGAGGAAAATCTACATTCTATAGAGAATCCTCTTTCTTTTCCAAATCTTTCATCTGATCCAGGAGAGAATTAACTAAGAGTCTGGCACATTTTTAGGTCTGATAAGAACTCTGAAGCCTGCTACCTGCAGGCCTCATCTGCATGATAAAATCTTGATCTCCACAATGCCTTAGCCTTAACCCAGACATTTCTTTCTATTGATTCTAGGTCTTTAGAAAATAACACTTTCAACCAATTGCCAATTAGAAAATCTTTGAATCTGCCTATAACCTGGAAGTCCCCACTTCCAGTTGTCCCACCTTTCTGAACCAAACCAAGGTACATCTTGCATGTGTTGATTGATGTCCTGTCTCCCTAAAATGTAGAAAATCAAGCTGTAGCCCAACTACATTGGACACATGTTCTCAAGATCTCCTGGGGCTATGTCATGGGCCACTGGCCACTCATATTTGGCTTATCTCTTCAAATATTTTACAGAATGTGACTCTTTGTTTGACAGTACTAATAAATTAATTCCATAAAGTTACAGCAGACAAAATCAGCACATAAAAATCAGTAGCATTTCTACAGACTAACAATTTTCCAAACAATAGAAAAATAAGAATAAATCCCATTTATTAGGTTGGTGCCATTATTTTAATGGCAAAAAACACAATTACTTTTGCACCTACCTAATAAAATAGCCACTGAAAATACCAACTAAAGAATAAATTTAACCAAGAATGTGAAAAATCTGTACACTAACAAGTATAAAATGCGATGAAATAAATTGAGGACACAAGTACATGGAAAGACATCCATGTTTCTGGATTCGAAGAATTAACATTGTTAAGTGTCTATGCTACTCAAAGCAATCTACAGCTTCAATACAATTTACATCAAAATTCCAATGACATTTTTCATAGAAGTAGAATAAATCTTAAAATTCATATGGAACCACAAAAGGCCTGGTATAGCCAAAGCAGTCCTGAGGAAAAGGAACAAAACTGGAAGCATCACACTACCTGATCTAATATAGAGCTACAGTAATTAACAAAGGAAGGCACTGGATTGAAAAAAGGACCATAGTGCAATGGAACAACATAGAGAGTCCAGAAATAAGCCCATGCATTTATGGTCACTTAATTTTTGGCAGAGATGCAAAGAACACAAAATAGGGAAACAGCAATCTCTCTAATAAATAGTGCTAGGAAAACTGGATATTCACATGCAGAATAATGAATTTATACAATTATCTCACACCATAGACAAAATCAACCCAAAATTATTGAAGTCTTAAATATAATACCTGAATCTGTAAACTACCAAAATAAAACAAAAAGGAGATGCTCCGTGACATTTGTCTAGGCAATGATTTTTCAGATAGGACCCCAAGGCATGGACAGTTAAAGCAAAAATAGAAAAACAGAATTGCATCAAACCAAAAAGTTTCTGCACAGCCAATGAAACATCAACAGAGTGAAGAGATGGTCTACAGAATGTGAGAAAATATTTGCAGATCATACATGCTATAAGAGGTTAATATCCAAAATATATAAGGACCTCAAACAACTTAATAGTAAGAAAACAAATCATCTGATTAAAAAATGGCAAGAGATCTAGATAAACATTTCTCAAAAGAACTTATATTGGTTAACAGTTAAAAGAACACATGTAACTGGTTCACAGTTACAAAACACACATATAACTGGTTAAGTTATAAGAAAATTGCACAGTATAACTAATCATCAGGTAAACCCAAAGTAAAACCACAATGAGATATCACATCACAATTGTTAGAATAACTATTATCAGAAAGACAAAAGGTAAATATTGGTGAGGATGTAGAGAATAGAGAACCCTTGTACGCTGCTAGCAGAAACGTAAATTAGTACAGCCATTATGAAAAACAGTACAGAGCTTCCTCCCCGCAAAATAAAGACAGAACTACTATATGATTCAGCAATCCCACTACTGAGCATGTATCCAAAGTAAATGAAATCAGTATGTTGAAGAGATAATGGTACTCCCATGTTCATTGTGGCATTATTTACAATAGGTAAGATTTGTAATGAATTTAAATGTTCTTCAATGGATGAATAGTTTTTTTTATGTGGTGGATATATACAATGTAATATTCTTCAGCTTTACGAAAAGAAGAAAATCTTGTCATTTCCAACAACATGGATAAACCTGGAGGACATTATGATAGGAGAAATAAGCCCAGCACAGAAAGACAAGTATTGCACAATCTCACTTATGTGAATTTAAAGTCACCATAATATAACCCAAGAGTAATATGGTTGTCTCCAGGTGCTGGGAGGAGTGGGGAGGATGTGGAGATGTTGGTCAAAGACCAAACAATTTCAGTTAGATAAAAAGAATAAGTCTAAGAGATCTAGTGTACCTCATGGCTACTATAGTTAATAACAACATATAGTATTCTTAAACATTGCTAAGAGAGTAGATTATAAGTGTTCTCACCACAAAAAAATACATATGTGACATGATGCATATGCTCAATGGCTTGATTTTCTCATTACAGAATATACATACATATCAAACATCATGACATCATGTATATCATAATACATACAATTGCTTGTAAATTAAAAAAATCTAAATCTAGCTAATTATATATATGAAAAATTGGGTCTTTTTTTCAGCTATTAAAAATACATGGGAATACTGGTATAGTCTGTTTGTATTACCTTAGTCTCTGAGTCAATTTTTATTAAATGCTTGCTACATGTCTGGCTCTAAGCTGACAATCAAGGATGCAAATGTATATTAGGTGGTTTCTCTAAACTGAAGTTATTTTAAAAGTAGAGCCACCATTAAGAAATCTATGTATCTATACCAATTTATTTTTCATTCTATGTTAATTTTACAAATATTATGATGATGTGGTGATTACACAGGCTAATTTTAATTTAAAAATTCCCCCAGAAGATATGGGTTCAAATTATCCTCAGACCTTCACTCTGCATTAAATACATAAAGTTATCTTTATGAATTATAGATACGATCATTCTTTTGTGGACTTATTCTATATAAAGATTAATACTCTCCCAAACTGTCCTATCTCATCCAACTTTTCTCTAAGCTCCTTTATAATTTTTATACTTGTTAGATCTTTCCCATTAACAAAAAACTGGAGGAAATGCATTTACTTCCTTTTCTGAACTCCGAAGGATTACATTTCTATAATTATTAGATTCTGATATGTCCAATGTTGCAAAGTTTAATCTTATGTACATCTCAACATTCCACATTTATAACCATGACTATTAAAAAATGGTGTTTAAAGAACAGCAGCATTGATATTAATGTTGCTTGATATTTATATTTAAAAGGTTATCTAAGGGAAATAGAAGTGTCATTCATAGGCTGAGCCACAGGCTTGCCCTTCTAAAAGAATTAATCTAGTGTTCTTTTGTGTTGCAAGTCATCTTGTAATTACAGCACCCTATTAACAAGAGTTTTGCTCTTGCATTGTGTGAAAATGCTTCTAACTGGTATCCTGGGAATGTCCTGTTCTGAATGGCTATATCCTTGACATTTTTATTATAGACTAAGTTTGTTTGAAGTAGGTTCATAAAATGGAGATTTAAATATAAATTATTTGAAATTATGTTTCTTGGTAAGGTTTAAAGTCTACGTTTATAAATAAGACTAACAAATGCATAATACAAACAATATCTACTTGTCACAGATATTTGAATATTTCCACTTGGAAAGTAAGATGCTGCTGTTCATGATGACACCAGCAATGATTTTTTTTCACACAATTTTAGTTTTAAATTATTTGAATTTTTAATAAAATCTGATATATGCTTATCATTAGAAAGTAATCCAGTAATATAGGAGTCTGTGTAAGATAAAAATTATTAGCCTCTCCTTATAATTCTTTCATAGTTCTATTTTTTATTGACTTCTTAAATCCATTTGTTTATTTCACATGTTTTCATTTAGTGTGAGGCAGCATTTCATTTATAGCATTCCAAATGGATCGTCTATCTAGAAATCCTGTTGTTTTTGGATTATGGGTCGTTTCCTGGATATGACTCATCTCCTCTGATTATCAGTAAACTGAATCCACCTGCTCACATGGAGCCTTACCTTCAGGTTCCAAGCACTGCATAGTATACCATGCTTGGCTATCTTCTTCCTCAGTATTATTTAGGTCAAAATTCCACAGCTAGAGGCTAGAATTCACAGGCTATTTCTTTTACTCGCTTGGTTTGCAATAGCTCCATATCAGCTCACTGTTCTGCCACATCTTGGTATTGTGGCTGCCACAGCATTTCTTTAGATGACCAACAGAAGGATCTGAAATGAAACAAGATTAAAATGCTCCATGCCCACTTCCACTCATTTATTTTCTGAATTCCAAAGATGTAGAGACACAATGGAGAGTGGTGTGGGAGAAGATAGAGTCTTGAAATTCCAGTGTTATTTAAGTTATTTGCTTATTGAAGAAATTCCCTGGACATGTTCCAAGTCAGCCGGTCTTAAATGTTTTCCCACTGCCTTTGGTTGTATTTACTTTCTTATGAACTACCAGCCAGTTTCTCCCAGGTTAAATGTAAGTTTCTATCCTCTATCATTCAAACAAGTCTATTTCATGAGTGAGAATTAAGTTACCCAATTAATCTTGAATTAGCTTTACTTTAATAAAACTAATTTATTGACAAATTCAGATAACTGATTAATTTCTAAAAAGTAGGGCCTATAACAAATTGTACACCAATTTGATTAGATGATCTCTAAGGTATCTTCTATATCTGATATTAAAGATTTGATAAAATGTGTCAGTGTTAGTCATAAGATGATACAAAATAGCTGTCTCTGACGATTATTTTGCCTTCAACTGTTAAACCAGTTACCCTTATCAGCATAACTAGTTCACGAAGTGAGAGTGGTGTTGTCCTAATCTGAATCTTTATTTACTTAGATCCTGGATGAATGATAATATTCCCCATAGCTAAGTAATAACTACCTTTGTTTGTTTGGGCTGCTACAACAACAGCAACAACAACAACACCTTAAACTGGGCAATTTATAAATTATGGAAATTTATTACTAACAGTCCTGAGGCTGGGAAGTCTAGATCAAGACACAAACAAATCTGGTGTTTGATGAGGACTCTGCTTCAAAGATGGTACCTTTTTGTTGCATCCTCACATGGCAGAAGGGAGGAAGGGGCTGAGCATCTCCCTTGAGCCTCTTTTATAAGGGCACTGTCTTAGTCTATAGTGTGCTGCTTTAACAAAATTGTTGAGACTGGGTAATTTATAAACAACAGAAATTTATTTCTCACAGTTCTGGAGACTGGGATGTCCAAGATCAAGTCACCAGCAAGTTCAGTTTCTGGTGAAAGCCCATTTCTCATAGATGGCACTGTCTGGGTGTCCTCACATGGCAGAAGAAACAGAAAGGGCAAAAGAGGACAGACAGACACTGTGTCCTCACATGACAAAAGAGCAGAAGAAGCAAGCTTTCCCACTCCATCCCTTTTATAAGGCACTAATTCATTCATGAAAGCAAAGCCCCCATGGCCTACGTACCTCCTTAAGGCCCCACTTCTTAATATCATTACAATGGGAATTAAGTTTCAACATGAATTTTGGAGGGGACACATTCAAACCATAGCATACATTAATCCATTCATGAGACTGGAGCTTTTACAATTTAATCACCTTCCTAAGGCCAAACCTTTTAATCATATCACACTGGGTATTAGTTTCCAACATCTGAATTTGGTGTGTGGTCGGGGGGACACACACATTCAGACCATAGCAATAACTTTAGTCAGCTAGCAGGATTCCTTCAATAGTTTTACCCATTGGTGTGTTTTCAGTAGACTGATACATTATGCAAAACTACTCATTAATGGTGCTTCCTGTAAAAATGTTGATGGTAAAATAGCTGTTAGCAGTTACAAATTAAGGCTTTAACAACAAAACAAATAATCTACAAAGATAGCATTCAGTAGAAAATAGTTCCTTTTTGAAGTTTGTACTGAATGCAGCAAATTTCCTATCAATCATTCAGTTGATACAAAGAGGCTGCTCATCTTTGAGAGATCTACAGCTTAGTGCAAACTGAAGTACGCCAAATTAAGTGAAAGCCTCCTTGGCTTTCTGCATGGAATTTAAACCATGGGGGTATTTTATTGACCTTTATCTTTATGCCAGACAGCCATGCTTACCCATTATTTTGACTATCTCTGACTTTGTAACATAAATGATAGAATCATGCATAAGGTAAGACAGACGTTACATAACTTTCCCCACTCCCCACAAATCATTTAAACCAAATACACTAAATATAGGAATTTTCTTTTCTTACACTCAGTATCCCCAGAAGAAAGCAAGCTTTGGAGTTGTAATAACTAAGCACATTTTGTCTTTCCCCTCGATATTCTTCATTGAAATTATTATTTTGATAGGCAGATATTATTTTCAAGTTAAGAGGCAGCAAATCTGAAGAAAGGTGACATCCTACACATCATCTTATAAAGTTCTAGACATCTAGCAAAACCATTAGCATTTCAGTACATCCTCAGGCTCCACTTGAAAACTTTTGACCCTTGCAATGAAAATCAAAACAATGATAACCTTTTACTATTTCAATAGCTCTTTTAGCTATGAAAATATCAACTGCAAGAACTAGGTAGGCACTAATATTGTTAATGAACAACTTTTGTGGTTAATGTATTCAAGAGATTTCAATCAAGCTAAGACTTCTACAATAGTGGTCTTCTCTCTGCTCTCTTGAAAATTTATGTGACTGTTGGGCTGTTATTCTTTATATCATCTTTCATCTTGAACAATTTGACCATTTCACCTTTCCTTTTTGTCACTTCATCTAATTTATAATTCTATCTCTAAATAGATTTATCCTCCTTTGGTACTATCTTATATTTTCTTTCACTTCATATATCAGATCTTGTTATTGATACTCTTGATTTATTAACTTAATCTTTTTATACTACTTGATGTAGATATGTGTGTTCTATTTTTTAATTTATGAGCACATTCAATTGCTGTAAAGCTAGTTCCTAATAAGTAGTGCAGTACTTGAAAAGTTATCTGTTTCTTAGTACTGGATAAAAACTATTTAAAAGTTTATTTTTATAAAATTAACAAATATTTAGAATATATTGCTTTTAAGGCTAACCGAGAAAATACAGCTTGGTACTTAATAACTCAGGAAAAATTCCAATTTTTACAATTCAATAGTGCAAAAATTCACAGACAGATTTCATATAAAAAGGGTATGAACATTTATAAAGATGCCTACATATCCAATAAATTACAAAAAAACAGCTATTCAATAACTGTTCAACATTAGGGTTTCCGGTCATGACAAATCAGCACCCTCAATGTAATTAATGTCTTGTAACTTGATCTCTTTTCTCTTATTTTCAAGGGAACTAGTCATATTCTGATAGCCCTTATAATATCTACATTTATTACCTCAGTAAGTTTGTGATGACATCACAATTCTTGGAATATATTCAGAACACATTGTGTTCAAAGCAAACAGCTATAAATTTAACTTTTCGGCTTTTTGTAAATTACTTCTAAATTAACTTGTCTGCCAATAGTGCCCAACACAGTGAAAAAGTTTTCTTTAGAAAGATACATTTTATGATTTGGAATGTGAATAGATTTAGCTGTCATAGGCCCTTGCCTAATGAGTACATGTGCCCACATATGCAGATTAATATTACAAACACTATTCTCTTTATGTAGAAAGATGAATCTATATCCACCATCATTATAGTGCTCATTCGGAATTCATTTGAATACAGATTGATGGAGAAAAATTTGCACTTAACGGAGGCTTAAACTAACTAGTTTTTGGTCTAAACTCTCCTGATAAATACTATATGACATTTGACAGGTTTCTTGATATATATGTACTACTGTTTTTCAATATGCAAAATAAAATCATCTGGGGTAATTGCGCACATGCCTAAAGCTGCTGCCTCTGGGGAATGACATTAGAGACTTCACACCGTGTGAGAATACACTTCCCCAAAAACTATAGTCAAGCATGGTAGGCAGAATAAGGGTCCCTCTAAAGAAGTCCACATCCTAATTGCCAGAAATTTAATATGTTTTGTTAAATTTCAAAAGCAGTTTATTTTTAAATATAGAGTTAACATTGCTGATTAGTTAACTTTGAAATGGGAGAGTCTCTTGGATCATTTAGATGGGCCCTATATAATTACAACGGTCCCTATAAAATCAAAGAGGGAGACAGTAAATTTAGTGTCATCGTGATGCAACACAGGAAAGACTTGACTATCAAATGAAAATGGAAGGGGGCCATAAGCCAAACAAAAAAAAAAATGTAAGCCAAATATAGAATCAGGAAAAGTCAAGGAAATTGATTCTTGAATCCTCCAGAAAGAAGGTAACCTACCTTGGGTGACGTAAAATATCTCCTTGATTTTATCCCACTGAAAACCATGTTGGACTACTGACCTCCAAACAGACCACAAATTCATTTTACTTCAACATATTTGTAGTAATCTATTATAGAACAATAGGAAATGAATATACCATATTTTAAAATAAATAGGTAAATGACAACATAATGAATCCCAGAGATAAAAAAAAGGACTCAGTAGCTCAAGGTGTTCAAATATATTAATAAAATATCCAGTTTTCAGGAAAAAAAAAACTAGGACACATGTAAAGAAACAGGAAGGTATTTCTTCACATGCAGTGAAAAGAGCAGGCAAAAGAAACTGGAAGAGGGCCTAGATGTCATAGCTAACTGACAAAAACTCCAAAGTGGTCATCATAACTATGTTCAAAGAAGTAAAAGAAAATCCGACTGTAAAAAGTAAAGGTAGATATGAAGACGATGTTACACAAAATAGAGAATATCAGTAGAGCTATATACATGATAGAAAAAATATAAAAGCTAAATTGAAAAGTACAGCAACCCAAAGGGGAAGTTCATTAGAGAAAATCGGCAATATATTTGAACTGGCAGATGACAGAATCAGGGAAGTTAAATCAATAGATATTGTGCAATTTTAAGGACAGAGGGAAAAAGAATGAAGAAAAATGTAAAAAGCTTCAGAAAAATGTGGGATACCATTAAGAACACCAACACATGCACAATGAGAGTATCAGAAGGAAAGTCGAGTTAGAAAGGGGAAATACTAGCAAAAAAATGACTGAAAAAGGCCCAAATTTGATGAAAAACATTAATCTAAATATCTAAGAAATTCAACAAACTCCAAGTAGGATAAAATCATCAAATCATACCCAGCATTCCTAATAGACATGAAATTATACAAAGTAATAATTATAACAACATATCATTACATTAGCAACATATATAGATGTATGTTACATGTTAATAGAAAAACAAGGAGGAAGATAAAATAGAGCTATGTAGAAGGAACATTTCTGTTTCACTAGAACTGTTAGTATAAAAGTGATGTACATTCTTATAAGGTAAGATATATGATAAGCTCTAGTGCAGCTACTAAAAAATTCAGAAAAGAGTAAAAAAGTCATTAGAAGCTATTTAAATGTTACACTAGAAAATATTCAATTGATTTAAAAAACAGTAAAGGAGGAATAGACACATGAAAATGACATGAGATTTACATAAAATGACAGATTTAAATCCAACTTTATCAGTATTTATGGCACATGTGAAGGGAATGAACACTATAATCAAAATAAAAACATCACTCAACTACTGTTGTTTATAGGTGACACACTTTAGATTCAAATATATGAATAGATTGAAAGTAAATGGTTGGAAAATGATACACCATAGCAACCATAAGAAATCTGGAGGGGCTAATATACTAAAACGTCAGGCAAAAATAGACTTTAAAACAAGAAAAATTTACTGAAGGTAAAGAGAATATTTTACAATTTTTAAAAGGACAATCCATTAGGAAAACATAACAATTTTTAAAATATATGCACCTAACAACAGAGCTCCCAAATATGTGAAGCGAAAACTTAAAACTAAAAGGAGAAACAATTCAAAATAATGGAGAGACTTCAATAGTTCACTTTCAGTAATGCCTACAGCAGCTAAGCAGAAGGTCAATAAGGAAAGAGAAAACTTGAACACTATCGATCCGTTAGACTGAAAAGATATCAATAGAATATTCCAGATACCAATAACACAATGCATATTTTTCTCAAGGGCACGTGGGACGTTCTCCAGCACAGATTTACATGTTAGGCCATAAGACAACCCTCACTAAATTTAAAAGGATTGAAATCATACAAAGTAAGTGCCCTGACAAGAATGGAGTGAAACTAAAATTCAATAACAAAAAGCCTTGGGAAAATTCAATAATAAGCAAAAAAAAAAAAAAAAAAAAAAAAAAAAAAAAAAAATACACCTAGATATCCAATTATAAGGCAAATTAGAAAACATATGAGGTGAATTAAAATGAAGACACCATACACCATGGAATGTAGCTAAAGCAGTGGTTAGTGAGAAATTTATAGCTATGAATTCTAACACTATAAACAAAGAAGGACCTCAAAACAATATCCTAAGTTTCTACCTTATGACAATGAGAAAAGATGAGCGAATTCAGACCAAAGCAAGAAGGAAAGAAATAAAGATTAGAGCAAAAACTGATGAAGAAGAGATTAGAAAAGTAATGAAGAAAATCAAGAAAACCAAAGTTTGCTCTTTGAAAAGATTTTTTTTTTCCCCAGCTACTCAGGAGGCTGAGGCAGGAGAATGACGTGAACCCGGGAGGTGGAGTTTGCAGTGAGCCGAGATCGCACCACTGCACTCCAGCCTGGGCAACAGAGCGAGGCTCCGTCTCAAAAAAAAAAGAATTTTTTTTTTTAGAAATTTACAAATCTTAACTAGGTTGACCAAAGGGTATCTAAAAAGTTTAAATCAATTATTTTGAAACTTCCCAAACACAAACTCAGGCCCAGATGGGTTCACTGGCAAATTATGTCAAACATTTAAAGAAAAATTTTTACCAAGTCTTCACAAATAGTTCCAAAACATACGAGAGGAGCGAACACTTCCTAGCTTATTCTGTGAGGCCAGTATAGCTCTCATATCAAAATCAGGCAAAACAATCACAAGAAAATTACAGAACAATATATTTTACAAATATACACTCAAATTTCTCAAGGAAATACTAGTAAATTAAACCTAACAACATAAAAAGGATTACACATTATGAAGAAATAGGATTTATCCCAGAAATGCAATATTGGATTAATATCTAAAATCGATTAACATAATATACCTTATCAATAGAACAAAAGATTAAAAATGCATAATCATTTCAATATATGCAGAAAAAGCATTTGACAAAACACTTCAACCTTTATGATAAAATTCACCTTCATAATAAAAACACTCAATCAACATGAACACACTCTTATAATAGAAACACTCAACCAACTGGAAATAGACTGGAAGTTATCCAACCTTATAGGGCAGCTGTGGATTTTCAAAAAACAAAACAGTTGAAAGCATAGTTAATGGCATAGGATTGAATGCTTACTCCCTAACATCAGGAAAAACAAGGATATCTGCTCTTGACAATTTTATTCAACATATTACTGGAGGTTTTAGCCAGGGCAATTAGGCAATAAAATCAAATAAATCCATATTGAGAAGAAAGAAAACTAACTCTATTTACAGATGATATGGTTTTGTATATAGAAAATCTTAAGTAATCCACTAAAAACACTATGAGAACTAATAAATGAGTTCAGAGAAGTAGTATAATGCAAGATCAATATAGAAAAATCATATTGCTCTACACTACCAATAATCTGAAAATAAAACAAACCAATTATAGTTATAATAGCTAAAATAAAATAATTAGCCATATATTTTTTAAAACTATAAAATGGATAGTTATTTTGTGTGTATAAAATGCGTGTAAAAATAATTATAAAATGTGTAACTGTAAAATGCACACTACTAGTACAGTTATAACAAAAAGACATAAAAACTAATATTCATGAGGATATGGAGAAATTGGAATTTTCACACACTGCTCGTGGAAATGTGAAATAGTAGAGACGCTTTGGAAAACTATCTGGCAGTGCCTAAATATGTTAAATATAGAGTTACTATATTACCCTGCAGTTCTAGTCCTAGGTATATACCCAAGAAAAATAAAACATATACCCACACAAAAACTAGTACCCTAATGTTTATAGCAGTATTATTCATAATAGTCCAAAAGTGCAAACAACTAAAATGTTGATCAACTATAAAATATGTTATATCCATAAAGTGGAATATTATTTGGCAATTAATAGAAATAAAGCACTGATATATACTACAACATGGCTAAATCATGAAAACGTTACACTAAGGGAAAGAAACCAATCA
Source organism: Homo sapiens (assembly GCF_000001405.40). Lineage (NCBI taxonomy): Eukaryota > Metazoa > Chordata > Mammalia > Primates > Hominidae > Homo > Homo sapiens. The sequence goes on along the minus strand of NC_000002.12, from coordinate 166,643,245 downwards.
CAAAAGACCACATATTGCACGATTCCATTCATATGAAATGTCCACAATAGACAAAACTACAGAGACAGAAAATAGATTAGCCATTGCCTCGGGCTGTGGGATTTGTGGTGAAATAAGAAATGACTGGTAATGGCTACGGACTTTCTTTTTGCAGTGATGAAAATGTTCCAAAATTGATTGTGGTGATGGTTGCACAACATTGTGAACATATTAACAAAAATTTTTCATCTTTCAAAAAGTAAATAGAAACTTTTTAGTGAAAGGCTTATGGACAAAGTAGTATATTATACACTGTATTGAATGTGAGTGTGTGGTTTTACAATTGTATAGGAAGGTCTAATTTTAAGAAAAGTGCTACTAACTTTCCAAATAAGAAAAAAATATATATAATAATCATCATTGGCAAATATTACCATTCAAGAATCATTACGTTGAATTGTTGAAATTCTTTAAAATCAGCCTTCTAAGTTGATTACTATCCTTATTTTTTTCTGTAGAGAATACATTTTTTCCTCATGTAATTGAGCTCTTCTTCAAAAGGTAAATGCCAGTTCATAAAGAGTAAATGATACTGATTATCTGATAATATCTTGCTTTTGGTACAAAGCTAAATAATTTCCAGAACAACAATTTCTTTGACTGGATTTGTTAAAATGTTGTTTTCTTTACTGATTTCCACCTTTCTTAAGTTACATACAAACTCTGCCTGAAGACTCCAAGGACAAGATAAGACAAATTGCCAGTGTGGTGTACATGTAAATCTAGGTTTAAATATCGAGTCTGAAATACAAATACTATTTTGACAGCACTCCAAAACAAAAAATATTTTACTATTAAAACCCTTTATAAAAAAGGTTTATTCATGGAATCCACAGGTGACATAAAAGCTTCCCAGACTGTGTGTCAAGAATCTTCAGGTAGAGGGCCAGCTGTGGCCATAATGTCAGTTCACATTTTCAGGCACCAGGGAGGCCTCAGCTTTCTCTTGGAATTTCATGAGCCCTTAAAATCTACTCATGGGTATCCTCTAGACTAGGGTGTGTTATAATACCTGCACTCTGATATATAGCAGTTCTCATTACTGGCTTTCCTATACCTTGGGGACCCCTAGATATGCTGGACACACAATTAGTTAGGCCCTTTCAGGGATTTTTAACTCAATTGTAGGGTCAGAGACTAAGATAAATCTCCTCTTTAGGATGAGCTCTTAAAATTTAGTGAGACTTTGGAAATCAGACACCTTCCCATATATTCAATGAACATTTCAACACACACTTGCCCTCTTGGCCAAATGGCTCTTTGAGGTGTAAAACCTACACAGCACATGTAGTGGTGCTGTCTTTGTGTTCAGAAAAATGGAACATAGTCTGGCACACATTCTTTTAATTAGTTGCAACTCTCAGGCCCCTGAGCCCAAGCCTGCACGTATACATCCAGATGGCCTGAGGCAACTGAAGAACCACAAAAGAAGTGAAAATGGCCAGTTCCTGCCTTAACTGATGATGACATTGCCTTGTGAAATTCCTTCTCCTGGACAATGAGTCTCAGAAGCTCCCCCACCGAGCACCATGTGACCCCCGCCCCTGCCTGCCAGAGAACAAACCCCTTTGACTGTAATTTTCCACTACCTACCCAAATCCTATAAAACTGCCCCACCCCTGTCTCCCTTTGCTGACTCCTTTTTGGGACTCAGTTGGCCTGCACCCAGGTGATTAAAAAGCTTTATTGCTCACACAAAGCCCGTTTGGTGGTCTCTTCACAGGGACATGCAGGACAGCAACACAATTTTAACATGAAAATGCCTATCTTCTGAAAACCAGTATGCTTGCCTTTCATATCTAAGTAGAACTAACATTTAGAGGATATTTCACATACATTAGAGGCATGCTATGCTGTGTGCAGTTGGAACACATAAATTTCAGCCTCAACTCTCTTGTAGTCATTTCCAAATAAGTGTTTTCACTTACAGAAACAGAAACAATTAAAAATACTCATAAAGCCCGTTGGAATTCTCAGATAAAAAGATCAAAAGGCCTTCTACAATTTTTACCTTTAATATTAATGCTGGCCTTTATCTTTTTTTATATCTGAATATCATTTGGTTTATACTTTGAATATATTACTCTATTTAGAACTGAGGTAGGACTTAAAATTATTTGTATTCTTAGTTTATGCATCTGTATAATTGAATAGCAAATAAAAAAGGATGCTATAGATTATGAGGCAGAAAAACAAAACAAAATTAGTCTCTAACATAAAATAGGAGTATGAGCTATTTGTACACTCACTCACTCATTCAGTTATTCATTCACTCAACAAATATTCATTGAGTTTCTACCAGGCATTGTGCTGAGAAGTGAAAATAATAAAAAAATCAGATATAATCTCTGTTTCTGAGGCACTTATATCCAATGAAGGAAGGATAACACAAGTAATCATATCATGAATGTAATATTCACAGCTGAATCAAGCTTCAGTTTCTTCCACAATACTCTAGACCCCATAAAAAGTCTTATTTTTGTGTACTTCCAGTGCTTATGATAGTATTTGTCACATAACCAAAGTTCAATAAACATTGGGCGAATGACTGAGTATGTAAATATTGAGCTCCATGGAGAGATGTAGCCTGGAAAAATGAATTTTGAAGCAATTGCTATAGGATAATTTCCTGTCAAGAGAATATAACCTGGAAAGAGAGGAAAGCTGGGAGCTGAATTTTGAGGAATTCTGACATTTAATGACTGGTAGAGAAGAAGACACCTGGAAATGAAGAAGAGGATAGCCTCCAGAGGGTGAGGATGATAACTAGGCTAGTACCCTGGCAGTCAAAACTAGAGAGTGTTTCAAGGGTGACTGTTAGTAGTGATTGCTGATCGTAAAGACCAAAAAAGACATGACTGAACAAAGTGCCCATTGATTTTAGAGATAAGGAAGTCATTACTGATATGCGTTTTAAAGTTTAATACAGTGATAGGGGATGGAAGTCAGTTTTTAATGGGTTGTAAAAATAGTGAAAGATAAAGACCTGACATCTGCATCTAGCTATAAATGGAGGAAAGAAATGGTGTAACAGCTTGGGTGAAAGACGTATATCAATTTCAAATGCTAATGAAAGAGATAAATTCCTGAGGATAATGAAGGGAGAGGCAAAAAAGATTCATTTGCTCAAAAATATTTAGTGAGATCCAATTCTGCCCCAATATTTGGTATATATAAGTGAAACAAAGAAACAAAACAAAAAAGTAAAAAGAAGAAAATCTCCTTTCCATCATGTAACTTACAGTGTAAAAACTGACAGATTGCTCTTGGAGATAAGAAAACCACTCTCTATTATAATTGTAGAAAAGAAAAAAAGAAGTTTGGAGGAAGAGAGTTAAGGACACCTGGAGCCATGTATCAGTCAGGATAGACTGTTAATGTCGCATTAGCAAAAAAACACCTAAATCTCAGAGGTTGAACGTTATGAAGGTTTATTTTTCAGGCATGCAAAAGTGAATAGATGGTTAACATATTGTGAGCTAATTTGGAATTCTAGGCATTCTTATGACACCTCTTTTTTCACACAATGCTTCAGGATTCACTCAAGCCGGGACAAGGAATAAGGTACAATTATGATCCTGAATGTCTCTATTCCTATTTTGTTGACTGAAGTGTCAGTTAGTGTTGATTCAATTCAACATACAATCCTCCTATATGTCAAGGACTAGGAAAATATCTGAAAATAAGTTACCAAGCAATAGGTTCTAGCTCTCGGTCAATCCTTCTACATATCCTATCATCTAAAAAAATTCTAGACCAGTTTGACAACTGTGACATCCCATTACAATCAACTTGGAAACCTTTAAAAAAAAATCAGTGTTGAGGTCCATGACCAGAGAGTCTGCTTTAAATTTTCTTGGATAGAGCACCTGTAACTGAGAATCACTTTCTTGCAGACTACTCCAGAATTTATGTTTCTTTTCTTCGAAGTAGTCATTAACCATGACAGCCTAATTTCAGTCACCTGGTTTATAATGACAGTATTTTTATCTCCAGATTATTAATTACGTGTAATAAATTAATTGTAGGTTGTTAAATCAATATGAGACTATGCAATTAAAAATGTCAATTATAAAAACAAAAGAGAAAGAATTTTCATCCTTATCATTCCATAAAGCTACTTCCCTAAAATTAAAATACAGTCCTATTTCCTTCCAATCACTTCTTATCTTTCTTAATTGATGCTAATGGAAATGTTGTTCTTTTGCTGTTCTACTTTTGACCCATTTGTCAGATACACGTGTAAGTAAAAGATCTTATTGATTATATATTTCGATATACTGCAATATCAAATACATATTTAAACAACTTTAACCTGCTGCTTGTTATCTTAAGACACTTTGCTTTTGATCATCATTTGCTTTGGAAACAATATTGTATATAAGATTGATTTGCCATTAATATTAAAAATAAACAATAGCTTTTGTAGTGAATTTTCATAATTGTATGTTGTCTTGACACGCATTTTCAATATAGGTTTACCTTTTCTATCCCAGAAGCAGTGATTAGTTGCTCTTGACAGGGTTTCCAGTTCTTCACCTCCTCCCAGATTTTCAGTGTGGTTGGTACAGACATTTGTCTCACACAACCACCTCCTAGTGACCACCTCCCTATGTTGCAGCTAGATACAAGCTACTTGAATTTGTCGCACTTATCCCCACCTCATACATGGACTGCCCAGATATGCTACAGTAACCATTTCTCAGCCACAGTGTGACTCCACAGAACTCACAGGAGCTTGTTTTAAACTCATGAATTAGAACTCCCCACAAGAAACTCACCTAAGCAATACTCTGGACCCTAATAAAGACCCAGGTTCACAGAGTACCCGCACCACCTCTCTCTTGCCCTACATCCACTGGTTAAGTGTGTATGTGCTGAAGAGCTTCCCCTTCCCATGGGCTCTGTGAAGGGTGCTGCCCTCTTCTCTATGGAATCTGTAAGTAATAAACTGCTTCTGTTATTTCATGTGTTTTGTTGAGTTGTCTCCTCTGTGTCTCACCTGACTGACACCTCACTTCTACCCAGTCAAGGGCTGTCCTAGAGAGGGGCTGTTAGGGTAGGAATAAACTGGACACAGATCAGATAATAATCACAAGGGTGGGCCGGGCGCAGTGGCTCACACCTGTAATCCCAGCACTTTGGGAGGCCGAGTCGGGCGGATCATGAGGTCAGGAGATCGAGACCATCCTGGCTAACATGGTGAAACCCCGTCTCTACTAAAAATACAAAAAATTAGCCAGGCGCCTGTAGTCCCAGCTACTCGGGAGGCTGAGGCAGGAGAATGGCGTGAACCCAGGAGGTAGAGCTTGCAGTGACATCACGCCACTGCACTCCAGCCTGGGTGACAGAGCGAGACTCCGTCTTAAAAAAAAAAAAAAGAATCACAAGGGCGTCTTCCAATATAAACAAGTTTCCTGTGAGAGAGACACTTGGTTATAGGTCAGAAATTTAGGAATTAAGAATAAGCCAGTGAAATACACTGTAAACATCTACAACCACATCCCTTGGATTCTCATTCAGGGTAGGGCTGGAATTTATAAACAGTCTTATGAAAATGATCTCAAGACCAGTTTAGGAACAAAACACCAAACAAACAAGTAAACACCTACAACAAAATCAGCTTTGCTTGCTAATGTAGTAAGATCAGAGGTGTCTGATAAATATGTCCCCTCCCTGCAAATCTTTCTCTTAAATGCTTGCTATGGTCTCAAGGAGCCTGTCATCAAAAGATTACCCCATTTTTTAAATAACTGCATTTCTCTGTTGAATAAATATGCCTGTGGAAAGCTGTAACAGATATGAGCCCTTGTTTGAAGATTAGTTTGTCAACTATCCCTTTGGAGAAATTGGAGTGCAATCCCCACAATCTCTTGTCATAAAAAAGGTGAAATTAAACAAGGAAGTCATTCTTTTGGAGCCATAAAAGGGAAGCCTTAAATGTTATTGCCAAGAGATTTCATCATGATGACGCCATGAAGTCAAGGAGCCTGGGTCACCAGAGCCTCCATATGGGACCAGGATGACTACAGTAGGAGAAAAAATGCAGAAAATGTGTCTTGAAATGGCCATAGAAGGTAGAGATCAGAACTATAAAGTAAAAATTTGTTTACCTCACAGTTTTTCTTACTTTCAAATTCTTCTTTAGACAGCAATCTATGTAAACATGGAAAATGGCTGATCACCTTTCTGCTTTCTGTATAAAGACATCACCATGAGAAGAGCCAAGGTGTGATGGAATGAACTGCCATGTGTCACATGGGCGCAGGGTGAAATAGTCTAGCTCAGACATTACATGGTTGTATAAACACATGCAGGTCACTAAATTTCCTTGTTCCTTCCAAATTACTAATCTGTAAAAAAGTCAGAAAGTATAAAGCAGTCAAAATAATAATAATAATACTCAATAAAAGGTGGCCTATTATAAATATTATAAATAATAATAATACTCAATAAAAGGTAGCCTATTATAAATATTACAAATAATAATTATACTCAATAAAAGATGGCCTATTATAAATCTTATCATGAATGAGATATGTACCCAGGATTAAAACACAGTTTTGCCATCTCAAATGTAAAATGAGGAGATGATATAAACTCTGAGGATATATGCAATGCTCAATATTGTTGACTCTGATCACTAATTTTATAACATATGATTGCATATAGGAAACAGAAATTCTGTATTAATTATCCTATTCCTCCATTCTCCCAAAATAAATAACAGAATGTATTACATTAAATACCCTTAAATGTATCTTAATATGTACATAGAATTTTATAAAATGGGATCTAAAATCCCTTCTGTCATCTCAAAACACATGAGTACAACTAACTGCAGAAAATGTCATTCAAGATTTTGGCAATTTTATTTTTTACTTTCAGGAGATTTGACTACAGTAAATACAAACCATGTGCCACACATTGTGTCAAATTTACCCACAGAAATGTTGTCATTTTTTTCCTATTTTGACGCTGATGGTCACATAGATATATTTAATGTACCATGTTACTGCTTTTTTCTAATCCACGGATTTTCTGTTCTAAAGCACATTGAAGTAATTTATTTACACAGTACATCTTAATTTTCTTACGATTCTTATTTTAGATGTAATTGATAGTATCAATGGTAAAATTCTCCCCTGAAACATTTTGTGGAAAGTGAATGTTACTGAGCATGATCTTGTACAAGGTAAAAACTAGATGGATGACTATGCTTCTAACAGATGAGACAAATTCTATGCCACAGTTTAAGGGTGCACGCTACCTACATTGCGGTTACAATTGTGAAAAAAAAAGACACACACAAGAGATAGTTTATCCATTTGCTTTATGTTTGATCACCATTCTGTATCTGGAAACCACTCTATATTTTTGCCTCTTTCTTTCATAATGATTCAAGTTAACTAAAACTAATCTGTTCATTGAGAGACGTTGAGAAATGGGCCAAGTCCTTCCACATCTGTTTTCATCACAATAGGTCTGCAGTGTATTTTTTGTTTGTTTGTTTTGTTTTGTTTTGTGTTTTTGAGACAGCGTCTTGCTCTGTCACCAGGCTGGAGTGCAGTGGCGCCATCTTGGCTCACTGCAACCTCAGCCTCCTGGGTTGAAGCCATTCTCCTGCCTCAGCCTCCCAAGTAGCTGGGATTACAGGCTCCCACCACCACGCCCAGCTAATTTTTGTATTTTTAGTAGAGATGGAGTTTCACCATGTTGGCCAGGATGGTCTCAATCTCCTGACCTCGTGATCCACCCACCTCAGCCTCCCAAAGTGCTGGGATTACAGGTGTGAGCCACCACACCCGGCCATCTGTGGTGTACTATTATCCAGAATCCAGCTAATAAGGGAATGTGTTTGCTCACTGTTATGCTATCTGCTTCAAGAAGTGTGGTTGTTGTTTTCTCAGTGCCTTACAATTTCACCTCATCAGCTACAGGCTTTTTATTGTTTTCATATTTATTTTTAGTAAAATCATAATAGCTGAGAAAAGAGAAAATGCCAAGATAAAAATTAATATTTCAATACATAGTATAGTATATGCATTCCAGAATAAATGTTGAAAAGATAGATTTCATTGACTTTCAAGAAGAATTTTTTTCATTTGCTTAATTTCCCCAATAACACCTTTCTGATTCACAGTTATTCTTGCTTGATGATGAATTAGTCTTTTCAGCTATATTCTTGTACATGCATGACAATGATTACAGCAGCTGCTGTAAAAAGAAAAGGCAAAACTCTTTTTAAAGTAACTTGATGGATTTTTGCATTATTCAAGAACTAAAAATAGGAGATTGCATCATAAATCTATAAGACAAGCGGCGCATTCCAGAAGTTAAGACATCCGATGTAGGTACAAAGTCTTGATGAAACTCCATATTCAGCTATTACGTATATTCTATTATTTTTGTTACACTAACAAGCTAATTATGAGTACATTAGAATATGCCACACACTCAAGCTGTGATGTTTTGAAAAGGCCATGCTTCAGTAAGACACTGCGGATTGTACTTGTACAAAATACTTTTAATCATTTTATTCACTTAGGATGTACAGAGAAGAAGTAAACAAAAATTATTTTAATGACAATTTTGGGCAATAGAATAATAAGTGGTATAAAGATATACATATTTGTATTTCAGGTTTTACTATAGCAATGTTCTTTAAGATACATACCTCTAAATATTTTATGTTTAGCCAGATCCTATGAGGACATTGAACCTTTTCATTCAATGCTTAGTTTTATATATAATTCTGTTTTACAAAAGGAAAAACACAGTTCTGTATTTTTAGTATCAATGATAAATTGTGATTTCAATCACACCAACTGCATTTTTGCAGTTAACTCAGATTTTATCACCTTATCATGGTGGACATTTTATTTTGAACACAAGATATACAGATCAGACAAAAGTTCTATAAAACGGTGTCAAGAAGGTGCTGTGAGAATATGTGGCATAAATGCCTAAATCTCATTCTTATTGATGCTTACTTGACTAGTGATAAATTATCTTAGCTAAAAATTCTTTTGGTGTTTCCGCTTTCATTCTTGCCCTTTTCATGTTCATGTTCTATTACCTGGCAGACATGCTTTATCTACTCCCAAATTCTTTGATATTTTTTTCTTTGTCTTTTCTCAAATCATTTACTCAAAGCCAGATTAAGATGTCAGAGGCCTTCGACACCTAAATTTATGATGCCCCCCCACTCCAACAAATGTAAAAACAGTTGCACCATAAAATACAGAAGCATTAAAACTGAACCACAATAATTATTTAGCAGTCTCTTCCATTTCTTTTGTATATTTGAACTTTACTTCCTCCTGGACCTCCACCTAGGCTCTTCATTTTACATGATGATAGACAAGAGAATAACAAAGAGAATTAAGAAAAATAAAAGGGAGAAAAAAGGGGGATCCCAATGATCAATTAGGAATATATATCTACCATCGATGTTTTAAATTGTCTTTTTACCAACAACATAAATAAATTGAATCTAATTTGGTTGTTACTGCTTTTGTTTTGTTTTCACCTTGTTCATGGATTTTATTGCTTTCACACTACTTAACTGGTCTTGTTACCTTGCCTGTTTTTTTTCCCCTTGGTATACTTATCCTCTACGGTGATTTTTTAAAGCATGATCCTCAGACCAGCAGTATGAGTATCACTGGGGAACTTGTTAGAAATGCAAATTCTTATGCTCTGCCTCAGACTTAGAACCAGAAACTTTGGGAGAAGAGGGTGTCTTGCAATCTGGTCTCAAAAAGATCTACAGGAGATTCTGACATACACTAAAATTTGAGAACCACTGCTCTATACATCTTTTTGAGCGACTTTTGTAAAAGCAAAATTTTCACCATGCTCCTGATCCTCTGCTTAAAGTACTTACACAAAGCATTTTTCTGGAGGGAGGTGGAGCTCCTGAATAGAAGCTTCCACCAATTGTCTTCCTGGATCTCTAAATTTAACAGCTATCCGCACAGAAAAGCACCTTCATAAGAGCCAAAAATCAGGCGATTTACAATACCTGGTTTTAACTTCATACTGCTAAAAGAGGCACTGAAGGGAATAGGAAAGACAGTTTTGACTTGCTGATACATCTCCTCCCCAATCCCCCAATAGTAGCTACATGTGGAAGAAGAATCTGTGTGCTCGAGGAAGGGAGAGCCCAGCAATTCTGGGACTTTGCATTGGAACTCAGTGCTGCCCTGTCATAGCAGAAAGCAACACTGGGAACAAATCAGCCCATGGCCTTCAAGGGGGAACTTAGATGAGCCAGCAGGGAATTGCCCATCCCAGTGGTCAGAACTTGAGTTTTCTCATGCCTCACCAGCGAAGGCTAATGCGCTATGAGGTCCTAAATAAACTTAAAAGGCAGTCTAGACCACAAGGACTGCAATTCCTGGGCAAGACCTATTGCTGTTCTGGGCTTGGAGCCAGTGGACTTGGAGGCATGTGACCTAATAAGAAACCAGCCAGCGCAGCTAAGGGACTGCTTGCAACACCCCTCCCCCCAGCCCCAGTCAGTGCAGCTTGCAGCTCCAAAAGAGAACCTTTCTTTCCACTTGAGGAGAAGAAAGAAGAATAAAGAGGACTTTGTCTTGCAGTTTGTATACCAGCTTATCCATAGTAGGATAGGGTACTGGGCAGAGTTGTGAGGCCCTAGATCTGAGATGATATTTCTAGACACATGCTCGGCCAGAAGGGAACTCACTGACTTGCAGGGAAAAATACAGTCTGGGCAGGATTCATCATCTGCTGAGTAAAGAGCCCTTGGGCCCTGCAAAATCAGCAACAGAACCAGGTAGTACATGCTGTGGGACTTGGGTGAGACTCAGACATGCTGGCTTCAGGTGTGACCCAGCACAGAGCTATGGTAGAATATGAGGAGAGACTTCTGCTTGAGAAAAGCAGAGGAAAGAGTAAATGGGACTTTGTCTTGCTGATTAGGTACCAGTGAGGCCACAGTGGACTAGACTAGTAAATGGACTCTTGCGGTCCCCAATTCCAGCCCTTGGTTCTTGGACAGCCAGAAGGGAGCCCACTGCTCTGAAGGGTGAGTCCCAGGCTTGGCAGCATTCATGACAAGCTGACTAAAAAGCCCTTGGGCCTGAAGTAAATATCAGTGATAGGCTGGCAGTACTCCCTATGGGCCTGTGGTGGGGATAAACATGGAGACAGACTCCTCTGCCTGGGGAAAGGGGAGGGAAGAATGGGAAGGACTTTGTCTTGTGGTTTGGGTGCCAGCTCAGCTGCAGTAGAATAGAGTACCAGGTAGATTTCTAAGGTTTCTGACTCCAGACTCTGGCTCCCAGATAATATCTGCGGATCCATCTGGGGCCTAGGGAAATTTGTTGCCCTGAAGGGAAGGATATATGCCTGGCTGGCTTTGTGACCTGCAATTGTACTGCCCTAGGTCCTAGAGCAAACATAGGCAGTAGCCAGGTAATAGATAGAGCAGGCCTTGGGTAAGACAGAGTACTGCAATGGCTTCATGTCTGGCCTGGCATAGTTCCAGTGATGGTGGCCACAGGGATGCTTAGGTTACCTCTCCCTCAGCTCCAGGCATCTCAGCACACACAGAGAGAGAGATATTCACTGGAACAAAATAAGGAAAGAGAGGAATCTCTGCCTGGTTCTCCAGAGAATTCTTGCAGATCTTATCCAAGACCACCAAAAAGGTATTTTTATGAGTCCACAAGAACCACATTGTTAGTGGGCTTGGGGTGCCCCCTAATGCAGATAAAGCTGCAGTGATATGAAGCTTCCATCAGAACACCCAAGTTCTTTTGAATACCAGGAAAACCTTTCCAAGAAGGACAAGTACAAACAAGCTCAGACTGCAAAAACTACGATAAACACCTATATCTTCAATGCCCAGACACCAACAGACATCCTCAGCATCAAGACCTCCAAGAAAACATGAACTTACCAAATGAACTAAATAAGGCACCAGTGACTGATCCTGGAGAGACAGAGCTATGTGACCTTCCAAACGGAGAATTCAAAATAGCTGAAACTCAAGGAAATTTATGATAACAAAGAGAAGGAATTCAGAATCTTACCAGATAAATTTTACAAAGAAATTGAAATAATTAAAAACAAGCAGAAATTCTCAAACTGAAAAATATAATGGACATATTGAAGAATGAATCAGAGTCTCTTAAGAGCAGAATTGATTAAGCAGAAGAAAGAATTAGTGAGCTTGAAAACAGTCTATTTAAAAATACACAGAGAAGACAAAAGAAAAAGAGTTAAAAAGAATGAAGCACACTTACTAGATCTAGAAAATAGCCTCAAAAGGGTAAATCTAAGAGTTATTGGCATTAAAAAAAAGATAAAGGAGTAGAAAGTTTACTCAAAGGGATAATAGCAGAGAATTTCCCAAACCTAGAGAAAGATATCAATAGGCAAGTACAAGAAGGTTATAAAACACAAAGGAGATTTAACCCAAAGAATACTATCTCAAGGCATTTAATAATCAAACTCCCAAAAGGCAAGGATAAAGAAAGGATCCTAAAAGTAAAAAAAGAAAAGAAACAACATACAATGGAACTCCACTACATCTTGCAGCAGACTTTTCAGTGGAAATGATACAGGCTATGAGAGAGTGGCATGACATACTTAAAGTCCTGAAGGAACAAACTTTTACCCTAGAATAGTATAGCCAGTGGGGGTTTGGCAGGGGAAGGAGAATCCCTCAGATCTGAAGGAGAAATAAAGACTTTCCAAAAGCTGAGGGATTTCATCAATACCAGGCCTATCCTATCAAATGCTAAAAGGAGTTATTTGATCAGGAAGAAAAGGACTTTAATGAGGAATTAGTAAGTATAAAAACAAACAGAACATTATTAAACTGTATTTATGGTGTTTGAGCTACCTGTATCTTAAGTAGAAAGACAAAAAGATGAACTGATAAGGAATAAAAACTACAATAACTTTTTAAGACATAGACAGTACATTAAGATATACATAGAAACAACGAAAGTTAAAAAGTGGGGGAATGAAGTTAAAGTGTAGAGTTTTTATTAGTTTATTTTTCCATGTTTGTTAGTTTATGTAATCAGTGTTGTCATCAGTTTAAAATAATGAATTATAAGATATTATTTGCAAGCCTTATGGTAACCTCAAATCTAAACACATATAACAGATAAACGAAAAATAAAAAGCAAGGAATTAAACCATAACACCACAGAAAATTACCTTCACTAAAAATGACAAGAAAGAAAGAAGGAAAAGAAGACCACAAAACAACTAGAAAACAAATAACAAAATGGCAGGAGTAAGTCTCTATTTATTAATAATGTCATTGAATGTAAATGGACTAAGCCCTCCAATGTAGGGAAATAGTGGCTGAATGGATAAAAAAACAAGACCCAACAATTTGTTGTCTACAAGAAACATACAACCTATGGAGGCACACATTAACTGAAAATAAAAGGATAGAAAAAATATTCTATGCAAATGGGTGCAGGAAAAGAGTAGTACTAGCTATACCTTATATTACACAAAATAGATGTCAAAACAAAACCTATAGGAGATGAAGGTCATTATATAATGATAAGTCAATTCAGCAAGAGGATATAATAATTGTAAATATATATGCATCCAACACTGAAGCACCCGGATGTATAAAGCAGATATTATTAGAGCTAAAGAAAGAGATGGACCTCAATATAATAATAGCTGGAGACTTTAACACTCCACTTTCAGCATTGAACAGATCAGCCAGACAGAAAATAAACACAGAAACATCAGACTTAATCTGCACAATAGACCAAATGGACCTAATAGATGTTCACAGAACATTTCATACAATGGCTGCAGAATATACATCTTTTCCTCAGCACAATAATCACTCATAGCATTCATTATTGTTGCCTACAGGTTCTGGAGAGGTGACTAGGGACTGGCACAGACCTTTAGCACAGTGCAGTCACCCGATGGAAAAGGGGCCAAATTGCCTTCCATACAGTTTCCTGTCCTCACATCTCACGGGCAGGGCCACCCAACCTGGGACTCCAGCACAACCACTCTGCTACCAACTGATCACTTCAATCAGAGGCAGCTCCACATTTCTCTAAGGAGGAAATCCTAGAGTCAACCCACAACTCCCCTGCCACTGCAGCTGCAGTGGTACTGCCATAACTGCCCTCAAGCTGTGGAAGAAACAAAGAACCTAGTCACTAGCACCTCCAGCACACAGCAACCACCATACAGAGACCAATACAGTCCCTCTACCCTGGGAATGCCCATCCCCCACTCTTTATCAAGCAGGAATCCTGGTTCAGAACCACAGAACAGCTACCCCACCCACAGCTGAGCATACCCAATGGTAGTGATTCTGAGTTTCCCTGGGGAGAGGCTCCCAGAGGCAATCAGTAGCCCCTCTGCCACTGCCACAGCAGCAGTTTTGCCCCTGCTGCCCTCAGTCTGGGGAAGAAATAAAGAGCCTGAGGGCTACACCAAGCATACAGCATGCCACAGTCACCATAAAGAGGAGAGACCAGTTTTTCTTCCTGGAGCCGTCAAGCCCCACCCCCCTTATCAAGCTGACCTCCCAGCTCAGGCTAGCAGTGCAGCTGCCCTGCCCTCTAGCTGAATACTTTCAGTACCAGTGACTGTGTTTCTTGGAGGTGGAGCTCCAAGGGGCAACTGAAAGCCCCTTGGCCACTGCCTCTGCAGTGGTACTGCCCCTGCTTCCCTCCCACTGGGCAAAGAACCAAGACTCTAAGTTCCTTATCCACCCTTCCAGCAAGCTGCAGTTTCCCTAAGGAAAAAAGGCCTGTCTCTCACAGGTCCCACCCCACTGCCCATTACCAGGCACCTGCTCCCCACTACCTAGCTGGGACCCACAGTGCAGCCCACCATCCCAGGCCAATCATACTGACTGATTGCAGCTCTGCATCTTTCTGGGGCACAACCACTGCTAAAGCCCCTTCCTGTGCTGCCTCCAATTTGGGGAGGGAACAGAAACCCTGACATCACCTCACAACTGCGCTGTGTAGCCCAGGAGTACTAAAGTAGTAATCTGCAGCCAGCACTCAAGTGGGGGAGTAGCCCACACATTCAGACCTTTAAGAGAGAGCAGAAGTGCAACTGTGAGGAAATACAGAAGAGCCATATAACTGAGCAAGAGCCTATCTACTGACCATTATGCTTAAGTGCCACCTACTGGATCACACCCCACAACTTCAACACCAAAAATACTTCACTAACACAGTTCTCAGTGAAACCAATGACAAGAAGTCAGCTACAAATAAAGACTTTGCATAAAGCCTCAGGCCTCTGAAAACATCCGCAAAAGAAGCCTACTCACTGTACCTGATTTACACTGCAGTTAAACGAACACCCAAACATGCAGAAGAGAAAAAAACAATACAAAAACTCAAAAGGCCAGACTTCTTCTGTCCTCCAAATGACTACATCAGTTCTCCAGAAAGGGTTGCTAACCAGGCAGATATAGCTAAAATGACAGAAATAGAATTCAGAATATGGATAGAAATAAAGATCAGTGAGATTCAAGAGTACATCCAAAACCAATCCAAAGAATCTATGAATCACAATAAAATGATACAGCAGCTGACAAACAAAATAGCTACTATAAAAAAACTAACAGACCTGATAGAGCTAAAAAATACACTACAAAAATTTCCTAATGCAATCACAAGTATTAATAGCAGAATAGACCATGCAGAGGAAAGTATCTCAGAGCTTGAGGACTGGATTTCTGAAATAATACAGTCAGACACAAAGAAAAAAAAGAATGAATAGAAATGAACAAAACCTCCAAGAAATATGGGATTCTGTAAAAAGGCCAAATCTACAAATTATTGGTGTCCTTGAAAGAGATGGGGAGAAAGCAAGCAACTTGAAAAATGTATCTGAGGATATCGTTCATGAGAACATTCTCAAGAGTTTTCTAGTTCACTGGAAAGACTAACATTCAAATTCAGATAATACAGAGAACCCCTGCAAGACACTATGCAAGATCATCCTCAAGACACATAATCTTCATATTCTCCAAGGTCAAAATAAAAGAAAAAGTGTTAAAGGCAGCTAGAGAGAAAGGGCAGGTTACCTACAAAGGGCGTACCCATCAGGCTAACAGCAGAACTTTCAGCAGAAACTCTATATGCCAGAAGACACTGGGGGCTATATTCAACATCCTAAAAGAAAAAAAATTCAAAAAAAAAAAAACCAGACTTTAAACCAACAAAGATAAAAAAATACAAAGAAAGTTGTTACATAATGGTAAAGAGTTCAATTAAACAAGAAGACCTAACTATCCTAAATATATATGTACCCAACACAGGAGCACCCAGATTCATAAAGAAAGTCCTTCATGATCTATGAAGAGATATAGATTCCCACATAATAATAGTAGGAGACTTCAACACCACACTGATAGTATTAGATAGATAATGAGAACAAAGATACAACATACAAGAATCTCCAGGGCACGGCTAAGATAGTTTTAAGAGGGAAATTTATAGCACTAAATGCCCATATCAAAAAATTAGAAAGATCTCAAATTAGCAACCTAACACCACAAATAGAAGAACTAGAGAAACAGAAGCAAAGCAAGCCAAAAGGTAGCAGATGACAATAAATAACCAAGAACAGAGCTGAACTGAAGGAGATCGAGCCATGAAAAATGCTAGAAAATATCAACAAATCTAAAATTTGTTTTTTTTTTCAAAAAATTAATAAGATTGATAGGCTGCTAGCTAGACTAATAAAGAAAAAAAGAAAGAAGATCCAAATAAACAAAGTTAGAAATGACAAATGGGAAATTACCACTGACCCCAAAGAAATACAAATATCCACCACAGACTACTATAAATACCTCCATGCACACAAACTAGAAAATCTAGAAGAAATGAATAAATTCCTGCATGCATACACCCTCTGAAGACTGAACCAGGAAGAAATTGAATCCCTGAACAGACCAGTAACAAGCTCTGAAATTGAATAAATAATAAACAGCCTATCAAACAACCAAAAAAAAAAAAAAAAAAAGTCCAGGACCAGATAGATTCACAGCCATATTCTACTAGAGGTACAAAGAAGAGCTGGTACCATTCCTATTGAAACAATGCCAAAAAATGCAAGAGGAAAGACTCCTTCCCAACTCATTCTATCTGGCCAGCATCATCCTGATATCAAAACCTGGCAGATACACAACCAAAAAAGAAAACTTCAGTCCAATAATCTTGATGAATACAGATGCAAAAATACTTAAGAAATACTGGTAAATCAAATCCAGCAGCACATCCAAAAGCTTATCTATCACAATTGAATAGGCTTTATTTCTGGGATGCAAGTCTGGTTCAACATGCACAAACCCATAAATGTGATTCATTATGTAAACAGAACTAAATACAAAAACCACATGATTATATCAATAGATTCAAAAGAGGTGCTTAATAAAATTCACATTCCTTGCTGTTAAAATCCCTCAAGAAACTAGGTATTGAAGGAACCACTTCAAAATAATAAGAGTCGTCTATGAAAAACTCACAGCCAACATCATAATGAATGGGTAAAACCTGAAAGCATTACCCCTTGAAAACTAGAACAAGATAAAGATGCCTTCTTTCACCACTCATATTCAACACAGTATTGGAAATCCTGGCCAGAGCAATTAGGCAAGAGAAAGAAATTAAAGATATCCATGAGAGGAAGTCAAACTATCCGTGTTTGCACACAACATGATTCTATGTCTAGGAAACACCATAGTCTCTGCCCAAGAGATGCTTGAGCTGATAAACAACTTCCGCAGAGTTTCCAAATACAAAATCAATGTGCAAAAACACTAGAATTTCTACACACCAACAATATCCTGGCTGAGTGCCATATCAGGAAAGCAATCTCATTCACAATTGCCACAAAAAGAACAAAATACCTAGGAATACAGCTAACCAGGGAAGTGAAAAATCTCTACACTGAGAATTACAAGACATTGATTAAAGAAATAAGAGATGACACAAACAAATGGAAAAACATTCTGTGTTCATGGATAGGAAGAGTAATATTGGTAAAATGCCCATATGGCCCAAAGCAACTTAGAGATTCAATGCTATTCCTATCTAACTACCCAATTACATTCTTACAGAACCAGAAGAAAAACTATTCAAAAATTTATATGAAACCAGAAAAAGAACGTGAGTAGCCAAGGCAAGCCTAAGCAAAAAGAACCATGCTGGAGCCGTTATGTTACCTGACTTCAAACTATACTACAGGGCTACAGTAATCAACACAGCATGGTACTGGTACAAAAACAGACACATAGAACAATGGACCAGAACAGAGATGCTAGTAATAAGGTTGCACACCTACAACCATTTGATCTTCAACAAAGTTGACAAAAACAAGCAAGGGGGAAAGAATTCTCTAGTCAGTAAATGGTGTTGGGATAACTGGGTAGCCATATGCAGTAGATTGAAACTGGACCCTTTCCTTATACCATATATGAAAATCAGCTCAAGACACGTTAAAGACTTCAGTGTAAAACCAAAAACTATGAAAGCCCTGAAAGATAACCTAGGGAATATTATACTGGACATAGGAACTCACAAATATTTCAGGACAAAGATGCTAAAAACAATTGCAACAAAACCAAAAATTGACTATTGGGATCTAATAAAACTAAAGACTTCTGCACAAGGGGAAAAAAAACTATCAACAGGGAAAATAGACAAATGGAAGAATGGGAGAAAATTTTTGCAAGCTATGTATCTGTCAGAGATATAATATCCAGCATCTATAAGGAACTTAAACAAATTTACAAGAAATAAAACCAAACAACTCCTTTAAAAAGTAAGCAAATAGCATCAACAGACACTTTTCAAAAGAAGACATACATGCAGCCAACAAGCATATGAAAAAATGCTCAACATCACTAATCATGAGAGAAATGCAAATCAAAATTACAATGAGGTACTCATCTCACACCAGTTAAAGTGGCTATTTATAAAAAGTCAAAAAATAACAGATGCTGTGAGGTTATGAAGAAAAGGGAAGGCTTATACGCTGCTAATAGGAAAGTAAATTAGTTCAACCATGGTGGAAAGCTGTGTGGCAATTTCTCAAAGAGCTAGAAACAGGACTACCATTCAACCCAGCAACCCCATTAATGGGTATATGCCCAAAGGAATATAGATTGCTCTACCATAAAGACACATGCACACATAAGTACTTTGCAGCACTACTCACAATAGCAAAGACATGGAATCAAATTAAATGCCCATCAGTAATAGACTGGGTAAAAAAATGTGGTATATATACACAATGGAATAGTATACATTCATAAAAAAGGAATGAGCTTATGTCATTTGCAAGAATGTGCATGGAGCTGGCAGCCATTATCTTTAGCAAACTAATGCAGGAACAGAAAACCAAATACCACACGTTCTCACTTATATGTGGGAGGTAAATAAAGAGAACATATGGCCACAAATAGGGAACAACAGATACTGGGGCCTACTTGAGGGTGGAAATTGGAAGGAGGGAGTGGATTAGAAAAAACGACTTTTGGGTACTATGCTTAGTAACTGGGTGATGAAATAATCTATAAACCAAATCCCTATTACATGAGTTTGCCTATAGAACAAAGTTGCACATGTACTCCTGAACCTAAAATCCAAAACAAAAAGAAAAAAACAAGACCATCATGACCAAGTGGGCATCATCCCAGGGATGCAAGGATAGTTTAACATATGCATATCAATTAATGTGATGCATTGTATCAACAGAATAAAGGATGAAAACAATATGATCATCTCATTTGGTGCTGAAAAAACATTTGATAAAGTTTAACATCCCTTCATGATAAAAACCCTTAAAAAACTAGGTATAGAAGGAACATACCTCAACACAATAAAAGCCATAAACAACAGACTCCCAGCTAGTATCATACTGAATGGGGAAAAACTGAAAGCCTTTCCTCTGAGATCTGGAAAACAAGGATGCCCACTGTCTCTACTGTTATTAAACAGAGTACTACAAGTCCTAGCTAGAGCAGTCAGTCAAGAGTAAGAAATAAAGGTCATCCAAATTGGAAAGGGGGAAGTGAAATTATCATTGCTTGCAGATGATATGATCTTATATTTGGAAAAACTTCAAGACTCCACCAAAAAACTACTAGAGCTGATAAACAAATTTAGTAAAGTTACAGGATACAAAATCAACATATAAAAATCAGTAGCATTTTTATTATTTATTTATTTATTTTTATTTATTATAATTATTATTTTTTTTGACACAGAGTCTTGCTCTGTGACCCAGGCTGGAGTGCAGTGGCATGATCTTGGCTCACTGCAAGCTCCACCTCCTAGGTTCTGGCCATTCTCCTGCCTCAGCCTCCCGAGTAGCTGGGACTACAGGTGCCCACCACCACGCCTGGCTAATTTTTTTGTATTTTTAGTAGAGACGGGGTTTCACCATGTTAGCCAGGATGGTCTCAATCTCCTGACCTCGTGATCCGCCCCCCTCGGCCTCCCAAAGTGCTGGGATTACAGGCATGAGCCACCGCGCCCGGCCTAAAAAATCAATAGCAATTTTAAATGCCAATGGCAAACAATCTAAAACAGAAATCAAGAAAGTAATCCCATTTACAATAGTCACAAATAAAATTAAAAACCTAGGAATAAACTTAAACCAAAGAAGTGAAAGATCTCTTCAATGAAAAGCATAAAACATTGATGTAAGAAATTATGGAGGATACACAAAAATATGGAAAAATACTTCATGTTCCTGGATTGGAAAAATATTGTTCCAATGTCCATACTAAAAGCAATCTACAAATTCAACGCAGTCTCTATCAAAATACCAATGACATTCTTCACAGAAAGAGAAAAAAAATCCTCAAATTTATATGGAACCACAGAAGACATGGAATAACCAGAACCATTCTGAGCAAAAGAACAAAACTGGAGGAATCACATTACCTGACTTCAAATTGTACTACAGAACTACAGTAACCAAAACAGTATAGTACTGACATATAAACAGACACATAGGTCAGTGGAACAGAATAGAGAACCCAGAAACAAATTCATACATCTACAGTGAACTCATTTTCAACAAAGGTGCCAAGAACATACATCAGGGAAAGTACTGTCTCTTCAATAAATGGTGCTGGAAAACCTGGATATCCATATGCAAAAAAATGAAACTAGACTTCTATCTCTCACTATATCAAAAATCAAATCAAAATGGACTAAAAACTAAAATCTAAGACATAAAACATGCTGGAAAATCTCTAGTACATTGGTCCAGGCAAAGATTTCTTGAGTAATACCCCAAAAGCACATGAAACCAAAGCAAAAATGAACAACTGAGGTGACACCAAGTTAAAAAGCTTCTGCACAGCAAACAACAAAGTGAAGACACAATGCACAATATGGGAGAAAATGTGTACAAACTATCCATCAGACAAGGGATTAAAGATCAGAATATATAAGGAGCTCAAAAAACTCAATAGGAAAAATATAATAAACCTATTAAAAATGGACAAAAGATCTGAATAGACATTTCCCAAAAGAAGACATGCAAACGGCAAACAGGTATATGAAATGGTGCTCAACATCATTAATCATCAGAGAAATGAAAATCAAAACTACGATAAGATTCATCTCACCCCAGTTAAAATTGCTTTTATCCACTAGACAGGAAACCACAAATGCTGGCAAGGATGTGAAGAAAAGGAAATCCTTGTACTACACCCCTATCTGTTGGTGGGAAAGTCAATTAGTACGATCGCTATGCAGAAGAGTTTGGAGGTTCCTCCAAAAACTAATACAAGAGCAGCAATCCCAGGTATATACCCACAAGAAAATAAATTAGTATACTGAAGAGATGTCTGCACTGTCATGTTTATTGCAGCACTATTCACAACACTGAAGATTTGGAAACAAGCTATGTGTCCATAAACAGACAAATGGATAAAGAAAATGTGGCTGGGTGTGGCAGCTAACCCCTGTACTCCTACTACTTTGGGAGGCTCAGGTGGGTGGATTGAGCTCAGGAGTTTGAGACCACTCTGAGCAACTCTGTCTCTACTAAAATAGAAAAAATAGCTGGGTGTGGTGGTGGGCGCCTGTAGTACCAGCTACTTGGGAGGCTGAGGCATGAGAATTGCTTGAAGCCAGGAGGCAGAGGTTGCAGTGAGCTGAGATTGTGCCACTGTACTCCAGCCTGGGAGAGGGGAGGAGAGGGGAGGGAGAAAAGAAAAGAAGAAAAGAAAAGAAAAGAAAGAAAATGTGGTACATATACACAATATATACACAATGGAGTACTATGCAGCCAAAGAAAAAAATGAATTTACCATTTGCAACAACATGGGTGAAACTGGAAATCATTATGTTACATGAAATAAGCCAGGCATAGAAAGACAAACTTCACAACTTCTCACTTATTTGTGGGAGCTAAAAATTAAAATAATTTTTTCATGAAGATAGAGAATAGAGTGATAGTTACCAGAGGCTAGAAGCATAGTGAGGGTGTGTTGAAGCAGGGGAGTGGGAATGGCTAATGGGTACAACAAATAGTTAGAAATAATGAATAAGATGTAGTATTTAATCAGGGTGACTATAGTCAATAATAATTTAATTGTACATTTTAAAATAAATAAAAGTATAATTGGAATGTTTGTAACAAAAAGAAATGAAAAATGCTTGAGGTGATGGATACTCCATTTACACTGATGGATTATTATGCACTATATGCCTGTATCACAATACTTCATATATCCTCTATTTATATACATCTAATATGTACCCATAACAATTTTATAAATAAAATAAAATACTTCAACATTTCCTATTTTATCTTGAAAATGCAATCTTGACCCATCTTAGCACAAAAGGCATCATGTAGACTGACTCACATATTTCTTATTGACACTCATTACCCACCAATACAGCATTCTAGCCACACTGAAACTCATTTACTTTCCCTAGTTGCCTATGTATATGTTGGTTCTGATTATTGGAAAATTTTACCTAGCCTTTTAGATTCAGATCATTTCTAGTTACTCTTCATGTTTCTGCTCAATTGTCACCTTTTCCATTTGGTTTTCCTGCACACATCCCCCAACAATGTTCACCATAACAAGGCATATTTAAGCACTCTCTCTTCACTCTGCTCTCTTACCACACTAGCACTTTGTTTTTCTAGACATACTTTTAAATTTGTCTTTTTTTTTTTCATAGAAACATTTGAAAGAAAATGGAATTTATCTTAGGAAATTTGACTCATTCTTACATTCTATGTTCCTGATACACAGAGTAAATAACTACTCCCATTTATGTACAATGATAGCTATACATCTTTGACACAGGGACCACTTATTTTATGGTCTGAACTTTCCACAATACAGTTATGAACTAGAAAAGACCTTTTAGACTAGATATCCAAAACAAGTAAACAGATAAAAAGTGAAAACATGCTTGCAAATAAAAATACACGATTTTTTAAAATAAAAAATATAACAAGCTTTTAAATTCTCATTTGAACTTGAAACAATGCAAGGGGCCAAGAGTGAAGTAGAAACAGAAAACCAGAGTGATCACTTGGTGCAACAACCAGATAACTGAGAGCTTTTGCTGCTCTTTGTTACTTCCAGAGGATAAAGATAGGCCCTGGGCTAGAACAACATAAGATATTGGAATTAAGAACTCTGAATAAAACGAGGATTGTAAAAAATAACACACTTAGAGAACAAAGCTAGAGCGTATGTTTCAGCCAAGAAAAGGAGAGCAAAAAATCTTATCTATCTCATCTTAGATTAAGGTGGAAAAAGATCAAGAATTTGTAAGAAAAGGCCTCATTCATGTATTTTACATTTCGAGTGTAGAGTATTAGTGTTGTCAGGGAAGCTACAAAGCATTTTTCATTTACTAATAAAAAGTAATCAGGATTTATGTTTTCAGCTCTGACACACAAAGACTTTGGGAGTCATCACTCCTGCCCTCACAAGGAAAAGACTAAACAAACTGAAAACCAACAACTTTTCTTAGATCCATCAAAGAATTGAAATCACAGGGCACACCATGGTTCTGATACCTGGAGATACAGGTGAATACAGAGAATCACAGCTGAGGTGAGCTCACCAGAGGGAGCCAGTCATTGATAGGAACACTGACATGGTAATTGACTACAGGAGGTGAGTATGAACTTGCTTCAGAATTAAAAGTTCCTGGGGGCCTAGTCTTAGGGGAATACCTCAAACACTGATGGATTGAGAGTGAGTCTGTTATTTATGGCTTTTATGGTATTGAGGTATGCTCGTTACCTTCAGGAAGTCCACTAGGTTCTCAGAAAGATTGGAGGAAACTTTTCTTATGCTTCAGAAAAGGAAAAAGCCATGTTAAAATAGCCCCATGCCAGGTGCAGTGGCTCATGCCAATAATCCTATCACTTTGGGAGGCAGGTAGACTGCTTGAGATCATTTTGAGTTCCAAAATGATTTGCTTCGACTCCATGTCTCACATCCAGGTCATGCTGATGCAAGAGGTGGGTTCTCATGGTTTTGGGGAGCTCGGTCCATGTGGCTTTGCAGGGTACATCTTCCCTCCTGGCTGCTTTCATGGTCTGGCATTGAGTTTGAGACTTTACCAGGTGCATGGTGCAAGCTGTCAGTGGATCTGCTGTTCTGGGTTCTAGAGGACAGTGGCCTTCTTCTCACAGCTCCACTAGACAGTGCCCCAGTGGGGGACTCTGTGTGGGATCTTCAACCCCACATTTTCCTTCTGTACTACCCTAGCAGAGGTTTTCCATGAGGGTCCTGTCCCTGAAGCAAACTTCTACCTGAACATCCAGGCATTTTCATACATCCTCTGAAATCTGGGTGGAGGTTCTCAAACCTCAATTCTTGACTTTTGTGAAGCTGCCAAAGCCTGGGACTTGTACCATCTGATGTCATGGCCTGAGCTGTACCATGGCTTTTTTAAGTCATGACTGGAGTGGTTGAGACTCAGGGCAGCAAATCGCAAGGCTGCACACAGCAGGGGGGGCCCTGTGCCCCACCCACAAAACTATTTTTTCCCCCCTAGGCCTCTGAGCCTGTGATGGGAAGGGCTCCCACAAAGGTCTCTGACATGCCCTGGAGACATTTCCCCCATTGTCTTGGGGATTAACATTTGTCTCCTCATTACTTACGCAAATTTTTGCAGCCAGCTTGAATTTCTCCTGGGTGGGGACAGAGCCAAACCATATCAGGCAATATGTCTGACTTTCAACAAGAAGTTACAAGAAAACAGGCAAGAAATCTTTAAAAGGCAAGAAGAAACACAGGTTGAAGAGGCAAAACAAGCATCAGGGTCTGGTATGATATAGGTGTTGTAATTATCAAATAGATAACTCAAAATAACTATGATTATTAATATGTTAAGGGCTCTAAAGGAAAAAGCAGATAACATGCAAGAACAAATGGGTAATGTTATCAGAGGGGAAAAAACTCTAACAGGAAATAAAAAGAAAATGCTAGAAATAATAAACACCATAACGGAGTTAAAGACATTTGACAGGCTCACCAGTCTTCCGGACATGACTGAGGAAGAATCAGTGAGCTTGAAGGTATGTCAAAAGAAACTTTCAAAACTGATATGCAAAGAGAAAAAGAATACCAATACAACCAGGCATAGAATACACAGGAACTGTGAAACAATTTCAAAGGTCTAATATATGCCTAATGGAAATAATCAAAGGAGAAGATAGAAAGGAACAGAAGAAATATTTGAAGCAATATGGCTGGCAATTGTCCAAAATTAATGACAGACACCAAACCACAAATGCAGAAACCACAGAAAATACAAAGCAGAATAAATGCAAAGTTATACACTGAGAATATCATATTCAAACTACAGGAAAATAAAGACAAAGAGGAATTCTTGAAAAAACCCTGGAGCTTTTAAAATAATCTTACTTGTAAAGGAATAAGGATGAGAATTACAGGAGACTTGTCTTCAGAAACTAAAAGCAAAGAAGTGGAGTAAAATATTTAAATTATTGAAAGAACAACAAAAAATACCATCCTAGAATTATTTATCCAGTGAATAAAATGATATAGGTCAGAAACTCAGATCTACATTGAGAATGATGAAGTGTCAGAGAAAAAATAAATCAAGGTAAAATAAAATCTTTAGTTTTTCTTATTCTTAATTGCTTTGCTATATAAATAACTGTTCAAATAAAAATGGCAAAAATCTATTCTGATTATAGCTCAAGAAAAAGTAAAATGAATGACAGCAATATTATAAAGAACGGCAGAAAATAACTTGAGAATACTTGGTTTTAAGGTACTTGCACTACTGTGAAGTAGTATAGCATTATTTGAAAGTGGATGTATTAAATATTAGTCTTAAATATATATTGCAAACTTTTGGGCAACCACTAAAATAATATTTCAAAGACACTTATTTATATGCTAAGAGGAGAGAAGATAAATTCACATAAAATGCCCAATTAAATACAGAGAATGCCAGGAAGGAAATTGGAGTAGTTATATTTATTTCATCCAAAGAAGTCTTTGGAACAAGAAAAATTACCTAGGATAAAAGATACAGTATATGATGATGAAAGGATCAATATTTTGAGGAATAGTAATCTATGTGTGTAACACAACAGAGCACTAAGATACACTATACAATAATTGACATAATTTAAAGGAGACGGGCAAATCCACTCTTATAGTTGGAAATATACACCTTTGTATCAGTAATAGATCCAGCAGGCAGAAAATCAGCAACTATAATTAAACTGAACATCACTATCAATCTAATGGATCTGATTAACATGTATAGTATATTTATTCAACAACAGCATGATATACTGTTATTTATTTTGTTGCTTAAATTGTTCCAGCATTGACCATTGTGAGCTTTCCTGAGTCCTATTTTTATGCCCTAAACTTTTTATTTATTTATTATTATTTTTTTGAGTACTCCCTTACTTTCTGGCACTATAAGGTGCTCCAGTTTTATCTTGCATTTTCCCTATCCCATTTCTGAATTAATCATTTCTTCAAAAAGATGATTTTTTTTTAAGAGAATGGTATTAGAAGCCAAGATCTGGGTACTGAGTGTGCTCACTCCTACTGTGCTATGCTTGCTCCAAGACACCCTGGGCAAACAGAAAGAGGCAATAAAAAACACATATGTGTAATTATTTCTGTAAATATTCATCTATACTAAATTAAGCATCAGCATATACTGATGTCTCTGACCATAACCCAGTAACACATGATTAACTTTAGCCTGGAACTCTCCCTTTCCAAGAGTGACCAACCTGGCTGTTATCAACCATACGTTTACTTATTTGTTGAATGCCAGTATACATGGTCTTTTTCTAATGAAATATAATTTAGCTGATTATTATAAAACCCATTAGTAACACAAGACAATGTTTTTTCCTAAAGCTTTGACATATTTGATAAATCAATTAAAAATTAGAACTTTTAGAGTTAAAAATAAAATTTGTTATAATTTGATCCTAAAACTGTCTACAGATCAGATCTTCAAATAGCATTCTTTTAAAAAAAAAAAAAAACTGTATAGCATGCAGCCATATAAAGGAATGAGATCATGTTCTTTCCAGGGACATGGATGGAGCTGGAAGCCATTATTCCCAGCAAACTAACACAGGAAAAGAAAACCAAACACCACATGTTCTCACTTATAAGTGCGAGCTGAACAATGAGAACACATGGACACAGGGAGGGGAACAACACACACTGGGGCCTGTTGTGGGGTTGGGGAAAGGGAGAGCATCAAAATAAATAGTTGATTCATGAAGAACTTAATATCTAGGTGATGGGTTGATAGGTGCAGCAAACCGTGATGGTATACCTTTACCTATGTACAAACCTGCATAAACTGCACATGTATCCTGGAACTTAAAACAGTGTTTTATTAAGTGACTTAAATAGCTATATAGAAGAAAGGTAACTTGCATTCAGATTGGACAATCTCCTATCCCGAGGTTTCCACACATCTTGGCTGCAGAGAAAATAAAAAGAGGAAAGGTACATTTGGATAAAATTAGCTATAATGGCTTCTATTACCATCTCCTGAAAACTCTTCCCAAGAAACTTAACAGCCATGAGGATGCATAGATTTCTGTTTCATGGGTTTCTGAGGTATTGCACCTCATAAGAGGACATTAGCTGCGGGGGCCTGCCCACAGACCCTGACCTAAATGACGGATGAATAAAACACACTGAACCACAGATATTCTGCTTTGCCAGTCCAGCTAAGTGTCCGACTGCCTGCACACAAAGAGAGGTTTGTCACTGCAGCGGGCCCTGAGCAGCTCACACTCCAGTCATTTATTTAGTATACAATTAACAACAGAAGCTCTGAGTCAACACACTTGAGGATAATTAACATGGTTAAGAGAGTTCTAGGAATGATTACAGCTCAGGTACCATGGTCTAAAGTAAATACCATTAGGGGGCAATATCCCTGGTTGACCTCCCCTCAACCCCTCAGAGGGCCATCTAGCTCAAAGGATAGTTAATGGAGGTAGGGTACACAGACTTAACTGGGGAAGCCTCTATTGTCCCTAGTATTTACCCTGTGACCTAATGCTCTAAGGTAAGAACTGGCTGCCTTCAGCCTGTTCAATTATTACAAGCTATGTAAACTTTCCACCTTCCAAAAAGATTTGTGACTATTCCCTAATAATAATAACTTTCCCTAATATTTCCCTTCAATATTTCTGCCACCATCCTGAGTGAATCCCAACAACTCCCTTTTGTTTTCCGTATTAAGTTTTTTTAATTGCAGAGTGCAGATATGTGCAGCCACACGTTTGTCAGGTGAGGTGGTCACTGCTCTTATTCCAGCTTTCCATCCTAGAATTAGCAAATAACATAAGACAATTATGAGTACAATCAGCAACATTCTTTTCTAGTCAAAGAGTGAGCTGTAGTGTTACTTGACACTTCAGTTTGATGAGTGCTGTTACTAAGGAACCCTACTGGGGGTATGTTAACTCCTTCCAGCCAAGCAGTTACTTACTAGAAGCTGGAAAGAGAGTGTTTGCTTAAGTAACAGGGCTGAAAAGGACAGATTTAAGAGACGAGCTTAATAGAGTGTAGCAGGTATAGGTAGTAGGCAAAACGAGAGAATTAAAAATGAATAAATTATTTGGCTTAGCCTTCGGCTTCTTCAGCATAATGTCTGGGGTCTGTGTTGTTCATGGAAGCCACATTGTTGAGGCTGTGGGTCCTGTAGGGTTTTTCTTAGGCTGGCTTGAGTTTTTTCTTCTTTCCTTCCTTTGATGAGGACATAGTCTCCAGGCTGGTGCTCGAAATTCTAGAGGTGGTGCCTGTGCTAAGATTTTTACAATCTTTAAAGAGCAGGTTAGTGCTTTAAGAAAGACTTGTTGTGCTTTATTTTAATGTTTAGTTTACAGAAAACCTGAATGATACCTTTTTAACCGTAGCCAATATGTTTACACATAGAATTTTTTCATAATTAACATTTTAAAACTTTAGACCTTCAAAACAAAAATTATACATTTCCTGCCTAAATTTCTTCATGACTTTCACAGACAATCTTCAACATGCCTTAACTTTCTGGCTGTGTTTCATAATCTTCATTACTAAAGGTACATTCCTATATATTTATAACTTGCTTAATATTTCCTTTCCCTTCTTCCTAGTTTCTTTCCTTAAGTCTTTCTTTTTGCATCACTTTCTGATCTGTATTTTTCTAGTCTTACTCATTCTTTCCCTTTATTTCTCTCTCTAGGTATGGACACAAGCATACTTTCTTCCTCATGTTAATCATTCACTTGGACCACACCATTTATTATTGTTCACATCTTTCCATACAACTGCAGGTTTTATGCCTTGAGAGGTTTTAGCAAAGCGCTTTTCTACAGCTGATTGAAATTTGTCATCTAAATTAAAAAAAAAAAGGGTAAATAAGGCTTGTGCCAGTAGTGTTGCAGGGTCCTTACCTATATTCCTTTTTTTTTTTTTTTTCTGTTTTTTGAGCAAATTTTTAAGGGTGAACTGTGCTCCTTCTACTATTGCCTGTCCTTGGGCTTATACGGGATGCCTGTGGAATGTTCGATATTCCACATGTGACAAAATTGTTGAAAGTGAGCTGGTATAAGCTGGACCATTATCAGTCTTAATTTTTGTGGGCTGTCCTATAAATGCAA
This sequence comes from Homo sapiens, assembly GCF_000001405.40. NCBI lineage: Eukaryota > Metazoa > Chordata > Mammalia > Primates > Hominidae > Homo > Homo sapiens. The sequence continues at coordinate 166,613,029 of NC_000002.12, read as the reverse complement.
AAGTTAAAAGAAGATGTTTAATGACATATTGAGTAGACTTTCCAGGCAAAGCATGTGCATTAATTAAATGAGTGTTGGTATCAATGGATACATGCACATATCTTAGTTTTCCAAATTCAGGGATGTGTGTAATATCTGTTTGCCATAACTGATTGGGTTCCAATCCTCTAGGGTTAACACTTGTTGAAGGAGGGGATGTGCCTGTGAGCTGGCAATCTGGATATTGTAGATAATTTGTTTAGCCAGCCTCTGGGTAAGTTGAAGTTGTTTAGATAAGTTTTTTCAATTTTGGTGGAAAAACAGATGCGATTGAGTGGCTTAGTCAAGTAGTAATGTCATAACTTGAAGGTCTGCTTGATCATCATTGCTATAAGCCAATGGGCCAGGCAGTGAGCTGTGGGCTCCAATGTGTGTAATAAAAATAAGATGTGTACATTGGTCTAGCAATTGCTGAGGCTGGAGAAAAAGAGCACACAGAGTGGGCTCCAGAGCGAACTTAATTGAGGCTGTAAAAGTGCTTTAATAAAATACAGAGTAATCTCAGCTCTGAGTGATAGTAAACTTAGATTGAGTGACTGGATTATGTGGTCTCTACCAAACTGCCGCTTGTCCATGTTTACCAGACCCATCATTAAACAGCGTTAAAGCATTAGGTATGGGGGAGTGCAATACCGCTTCGAATTGCCTTTTACTTAAATGAATCCTGGTGATATCAGGGTCATAACTTAGCAATTTACCGCATTAATCACTAAGCTGGCAAGCTGAAATAAGTAACATGAAGTTTAAAAAGAAAATCTGAAAGCATTTCTAGAAGCAGAGACTTAAATATATTTTAACCATGTGCTTAAAGCCACAGGCAGAATAGCTTACATCTTGTAATCGAGTTTTCAGGCTGACCAAGTTTATGGACTCTAATGTGGCAAACAGTCTTGAAAACAGGGACTCACTAGCTGGGGAACTCAATTCAGGACTCTTTTAGCAAGTACAAATCAAAGACTATCTGTAATCAGTGGGTTAAGACAGTCATTCATGCATATGTTTTCACTACACTTACATAAAACTTTTCTTCACTTTCTGAGAAGGGCACAGCATTTTTACCTTCTAATTTAACATATATCATTTTGAGAGGTGACAGCGTACACCCTGTGTCTAGCTCAAGGTTTGTAAATGCACCAATCAGTGCTCTGTGTCTAGCTAATCTAGTGGGGACTTGGAGAACCTTTATGTCTACCACAGGGATTGTGAATACACCAATCAGCACTCTGTGTCTAGCTCAAGGTTTGTGAATGCACCAATCAGCACCCTGTGTCTAGCTCAAGGTTTGTAAATGCACCAATCAGTGCTCTGTGTCTAGCTAATCTAGTGGGGATTTAGAGAACTTTTGTGTCTAGCTCGGGGATTGTAAATGCACCAATCAGCACCCTGTCAAAACGGACCAATCCACTCTCTGTAAAACAGACCAATCAGCTCTCTGTAAAATGAACCAATCAGCAGGATGTGGATGGGGCCAGATAAGGGAATAAAAGCAGGCTGCCCCAGCCAGCAGTGGCAACCTGCTTGGGTCTCCTTCCACACCTTGAAAGGTTTGTTCTTTAGCTCTTTGCACTAAGTCTTGCTGCTGCTCACTCTTTGGGTCCGCACTGCCTTTATGAGCTGTAACACTCACCTCGAAGGTCCGCAGCCTCACTCCTGAAGCCAGCGAGACCACGAACCCACCAGAAGGAAGAAACTCCGAACATGTCTGAACATCAGAAGGAACAAACTCCAGACGCACCACCTTTAAGAACTGTAACACTCACTGCGAGAGTCTGCAGCTTCATTCTTGAAGTCAGTGAGAGCAAGAACCCACCAATTCCGGACACAACTTGATTAGGCTTAAACTTCTCCTTTAAAGGGTAATGTGTGGTTTTACATGCCTAGCTTTTATATTACTTTCTAACTAATTCATGGCCCTCTGTAATATCTCTCCCTTCAGAGGTTACTGTTTTACTTAAATTGGATTTGGAGAGCTACGTCAGGGGTAGGGGAGGGAGAACAACAGAAGCCATTAGAAAAGAGGTTTTTCTTTTATTTTACTTCTTACATTTTACTTAAATCTTAGCAGAGAATTATAATCACGGATGTCGTTAGTAAACAAGGAGCACATGAGATTTTGCTGTGGGCCGCCTGCAGAGCTACAGAGCTGAGCAGGTGGGTCCCGGGGCGGGGGTTGTCACACTTGTGCCGCTTCTTTCGCGTGTGCTGCCCCCTCCCCCTGCCTAAGGGGAGCTGTTGCCGGCTGGGCGGACTCTGGCGCGCACACTTCTGCTTCTCCACAGTAGGCTAACTCCGTGGCGCTGGGCCTGCCTCCCCATTGCTACTGCCGCCGCGCAGGCCAAGTTCCCCGGGGCATTTACCAGCTCTGTGTTTGCAAGCTTCCTTGCTGCTGAGTCTTTCCTTCCATCTACTGCCTGCCTGGCCGCAAGGCTCCGGCCTCTAATGCTTTTTCTTATATCTTTATGTACCTGACTGCTTTGCCAATCTTGCATTACTGGGCAGGTTAAGAGCTCTCCTTTTAATGCTGCCTGCTTAAGACAGGAACTGATTGCTGTAGCGTATCCTCTTTTTTCTCATCTATCGGAGGAGGCAGCTCAGGTAAAAACCTCCGTTTCCTCTTTTTTATGTTAGCCTGGTGATATTAGGGGCCAGGGAAGAGGAGGTGATAAGGCAGGTGACAATTTTCTCCTTCCTCTTTTTTAGGCTCTTCTGTGTGTAACTGAGCCACGGCAGCTCTACTTAAAGTCCATAACGTTAAAACTGTTACTGGGACCTGTCGCCTTTGCGCCTGATGTTACGGTTTCTCCCTACTTGTTCCCAGAGTTCTACATCTAACATTCTTTCCGGAAACGATGGGCTTTGGGATTTAACAGTTCGCATTACAGCAGTTTGTTTAGCATGGATGATTAGGTCCTTTAATTGAGTCTGCGAAACAGGCTCCGCTAGCCTTAGACAATTGTTTTAATACTGTTATATACTGTTTCTGTTGTGCTGATAACTGTTGTCCCATGATGAAAACTCAGCTTGACCTAACTTCCCCCAGAACTTAGTAACCTCTAGTGGGCACCACTGACATTACTGATTACTCACTGACTTGACCACGTTCCTTTCTTCACCTTCGTTTTCCGGGGGTCCATCGTGTTTCCTGCACGCTTCCTTCGCAGCTTTCCTCACGAGGGTGTTCCTCACACTTCCTTTGTAGCTTGCCTCACGAGGGGCTCCAATTGCGGGGAATCTGTTTCTGCAGACCCCTGACTGGCCTCACACGGGGCACCAGTTGAGGTATTGCTCCTCACGAGAGGGCATTAGCTGCGGGTGTCTACCCGCAGACCCTGACCTAAACGATGGATGAATGAAACGTACACTGACACAGATAGTCTGCTTTGCCAGTCCTGCCGAGTGTCCGCCTGCCTGTACACCAAGAGAAGTTTGTCACTGTGGCCGGCCCTGAGCAGCTCGCACTCCAGGCATTTATTTAGTATACAATTAACAGAAGCTCTGAGTCAACACATTGAGGATAATTAACATGGTTAAGAGAGTAGTTCTACGAATGATTAAAGCTCAGGTACCGCAGTTTAAAGTAAATACCATTAGGGGGCAATATCCGCAGTCGACCTCCCCCCAACCCTGAGAGGGCTATCAGGCTGAAAGGTTAGTTAATGGAGGTAGGGTAAACAGAACTGGGGAAGCGGCTATTGTCTCTAGTATTTACCCTATGACCTAAGCTCTAAGGTAAGAACTGGCTGCCTTCAGCCTGTTCAATTATTACAGGTTATGCAACCTTTTGGCCTTCCAAAAAGGTTTGTGACTATTCCCTATAACTTTCCCTAATATTTCCCTTTAATATTTCTGCCACCATCCTGAGTGAATGCCAACAGGTTTCTCTGTTGGACAGGCAAATTTTTTCCGCAGATTTGAATAGGAATCTCACCTGTTACAGAGAGGTCGGTAAGGTCACTCACGTGTATCTTACTCCTACTTCCAGTCCTACCCTCAACACTAGCTGAACTCCAACATTGCTCCCATTGTGCTGGAGATGAGGTGAGCACTTTTAATGGATTTTACTAAAGGCAGTTGAATCTAATCAGACTAAATAACTAATCAAGTATCATCATAGCCTTATTAGTTAAAATACAGAGAATATACCATTTATTACAAACTGTTTCACAGGAAATCAAATTCTAAAATTTTATTTTAGGTATCATCTGTAAAAGATAAGAAAAAGATGTAAATTAAGAACTCCCTCCCTTGTATGGCTGCTTCTAAAATCTTTCCATTTTAACGAACAGTCTGTGACTTGACCTACATGCTTTCTTTTAAAAACATCTCGTAGCATTCTAACGTTTCAAAGATCCCCTGAAAACTTGCATTACAAGCTCCTCAGCATCAGCTTCCTATACATTATTCCAACTTGTTTCACTTTCCTAAAGACAGAATGTGTAAAAAACATTACAGGTTTTTGGGGCAGAAGTAGGCAAACTTCAACTAGAAGGCATATATTAACAGCCCAAGTGCCCCCACGTCTAAGAAAGAGGTTCCAGGGCTGAGGCCCAGGCCATGCTAGAGAGGACGTGGCTATGGCTGGTTGGATGGCAGAATAGTCACTTTGATGCTCTGTAGGTAGAACTTGCTGGACATCCATCCTGTAGAACACCAGAGAAAGTTGTTCAAGGGGAGATGTTTCACTGCAAACACTCTACTACAAAACTGCCCAAGGGAAGTGCTCAGGTAAATGCTGGGTGCTGTACACTGCAGGAGATAGGTGCTAGAGAAGCCATGCATAAATCATTTTCCAAGATGAATTGTTGCCTCTTTATTTTCTACTGGAACGATTACTAAACCGATCTCCCAGGAGAATGAGCTGCAGAGGCTAAGCTGCAAGAGCCTACCCAGAGAGCACACCAGAACCAAGAAGCCCATCTCCTAACCTCTTACAATGTCTCTTCAACACCCTCTAATAACAATGCTCACTGTCAGCCAACAACAGAAAAATAATATTTATAGGGCCCATGTGCATTTTTTGCAGAGCAGGCAATGAAGAATGAACTTGAAGCTAACAGGCAATAAATAGTAACTGTCACAACTCCAGTGCAAATGTAGTTTATGAGATCTAGAAGGTTGGCCTTTATGTGGCTCCATTGTTCCCATGATTTTCCACCTACATCTCCAGATTTAACTTTTGAATTTAATTTTTGAAGCTGTTAACTTTGAACTTTGTCCAATGTTACCTTGAACTGGTAAGGCTATGACTTTTTGCTACTGGAGCTGATAGGTGGGGACCATCCTCAGACCAAAAAAAAAAGCCATATACATATAATTCTTTATCATAGTCATCTTTCAAAGGCAACCTTTCCTATTGTATCTGTCTCCTTTTTAAATGTCTTGTTTCAAACAGTTTAAAATATTTTTTCAATTTTTATAATTATTTTTAGAAGGGTTCACTGGACCACTTTCGGCCAGCATGGCAAGAAGTCTGAGGTTTTTGTTTTTAAGTAGGTTCTCGGTAGAATAGATTTCAACAGAATCCTTTTTTTCTTTGGCTTGCAATAAAAATGGAAGTGTCCAAGTTCATGCAACGTCATGAATCATTTTCCAAGATGAATTGTTGGCTCTTTATTGTTTTCTGGAACGATTACTAAACCGATCTCTCTAGTTAATAACACTGATTTTTGCCCAAGATATTCTGTTCACCAAGAATTTGTGGTCTCTCTTCATAGAATAGGCTGGTTGCTAGGAAGGGACTGCCTCACCAGGGACTAAATTTTTCAAGCTTCCATTTCTCATGGGACTATATTCTTAAAGAATGTAGGAAGACACAATTTGTGTCACATTTAGTCTCCCAAAGTAAGTGACCAATTTTTGAATATTCAAAATGGCTACTGCCTTCACACATTAGGTGGTTGTAACAAATCGGCAAGAAACATGTAACAAATAGTATTATGAGAGGTGAGTCCGGGACTGCCTATTGTCAAAACTCTGGCAGTATTAGTACTAGAGAAAGTTTTCAAATTAATTTAGGAAAGAGTTTAAAAAAATAGAATTACAATTTCCTTTTTTTTTTTCTTTGTCATAGGTGATCATGAAACTGCCATCTAGGCATAGAAGGCACTAGAGGGCAAGATTACATCACATATCCCATTACAAATTATCATATTCTGTGCTTAACTGGGAGTTCATGGCTGAAATGCCTGTGCTCTCTTCAGATCAAATGGAAAATATGTGGTGTGCTCAGTTGGATGTGAGGGGAGTTGGAGTTTATGAGCCCAAATAATGTCTCTTTTTAACCAAATATGCCTTTAGACACTATAAGTTGGGTCTAAACACAACATATTACTTACATGAAGCATTCATCTTGTATTCTAAATCTTACTTGCTAAAATAGATGGTCTTTTGATATATTAATGGATTGGAGACAGAAAAGTCAAATCTGTAAGATGAAAGATTTTCATCTTCACTGCAGAATGGAAGTGGATTGAGAATGAACATGGATGCATATACACTTAATCTTTGGAGAGCTAAGTGGAGCTTCATTATATGTGAAGAACACATATAAGGAATCATATTTCAGTTAATCACTTTATATACTAGCTTAATTAACTTTTCAGCCATCTTTCCATTTTCTTTGTAATAATACAAAATTTTGTTACCTTTATAGTGATCTAATTCTGTAAAGGGAATAAAATTTTTGTCTGTAGCAACCCAATATAAGTTGAAACTTGATCAACAAGGCTCAGTTCTCAACTAATTATATATTGATTTGTTTTCATCAAGAATATAAAGATGTTTTGTTTAGAGGTTTGCATTAAAATATATATACACATATGGTTACAGTGTGTATTACTGATGTATCTATTCCTGCCTTTCATTTTATTTCTAGCGAAGTTTCTCTTCCTCCTGCTTTGCTTTTTTTCTTTGTATGGGTATCCACTCTTCCTATATTCCCCTGTGGGTCAGGAAAAGCTGACCTCACCTCCAAATGCTAGGTTGGACCTGATTGAAATAATAACCCCACCTTCCCTTGTAGTGACTGGTTTAAGAATCATGTGACCCACTTTGAAACAATGAGATATGAGGAGACGTTTACTGGGAATTCATGCCACAATTAATCTGTTATCTTCTAAAAATAATTTAAGTGACACTTAGTCTGTTCTAGGTGATTACCATGAATTGATGTGAATCCTGGAATTGGTTCTGCAAACATAACAATCTCAGGATGAAACCAACACATGAAAAGAGCAAGAGCCGAAAAAGTTACTAGGAAAGGAGTGAGAGATACTGGATTTACTGTGATTTATTTTAGTCTACAGTAAATATCAAGTTTTTTGTTTAAGCTAGTTTTATATTAATTGTTCCTGAGGGTATATAAATGGTAGACTGAAAGTAATTTTTCTAAATATGACAAGTTTTCCCAAACAAGTATTACTTTCTATTTTTTTTCTCTCAAGTATCTGAAAGATCAGAGAGTAGGTCTTTTAAATTATTCTAGAGCTTGCCTTTGTCTTGTGGCTTTCCCTCTAATCACAGACAGTTATCAAGACGACGTGTATTCTTGATGCCAGCATGTGAAAAATTAATTTCTGCTAGAAATTGAACTTTGCACTTTTATATCTCAAAACTTGAAAGGAGAAATGTTATCACTTCAACTAAAGAAAATTTCTAATAGCTTTTTACTACTTATGTTGCTGTTTCCTAAACAGATCCTTTTGTCGCAAAAAAAAAAAAAAAAAGGTAACATAATTTTGTTTTTCAATCCCAGGTGTTGCCATGGATTTTATGTATACAAGTCACTTGAATTTGAGAGCTCAAAGGGTTCTAACCATTATCTACACTGCACAGTTAAATTCCTATTAATAAGATAAAGTACTGTTGGAAAACCAATATATCATGGTCTATTTTGGCATTAATTTGAATTACTGATCTAGATGTCACAGGCTATTGATATATTGTTCATTATGAGACAGTCCTTTATTGTCTTCATAATACATCAATCTGTGCACCACAGAAACTTGACCGTGAATTTAAAAGTAAAATATCTGCTTATTGAAATACTAAAATACAAAGTAGTCTCCTCTGTACTGGTGAATAAGAGATTTGTTACATAGGGAAGTGTATGAAGAAATGAGAATAAGACAAAGTCCTTGCCAACAAAAAAGATAGTAGATTAGTGAAGACTGAAAGCAAATATGGACCAAAAAAATTCAAAATAAGGGACAAAGTTGTGTTTGGTTTTCATTTTGTTTAATTTTCATTTGTGTTTTGTGTGTGTAAATTTTTTCTCAATCTCTGTTGTAAGAAAATATTTGGCTGGGCGTGGTAGCTCATGCCTGTAATCCCAACACTTTGGGAGGCCGAGGTGGGCAGATCACTTGAGGTCAGGAGTTCAAGACCAGCCTGGCCAACATGGTGAAACACCATCTCTAGTAAAAATACAAAAATTAACCGGGTGTGGTGGTACACACCTGTAATTCTAGCTACTCAGAAGGCTGAGGCATGAGAATCGCTTGAACCTGGGAGGTGGAGGCTGCAGTGAGCTGAGATCATACCACTGCACTCCAGCCTGGGTGACAAAATGAGACTTTGTCTCAAAAAAAAATTTATGACTTTATTATGATGTTTACTGTTAACTGCCTCAGTATTATTCCACTACTCACTCAATGGATCAACATACCAATGTCATATGCAAATCTGGATGCTTCACTTGGGAGCGTTATAAACATGTAAACCCTTGAGTATTTAATTTCATTAATTATAACTTAATAGATCCATAGTGAGACTTGAAAAAATCTATTGTGATGATTAATTTTGTATGTCATCTTGACTGGACTAAGAGATTCCCAGATAGTTGATAAAATATCATTTCTGGGTATTTCCAGAGGAGATCACCCTTTGAATCAGTAGACTGAGTAATGCCCAATATGCTCATGAGCAAAGTGGAAATGGTGGCAGGCATGGAGGTTATACATAAGCTCAGCAACATGGACTTTCACTCACGAAGGAAATAACCTAGCTACCACCACCAAAGAGTGCCCAATCTGCCAGCAGCAGATACCAACATGGTGCCTCCAATATGGCACCATTCTCTAAGGTGATCAGCGCCTCCAATATGGCACCATTCTCTAAGGTGATCAGCTAGCTATCTCATGTCAGGTTGATTACACTGGACTACTTCCATCATGGAAGAGGCAACGTTTTGTCTTTACTGCCATGGACACTCTGGATATGGATTTATCTTTCCTCCACCCGGTGCTTCTACCAAAACTACCATTGGAGGACTTACAGAATACCTTATCCATCATCGTGGTATTCTACATAACGTCGCTTCTGACCAAGGAACTCACTTTGCAGCCAAAGAAAAGCAGTAATTAGTCTATGCTCATGAAATTCCCTAGTTACCATGTTTCTCACCCTGAAGCAGCTGTCCTGATGGAATGAAGAAATGGCCTTTTGGATATTCAATTCCAGTGTCAGCTAGGTCACAATACCTGCAGCCCTGCAGAAAGATTCTCTAGAAGGCTGTGTATGTTTTTAATCAGCATCCAATATATTTGTTTCTCTGATAGCAAGGATTCATTGGTTCTGGAATCAAGAAGTGAAAATGGAAGAGGTACCATAATCGTTAGCCCTAGTAATCCACTAGCAAATATTTTGCTTCCTTGTCCTATCACTTTATGCTCCACTGGCCTAGAAGTTTTAGTTCTCTAGGGAGAAGTACTTCTATCAGGAGACACAAAAAATGATTCCACTGAACTAGAAGTTAAGACTGCCACATGGCCTCTTGCGGTCCTTATGCTCTGAGTCAACAGGCCAGTAAGGGAGTTACATATATTGGCTGGATTGAGTGATCCAGACTACTAAGAGAAAACTGGACTGCCACTCTACAATGGAGGTAAGGATGAGTATGTCTGAAATATAGGTGATGGCTTAGTGCATCACTTAGTGTTATCATGCCCTGTAAATTAATGTTAGTGGAACACTACAACAACCCAATCCTGGTGGGACTACAAATACCCAGATTCAGGAATGAAGATTTTACTCCACAAAGTCAAAAGCCACAACCAGCAGAGGTTCTTGCTGAAGGCAAAGGGAATACAGAATGGGAAGTAGAAGATAATCACAAATACAAGACCACAAAACTAGTTACAATAATGAAAATTGTAATTGTCATGAGTATTTCCTCCTTGTTACAAGTATGTGTGCATATACATATATTGAGCAAATACTTTTATTTTCTCTCATTCCCTTATGTAACATAAGATGTATTATCTTTAGATCAATATTAACTACTGTCAATTTTACATTGTATTTGTTATGGCATATCATGGAAAGAGTAAAGATCACTGAAGAACTTTACCTCCTATTCTGGAGAAGGAATTAGTGTATTTCTGGTTGTAGGCAGGACAGTTGTATCATGTTAGATGTAATCATTCATTATTTTTTATTTGGGGATTAATTAAGGTTCAAGGCGATGCATAAGGTGTCAAATTGACAAGGGGTAAATTTATGATGGTTAATTTTATGTGTCAACTTCAATGGGTTAAGGGAAGCCTTGATAGCTGGTAAGGAATGATTTCTGTGTGTGTCTGTAAGAGATCAGTATTTGAACCAGAAGACTGAGTAAAGAAGCTACCCACTCACCAATGTGAGTGGCATTATACAATCTGTTTTGGGCCCAGATAGAAAAAAAAGGCAGAGAAATGGTGAATTAACTCTCTCTCTTTCTCCTTGAGCTGGGCATCTGTCTTTTTCTGCCGTCAACATTAGTGCTCCTGTTTTCAGGTTTGAACGTGGGACTTATATCAGCACCCCCAACTCCAACCCACAGACTGGGAGTTAGTTATACTTTTTAGTCCCCTGGTTCTCAGGCCTTTGGACTGGGACTGTATTATATCAGTTGCTTTCCTGGTTCTCCAGCTTACAGACATCGTGTCACGGGACCTCTCAGCTTCCATAATTGCAGGAGCCAATTCCATAACAAATCTCCTGTTACCTCCATATCTATCTGTCTGTACTCTCTGGGTTCTGATTTTGCAGAGAACCTTGACTAATACCTCTGTTTAACAAGTCACCCATTTCGTTTTAATCAGCAGAATTTGTCATTTAGCAACAGCTATTTAATATTAGCCTGATTATTTACTGCTATTGATATTCTACTGGATGCATAGTAGAAAAATATATAACATATATATATACACATTATTTTAAATTTTATTTTTCTAATTTAGTATATGTTTATTGATTTTCTGGGATTGTATTTTATTCACAATATGAAGTCACTGACTTTTTTATTACATTTTTAAGTTTTATGAGTACATAGTAGGTGTATATATTTATGGGGTACATGAGATATTTTGATACAGACATAGAATACATAATCACATCAGGGTAAATGGGGGTATTCATTACTTCAAGCATGTATCATTTCTTTATATTACAAACATTCCAGTTACAATCTTTTGGTTATTTTGAAGTGTACTATAAGTTACTGTCGAGTATAGTCATCCTGTTGTGCTATCAAATACTAGATCTTATTTATTCTACATAACCATATTTTTGTACTGATTAACCATCCCCACAAGCCCCTCACTCTCCCTATCCCAGCCTCTGGTATCCAGCATTCTATTCTCTATCTCCATGAGTTTAATTGTCTTAACTTTTAGCTCCCAAATATGAGTAAGAACATAAGAAGTTTGTTTTCTGTCCCTGTCTTATTTCACTTAACATTATATCCTCCAGTTTCATCCACAATGCTGCAATGATGCAAATAACAGGATATCATTCTTTTTTATGGGTGACTAGGACTCTATTGTGTACATGTTCCACATTTTCCTTTCCATTCATCTGATGATGGACAATTAGATTAATTCCACATTGTGGCCATTGTGAACAGTGCTACAATAAACATGGGAATGCAGATATCTCTTCAGTATACACATTTTCTTTCTTTTTGGTATATACCTAGGAGTGAGATTGTTGGATCACCTGGTGGTTCTATTTTTAGTTTTTTGAGGAACCCGCATGCTGTTCTCCATAGTAGTTGTACTAATTCACATTCCCATCAACAGTGTTTGAGGGTTTCCTCTTCTTTACATCCTTGCCAGCATACGTTATTTCCTGTGTTTCTGATAAAAGCCATTTTAACTGGGGTGAGATGATATTTCATTGTCATTTTAATTTCATTTCTCTGATGACCAATGGTGTTGAGAAGGTTTTTATATGCCTGTTTGCCCATTATGTGTCTTTTTTTTTTTTTTTCAAAAAAAAAAATCTATTCAGATATTTGGCCCATTTTTAAATAAGTTTATTAGAATTTTTCCTATTGAGTTGTTTGAGCTCCTTCTATATACTGGCCATTAATCCCTTGTCTGATGGATAGGTTGGATATATTTTCTCTCATATTGTACATTGTCACTTCACTTTGTTGATGTTTCCTTTGCTGTGCAGAAGCTTTTTAACTTGGTGTGATCCTGGTTGTTCATTTTTGCTTTGGTTACATGTGCTTTTGGGGTATTATACAACAAATCTTTGCCTAGACAATGTACTAGAGAATTTCCACCATGTTTACTTTTAACAGTTTCATGTCTTAGATTTTAGTTTTTAATCCATTTTGATTTGATTTTTGATATGGTGAGAGATAGAAGTCTAGTTTCATTTTCTGCATATGGATATCCAGGTTTTCCAGCACCATTTATTGAAGAGACAGTACTTTCCCTGATGAATGTTCTTGGCACCCTTGACGAAAATGAGTTTACTGTAGATGTATGGATTGATTTTTGGGTTCTCTGTTCTGTTACATTGGTCAATGTGTCTGTTTGTATGCCAGTATTACAATGTTTTGGTTACTGTAGCTCTGTAGTATAATTTGAAGTCAGATAATGTGATTCCTCCAGTTTTGTTCTATTGCTCATGATAGCATTGCCTATTTTGTGTCTTTAGTGCTTTGAAGCAGGTCATTGATATTTTCGTAGAGATTGCATTAAATTTATAGATTTCTTTGGGTAGTATAGACATTGAAACGATATTGTTTCTTCCAATCCAGGAACACAAAATATCTGTCCATGTTTTTGTCCTCTACAATTTCTTGCATCAATGCTTTATAGTTTTTATTGTGGAGATCTTTCACTTCTTGTGTAAGTTTATTCCTGCAAATTTAGTTTAATTTGTGGCTATTGTAAATAAGATTACTTCCTGGATTTCTTTTTCAGATTGTTTGCTGTTGGCATGTAAATATGCTACTGAATTTTGGATGTTGATTTTGTACCCTGCAACTTTATTGAATTTGTTTAGCAGTTTTAATAGTTTTTTAATGGAATCTTTAGGTTTTTCCAAATGTAAGATTGTATCATCTGCAAACAAGGATAATTTGACTTCTTCCTTTCCAATTTGGATGTCCTTTATTTCTTTCTCTTGTCTGATTGCTCTAACTAGGACTTACAGTACTCTGTTGAATAGCACTTGTGAAAGTGGGCATCCTTGTCGTGTTCCAGATCTTAGAGGAAAGGCTTTCAATTTTTCCCATTTAGTGTACTAGCTGTGGGTCTGTCATATATGGAATTTATTATGTTGAGGTATGCTCCTTCTAAACCTAATTTTTGAGGGTTTTTATCAGGAAGAAATGATGAATTTTATCAAATGCTTTTTCATCATCAATGAAGATGATCATATGGTTTTTGTCCTTCATTCTCTTGGTGATATGGTTTGGCTCTGTGTCCCCAGGAAAATCTCATGTTGAATTGTAATTCCCATGTGGTGGAGGAGGGCCTGGTGGAAAGCAATTGAATCATGGGGGTGGATTTCTCACTTGCTGTTCTCATGATAATGAATGAGTTCTCACAAGATCTGGTCGTTTAAAGGTCTGCACTACTTTCTCCTTCACTCGTTCTCCTGCCACCATGTGAAGATGTGCTTGCTTTCTCTTTGCCTTTCTGCCATGATTGTAAGTTTTCTGAGGCCTCACCAGCCATGACTCCTGAATAGCCTGTGAAACTTTGAATCAATTAAACCTCTTTTTTTTTCTTTATAAGTCACCCAGTCCTAGGTATTTCTTTATAGCAGTGTGAGAACAGACTAATATGGAAAATTGGTAACAGGAGTTGGATATTGCTATAAGGATACTGAAAAATATGAAAGTGACTTTGGAACTGGGTAATATGCAGAAGTTAAAACAGTTTGGAGGGCTCACAAGAAGATAAGACAATGAGGAAAATTTTGGAACTTCCTAGAGACTTGTTTAATAATTTTGTCCAAAACACTGATAGCGATATGGACAATGAAATCCAGGATGAGGTGATCTCAGACGGAGATGAGGAACTTACTGGGAACTGGAGCAAAGATCAGTGTTGCTATGCTTTAGAAAAGAAACTGGCAGCATTGTGCCCCTTCCCTAGGGATCTGTGGAACTTTGAAATTAAGAGAAATTATTTAGGTTACCTGGTAGAAGAAATTTCTAAGCAGCAAAGCATTCAGACCTGGCTGCTTCTCAAAGCCTACTGTCATTTGCATAAGCAAAGATAACTTATATTTAAAAGGAAACCAGAGCATAAAACTTTGGAAAATGTGTAGCGTGACCATGTGGTAGAAAAGAAAACTCAATTTTCTAGGAAGGATTTCAAGGGTGCAGAAATTTGCATAAGTAAAGGAGAATTGAATGTTAATAGCCAAGATAATGGGGAAAATGCCCCCAAGGCATTTCAGAGTCCTTCATAGCAGCCCCTTCCATCACAGGCCTGGAGGCCTAGGAGAGAGAACTGGTTTAGTGGGCCAGGCACAGGGCCCTGCTGCTCCATGCCATCTCAGGACATGGTGCTTTGCATCCCAGCTGCTCCAGCTCCAGCAATGACTAAAAGAGGACAAATTACATGTTGGACTATTGCTTCAGAGCATGCAAGCCCCAAACCTTGGCAGCTTCCACATGTGGTTGGGCCTGAGGTGTGCAGAAGGCAGGTGTTAAAGTTTGGGAAGCCTCCACATAGATTTCAGAGGATGTATTGAAACGCCTGGATGTCCAGTCAGAAGTCTGCAGCAAGGGTGGAGCCCTCATGAAGAAACTCTGCTAGGGCAGTGCAGAAGGAAAATGTGAGGTTGGAGTCCCCACTGGGGCACTGCCTAGTGGAGCTGTGAGAAGAGGGCCACTGTCTTCCAGACCACAGAATGGTACATCCACTGACAGCTTGCATCATTCACCTGGAAAAGCCACAGGCACACAACACCAGCCCATGAAAGCAGTCATGGGTGCTGTAACCTGCAGAGCCACAGCAGCAGAGCTGCCCAAGGCCTTGGGAATCCATCACTTGCTTCAGTGCATCCTGGATGCAAGACATGAAGTCAAAGGAAATTATTTTGGAGCTTTAAGATTTAATAACCACCCTGCTGGGTTTTGGCCTGAAGCCACTTTGTTTTGGTCAATTTTTCCCTTTTGGAAAGGGAATATTTACCCACTGCCTATACGTGAATTGTGTCTTGGAAGTAACTAACTTGTTTTTGATTTTACAGGCTCATAGGCCAAAGAGACTTGCCTTGTCTCAGATGAGACTTTGTACTTGGACATTTAAGGTAATGCTGGAATGAGTTAAGACTTTAGGGGACTGTTGGTAAGGTATTATTGTGTTTTGATATGTGAGAAGGACATGAGATTTGAGAGGGGCCAGGGGCAGAGTGATATGGTTTGGATTTTTTTCCCACACAAATCTCATGTTGAATTGTAATCCCCACATGTTGGAGGAGTGGTCTGGTTTGAGGTGATTGAATTATGGGGCCTAACTTCCCCCTTCCTGTTCTCATTATAGTGAATGAGTTCTCAGGAGGTGTGGTTGCTTAAAATGTGTGCCACTTCCCCCTTCACTCTTTCTCTTGCCCCCATGTGAAGACATGCTTGCTCTCCCTTCACCCTTCTGCCATGATTGTAAGTTTCCTGAGGCCTCTCAGCCATGCTTTCTGTACAGCCTGTGGAACTGAGTTTATTAAACCTCTTTTTTTTCTAAGTTACCCAGTCTCTGTTTGTTCTTTATAGCAGTGTGAGAACAAACTAATACAGTTGTTATGATGTAGCACATTGATAGATTTGCATACATTGGACCATCCTTGCATCCCTGGATGAATCCCATTTGCTTATTGCTTAAGGCCATGGGAGCCTACCTCATGCATCAGCATGACCTGGATGTGAGACATGGAATCAAAGGAGATCATTTTGGAACTTTAAGGTTTAATGACTGCCCTATTGGATTTTGGCCTTGCATGGGGCCTATAGTGCTTTTGTTTTGGCCAATTTCTCCTACTTGTATCAGGTGTATTTACCCAATGCCTCTACCCCCATTGTAACTTGGAAGGAATTAACTTATATTTCATTTTATCAACTTATAGGCAAAAGGGACTGGCCTTGTCTCAGATGAGATTTTGGACTTGGACTTTTGAGTTAATGCTGGAATGAGCTAAGACTTTGGGGACTATTTGGAAGGTATGACTGTGTTTTGAAATGTGAGGACATGAAATTTGGGAGGAGCCATGAGTGGAATAATATGGTGTGGCCATGTCCCCACCCAAATCTCATTTTGAATTGTAGTTCCCATAATCCCCACATGTCATGGAAGGGACCCAGTAGAAAGTGATTGGATCATGGGAGCAGTTTTCTCTATGCTGTGCTCGTGTTAGTGAGTTCTCATGAAAACTGATGGTTTTATAAGCATCTGGCATTTCTCCTGCTTGCACTCATTTTCTCCCTGCTGCCCTGTGAAGAGGTGCCTTCTGCCATGACTGTAAGTTTCCTGAGGACTCCCCAGCCATGAGGAACTATGAGTCAATTAAAACTCCTTCCTTTATAAATTACCCAACCTTGGGTATTTTGTCATAGCAGCGTGAGAATGAACTAATACAGTTATGATGAATGATCTTTTGAATGTGTTGTTCCATTTAGTTTGCTTGTATTTTTTGAAGATATTTACATGAATGTGCATCAGAGATAGTGGCCTATAGTTTTCTTTCTTTTTTTATGTGTCTTTGTCTGGTGTTGCTATAAGGATAATAGAGATTTTATAGAATGAGTTTGGAAGTATTATCTCATTCTCTATTTTTCAAAATAGTTTGAGTATGATTGGTATTAGTTCTACTTTAAATGTTCAGTAAAATGCCCCAGTGAGGCCACTGAGTCCCAGGTTTTCTTTGGTTGGAGACATTAGCAGGTCTTCAATCTCATTACTCGTATTGGTCTATTCAGTTTTTGAATTTCTTCATGGTTCAGTTTTGGTAGGTTGTATGTTCCTAGAAATTTATCCATTTCTTCTAGGTTTTCCAATTTATTGGCATATAATTACTCATAGCAGTTTCTAATAATCTTTTGAATTTCTATAGTAGAAGTTGTATTGTCCTTTTCATCTCTGATTTTATTTATACAAGTCTTGCTCTTAATGTGTCTAAAAGTTTGTTGATTTTGTGTATCTTTTTAAAACATTTCATTGATCTTTTATATTTTTTAAAATGTCAATTTTATTTATTTCTGCTCCATTATTTATTATGTCTTTTCTACTACTAATTTTGGATTTGGTTTGCTCTTGCTTTTCTAGTTCTTTAAGATGCATTATTAGATTGTTTATTTGATTTTTTTTAACTTTCTTGAAATAGGCACTTAGTACTGTAAATTTTCCTTGGTATTGCTTTTGCCATACCCCATAGTTTTTGGTGTGGGTTTTTTTCCATTTTCATATGTTTCAAGAAATCTATCAGTGTTCTTATTAATTTCTTTATTGACTCACTGGTCATTCAGGAGCATATTGTTTAATTTCCATGTGTTCATATTGTTTCCAAAGTTCCTCTTGTTAGTGATTTCTAGTTTTATTACATGTGGGAAGAAAAGACATTTAATATGATTTTAAATTTTGAATTTTTTAAGTCTTATTTTTTAGTGTAGCCTAACATACGATCTATCATTATTAATGATTCATGTGCTGAGGAGAAGAATGTGTTTTCTACAGATGTTGAGTGAAATGTTCTATAAACATTATTTGGTCTGTAATGGAGATTAAATCCAATGTTTCTTTGTTGATTTTCTTTCTTTTTTTTTTTTTTTCTTTTTGAGATGGAATCTTGCCCTGTTGCCCAAGCTGGAGTGCAGTGGCACAATGTTGGCTCACTGCAACCTCTGCCTCCTGCGTTAAAGCAATTTTTCTGCCTCAGCCTTCCAACTATTTGGGATTACACTCATACGCCACAATGCCTGGCTTTTTTGTTTTTTTCTTTGATTTTTAATACAGACAAGGTTTTGCTATGTTGGCCAATCTGGTCTCAAACTCCTGACCTCAGGTAATCCATCCCCCTTGGCCTTCCAAAGTGCTGGGATTACAGGCTTGAGCCACCAAGCCCAGACTCTTTGTTGATTTTCTGTCAGTATAATCTGTCCAGTGCTGAAAGCGGGGGGTTGAAGTCTCCAGCTCTTATTGTATTAGGGTCTATCTCTCTCTTTAACACTAACAATATTTGCTTTGCATTTCTGGGTGCTTCAGTATTGTATTGGGTGCATATATATTTATAATTGTTATATCCTCTTGCCGAATTGACCACTGTATTCTTATGTAATGACATTCATTGTCTTTTTTTAGAAATAGTTTCTGTCTTGAAATCTATTTTGTTTGTATAAGTGTAGCTACTCCTGTTCTTTTTTGGTGTCTATTTGCACAGAATATCTTTTTTCATTCTTTTATTTTCAATACATGCTTATCTTTATAAACAGTGAAGTGTGTTTTTTGTAGGCAACAATGAACATAAAATTAAACAAATAATAACGAATTTTAATGTACATAGCACTTAATGTCCTGTTGTCTCATATCAACTTTTTAAATCAACATTTCAAATGGGTATTTCATGCTTAATTGTGATAATAAGATATGTCAAGTAAATGGATCTGTTTGTAATGACACTAGTACAGAGGTGAAAAAATCAGGATTATTACATCTTATTTCACATAAAAGTTAATTTATTTTACCTATCTCTCTCTCTCTGTCTTCCAGGAAGCTACCCATTAACTATAAAATAAAATCAAATTATTAGTTATCTATTTATCTTCCTCCTCATACTTTTTAAAAGATTTTTTCATTGTTACACCTCTGTGTTCCTGCAGAAATACTTAGTCTTCATTTTCAATTAAAGCCTGCCATTCCTTCATCCTTATACCCATTCACTCATTTAACAACATTGAGCTTTTCTATTGTGAGGCACTATACCTTTCGAGTACATAATGTGAACAGGATATGATTCCTCCCTTGAAAGTGTAGTAAGAGAGATAGCTCTTATCAGACTATTAAAGTATTTTTAAATAGTTTAAAAGTGATAGTTTGACAGTGAGTTAATGTAAATGAATGTAAGTGCATTCACATGGTGGTAGTCATAGTGTCACTATAAAAAAATGAATACAGTCATAGAAATGGAGGTTACAGAAGGCTTTAAAAATGGAAATACTTGAGGTGAGTCATGAAGAATGATGAGGAGTTTGCCATTTTGCCAGAGAGGCATGGCTGGGTAAGTATCTCAGGCAGATAAAACAGCAGAGATAAAGTCAGTGAAATACTGAATTGTATAAAAAGTTGCATTAAAAAAGGATTGCATTTTTACTTCTGCTTCCTACAATGTAGATGAGAAGTACTTCACCTACTGCATCTTCTATGTGAAACTAAAACTTTGAAATTATATATAAAATAAACAAGAAATATTAAATGGTGGGGAGAAGAAAGCAGATGAGTGAGGGAGCTTGGAACCTGAGGAATGACATAAGAATGAGTCCATGGTGTATTATTCTGTTCTCACACTGCTATAAAGACATACTCAAGACCAGTTAATTTATTAATGAAAAGAGGTTTAATCAGCTCATGGTTCTGTGTGCTACACAGTCTTCTTCTTTTGAGGAGGCCTTAGGAAACACTATTATGGTG
The DNA here is from genome assembly GCF_000001405.40 of Homo sapiens. Lineage (NCBI taxonomy): Eukaryota > Metazoa > Chordata > Mammalia > Primates > Hominidae > Homo > Homo sapiens. The sequence continues at coordinate 166,593,083 of NC_000002.12, read as the reverse complement.
GAAGGTAAAGAAGAAGCCTGCGTATTTTCACATGGCCATCTGGAGAGAAAGGGAGCAGGAGTTTTAAACAGCGGATCTTGGGAGAACTCTATCACAAGATAGCACTAAGGGGATGGTGCTAAATCATTGGAAACCACCCCCATGATGCAATCACCTCTCACCACACCTCACCTCCAACATTGAGACTTACAATTCTACAGGAGATTTGGGTGAGGATACAGAGCCAAATATTATCGATTGGTTTTGTTTATCATATATTCTGTAGCTGGAGAAGGCAGAATCCTGGAATATAAATGTGAGCAACTACAACAAAAAAGCATGCTCTTTTGAACAAACAGAGAGAGAAAGAAAGAAAAGAATAGTTTCTATAGCAAGACAGAAAGCTTTTAGACAATAATCTGTGTATTCAAGCCAAATACCACATGAAGGGCTGTGGTTATACCTCCAAATATACCAACAAAGGACAAGTAAGACGCTTAAACTTCCATCCCCATAGACTATAACAATGCACCCCGAACCCACTACTGGGGGTTGGGATAGTGCCAATGAACATTGAGTAGGATGCCAGGACTTAGATCCTCATTGGGCACTAATGAGCACCCCCAGATCCCTGAAATGTCAGTGGAGACCTTGTGAGGAATCTGAACTTACACTCTCATTCCACATTAGAGAGGCAACTTCCCTTTTCCTGTGTAGTGATATAACAGGAGGCCTAAACATAAAACTTTCATTATTCAGCAGTAATGAGTTTCCCTGTCCCCGAACTCCATGTCAATGGAAGCCATGTATGGGGCAAAAAAATGGATATGTTTGCTCCTCCCAGCCAGGGTGTTATCAGTGGAGGCCCACTGGGGAGCTGGAACTTTCACTTCCATTAAGCAGAAAAGGGGTGCCCCTCCCTTCAAGAGTTAACAGAGGCTGAATAAGGTACCTGGATCTTGACTCTCACCTGGCAGTAACTAGTGAGTACCACCATTTTCTTTTTGGAGAAGTGTCGGAAGAACAAAGCTAAAACAAAATGTTTAAGTAAGATTCAGAATGTCATAGTGTAATAACCAATATATCCAGTTTCCTATCAGAAATCATTTTTTATACCAAGGAGCAGGAAAATCTCAAATTGAATGAAAAATGAGAACCAACAGACACCAACACTGAGATTACAGACATATTAGACATATCTGACAAGGATTTTAGTGGAGCCATCACAAAAAACTTCAATGAGTAATTACAAAAACACTTGAAATAAGGAGTCTCTGAAAAGGAGTGGAAAGTCTCAGTAGATAAACATAAGATGTAAACAATAATCAAGTATAAATTTTAGAACTGAAAATTACAATAACCAATACAATAACCTTAGCTGATGGGCTCAACAGCAGAATGGACAGAGAAGAAATAGTCCACAAAAATGAAGATAATAATAATTGAAAACTATGAGAAGAAAGAAAATGAAGTCTCACTGGCCCGTCATACTATAAAAAGAGAGTTAACTTTTGTGCCATTACAATTCCAGAAGGTGAGAAGAGAGAGAGGAGAACTGAAAATTTTCACAGACATAATAGCTGAAAATTTCTGAAGTCTCACTGGCCTGTCATAGTATAAAAAGAGAGCTAACTTTTGTGGTCCATTACAATTCTGGAAGTTGAGAAGAGAGAAAGGAGAACTGAAAATTTTCACAGACATAATAGCTGAAAATTTCTGAAATTAGGCAATAATGTAAGCTTACAGATGAAAGAATAAGAGGAAAAGCAAAACAAGATAAACTTTGAAATATCCAGGCCAAGAAATGTCATAAATAAACTTCAGAAAACTAAATCATACATAGTGTATTCTCCAATCATAATGAATAAAACTAGGAATAACAAAGACAAGGGAAAAATATCCAACGGTTGAAAAGAAAACAACATCACACTTGTAAATAATACTAGATCAAAGAGGGAGTCTCAAGGGAAATAAAATTTAACTGAGTAAAAATGATAATCTAATATCAAATTTGAAAAGATGAAACTCATTGTTGAGGGAAAGTTATAACACTAATTTCTCATATTAGGAAAGTAGGAAAGTGTCAAATCAGTAGTCTAAGGACTTAAGGAACTAGAAAAAGCAGAGCAAAATAAATTCAAACCAAGTGGAACGAAGTAAATAAGACGAGAAAATTAAACAATGTGATTGGAAACAGAAAAATGATAGAAAAAATTAACAGAAGAAACATCTGGAACTTGAAAAAGATCAATGAAATTGACAAACCTCTAGCAAGACTGACAAAGAAAATAAAAGAAGACACAAATTACCAGTTTTAGGAATGAAAGAGAAAATACTATTACAGACCTTGCAGACATCCAAAGCATACTAAGGGGGAATACTAGAAACAACTTTACACACATAAATTTGACAACTTAGAACAAGTGGACCAATTCCTCAAAAAATGCAATCTGCCATAACTCACCCAAGAGGAAATTGATCATATCAATAGGCTCAAAAACTATTAAGGTAATTCAATTTATTATTTTTAAACAATCAAACAATAAATTTCCAGGGCCAGATGAATTCACTGGAGAATGCTACCATGTTTTTAAAGAAGAATTAATGCTAATTCTATACAAGCTCTTCCAGAATATACAAGAAGGGAAAACTTCTCAATTTTATAAAGCCAATAATACCTTATTACCAAAACTAGACAGACACAGTACAAAAAGGAAAAAAAAAGTACAGATCAGTATTCCTAATAAATATAAATGCAAAAATTCTTTTAAAAATTAGCAAATGAAAGTCTGCATATAGATAAACAATTATACATCATGACTAAGTGGAGTTTATGCTGAGGATCAAAAGCTAGTTCAGTATTCAAAAATCAATAAATATAATTCACCATTAACAACAGCCTACAGAAGAAAAACTACATGATCATAATAATTGGTGCTGAAAATGACTTTGATAAGGGAAAGCAAATGGACAGAGATTGATTCACCGTCAATTCGTGATAAAAGCTCTCAGAAAAATAGAAATCAAAGGGACCCTTTCCAAGAAAAAATATCCATTGGATACTATTCTTTGTTGTTTTGTTGTTGTTGTTTTGAGACAGAGTCTCACTCTATTGTCAGGCTGAGTGCAGTGGCATGATCTCGGCTCATTGCAACCTCTGACTTACTGGCTCAAGCGATTCTCCTGCCTCAGACTCCCAAATAGCTGGGATTACAGGCATGCGCCACCATGCCCAACTAATTTTTGTGTCTTTATTAGAGACAGGGTTTCACCATGTTGGCCAGGCTGGTCTCAATCTCCTGACCTCGTGATCCGCCCGCCTCGGCCTCCCAAAGTGCTGGGATAACAGGCATGAGCCACTGCAAGTGGCCCATCGGGCACTATTCTTATTGCTCAGGTGACAAAACTATCTGAACACCAAGCCCCCATGACACGTGGTTTATCTATACAACGAAACTGCACAAGTACCCCTGAAAATAAAAGTTTTTTATTATTGTTGTTGTTGTTCTTTCTTTTTTTAACATCTACAAAAAGCCTACAGCTAACATTATACTTAATGGGGGAGACTACAGAATGTTTTCTGTCTAATATCAAGAACAGGGCAAGGATATCTGTTCTCAACACTCTTATTTGATATGGCACTAGAAACTACCGAATGTAACAAGAATTTTTTTTTTTTTTGTAGTGGAGAAGGGGGCATATAGACTAGAACAAAATAAAAATGTTCTTATTTGCAGATGACATAATTGTCTATGTAGAAACTCCGAAGGAATGTACCCCCCCACAAATCCTAAAATTAAAAAGTGAATTCAGGGACATCACAGAATACAAGATAAATATTTATTTAAACTGTCTTTACAATGACCACATATATATATCAAAATTAAACATACAATAGTCTTTAGATCTGCTCAAGAAAAGAGAAATAGTTTGGTATAAATCTAGCTAAACATTAGAGAACTTTTAGGCTGAAAACTACAAAAAAGTGATGAAAAAATCTAAAGTTAAATGAATGGAACATATAGTTAATGAGTTGAAAAATTCAACATTGTAAATACAACAATTATTTCCAAAGTGATATACAGACTTAAGGCAATTTTTGTCAACATTGTAGCACAATTTTTGGAAACACTGAGATTATTCTAAAATTTATATAGAATTTAGTTCTTAGTTTTACATAGAAATACCTGAGAACTCAAAACCATTTTAAAAAGAAAAATAAAGGGGGACAAATTACTGTAACAAATTTAAAGATATTATATAGGCTACAGTGATCAAGGCTGCACGATATTGGTGAAGTAACACATTTATGTAGAACATCTTTTATGTCTTCAACAATGTTTTATAGTTTTCACTTTGAAAGTCTAACTTTCTTGGTTATTTATTTCAAGGTGTTTTATTCTTTTAGATGCTTCTATAAATTGAATTATGTCTTAATTACATTTTAGATTGTTCATTGTAGGGGTATAAAGACATAATCAATGTTTGTGTGTTTATCATGTACCCTGGAACTTTGCTGAATTATTTGTTAGCTTTAGTAATTTTCTTGTGGATTCTTTGGGATTTTCTATATATAGAATTTTGTCATCTGTGAATAGAGATACATTTATTTCTTACTTTCCGATGTTGATGCTTTTTACTTTTTTATGTTACATGAGAGTTTTTTTTTTTTTGCTTTGTTTTTTGATAGATATCTTTTATCAGATTGAATAAGCTTTCTTGTATATTCCTACTTGCCTGACTATTTTTATCATGAAGGGGAACTTTATTTTGTCAAATGCTTTTTGTGTATGCATTGAGGTAAACTTGTTGTTTTTACTCTATATGCTGTATTACACTAATTGATTTTTGTATGTTAAATCAATTGTCCATGAGGTAAATCCCACTTGCATGTGGTGGACAAACATATTTATATGTTGCTGGATTTGGTTTCCTATTACGTTGTAGATTATTGTATCTATATTCTTAGAGATATTGCTGTGCAGTTTTCTTTTTTGTGATGTCTTTATCTGGTTTTGGTATAATGTTATAACACTAGCTTCACAGAATGAAGGAAGGGCTCACTCTTTTTTTGGCAGAATTAGTAAAGGATTGATGTTAATTCTACATTAAATGTTTGGCAGAATTGGCCTGTGAAACCACACAGGCCTAAGCTTTTCTCTGTAGAAAGTTATAAAATGATAAATTTAGACTTTTTACTTGTTCCAGATGTATTCATTTTTTCTATTTCCACGTGGTTTAATTTCAGTAGTTTGTGCCTGTTTAGGAATGTGTCAATTTTATATACGCTATCTATTTTTTGACATGTAGTTGTTAATAGCATTCTTTTAAAATCTTTTTCATTTCTGTGAGGTCTATGGTAGTAATCTCTACAGTGCTAATAACCCCTATATTGTTCTTTATTTTAGCAACTTGAAGCTTCTCTCTTTTTTCTTGGTTAGCCTATAAACAGGTTGTCAATTTTTTTGATCTGTTCAAAAAAATCTAACTTCTGATTTACTTAAATATTTCTATGTCACTTATTTTAACTTTAAACTTTATTATTTTGTTCCTCTTTTTGATTTTTGGTTGGGTTTGCTCTTCTAGTTCTTTAAAGAACAAATTTAAGGCAGTGATTTAAGATTTTTTCTTTTTAATATATGTGTTTATAGATATAAATTGCTCTGCCTTAGCTACATCCTATAATTTTGTATGTGGTTTTATTTTATCGATCTCCAGTTCCTTTTTTTCTCTTTTTTTTAAATCATACTTTAAGTTCTAGGGTACATATGCAGAATGTGCAGGTTTGTTACATAGGTATACATGTGCCATGGTGGTTTGGGCACCCATCAACTCGTCGTTTACATTAGGTATTTCTCCTAATGTTATCCCTCCCCCAGGCCCCCACCCCACAACAGGCCTCGGTGATGTTCCCTGCCCTGTGTCCAAGTGTTCTCATTGTTAAATTCCCACCTATGAGTGAGAACATGCAGTGTTTGGTTTTCTGTCCTTGTGATAGTTTGCTGAGAATGATGGTTTCCAGTTTCATCCATGTCCCCGCAAAGGACATGAACTCATTGTTTTTATGGCTGCATGGTATTCCATGGTGTATATGTGCCACATTTTCTTAATCCAGTCTATCATTGATGGACATTTGGGTTGGATCCAAGTCTTTGCAATTGTGAATAGTGTCACAATAAACATATGTGTGCATGTGTCTTTATAGTAGCATGATTTATAATCTTTTGGGTATATACCCAGTAATTGGATCCCTGGGTCAAATGGTATTTCTAATTCTAGATCCTTGAGGAATCGCCACACTGTCTTCCACAATGGTTGAACTAATTTACACTCTCACCAATAGTGTAAAAGCATTCCTATTTCTCCACATCCTCTCCAGCATCTGTTGTTTTCTGACTTTTTAATGATCGCCATTCTAATTGGTGTGAGATGGTAGCTCATTGTGGTTTTGATTTGCATTTCTCTGATGACCAGTGATGATGAGCATTTTTTCATGTGTCTGTTGGCTGCATAAATGTCTTCTTTTGAGAAGTGTCTGTTCATATCCTGTGCCCACTTTTTGATGGGGTTGTTTGATTTTTTCTTGTAAATTTGTTTAAGTTCTTTGTAGATTCTGGATATTAGCCCTTTGTCAGATGTGTAGATTGCAAAAATTTTCTCCCATTCTGTAGGTTGCCTCTTCACTCTGTTGGTAGTTTCTTTTGCTGTGCAGAAGCTCTTTACTTTAATTAGATCCCATTGGTCTATTTTGGCTTTTGTTGCCATTGTTTTTGGTGTTTTAATCATGAAGTCCTTGCCCATGCCTGTGTCCTGAAAGGTATTGCCTAGGTTTCCTTCTAGGGTTTTTATGGTTTTAGGTCTAATATTTAAGTCTTTAACCCATCTCGAATTAATTTTTGTATAAGGTGTAAGGAAGGGATCCAGTTTCAGCTTTCTACATATGGCTAGTCAGTTTTCCCAGCACCATTTATTAAATAGGGAATCCTTTCCCCATTTCTTGTTTTTGTCAGGTTTGTCAAAGATCAGATGGTTGTAGATGTGTGGTGTTATTTCTGAGGCCTCTGTGCTGATCCATTGGTCTATATATCTGTTTTGGTACCAGTACCATGCTGTTTTGGTTACTGTGGCCTTGTAGTATAATTTGAAGTCAGGTAGCATGATGCCTCCAGCTTTGTTCCTTGTGCTTAGGATTGCTTTGGCAATGTGGGCTCTTTTTTCGTTCCATATGAACTTTAAAGTAGTGTTTTCCAATTCTGTGAAGAAAGACATTGTTAGCTTGATGGGAATGGCATTGAATCTATAAATAACCTTGGGGAGTATGGCCATTTTCACGATATTGATTCTTCCTATCCATGAGCATGGAATGTTCTTCCATTTGTTTGTGACCCCTTTTATTTCCTTGAGGAAGAGGTTTGTAGTTCTCCATGAAGAGTTCCTTCACATCCCTTGTAAGTTGGATTCTTTGGCATTTTTTCTCTTTGTAGCAATTGTGAATGAGAGTTCACTCATGATTTGGCTCTCTGTCTGTTATTGGTATATAGGAATGCTTGTGATTTTTCCACATTGACTTCGTATCCTGAGACATTGCTGAAGTTACTTATCAGCTTAAAGAGATTTTGGGCTGAGACTATGAGGTTTTCTAAATATACAATCATGTCATCTGCAAGCAGAGACAATTTGACTTCCTCTTTTCCTAATTGAATACCCTTTCTTTCTCTTGCCTGATTGCCCTGGCCAGCACTTCCAACACTGTGTTGAATAGGAGTTGTGAGAGAGGGCACCCCTGTCTTGTGCCAGTTTTCAAAGGGAATGCTTCCAGGTTTTGCCCATTCAATATGATATTGGCTGTGGGTTTGTCATAAATAGCTGGTATTATTTTCAGATACGTTCCATCAATACCTAGTTTATTGAAAGTTTTTTGCATGAAGGGCTGTTGAATTTTGTCAAAGGCCTTTTCTGCATCTATTGAGATAATCATGTGGTTTTTATCTTTGGTTCTGTTTATATGCTGGATTACACTTATTGATTTGCGTATGTTGAACCAGCCTTGCATCCCAGGGATGAAGCCGACTCTATCATGGTGGATAAGCTTTTTGATGTGCTGCTGGCTTCTGTTTGCCAGTATTTTATTAAGGATTTTTGCATCGATGTTCTTCGGGGATGTTGGTCTAAAATTCTCTTTTTTTGTTGTGTCTCTGCCAGGTTTTGGTATCAGGATGTTGCTGGCCTCATAAAATGAGTTAGGGAGGATTCCATCTTTTTCTATTGATTGGAATAGTTTCAGAAGGAATGGTACCAACTCCTCTTTGTACCTTTGGTAGAATTCAGCTGTAAATCCATCTGGTCCTGGACTTTTTTTGGTTGGTATGCTCTTAATTATTGCCTGAATTTCAGAGCGTGTTATTGGTCTATTCAGAGATTCAGCTTCTTCCTGGTTTATTCTTAGATGGGTATATGTGTCCAGGAATTTATCCATTTTTTCTATATTTTCTAGCTTATTTGTGTAGAGGTGTTTATAGTATTCTCCAACGGTAGTTTGTATTTCTGTGGGATCGGTGGTGATATCCCCTTTATCATTTTTTAAGGCATCTATTTGATCCTCTCTATTTTCTTCTTTATTAGTCTTGCTAGCAGTCTATCAATTTTGTTGATCCTTTCAAAAAACCAGTTCCTGGATTCATTGATTTTTTGAAGGTTTTTTTTGTGTCTCTATCTCCTTCAGTTCTGCTCTGATCTTAGTTATTTCTTGCCTTCTGCTAGAGTTTGAATTTGTTTGCTTTTGCTTCTCTAGTTCTTTTCATTGTGATGTTAGGGTGTGAATTTTAGATCTTTCCTGCTTTCCCTTGTGGTCATTTAGTGCTATAAATTTCCCTCTACACACCGCAGATTCTGGTATGTTGTGTCTTTGTTCTCATTGGTTTTAAAGAACATCTTTATTTCTGCCTTCATTTCATTATGTACTCAGTAGTCATTCAGGAGCAGGTTGTTCAGTTTCCATGTAGTTGAGTGGTTTTGAGTGGGTTTCTTAATCCTGAGTTCTAGTTTGATTGCACTGTGGTCTGAGAGACAGTTGGTTATAATTTCTGTTCTTTTACATTTGCTGGGGAGTGCTTTACTTCCAACTATGTGGTCAATTTTGGAATAAGTGTGATGTGGTGCTGAGAAGAATGTATATTCTGTTGATTTGTGGTGGAGAGTTCTGTAGATGTCTATTAGGTCCGCTTGGTGCAGAGCTGAGTTCAATTCCTGGATAGCCTTGTTAACTTTCTGTCTCGTTGATCTAATGTTGACAGTGGGGTGTTAAAGTCTCCCATTATTATTGTGTGGGAGTCTAAGCCTCTTTGTAGGTCTCTAAGGACTTGCTTTATGAATCTGGGTGCTCCTGTATTGGGTGCATATATATTTAGGATAGTTAGCACTTCTTGTTGAATTGATCCCTTTACCATTATGTAATGGCCTTCTTTGTCTCTTTTGATCTTTGTTGGTTTAAAGTCTGTTTTATCAGAAACTGGGATTGCAACCCATGCTTTTTTTTGCTTTCCATTTTCTTGGTAGATCTCCCTTCATCCCTTGATTTTGAGCCTGTGTGTGTCTCTTCACATAAGATGGGTCCCCTGAATACAGCACACTGATGGGTCTTGACTCATTATCCAATTTGCCAGTCTTCCAATTTGCCAGTCTGTGTCTTTTAATTGGGGCATTTAGCCCATTTACATTTAAGGTTAATATTGTTATGTGTGAGTTTGATCCTGTCATTATGATTTTGGCTAGTTATTTTGCCCATTAATTGATGCAGTTTCTTCATAGCATTGATGGTCTTTACAATTTGGCGTGTTTTTGCCATCACTGGTACTGATTGTTCCTTTCCATGTCTAGTGTTTCCTTCTGGAGCTCTTGTAAGGCAGGCCTGGGGTGACAAAATCTCTCAGCATTTTCTTGTCTGTAAAGGATTTTATTTCTCCTTCACTTATGAAGCTTAGTTTGGCTGGATATGAAATTCTGGGTTGAAAATTCTTTTCTTTAAGAATGTTGAATATTGGCCCCCAGTCTCTTCTGGCTTGGAGAGTTTTTGCTGAGATATCCACTGTTAATCTGATGGGCTTCCCTTTCTGGGTAACCCAAACTTTCTCTCTGGCTGCCCTTAGCATTTTTTCCTTCATTTCCACCTTGGTGAATCTGACAATTATGTGTCTTGGGGTTGCTCTTCTCGAGGAGAATCTTTGTGGTGTTCTCTGTATTTCCTGAATTTGAATGTTGGCCTGCCTTGCTAGGTTGGGGAAGTTCTCCTGGATAGTATTCTGCAGAGTGTTTTCCAACTTGGTTCCATTCTCCCTGTCACTTTCAGGTACACCAGTCAAATGTAGATTTGGTCTTTTCACATAGTCCCATATTTCTTGGAGGCTTTGTTCCTTTCTTTTTACTCTTTTTTCTCTAAACTTTTCTTCTCACTTTATTTCATTAATTTGATTTTCAATCACTGATACCCTTTCTTCCACTTGATCACATTGGCTATAGAAGCTTGTGCATGGATCACAAATTCTTGTGCCATGGTTTTCAGCTCCATCAGGTCATTTAAGGTCTTCTCTACACTGTTTGTTCTAGTTAGCCATTCATCTAATCTTTTTTCAAGGTTTTTATCTTCCTTGCAATGGGTTCGAAACATCCTCCTTTAGCTTGGAGAAGTTTGTTATTACTGACTTTCTGAAGCCTACTTCTGTCAACTTGTCAATGTCATTCTCTGTCCAGTTTTGTTCCATTGCTGGCAAGGAGCTGCGATCCTTTGGAGGAGAAGAGGCGCTCTGGTTTTTAGAATTTTCAGCTTTTCTACTGTAGTTTCTCCCCATCTTTATTGTTTTAGCTACCTTTGGTCTTTTTGATGTTAGTGACCTACAGATGGGGTTTTGGTGTGGATGTCCCTTTTGTTGATGTTGATGCTATTCTTTTCTGTTTGTTAGTTTTCCTTCTAACAGTCAGGTCCCTCAGCTGCCAGTCTGTTGGAGTTTGCTGGGGTTCCACTCCAGACCCTGTTTGCCTGGGCATCATCAGCGGAAGCTGCAGAACAGCAAATATTGCAGAACAGCAAATATTACTCCCTGATTCTTCCTCTGGAAGCTTTGTCCCAGAGGGGCACTCGCCTGTATGAGGTGTAAGTCATCCCCTACTGGGAGGTGTCTCCCAGTTAGGCTACACAGGGATCAGGGACCCACTTGAGGAGGCAGTCTGTCCATTCTCAGAGCTCACGTACTGTGCTGGGAGAATGACTGCTCTTTTCAGAGCTGTTGGACAGGGACGTTTAAGTCTGCAGAAGATTCTGCTGCCTTTTGTTCAGCTATGCCCTGCCCCCACAGGTGGAGTCTACAGAGGCAGCAGGCCTAGCTGAGCTGCGGTGGGCTCTGCCCAGTTCTAGCTTCCAGGCAGCTTTGTTTACCTACTCAAGCCTCAGCAATGGCAGATGCCCCTCCCCCCACCAGGCTGTTGCCTCGCAGTTAGATCTCAGACTGCTGTGCTAGCAGTGAGTAAGGCTCTGTGGGTGTGGGACCCACTGAGCCAGGCATGGGATAGTAACTCCTGGTCTGCCATTTGCTAAGACCTTTGGAAAAGCGCAGTATTTGGAGGGGGGAGTATCCCATTTTTCCCAGGTACAGTCTGTCATGGCTTCCCTTGGCTAGGAAAGGGAAATCCTCTGACCCCTAGTGCTTCTTGGGTGAGGCGATGCCCCGCCCTGTTTCAGCTTGCCCTCCATGGCCTGCACCCACTGTCTAACCAGTCCCAGTGAAATGAACCAGGTACCTAAGTTGGAAATGCAGAAATCACCCGTCTTCTGCGTCGATCCTGCTGGGAGCTGCAGACTGGAGCTGTTCCTATTTGGCCATCTTGGAACCCCTCCCATCTCCAGTTAGTTTCTAAACTTCCTTTTAGTATTCTCTTTGACTCATCAGTTATTAAACCTTTTTTTTTTTTTTTTTTTTTTTTGAAGTCTCACTCTGTCTCCCAGACTGGAGTGCAGTGGCACGATCTTGGCTCACTGCAATCTCCACCTCCCGGGTTCAAGTGATTCTCCTGCCTCAGCCTCCCAAGTAGCTGGGACTAGAGGCATGCGCCACCACACCCAGCTAATTTTTGTACTTTTAGTAGACATGGGGTTTCACCATGTTGGCCAGGGTGGTCTCAAACTCCAGAACTCGTGATCTGCCCACCTCGGCCTCCCAAAGTGCTGGGATTACAGGCGTGAGCCACCGTACCTGGCCCAACTCATCAGTTATTTATGAGTATTTTGTTAATTTCCACTTATTTGTGATTTTCCTAAAATGTCCTTTTACTATTAATTTCAGATTTAATTCCAAAGTAACTGGAAAAATACTTTGCATGATTTCAATACTTTTGAATATATTTATGCTTGTTGATGGCCAGGTAATTTATAAAGAAAATTAAAAATTATGAAGAAAATAAAACTCAAGACCAGGTAATTTATAAAGAAAAAGAGATTTAATGGACTCACAGTTCCACATGGCTGTGGAGGCCTCACAATCATGGTGGAAGGCGAATGAGCAGCAAATCACATCATCTTACATGGCAGCAGGCAAGAGAGACCCTATGCAGGGGTACTTCCCTTTATAAAACCATCAGATTAGCCAGGTGTGGTGGGTCATGCCTGTAATCCCAGCACTTAGGGAGTCCAAGATGGGCAGATCACCTGAGATCAGGAGTTCAAGACTAGCCTGGCCAGCATGGTAAAACCCTGTAGCTACAAAAATTAGCCAGGCATGATGGCAGGTGCCTGTAATTGCAGCCACTTGGGAGGCTGAGGCAAGAGAATCACTTGAACCCAAGAGGCAAAGGTTGCAGTGAGCCGAGATCATACCATTACACTACAGCCTAGGTGACAGAGCGAGACTCAAAAAAAAAAAAAAAAAATCAGCTCTGTGAGACTAATTCACTGTCATGAGAATAGCACAAGAAAGAAAAACCTACCCCAATGGTTCACTTATCTCCCCTGCAGTCCCTCCCACAACACGTGGGAATTATAGGAGCTGCAATTCAAGATTAGATTTGGGTGAGGACACAGCCTAATCATATCAAGCACCTATTGAAAACAAAGTAGAAAGATTTTAAATAACCCAATGATACACTCCAAGGAATTAGAAAACCCAGAATAAACCAAATCCCAAATTAGTAGAAGGAAATAAATGATAAAGATGAGAGCAGAAATAAATGAAACTTAGACTAAAACAGTATGGAAAATCAGTGAAAAAAAAGTTAGTTTTTTAAAAGATAAACAAAATCAATGAATCTTTAATTAGGCTGAGAAAAAAAGAAAACCCAAATAAATCAGAGATGAAAAAGGAGACATAGCAACTGATATCACAAAAATACAAATCATTACAGACTATTATGAACAACTATATACCAATAAGTTGAAAAAACTAGAAGAAATGAATATGTTCCTGGACACATATTACCTACCAGGATTAAACCATGAAAAAATATAATATTTCATCCAACCAATAATGATTAATGAGATTGATGCTGTAATAAAAACTCTTCCATCAAAGAAAAGCCTCGGATCTGATGCCTTTACTACCAAGTTTTACCAAACATTTACAGGAGAACTAATACCAATTCTACTCAAACTATTTTTAAAAATTGAACAGGATAGAGTACTTCCAAACATATTTACAAGGCCAGCATTATCCTCATACAAAAATCAGACAAGAAGACAATAAGAAAAGAACTATAGGTCAATATCTTTGGTAAACATAGATGCAAAAATTTTAAAAAAATACCATGAGACCAAATTCAACAATCCATTAAAAAGATAATTCATTATGATGAAGTGGATTCATCCCACGGATGCAAGGATGTTTCAAAATATGCAAATCAATAAACATACATCACATTAACAAAACCAAGAATAGAAAGTATATGGTCATTTCTGTAGATGATGAAAAATCTTTTGATAAAACTCAACATTTCTTTATGATAAAAACCCTCAACAAACTGAGTATAGAAGGAACACACCTCAAAATAATGATAACCATATACAACAAACCTACAGCTAATATCTATTGAACAGGGTAAAATGGAAAGCTTGTCCCCTAAGATCTAGAATAAGAAAAGGATGCCCATTTTCACAACTTTTATTTTGCATAATACTGGAAATCCTAGCCAGAACAATTAATCAAGAGAAATAAAGGGTATCTAAATTGGAAAGAAAGAAGTCAAACTAGCTTTGTTCACAGATAACATTTATATTTAGCAAAACCTAAAGATGCCACCAAAAAAAACCTGTTAAAACTCATTAACAAACTCAGTAAAGTTTCAGGATAAAAAAATCAACATACAAGAATCAATAGCATTTGTATATGCCAACAGTGAACAATCTAAAAAGAAAGAGAGCAAATTAATTTACAACTGTTACAAATAATATAAAATAGCTAGGAATTAATTTACCTGAAGGAGTGAAAGATCTATACAAGCAAAACTATAAAACACAGGTGAAAGAAATTGAAGAAAACAAAAAATTATTGAAAGGTATTCCATACTCTTGAATTGAAAATATTAATATTATTAAATGACAATGCTACTCAAAGCAACTTATAGATTAAATCCAGTCTCTATCAAAATGCCAATGATGCTTTTCACAGAAATGGAAAAAAAGATTCTAAAATTTATGTGGAACCACGAAAGACCTAACTTGCCATAGAAATCCTGAGCAAAACAAAACCACCCAACTAAACTAGAGGGACATGCTAGTTCTTCAAAATATGCTACAAAGCAAAAGTAGCCAAATCAGTGTAGTAACAACATTAAAAACAGACAGAGGAATCAGTGGAACAAAATAGAAGACCCAGATATAAATCCATGCATTTACAGGAAACTCATTTCTGACAAAGACAACAAGAATATTTAGTGGGGAAAAGAGTCTTTTCAATAGATGATGCTGGGAAAACTGGATAACCATATGCAAAAGAATGAAACTAGACCCCTCTGCCTCACCCATATACAAAAGTCAAATCAAAATGGATTAAAGACTTGGATCTAAGACCTAAGACTATGAAACTACTAGAAGAAAATATTGAGGAAATGCTACGGGACATTGATGTAGGCAAAGATTTTTGTAAGACCTCAAAAGCAGAGGCAACCAAAGCAAAAATAGACGATTGGTATTACATCAATTACATCAAATTAGGAAGCTTCTGCAAATTAAAGGAAACAATCAACCAATTGAATAGACATCCCATAGAATGGGAGAAAATATTTGCCAAGTGTTCATCTGACAAGGGATTCATAATCAGAAAATATGATGAACTCAAACAACTCAATATCCAGAAAACAAACAATTTGATTTAAAAATGGGCAAAAGACTTCAATAGACATTCCTCAAAAGAAGACATACAAGTGGCCAGTGGGTATATGACAAAATGCTCGATATCACTTATCATCAGGAAAATGCAAATCAAAGTCACCTTGAGATATCATCTCACTCCAGTTAGAATCATTGTTATCAAAAAGACAGGGAGTAAAATATTTTGGCGAGGATGTGGAGGAAGAGGAGCCCAGTACACTATTGATGGGAACGTAAATTGGTACAATCACCATGGAGAATAGTTTGGAGGTTCCTCAAAAAACTAAAAATAGAACTATCATATGATCCAGCAATCCCACTACTGGGATTTAGCCAAAGGAAATACAATTGCTATGTCAAAGAGATAGCTGCACTCCCATGTTTGTTACAGCACTATTCCCCATAGTCAAGATATGGAATCAATCTAAGTGCCTATCAATAGATGAATGGTTTAAAGAGTGGTATATATTCATAATTAAGTATAATTAAGAAGTTAAAAAAAGAATAAAATCCTGTCATTTGCAGCAACATGGATGGAACTGGAGGGCATTATGTTAAGTGAAATAAGCCAAGCACAGAAAGACAAATATTGCACTTTCTCACTCATATGTGGGAGCTTAAAAAGTGGATCTAATGAGAATAGAAAGTAGATTGGTGGTTACCGGAAGCCAGGAAGTAGGGGATGAAGAGAGGTTGACTAATGGATAAAATATACAGTTTGAAAGAAGAAATAGAACATACAGTATGATAGATCAGTAGGGTGGCTATAGTTTACAATAATTGATTGTGTATTTCAAAATAGCTAGAAAAGAATAATTTGAGTGTTTCTACCGTAAAGAAAAAACAAATATTTAAGGTGATAAACATGCTAATTACACTGATTTGAGCTTTACAAATTGTGAATGTATTAAATTACCACATGTACTCTGAAAGCATTATATATCAATAAAAACAAATTTTGAAAAATTTAATTTAAAAACAGGGAGAAAAAAATTGAAGAAAATATGAACAGGTCTTTGGTGTCTCATGGGGAAATATCAAAAGGTCTGGCATACATGCATTTTGAATCTTAGAAGAAGGAGGAAGAAAATTGGGTAGAAAATATTTTCCAAGAAATAGTGGCCAAAGTTTCCCTAAATTTGGTAAAAGGTGGAAATGTACAGATGGAAGAAGTTAAATCAGCCTAAAAGAGGTAAATAGTAATAAAACTATACCTAAGTACACTAGAGTTTAACTTACCAGAGTAAAAGAAAAATAAGGAGAAAATCTTGAAAGCAGCTGAAAAACAATACAGTATACAACACATTATAGAATAAGAGTTTGTTTAAATGACCTCTGACTTATAATCGATAGAGCACAAGAGACAGTGAAATGACAGTTTTAAAGTACTGAAAAAAATATATAACAGTAAAGCTGTTTAAAAGAGTTTTCTTAGACATGTTAAATTGCCTTAAGGATTTCTATGAATCTCTTTTCTGGATAATTTGCAGACATCTCAGTACCCTTTCGAGTCTTTGAGTCCATTTCATGCAATAGATCTTCCGTGTTGTGATAATTGTTTTCCTTACTATTCTTACCTAAAAATGGCTAAAAATTAGTGTTCACTATGTGCTGGTTAGTGTTCTAAGGTTTCTGCTCCTCCCATCATGTTATTGAGTTAAATGCTGTAGTTAGCCGGGCGCCGTGGCTCACGCCTGTAATCCCAGCTCTTTGGGAGGCCGAGGCAGGCAGATCACCTGAGGTCAGGAGATCGTTTGAGACCAGCCTGACGAATATGGTGAAACCCCTGTCTCTACTGAAAATACAAAAATATTAGCCTGGCGTCGTGGCAAGCCCCTGTAGTCCCAGCTGCTTGGGAGGCTGAGGCAGGAGAATCGCTTGAACCCGGGAGGCGGAGGTTGCAGTGAGCCAAGGTAGCACCACTGTACTCCAGCCTGGGCAATAGAGTGAGACTCCATTAAAAAAAAAAGTGTTCTAGTTATCTCCATTTTAACAAACCAGAAACTGAAGAACAGAAAAGGTAGGCAACTGACCAAAGCTGTCCTCTGTTGAGAATTAGTGTCAAGATGAAACCCATCAGTCTGGTTTCAGAGCCCATACTCCACATGGCTGACTAGAAAGAAAGACATGGTAATTGTTTTCATATAATGTTCTGTTAAGCAACATTTCAGCAAGCAAAAAAACAAACAAGAAATCCTCCAATTTGCTTTTTTTTCTCAACTGATTTTTCTGGAAAAACAGCTTAGTCTTAAATTTCTCTTGCAGCATTCAAGTTCTAATAATACCACAGTGCATTAGTTGGTAGTTTATTGGTATTGAAAGCTCTAAAATGGTTGTTGCAGTGAATCAAAATACATACTCTTAAGACGTTCCTGTGAATTGATTACGTGTCTTCAGACCAAGAAAAATTTAATTTTATAGATTTATCTCAATTGTTAATATATTAGAAAAACAAAATGATAGATCAAGTACATATTGTGGTAAATATAATGCAAATGCTGCACATTCATGCTGCCCAACACATGGCTAAGGTTATATATAGTAAAATTATAAAGAAATATAGCAAGAAGATTCTATATATCAAAATTGTGTAACTCTTTGCCATATAAATACCAATTCTATTGTATATATTGTTATGTAAAGACATCTGGAAAGTTAGATTATTTAAATAGGTAAATACATATATCAATTATAAATGCACTTTTTTTTTTTTTTTGAGATGGAGTCTCACTCTGTTGCCCAGGCCTGGAGTGCAGTGGTGCAATCTTGGCTCACTGCAACCTCTGCCTTCTGGGTTCAAGCAATTCTCCTGCCTCAGCCTCCTGAGTTGCTGGAATTACAGACATGCACCACCACCCCCATATTTTTAATAAAGATGGGGTTTCACCATATTGGCCAGGCTGGTCTCAAACTCCTGACCTCAGGTGATTCACCCGCCTTGGCCTCCCAAAGTGCTGGGATTACAGGCGTGAGCCACTGCGCCGGGCCATAAATGCACTTATTTAATACATATTTATTAGCTACCACCACCACAATCTGTCCTTTAATTACTTAATATTTTTCCAAAGGATTGACCAGAAATGTACTAGTGTAAGTGGAGATACAGTCTGGTCACCTATCTAGAATCTTAATCTGTATACCATAACAAAAAATTGATCTTCTAAGGTTTTCTTTTCCTTTGTGGTGGTGTTCCTTCTATCTTTTTCAACTCTGACATAAATACTTAAGATTTCTAGATTGTTGCTTGCCTCACTTGATAATTTATAATCAGAATTAAGAAAAGTTATGAAAATTATTAAATAGATATGCAAGTGACCACATTTTTACTTCAATAATTATACATTTATTAGTTGTTTATTCTTTCCCAAATTATTACAGGTATTGGAACTATGACATTTGAGTCATTTCTTACACTTAATAATTATGAGTACTATTCTATGTGGCTTATTTTATAGCAGCATACTGTTTTGAAGTTATGAATGTGAATATGATATAGTTTAACAAAAGATATTCTGTACCGAAAGAAAAAAGTAATAGTTATAAAAGGCTTAAATGAACTCTTCTATTTCACTGTCATGCTTTGTTTAGTAGTTTCATGTTTTCAATAGCCTCGTGGGAGATTTATAAATAAGAGACCCAGTTTATCTAGAGACATAGAGTTCCCCTACATTTTCATGATTAATGTGTAGAGTCATCTTTACAATTCTCTGATATCCTGAGAGTCTAATTTTGTGTGAATTCATATCCTATGGACAGATTTTATATGTTTACTAGGTGTGGGGACCCTGGGTTTTCCATGTGCACTTGCTTTTAGTGCAGCCCAGAACCACTGGTTATCTCGGGATAACTTCTATTAAGTTGGGACACAGCCCTGATGCAGAGCCCATGGGTATTTTAGCTGTTCCCAACTAGGAATCTTATACTTTGAGCTTACCTTCTTTTCACATAGTTCAATAAAAACAAATTCCTTTTTGCTTAAGTTCAATTTTTTTTTAATAGCAAGTTTTGTATTTACTCTTTCTCAAATTCTTTCCCCAGCATTCCTTCCGGGATTACCTCACGGTTCCCAGGAGAAGAGGAGGAGAAGAATGAGCAATGGATGTGTTGTTGACTGTCCTCCCTTTTGGTAGGATCTCCTATACTGGATGCTATTTCCTGACTCACATCAGAGCAAAGGAAAGTAATCAAGTGACAGGACGGAAAGAGGAGGGGGATGGGACAAAAGGCTTGCAGGGAAGTGTCAGCCAGCAACTGACTGTAAGAGAAGAGTAATCCTCTGAATAACAGACAAACAAAAACAGAGAAAGAGAGAGAGGATTTGTATTGAGGAAGCTTCTTCTGTACTTTAAGATTCAAAAGGGAAAAAAAAACCAGAATAATTCACAATCATTCATTTCCTTAAATCAATTCAACATCCAAAAGAGTTTGCCTCCCAACTGATTATTTCAACTTTGAAATTGCCTTTATTACTATTTTTCTTTGATTTGGAAATATTTATTGAGTGTCTGTTATATGCCAGAAACTACTCTGAGTGGAGAAATGAACAAAGCAGAGAAATTCTCCACATTCATGCAGCTTAAATTCTAGCTGGAAAAGTATAGAATAAACAAACACATGACTGAAAAAAATGAGCATGTCAGATGATGTAAGTACTATGAAGAGAAATAAAGCATGTGAAGGGCATAGAGAATGAGGTGTTAGTGGGAAGTTAATTTCATTGAGGTAGTCAGGGAAACTGACTTGTCTCAAGAAAAATGCATGCTAATTGTAGAAAATTTTAACAAATAAAGGTGAACAAAATAAAAAACTGAAATATGATCTATTTCATGATCCAGAGATAGATAGCCTATGCCAACATTTTATGCTAGTTCTTTTCACAATATTTTTTAAACTGTGGTATGTTGTTTTATTGTTTGAAGTGTTTAATATATGCCTTCCAATAAGATGATTCTGTTTTTTCATTAATTGCCCTGTTACTTAAAGTTTCTAACTATGGGCAGAGAGCACTTTCTTGCTCCATTGTCAGGCTTGGCGACTGACCTGTTTTGACTAATAAAATATGAGCAGAAAAGATTCATGCTGGTTTTGAGCAGAAGCTTGAAGAGCCTTACTTGTTTCTACCAGCAATTCTGCATACTCGTCTACCAAGAGAGGAACATATCCCACATGTGGGCTCACTTTCCTACTGGGTTCTGAAATTAAAACCACCTTGACCAGTCATCAAACACAATTATTGCTACTCATAGAGATTGTGTTAATGTATGATAATCTAGTAAAAGATGAGTAAGATATATGCAAATATAATTTTCAGAAATGAAGTCATACAATACATAATGTTTTTCTGGGCATGGTGGTGGGCACCTATAATCCCAGCTACTCAGAAGGCTAAGGCAGGAAGATTACTTAAGCCTAGGAGTTTGATACCAGCCTGGGAAACATAGGATCTCCCACTCCCCCCAAAAAAACAAAACAAAAACAAAACCATAATGTTATATTTAGTTTAGTGGATTTTCTATATAAAAAATAGCATGACTAGTGCTATCTTCTTTACCAATTAATTTCCTTGTGTTTTAAATCATAAATAACATGTATTTTATAAAAGTTTTCAAACTTAACCTAAATGAGTGAAGTTAAAAGTGAAATTTCTTACACCTCTCTAAACTTGCCCAAACCTAGCCAGTCCCAGGGATAATATTAACAGTTTACAACATGTACTTCTGTGAGTATAGGAGCCGTCTCCTTTCTCTTTCCCTTACTTTGATACATACACACACATTTGTAAAATAGAATCATAGGATCATACATAATATTTTGGGAATGATGTGCTCATGTGTTTGTGTGTGGGTATTGTTTTACATCATGGGCATCTTTCCAAGTCGGTACAAATGTAGATGATAAACTGCTTTTCTTTTAGTTGTGACTTGGCATTCCATGGTCTGACTGTAACAATATTTCTTTTACTATTCTTGTAAATGTAGGGTGTATCTAAATTTTATAATTATGAACAAGTCTGAAAAAATATACTTTTATGTATACTTTTTACTAGTGTTAGGAAACATTCACAGAAATGGACAATAATTATATATTTTTCTACAATACTATTTTTTCTGTCTGTATATTATTTCACTGTGTATGTAATTTATTTAAAATGCCATATAAATGACCATCTATGTTATGGAATTTTCCCCCAGCATTTTACTAGTGTGTACAAAATGATATGGACATTCTTGTATTTAATTACAATGAACATCTACAATTATTTCATTAGTTGGCTGGGCGCAGTGGCTCATGCCTGTAATCCCAGCATTTTGGGAGGCCGAGGTGGGTGGATCACCTGAGGTCAGAAATTCGAGATCAGCCTGGCCAACCTGGTGAAACCCCATCTCTACTAAAAATACAAAAAAATAGCCTAGCTTGGTGGCGGGCACCTGTATTCCCAGCTGCTTGGGAGGCTGAGGCAGGAAAATCACTTGAACCCGATAGGTGGAGGTTGCAGTGAGCCAAGATCGTGCCATTGCACTCCAGCCTGATCAACAAGAATGAGACTCCCTCTCAAAAAAATAAAAAATAAAAATAATTTCATAAGTCTAACCTCAAAAGTCAGTTAACAACAATGTAGAATTCTAGAATTGTGATCAGTGTTGTCATTATTTTTTCTACTAGGTTATTACCATCAGCATTGGATGAGAGTAGCCATTTCTTCAAATACTCATCAACTCTAGTTATTGCCACTGATTAATGTTTGATATGATTAATTTTTGTATTAGCATAATTATGTTGTATTTTAAATATAGATGGTATACACATTATGATGGTACTTAGGTTCACCCAAGAAAAGAATTATAAAAGAAAAACAAAGGGAATACATTTTCTCATTGGAGGCTAGAAGTGTAGTGTACTTTCTTATATCTGCAGTGCTCAAAATTTCAGTTATCTTTTGCTGAGGGTTTGGCTCATTAAAAATACTTTTGCAGCCTTATGAAGATATAATTGATGTATAATAAACTGTACATATTTAACTATAAAATTTGATAAAGTTGTGACATTTGTACAACCCCAAGTTACTATTACCATAGTCAAAATAATAAATTCTTCTATCTCCAAGTTTCCTTTTGCCCTTTGAGATCCATCCCTCATGACATTTCCCACCAATTTCACAGGAAAACATTTATTTTCCTTCTCTCACTATAGATTGTTTTTCAATTTCTAGAATTATATATAAATTTAAGAATATATTTGCACTCTTTTTTAAAATCTGGTTTCTTACACTTGTCACTATTGTTTTAAGACCCATTTAAGTGGATGAATGTCCAATAATTTTTCTCGTTATTGTTAATATTCTACAGTTTGTTTAACTATTCATTGATTAATAGACATTTGGGCTGTTTTCAAGTTTGGCTATTACAAATAAAGTTGCTATTAATATTCTGTATGTGTCTTTCTGTTGATGTATGCTTTCATTTGTTTGGGGCAGATACCTAATGATTTGGATGATATGGTAGGCATGTGTTTAATTTTTATTTTAAATGCCAAAGTATTTTTCTGATTTGTTGTCTCATTTTACTTCCCCAACAGAAGCTGTATCCTTTGTCCCAGCCTCAGCTCTGGGGTCACGTTGATTTGTCACGGCAGCCCCACTGCATGTAAGTCAGAGCTCACACCACATGGGAATGGAGAGCCAAGTAGGAAAGTAAAAACGTCAAGATCAGCTGCAGCCCAGTTAAGAAGGCCTACCAAGTTCCTTTTGTTATTATCATGCTCCAAGCTAGTACTAGGCAACTCTCGAAAGAGTCTCACCTGAGACTTGATAGATCAACCTGGAGTAATAGGCTAGCCCCTGCTCTCAACTTACCTAATTTTGCTTGATGTAACCCTGTCTCCCCTGACCTGCAACAAACAGTGGAAACCTGGAGATGAAAATCCAGGAGGTGCAAGTCTAATGGCTTTTTGCTATCCTCCCTTTAACTCCTTCCTTTCCCCACCTCACCTACAGGCTGGAAAGAAGTGTTCATGGTACTTTACCCTATTCTAAAATAACGAGGTGACTGAAGGCCCTACTGTGTAAGAGGAAGCATTCTCTTCAAGCCCTATCACCAACCCTTTCTGATAGCACCCACTTCAGAGACAACCTATGGTGAGTTTGGTGTGCATGTTTCTGGATAATATTTTGTATTTTAACATAAACATATACATGAATAATACATATTTTATACAAGAATATTTAAAAATTGATATATTTCTAACATATGCAAAGATATAGGTTAGATTTTTTTCTGTTCTTCTAATAGTTACCAATAATAAACAGCCAAATTTAATTAATATACAGTAATAGTAATACATTCTAAAGTAAATCTGCATATACATTTCTTTTCTGAAGAAAGGGATCTTAACAAACTTTAATCTTTTTTGAACTCTCACATTTTGTCCCAAACAAATACATATTTGTCCCAAATATGTACACACATATTTTTTATTTTAGAGTCCTTTAATTAAGTTTATCAATATATTTTATGATCTTTTTCTCACCATTGTCTCAAGAATCCCACTTCTTTTGCCTGGAGTTATTTTTCTTTTTCATTTAATAACTTGTCGATGACAGTCCGTGGGTAGATTGAAGAACAAACACTTAAGACATATGTTAATTTTATTTAAGCTTTTTTTTAGACTTCTGCAAGAGAATACAATATTCTTAGCTATTGTTACAAATAACATAAATCATATTGGAATCTTTATAATACAAAGGAAAAGAAAAATGATAGCTCTTGTAAAAGAAATGCAGCCACACATATGTCTTAAACTCCAGTAATGTGGTTTTAATTTAAATTTCAGTGAAATCTGGAATATTTACAATAAATTTAATTAATGAACCAATGTTACATTAAAAATGAGCCACATATTCTGATTTATACTTTTCTAAATGTTTTATGATGTTAACAAACATAAATTTCACATTTATCTAGTAATAAAAAATAAAATGTTGAGAGTTCCTTTTTTATTGGAAACTTTTTTATTGTAGTAAAATATACATAATGCAAAACTTATTATTTTAATGTGTGTAGTTCAGTGGCATTGAGTACATTAACATCACCACTATCCATTTCCAGAATGTTTTCATCTTCCGCAGCGAGTTCTTATCATGAACATTAAATGTCAAGAAAACGTAGCACAGGAAGCTTGTTACTTTCAATCATGCAGAACACTTTCCATGTCTTAAGATCTGTTTTAACTTGATAAGTGGGAAGACAGAGTTTTGCTTAACACCCTGTGTTGTAAATATTCCCAATGTCTACCTTCTGTTAGTAGTGAAAAGAAATAATTCACAGCATAGTTTCTAGATCAATAGAAATGCTGTAGATCTTAATGATTTACACTGTAGCTTTTCTTTTTATTTAAAAGAGATTATTTGTTTAAAGAAGACTAACTTTGCTGTCACTTTTGTTTTCTTTGTATAGAGAGGTCTTATTTTATTCTGTCTTGATAGTGGTGAGCTGTTTTGATTATTGTATGTGTGTGAAATGCCTTAATAAACACTTTGGACACAGAGCTCAACATTTAAAGACATTTTCCCCTCAACACTTTGAAGATATTATTCCATTGTCTTCGAAGATAAATTGTTGCTGAGATAAACTCTGCTTTTAATATGCTTGTTATTTCTCCATAGAAAATCTGTATATTCACTTTTAAATATTTTCAATATGTTTCATTATTTTTGTATGCTGATTGTAGATTCATTTTTATTAATGTTGCTTAGCACCTAATGGGCTTTGTCAAATTTTCGCCACTTCTTTCTCAATTTTGAAAAATTCTGAGCCATTATCTCTTTGATTATCACCTTCTCATCCTTTCTATTATCCTATTCTTTGAAGTTTATTATATGCTGCTGTTTCTTGATACAACTAATTTCTCTTTCATATGTCCTAATTTTGTTACACTCTGGAAATTTACATGATTTTATGTATTTATTTTAATTGATAATTTAAAATTATATATATTTATGGTATACAGCGTGATGTTTTAAAACATGCATACGTTATAGAATAGCAAAAATCAAGCTATTTAACATACACACCATCTCATACACTTGTTTTTTTGGGATAAAAGCAGTTAAAACCTATCTCAGCAATTTTTAAGTACACAATATATTATTAGCTATAGTGGCCATGTTGCATAGTCGATCTCTTAAACTTATTTTTCCTGTCTAACTGAAATTTTGTATCTTTTGACCAAGACCTCCCTAGTCTCCATCTCCTAACCCCCAAAACCTGGTAACCACCATTCTATTCTCTGCTTCTGTGAGTTTCACCTTTTTAGATTTCACGTATAAGTGAGAGGATGTGGTATTTGTTTCTGTGTCTGGTTTATTTCAATTAGCATAATTTCCTCTAGGTTCATCTATGTTTTCGAGAATAACAGGATTTCCTTCTTTTTTTAGGGTAGAATAGTATTTCATTGTGTGTATATACCGCATTTTCTTTATCCATTCATTTGCTGAAGGACAACAATTAGGTTGATCCCATATCATGGCAATTGAGGATAAGGCTGCAATGAACATGGAAGTGCAGATATCTCTTTGACATACTGATTTCATTTCTTTTGGATACATACCCACTAGTGGGCTTGCTGAATCATCAGGTAGTTCTATTTTTAATTTTTTGAGAAATCTCCATACTGTTTTCCATAATGGCTATGCTAATTTACATTTCTACCAACAATGTATAAGGATTCTCTTCTCTCTGTACCCTCACAAAACAGTTGTTATCTTTTCTCTATTTGAGAATAGCCATTCTAACAGGTGTGACGTGATATCTTATTTTGGTTTTAATTGCATTTCCTTGATGATTAGTGAGGTCGTGCATCTTTCTATATATTTGTTGGCTATTTACATGTCTTCTTTGGAGAAATGTCTACTCACAACCTTTGCGCATTTTTAAGTGTTTTTTTTTTGTTGTTGTTTGTTTGTTTGCTATTCAGTTGTTTGAATTCCTTACACATTTTGGATATTAACCCCTTATTAGAAATATGGTTTATAAATATTGTCCATTTTTTTAAGTTGTCTCTGCATTCTGTTGATTGTTTCCTTGGCAGTGAAAAAGGTTTTTAGTTTGATGTAATTTCATTTTTCTATTTTTGATTTTGTTGCCTGGGCTTTTATGGTCATTGCCAAAAACTCATTGCTTAGACCAATGTCATAAAGCTTTTCCTATGTGTTTTCTTCCAGTTATTTTACAGTTTCAGACCTTAAATTTTAGTCCTTAATTCATTTTCCATTGATTTTTTTAATATGGTATGAGATAAGGGTCTAATTTTCTTTTTCTTCACATCCAGTTTTCCCAATACCACTTTTAAAAATTTTATCTTTTCTCCAATATGTATTTTTAATATCATTATCAAAAGAGAATTGCATAGATTTATTTCTGGAGCCTCTATTCTGTTTCATTGGTCTATATGTCTGGTTTTGTGCCAGTACCTTGCTGTTTTGATTATTACAGCTTGTAACTGATTCTGATATTAGGTAGTGTGATGCCTCCAGCTTGTTCTTTTGCTCAAGATTTCTTCAGGTATTCCTAACCTTTCATGGCTTTGTACACATTTTAGGATTGTTTCTTCCATTTCTGAAAAAATGTCATTGGAATTTTGCTTTGGATCTATAGACTTCTTTGAGTAGTATGGACCTTCTTCCAATCCATGGAAACTGAGTATCTTTCCATTTATTTGTACCTAAATGTATTATCAAATGTACTAATTCTTTATTCAGCTATGTTTAATTTACTACTTATTTATTGATTTTTAAATGTAAAGGATTCTAATTTTCTAACATATTCTTAGCTCTTTTTACATGTTCATCTATTAGTTTACAATCTCTTGGCCATTTTATAGATGCCTTTTGAAAATTTTAAACGAATTCACTTTAAAGTGGCCTCAAATTACTTTAATACTCTGAATGTTTTTTCCATGTATAATTTTTCTACTCAAGGGTATGTTGACCTTTTTCATGGCAATAAACTTTTTTATTTGCTTTGCAGTGTTTGTTGTATAGCTCATTTTGCATTGTTTCCTAGCATGTTCATCCATTCCTGCCAGAACGTTACATGATGGATTCAGACCAGGATCTATGGAGAATACATCTCCAATTATAGTGTACTCCTTCTACTTATTTTTTTAAGTTAACTGTAAAACAGTCTTAAGCAGGTTCAGGAGGTATGCCACAAGAAGGCATTATTATCATAGGAGATGACAGTTCCATGCATGTTGATTGCGCCTGAAGACATTAAAGTGAAAAAAATATAAAGGTAGAAAACTGTGATATTATCTTGACTCTATGTAGGCCTAGGCTAATGTGTGTGTTTGTGTCTACTTTTTTAACAAAAAAGGTTAAAAAGTAAAATAAATAATTTTAAAAATGGAAGAATGCTTAAAGAAAATATTTTTGTACTGCTGTACATTGTGTTTGTGTTTTAAACTATTATTTTGAGAGTCAAAAAATTTAATTAAAATGTTTATACAATAAAAAAGTTACACTAAGCTAACTTATTATTGAAGAAAAAAGTGTTTTAGTAAATTGAGTGGAGACTGTACAATGTTTATAAAGTCTATAGTCATGTATAATAATGTCCTAGGCCTTTACGTTCACTCACCACTCATTCCCTGACTCACCCAGAGCAATTTGGTCCTTTTTGTCATTGGGATATAACGAAACAAATGAATTTGATAAAAAAATTGTTTCACAGAACATATTAAAATTGTAGTTATGAGTTCTGTTTTATTAAAATTGCAGTTATGAGTTCTGTTTTATTAAAATTGCAAGAGTTTTCATTCCAGAGTAGCTTTCTCCCATAGTAATTTATCTTCAGGGCTTTGGCTTAAATAGCTATAGCAGACATAAAATCTCAATGAAGTTTTATGCAAGGATTAGATAAAATAAATTATTCCAGATGATTATAGTTTTCAAATGATCTTCTTAGCATATAAATATTTATTCTTTATCACTATATCATTTGTATTGATATTATCATTATATTACATGTTAAGTAATAATTTAGTTCAATTTATTGAACACTACTTCTAGTAATGTTCTGTTATCTACATTTAATTCTAACATCAGCAAATATTGAATATTATGATGTTTAAAGGTGTCCGTTTCTAGTCAATGCAATGAATTTCTTTATCCGATTTCCTCTTATCCTTGGTCTTAATGGAAGTATCACAATAATGTTTTAATGTTTTTGCTCTACTCCTCAACACAATGTTAAATTACGTATGTGTTTCCAGCACTCTGATTGCTATTTAACGTATATATATTTTTTCCAGTTACTAGGCCCTCACTCTACCCTGTGAATAAATAGGGAATACAATGGTCAGACTTCAGCTATATCACTTCTTTTAGGACAGATTTTCCATACTTTGTAATAATGCTTATTCTCATCAAAAGTGTATCTGATTTTGTTTTACTTCTTCTGAGAATCTGTTTTCTGGAAGATGTGTTAATGGATGCTAACATATTAACCTATTACCAAGTCAAATACACACACAGACACACACACACAGACACACACATATAGGGCTGAGGTCTCCTTCTGTTGCCAGAGCTGGAGTGCCATGGTGCAATCACTGCAACCTTGAACTCCTAGGATCAGGTGATCTTCCTGCTTCATCCTCCCAAGTAGCTGAGGTTACAGGTGTGAGTCACCATGCCTGGCTCACGTGTTTTTAATGAAGTCTCCTTTGACTTAAAGGAAAGCCATGCCTGTCATAGAAATCTTGATATATTATTTCTTAGGACTGTGGTAACAAATTACCACAAACGGGGTGGCTTAAAATAAATGTATTTTCTCACAGTTCTGGAAGCTGGGAAGTATCAACAGGTCCATGCTCTCTGTGAGGTCTCTAGGGAAAAATCTGTTCCATGCCTTCTTTAGCTTCTGATGTTACCAGCAATTCTTGGTGCTCCTTGGCTTATAGATGAATCACTCCATTCTCTCCTTGAATTATCTGGCTTTCTCTCTGTGTATCTTCTGTCTCTCTTTTCTTACAAGGATACCAGTCATGTAGGATTAGGACCCAAACTAATTCAGTGTGACCTCATCTTAACTTGATTACACCTGCAAAGACCCTTTTTCCAAATTAGGTTACATTCAACAGCTACCAGGAGTTAGGACTTTGACATATCTTTTGGGAAGACACAATTCAACCCACCCTACCAGGTGTTATGCCACAATCTTTCAATTCCTTCCCGATAGTTAGAAATGCTCTAGCCCCAAGTGTTGGGAGGCATGCAGTTTACATTGCCCATCAACTAGACTTTCCATGCTGTGAGGTGATTATCCTTTTACATATTTTCTGTTTGAATGTAGACATACTCGGCCTTTGCTCTCAATACTACAGCCTGAATAGTGAAGGGAAATTAAAGGCGGTATACTAGACTGCTTCATGCATCATCTGAAAGTTGTCAGGTAAACTCTGACTCCAAAATTTTTCTTTAGAGTTAGTGACTAGAGGTAAAATAAACCTGGTTTGATTTGCAGTTGGCCCGTTACACTTATGACATTAGAACAGTAGGAGAAATATCATTGGGAAGCATAAACTAAGAAAACTTAATATGGAACTCATTGATGCAGTCTTAGGAGAAACACTTTTTCAAACAATAGATGTATTTTATTGCTGCTTTTAACATTCCCTACATTTTTCAGTAGTCCTTGCATATAAATATTAACTGTATGTTAGAGAGTAATTTATATGCAAATATGTGGATATTAAATATCACATGATTATAAAACTATTAGATACTGTTTATAAGGCTACAGGAAAAACTAATTTGGGCCCTCCTAATTCACATTTTTGATAAGTCAGCAAGGGTTCAGCTTAATTTTACCTTTGCTTTATGAGAAAATAATTTGCTAAGCATATTTATCTTATAAGGAAATTGAACTGCTTATTTGACAAATTGTACACATATTCCGTGTAGCCTAAAAATATTTGTATATGAATAATTGATATACTAGTTGTAAATCATTCTTAGCTGTGAGTTAAATCAAGTTGTTAAAGATCCACTTCTCTAAGAGACTCTCTTCAGTTCAAGGCTGAAATAGCATGGTAGAGGATGCTATAAAAAGACATTTCTATTTAAGAAAAAGCTTTTTAATCTATAATTTTACTTATTCAAATATATGTGTTTTTTAAGATGAAGTAACTTAGAACATAATGTTTCCTTTACTAGATATTGTTCCTGATCATTAATCTGTTCACATTCCGAGATAGGAAATTTGAGTGGGTTGATAGTAAGATTGTTTCCATAACTGAGTGAAAGATGGCACCTAGAAAAACAGAGTTTTTCCTGTACTGTGTGGCACCGAATACAGTTTCATTTGTTATTGTGTAAATAATCAGATAACTTCACCAGATTGGATTATTTTGGCACAATGCAGATACTGAAAATGTACATGTCATAGTGCACAGCAGGATTTAGGAGATTGGGGTAATCTGTCTGAATCTATTACTGAAATTCAGAGGAAAAATCTTAAGACATTTTAACTTTGAAATATGAATCCTCAAGGAGTCAAACACCTAGTGGTTGCTATTGAGAGTAATAGAGAGAATTCATACCCCAAAATGCTGGAACAAAAATTGAGTGAGCCCTGCAGATATTTCAGAGAGAAGCAGAACAGCCCTCTGATTGACTTAAGAATCAGCCCTCCTGATTGAGTTAAGCTCTCATTTAGACTTAAGTTTAATTAGTGAGGACAATTTTAGCACAGGATTAGCTCTAAGAATAGAAAGACCATTGCTATATGAGCATACTTGATTTTGCTAGATTTCTGAGGCTCCAATTGATCCTTCCAATTTATAAAAACAGTTTTCCTAAAAGATTGAACTATTACATAAATTGAGAAAAATGCTATATGTTTTTGCTATTTTGCCTTGATATTTGCATATCAATATGCAGTTGCATTAGTGATTATGTCACTGTAAGGATTACAAAGATTTTGGTGTGGGATAGCTGCTTCTGAAAACCTTAGATGATACCCACAGAAAATGAGAAGTGAAATTTTTTCAATGACCATCTCAGAACATGGGGAAAAAGGAAAAGAACTAGAAAACCTCTATGGAGCTCTAAAAGGCTTCTTGTCTTCTACAGCCTCAAAATAGATGAAGCTGAGTGTGATTTGAAAAGCTATAAAGTTATAGTGTCAATTAAAGGCAGAATTCCATCATGTCTCTCCTCATTTACACTAATGTATGATTTGAAGAAGTTGGAAACTGAGATACAGGATCATTTGGGTAAAAACAGAAAAGACCAAGGACTACAAATCTCCAAATTACCCTAAACCTCTGTCTTTACAGAACTGTCTCCTCCTTAACCAAGAGAACCCGCCTAATCCTCCTAAAAACCTTTGACTTTGGCAGTTGCTCCAATGGATGCCTGATTCTCATAAAACCCCAACATCAAAATTTTGTGTGGCCAATAATGAGATTTTTATCCAAAAATAGCCAAATAGAGAAGTGAAAGATCCAGTGTGGGAAGAGATAACCATTGCCTAAAAGAGTTACAGGAACTTGGTAATGTAAATGTAATGTTCGTAATGTAAGGAGACCTTGGTAAGATTACCTTACATTGGTAAGGTAAGGTGAGCATGCCTGGGAACAGGAAAATACTCAGACCCTCCAGGAATTATTATAGTTTGCCTCTGAATTGAAGCTAATTCTTAGAGACCCCAAAGCCCACTAGAATCCACTAGTCAGAATGAGTGGGATTGGAGGTCAGTAAAAAGATGGATATATGATCTGATTTCATCTCACAGGTCATCCAATGGAATCCTAACCACATACTGTGGTTCTTTCCTTGGTCCTAGGATATAT
This sequence comes from Homo sapiens, assembly GCF_000001405.40. Taxonomy (NCBI): domain Eukaryota; kingdom Metazoa; phylum Chordata; class Mammalia; order Primates; family Hominidae; genus Homo; species Homo sapiens. Next base: position 166,560,904 of record NC_000002.12, on the reverse strand, counting down.
ACTTAGTAAATGGAAAAATCTGTATGTTAGTTTCAGTGAAGCGAAGGTCATTATGAAATCATTGTGTTAAGTGGAAGCCATTATGACACACCTGCAAACATGATAATAAACAAAAAGATAATACTCTGTTCCAGGAAATTGGTAGAGATCAACGCCTTTATCAAACACTTGGAAAATTCAAGGGTGATAATTCTTACTGGAGCCCCCCATTCATTTACATTTTCAGCTGATACAATATCCAAGTAGGCCTTGCAAAATGAATACTTGTACATATTATTGCAAACCTGATCGGGAGATTTTACCAATCACAGCTGAGGTGGAGAAATAGAGTTTTTAGTGGGAAAAATATATTCCAACACACCTATGTTGCTTTCTTTAGTATTCCTATCAACAGATATCCTCACACTCAGAAACAGCAGAATGCCTTGGCTGTCCTACCTGAGGATGTGTCGACTTTTCTGGTCCTGGTCATCATGAAATCCAGAGGGACTTTGATTGTCCTGTATTCTTCTAAATATAAGGCTAATTCACTGTACTGATGACATTAGGCTAATTTGACCAGCATCATGATGTGGCAAGCTCTCTAGCTGCCTTAGTGAAGTAAAAGCATGCAAGAAAATGTGAGGTAAATCTTGTAAAAGTTAAGTAGACTGCCACATCTGTGCAGTTTCTAGGAAAAAGTGGTATGTTGCAATATCTCTTCGAATGTGAGAAGCAATTTATACCATACTCTATGTGCAACGAAGCATAATGTTTGGGTTTTTAGGATAACTGGAGAAAACAAATACTGTATTTGGACTTGACCCATTTACCAGTCAGTTTAGCATGTGGTCTAGGTAAACCAAGGACTTTACAGCAGACAAAGCCTACAGTATAAGTTGCTGTGCCATTCAGGCTTTAGTGCTACACCCAATAGCAGTGAAAGTGGCACACCCAATAGCAATGAAAGTGGCAGAGGCAGAGATGTTATATGGAGCATCTGGCAAGTTATGATGGTATCAAAATGTAGGGACTTGAACTAAGGACATGCTCTTTTCTTCACAGCTCTTAGATTGCTATAGCATCTTGGTAGAGACTGGCTATGGGCCCTAAGTGACTAATTCAAGTCATGTGTCCTTCACAACCTGGGCATTAACCTAATAACTGATAAAGTTGAACTGAGCAGCAGCCTTGATTAAATGAAAATATTTGTTAAAAGAGTAAATACATGTGATTTTTATCATTTTAAAAATATTTCCCTTTTATGACACCTTGTTCTGATTTTAATGCATTTCTTTATTTGAAAGAAAATAGGTAAAAAAAAAAACCATCGAGAAAATTCAACTGTCTGAAGAGTGTGTAGATATTCTTAAATATTAATTCATGTGGTATCAAGATGAATCAATAGCCTAATGGCCCCACCAAGTACCAGATATTGATTCAGAAAAATAACTGTGGGCTACTTCAAGTGCCCTTTGCTATGCATTTTCTTTTCTTTGGTAATTGCATATACAGAACTACCTTATTTGACAGTTTTATCTATTCATTCTTTATTCATTTGTTGACGAATTGATAGATATAAGTATAGATATAAAATCTGAATCATGCAAAGTGCAGATTTTAAATGATTCTTTATGATATTGAATGTATAGGTTAGTAGGCAAAATGCAATTCAGATAAAGGCTTACAATTTCACTGATTCAGTATCTTCACTTCAAAATAAGGAGTAGTTAATAATATTAAAGGGAGATAAATATTAATGTTAGTTACTCATAAGCTTAGTATATTTTATCCAAACTAAACAATTTTTCTTTCTGAAAGTTGAATAATATGTACTGTGTTTACTGTCATTATGGTGATTAATTGGATTAATAATGCTTAACACATTTTAACAATATTTAAAACTATTTAATGGGATTCATATTACTTTAACAATGTAGGTGTTCTATCAACCAGGAAGAAAAGATGTTAAATGATCCTGGGTTAATTAACTTTTGATGCTTAACCAGTCTTATGTAGTCTTTTGAGCATAGAAGCATTAAAAAGAATTTTCAAAGGTTTAGTTGTTCTCAGCTTTATTTAAGAAGACTAAAGACGATAACCCTTATTTAATGAAGCTTAACTAAGTTTAATGGAGCTTAAAATTTTTAATGAAGTTTAAGACCCCCTTTAGATTTCAGATTATGAAGATTTCACTTAGTATTTGTAAAGTACCTTAATTCCTGAAGCAATTATGAATACAATAAAATATGATAAATATGATAAGTAAAGATAACTTCTAAAAGATGCAAATGTGTTTTGGACTGAAGGGAAAGAGAAAATCAGGGAACTGAAATTGTGAATATTCCAATTAAAAATCAGGTAATATAATAGACTTTTAGAATTTGAAGGGGTCTTTTCTTTCATACGAATGGATATCTACTTAAGGCAGGATCCCTCTCTATACTATTCCTAAAATACTGGCACTTTGCTTTGACCACAGGTTCTCTTGGACGCCATCTATCTGAAAATGTCTTTATTTTACCTTCCCTTTTAAAAGATGTTTTTTGCTGGATATAAAATTCTAAGTTTATAGTTGCTTTGTTGCTGTTGGGGTTGGGGCAGTAGCAGTGGGTAGTGTTTTTTGCTTTTTAACCACTTTAAAAATGTCATAATTTCTGGCATGCCTTGTCCCTAATGAGAAGTTATTTACTTTGTTTCCTTGTACATAATGTTTTTCCTGTGGATGTTTTTAGGATTTATAGTGAATTTTCAGCAGTATGACTGTGATATATTTATGTGTGATTTTCTTGCTCTATTCTTTTTGAGATTTCCTAAAAATCTTAATATTGTAGATGTATGTCTTTCATGAAATTTGGAAAATCTTTAACTATTATTTACTTAAATATATTCTGTCATGTTTTGTTACTTCTCAGGGACTGTAATAGTTGACTGATTGACATTAGATTGATTTTTTGATTTAATTTGTGTTGTTTCCTTGTCTGGCTTTTCAGCCCTACTTTTGTGGCACTATTCTCAGCAAAACAGGTGATGGTGGTGATGCAGTAGAGATTATTGTTAGGCCAAGCAAACTATTTTGTTATTTGAGCATCTTCAAAACTACAGTTATTCCTGCCTGCCCCAATCTTGACTAGTAGCTTAGCTGGCCTTTACTTAGCATGTCAATTTCTTATGTTTTTTTTTGGCAGCCTTTATCCTTTACCTAGACCCAACCCAGAAGTTGCCTCAGAACTGCTCTGAGACTTGCTGGTTGCATATGAGTCATTTCTGTCTTTGGGAATCAACTCATGAAGACTTTCTTGCATCGACTGGTCTTTAATAATTTCATAGAATAGTACTGTTTTGTGTTTTATCTGGGTTTCCCTTTGTGTTACTACAGGAATGAAGGTTGTCCATACCTTTTTGCATCCTTACTAGAAATGGAATTCCCTTTCAACTGGTTCTAGTAAAGTTGTAGTCCATGAGGTTTTTATCTTGCTATCTCTGTTCTATTTGAATCTCTGCTGCTGCTACAAAGAAGTTACTGAAAATTCTTTATGTTACTTTTTAAGCCACATTATCTTAGCTTATCTTAGCTCATCTTTTTAAAATTATTTATTTATTTATTTATTTTGAGTCGGAGTCTCCTCTGTTGCCCAGACTGGAGTGCAGTGGTGTGATCTCAGCCCAACTGCAACCTCCACCTCTTGGGTTCAAGCTATTCTCATGCCTCAGCCTCCCGAGTAGCTGGGATTACAAGGGTACGCCACCATGCCTGGCTAATTTTTGTATTTTTAGTAGAGATGGGGTTTCACCATGTTGGTCAGGCTGGTCTTGAACTCCTGACCTCAAGTGATCCACCCACCTTGGCCTCCCAAAGTGTTTTGGCTTATCTTAAACTTCTAGTTAACTACTTTTATTGAGGTAAACTTAATTTATTGTAACAGAAACCCAGCGATCATATTTTTACTTACTCTTATAGTGACTTATTAACCAATTAAAAGATTCCTATAGGCCAGGTGCGGTGCTGTAATCCCAGCACTTTGGGAGGCTGAGGCAGGCGGATCACAAGGTCAGGAGTTCAAACCAGCCTGGCCAATGTGGTGAAACCCCGTCTCTATTAAAAATTCAAAAATTAGCCAGGCGAGGTGGCAGGTGCCTGTAGTCCCAGCTACTCAGGAGGCTGAGGCAGTAGAATCACTTGAACCCAGGAGGCAGAGGTTGCAGTGAGCTGGGATTGCGCTACTGCACTCCAGTCTGGGCGACAGAGTGGGACTCCATCTTAAAAAAAAAAAATTTTATAAAGGAAATACATTTTTCAGAGAAATTTTCTCAATAAATTCAGAGATTAATTTACTTCTAAAGAACATAATAGTAATTAATTTTAAATTACTTATTCACATGTACTGCCAGACTCAAGATCTTCAACCTACCTTTTCCTTTTTTTTGTTTAAATAATGTCTGCATTCAATCTCAATATTCAGTCTTCTATTACACTGCCCGATGTCTGTTATATCTAAAAGATTTCCACCAGTGATGATCACAGTCAAACTTTCAATGTCTATAATTTTTCAATATTCTTTAATGCAATTATATTAATACTAGAAATTCATACAAATCTCCTTCTATGGAAGCAAAAACCAAAAAGTAATAGTATTCTGTCTCTATCTCTGCCTGTCTATCTCTGTGTCTCTCTTGCTTGCTTGCTTTATTTTATCTGATAATTTCACTACATTTGTTCCAAATAGTAATTCTTTCTTGTTCTCTGTGTTCTGACTATAGGCTGAAAGCATTCATTGTTTCCTAACATCTTTTTAAATTTATGGTCTGTAGATTTTCACTCTATTTTTGCAGGATATTTTAAATTTATAATAGTTGTTATAGTTCTGTGATACTTCTTACATCATTTATAAATGCACATTTAAAATTTGAGCACATCAAAAGCCCTGTATATAACCACATATACTTAATTGAAATATTTTAGTTTTGAAACACTCATGTTTTACTTTTTAAATTTGGTATTTATTTGAAACATGTTAACATTTGAAAATGACCATGTGACCTTCTGTGTCTTTTTTCATTAAATTTAAGGCTTTTAAAAATCAAGTCATTGGTTTTTCTGTCAAACATGTTCTTTTCTTTTCTAGGAGAAAGTAATTCTGGAATAGTAAACCCAGGGTTCTGAAAATCAAATCCTGTTCTTTGATTTTTATTTTATGTATTTATTTCATCTTCAACAATCATACTTTTTAATAAGAGGGATGAAAACCTCATTATATTTTCTTAATCCTTGATTATTACCTATGAAAATGTGAATGATATGAATTAGCTATAATTTTCTACAGCTACATTAAGCATAATTTCCTTAGGCGAATTCTGGCCAACTATATGAAAAATATTTCACTCACCTCATCTATTTTTTTTTTGTGGCTACATTCACATCCTAATTACAGCTACCAAAATTAAACATTTTTATTAAAACATAGATAATTTTTGCATTCTTCTGATGCTTTCAGAGAGTACCAAGAAGTGATAAATTTATAACAGAGAAAGATAAAAGAAAGACCTACCAAGGGACCATTTAGCTATTTAATCTAGGCTAAGCTCAGAGCCTCCAAACTAGCATTGTAAACCAAGCCTGGCATTTCATGTTAATCACTTGAGAAGAATTATATTCAAATAATTAATGTTTGCTTTCTCCATAATTCCTTACTCTTATGCTATTTATATAGTCTTAAGAATTTTCTCAGCCATGGAAGGCTCACAGATGAATGAGGTACTTGCAGAATGATTTTTCCATTTCAAAATGTAGAATAAAACTGGAGATGAAGAAATGTAGAGAGACCAGGATGGGAAAGCAATTTGTAGATCAGAGCTTTTGAAGTAGAAAGAGAAGGGAAGTCTTTCTATCATGAGGACTACAAAAAAAAATTGTAAAAGAGACAATATTTAACATGCCCTAAAATATAGAACTCCCACTGGCTCCTTACTCTTGAACTACCCATTATTCAACAGTCTTTTTTTTTTTTTTTTTTTTTTTTTTTTTTGAGACAGAGTCTCACTCTGTCACCCAGGCTGGAGTGCAGTGGCGTGATCTCAGCTCACTGCAACCTTCGCCTCCCAGGTTCAAGCAATTCTCCTTCCTTAGCCTCCTGAGTAGCTCGGATTACAGGTGTGCACCACCATGCCCGGCTAATTTTTGTATTTTTAGCAGAGAAGGCGTTTCTCCATGTTGATCAGGCTGGTCTCGAACTCCTGACCTCGTGATCTGCCTGCCTCGGCCTCCCAAAGTGCTTGGATTACGGGCGTGAGCCACTGCGCCCAACCTGTCCAACAGTCTTCTTAAAATCTCTCTGAAATAGAGTGACTAGAGTAGGAATTGTTATTTAAAATGTTTTCCCCTTGACCAAGATGTCAATGAACTATACCAATAGAGGATTTCTTAATACTCCAGAGCAATATTGGACATATCATCATTACTAGCAAACATTGTAATACTCATTTCCTTAACCTGATAATGATCAAATTGATGTGTTAGTAAAAAACACATCAGCTTTTATGCAGAAAACCCCAACTTTAATTTAATAGAAGAAAAATTGCATTCCCTTAACATTTTTTAATAGTGAGCCTGCTATTGATATATTCCTTCAGTTTTTGTATGTCTGAAAAAGTGTTTCTCCTTCATTTTTGAAAGATACCTTCACTGGATATACCATTCTAGGTTGATAACTTTTTATTCTTTCAGTATTTCAAAGATGTTGTTTTCTGGATTGCCTTATTTCCAATGAGAAGTCAGGCATCATTTTTATTACTGTACCCATGTACATACTATACAGCATTGGTTTTAGACAATTGTATTATAATACATCCTGGTGTAGTCATTGTAAACTTTCTCATATTTGGATTTAGTGAGTTTCTTCGATTTGTTGGTTTAAAATGATCATCAAAACTTGGAAACAAATGTGTTTTCTGACTGCTTTCCTCTCTTTTGAGATACAGTTGCTCATATGTTACTCACCTTGTCTTACAGCTCTTACATACCTTTTTCATTGTTTAAGTCATTTTGTTTCTCTGATTTTTATTTTGGATAGGTTTTACTGCTGTATTTAAGTTCATTAATCTTTTCTTCTGCTGTGTTCAATTTGCTGTCTTTTTTCAGTGTAATTATTGTCTAAAATATTTTTATATTTTATATCTAGAACTTTAAGGGACTCTTAAAAGTAGATTCCGTGGCCGGGTGCGGTGGCTCATGCCTGTAATCCCAGCACTTTGGGAGGCTGAGGCAGGTAGATCACCTAAGGTCAGGAGTTCGAGACCAGCCTGACCAATATGGTGAAACCCCGTCTCTACTGAAAATACAAAAATTAGCCGGGCATGGTGGCGCACGCCTGTAGTCCCAGCTACTTGGGAGGCTGAGACAGGAGAATTACTTGAACCCGGGAGGCAGAGGTTGCAGTGAGTCGGGATCACACCACTGCACTCCAGCCTGGGCTACAGAGCAAGACTCCATCTCAAAAACAACAACAACAAAAAAAAGTAGATTCTTTCTCTCTACTAAACTTACTTAAATTTTTGTCCAATGTATTGAACATATGGAATATAGTTATAATTACCATTTTAATATCTTATCTACAAATTCTATTCATGTGTTAATTCTGGGTATGTTTAATTGTTTCATTGTGTGTTTTATTGTCTTCATTATGAATCATATTTTTCTGCTCTTGGGCATGCCTGGTGATTTTTGACTAGATGCTGGACACTGTAAATTTTAATTTGGTGTAGTCTATGTTTTAATATGTGCCTATATACTCTGCTGATATACTCTTGAGTTTTTCTGTGGGAAACTTTGGTACATTCAAAGCTTGCCTTTAAACTCTATTTTCTGGGATTTTTTTTTTTTTTGAGATGGAGTTTCACTCTTGTTGCCCAGATTGGAGTACAATGGCACGGTCTCAGCTCACCGCCACTTCCACCTCCTGGGTTCAAGTGATTTGCCTGCCTCAGCCTCCCAAGTAGCTGAGATAACAGGCATGCACCACCATGCCCAGCTCATTTTGTATATTTAGTAGAGACGGGGTTTCTCCATGTTGGTCAGGCTGGTCTCGAACACCTAACCTCAGGTGATCCACCTTCTTCGGCCTCCCAAAGTGCTGGGATTACAGGTGTGAGCCACTGCACCTGGCCTATTTTCTGGGATTTAAGCAGCATAATATAACACTAATTTTCTTTTCTACTGAGGCGATACCCAGTGTACCATGAAATATGAGGTTTTCTGGATTGTGAAAAACACAACTTTTTTAGACCCTGTGTGAGATATCTGGATTGTTTATGCTTTTTGAATGGTTCTCTTCCTGGCCCTGGGTAGTCTCTATTCAGCTGAACACTTCCATGGGACCCTCAGCAAATCTCCAGAGTACTCTCTCTGCACAGCTGTTGTCTCTCCAGAACTCTGCCTTATGACATATCAACACCTTGGCGTCCCCAGCCTCTAAGTTCCATCTCCTCAACTCACGAACTTCACCAAAACACTACTGAGTTCCTTCCTCACTCTACTGCATGCTATTGCTGTTGCTACTGTTGTTGTTACATGGATGTATTAAGTTATGTTACTCCACTCCACCTTGGCTGGAAGTTATAAATCCATGCAAGTTTGTGTTTTATTTTAGTCTCATTTCGTATTTACAATGCTTGATCACTTTTAAAATACAAAAAGGAACTAGATGTTAAATAATGAACATTTAAAATCTCAGAAAGAAGCAACTGGTAAGACTTTTTACGAAGGAATCAGATTTTATGTTTTATAGAAGTAATGGTTTTCACACTCATGTTATACAACCACTTCAAATTAATACCCCTTAATTGAAGTAGCAGTCAATTAATAGACAATTTTTCTTGATGGTCTTTGCTGTTTTCAATTATTTAAAATTTTAGCAAAACTCTTCACATTTTTCAAACAATAAATTTAAGTGAAGCTTTAAAATAGCACCAGTTAAGGTGTGGTCAAAGAGCTCTGGCTTAAATCAAATAGAAAAATAGCTTAAAACTCACTTGTATTGCTCTTTGTATATTTCATTCTAAGTTTTAATTATTGTGAATTATGCCTAAGTTTGTGAGTAGGAGACAATGGCAAATTTATTTATTTTTAATATATTATACAAACTCACATATAAACAAAAATAAAAATAGTTAAATTCAGTCTTCTAGAAAACTGAATCTCAATTTCATACCTTATATACAGTGAGAAATAATTTTGGTTGTTAAAATTATGAATAGATGGGAAGATCAATCTGAGTCTGATATGTTTAATTCATCTACTTGCCAAAACTTCTGTTCAGTCTCTGTAAGTGAAGGATTTTTAAATATTAGAAGCGAAATTTTTCATATTTATGAAAAGATGGAACACTGTTTTACTACATTTTAATTTGTAGGCACAGTTCTTAAGTAGAAATTATCTATTTTTAAGGGAGACAAACAGATATAATATTTATTTACTACAAGATTACATATTAATCAATTAATTTATATTCTAACAGCACAACTCTCAGTCTCATTCAGTTTGTACTATAATGAAGTTCTTGAATTTCTCTCCTGTGCCTCTTTTTGCAAGGTAATAAATCTCAAAGGTAAGCCAAATTAAGTTCTCTATGCTCTTTAACACCCTGCTTTGCAAACTGTTATCTCATGGTGTTACAAATAATACACAAGAAACAGAAAGGGAAACAATAATAGGGCACACCAGTAAAATTAATTCTTCCAAGCCATAAACACCAAGACCAATAAATCTACAAGAAAGGTATTTAAAATGGTCAACAACCACTGCTCTGTTATTCTTCATCACTTTCTGCCTCTGGATAGTGATTACAACATTTGAGCAAGACCAGTTTCTTAGGCCCAAATGCCTGCACCACCTTGAAAGTCATAAAGATGACATTGGTCAAGAAGTAGTGCAACACTCTAGCTCAGCAGTGGAATATACTCTAGTTTTCTGTGTTTAAAGTAATGTTTCTTCCCTTTCCTTTAGAACAGTGTAAATAAAACAAATTCATTTAAGTAAAAAATGATTATTCTAATATGTCTCAGGCATCAAATACTACAGATGAAATGAGATTCAATTTACTTCATTTTTGTGAATTTTGTTTTATCTTAATTTAAAATGTCTTTGCAGTCCTGATGTGAAAAATACAAAGTGTAAGAAAATTCTATGTAAATGTAACTCATATATAAATTTCTCTGAAATATAAGACAGCAAATAATGAATTTAAGAATAGAATTGTCTACCCTTTTTGTGGAAATGTAAATTAGTGCAACGACTGTGGAGAATAGTTTGATGATTTCTCAAAAAAAAACTAAAAATAGAGCTACTATGTGATCCAGCAATCTCACTGCTGGGTATATACTCAAAAGAAATGAAATCAGTATATTGGAGAGATATCTGCACTCCCAAGTTTATTGCAGCACTGTTTACAATAGCCAAGATTTGGAAGCAACCTATGTGTTCATCAGCAGATGAATGGATAAAGAAATGTGGTACATGGCCGGGCGCGGTGGCTCACGCCTGTAATCCCAGCACTTTGGGAGGCCCAGGTGGGCGGATCACGAGGTCAGGAGATCGAGACCATCCTGGCTAGCACGGTGAAACCATGTCTCTCCTGAAAATACAAAAAATTAGCCGGGCGTGGTGGCAGGCGCCTGTAGTCCCAGTTACTCAGGAGGCTGAGGCAGGAGAATGGCGTGAACGCCGGGGGGCGGAGCCTGCAGTGAGCCGAGATCACGCCACTGCACTCCAGCCTGGGCGACAGCGAGACTCTGTGTCAAACAAACAAACAAACAAAAATGTGGTACATATATACAATGGAGTACTATTCAGCTATAAGAAAGAGTAAGATCTTGTCATTTGCAACATCATGGGTAGAACTGGAGATTCTGTTAAGTGAAATAAGCCCAGCACAGACAAACATCACATATTCTTACTTATTTTTGGGACCTAAAAATCAAAACGATTGAAATCATGAACAGAGAGTAGAAGGATGGATACTAGAGGCCGGGAGGGAAGGGTAGTGGGGAATTAAGGGGGAAGTAAGGATGGTAAATGGATACAAAAAACGATTAGAAAAATGAATAAGACCTAGTATTTGATAGCACATCAGGGTGACTATAGTCAATAATAATTTAATTGTACATTTTCATGTAACTAAAAGCATAATTGGATTGTTTATAACACAAATAATAAATGTTTGAGAGGATGGATACCCCGTTTTCCATGATGTGCATGTTACACATTGCATGCCTGTATCAAAATATCTCATGTACCCCATAAAAATATATTACACCTACTATTACCCACAAAAATACAAAAAAAAAAAAAAAGAATAGCATTGTCCTGGCATGAAGTATTTAATTGTCTACCATACTTGATTTCGGATGCATTGAAATGTTCTTCTGTTTAAGAAAAACTCTTTTATCTGTGGGCTGGTTCTCGGTATTCCACATTTAACACCTCCATCATTTGGCTCAGAGCTGTGACCCTGCTTAAAGGAAAATATTCCTGGTAAGAGTCAGAAATTCAATTTCCATAATGTAGTGATGCCTTCATATAAATAATTTGTAAATCCTTGGATAGAAGGGAGGAAGTTCAGAATTTGAGAGTACTGAGTGAATAAAAACTTTCAAGAGAGGATATGTCTAAAAATTTGGAGAATAAGAAATATAAGAACTGAGGGTATTAACAAATGCCACTAATGTATACACTTGCCAGTTCTGGTTGCACTGTATGTTACTTACTAATATCCAACATTTAAGGATATTTAAATACAAGTAATCCCCAGATCCCAAACATGTTTATAATATTTTAGATGGTCTATATCTTACTTTTTTCTATTTTGTAATCCATAAATTTCCAGTATTATTTTAATGTAGTTTTTAAAGCAATACAAATGTTTGCATTTTCAATAAAATGTAATCTAAAACAAAGAATGAATTTCCAATAGTCATGACAAAATTTGCACATGGTACTTGAAGGCACCTTCAAGTTTCTCTATTTCCAGGAGAAACTCTTGAAAATATGGTTTGCCAGTTAGAGTCAGAGGAACATCTAAGACTAGTAGTACAGAAATCTTGTAATTGTCAGTCTTGTACTTAGTGTATGCGGCATCGTTAAAATCCTTCCACTCACTTCCTTTTGACTTTGCTTCCCCTTCTACTTGTCACTCTCCTGTATTCTACATGTGTTCTCAATGGAGATATCAATACAACATCACTAATGTATATACTTAGAATTGAGGTTGTGTCAAAAAATTCTTAAGAAATTATTCTCCTAAATAATACCTGTATTCTTAGTGGAGCTTGTTAAAAGTCAAATATCTAAGTACAGAAGATAATGTTGCAGTCAGAAGAGATAACCCATGCTGTGGTTTCCATCCTGTATCAAACAATTCAAGTACAATACTATTGGAAGTATTTTCTGAACATATTTCATGTCTATCTTCCAATCACAGATACAGTCAAAGTGCTTCACACTGGCACTGGGAAAATCAGGGGAGTGGGTGTGATAGAATCTGCAGATACTGTGGAAATAAAGACAGTAGAGATTGCAAATTCTTGATGCAAACAACAAATTATAAGTCAGATTTTGAGCAATACAAGAGAACTATCATTTTTATAGCATGCTGCAAGCAGCAAAAGAGAGAAGCTGGGCCAGGTAACTAAGGCATGAATTATGTGCATTATTCAGAGATAATAATGCAGAGAGATGTGAGTTTTATGAAAAATTTTAAGGAGAGCTAGAGTCATCAGGACAAAATAACAGGAACAAAATGGATGCCAAGTCAGAGTAGACAATTGAGGGACAGCTTTTAATATAACTAGGGCAGGAGGTCACAAGTACATGTGAAGTTGCAGGCAAGAGTAAATTGGGGCTATAGAATGAAGAATAGAGGCAAGAAGGTCAGAAACATTGTTTAAGAACTGTCACAAAGAGGGGTCCCAAAAGGGGACAAGTTGAAAGGGGACTCATTCCAGATATTAGGCATGAAGTAGGTAATTGTCTACCATGCTTGATTTCAAATGCATTGGAAGGCTCTGCTGTATAAACAGAAAGGAAATGATTTTATACATTCACTGATTGTCAATTTAATACTTGACATCTTAGTCATTTGACTTAAAGCTTTGACTGCTATTGAGGAGAAATCTGTTGTCATTTCTATTCACTTCAGCAAGTTGATGCTAAGGTTTATGGTGAATCTCCAGGCTTCATAAATCTGGATTCTATAAAACATCAGTGGAGTTCCTTGAATACACTGTGATTACAATACTGGCAGCATAAACACTTTCTTCACATTTTTTTGCCCTGTTACATGCTTCTATCATTTCTGAAAGTAATGCTGAATTAGTAGTTCCATGTATTCATGTCTTCCTGTGCATTATCTGTTAAAATATAGAAAAAATGGCATTGTAACTTTTGTTCATTCTTTGTCCTCAAAACTTAGCATAGAATCTCAAATATGGCGGGCATTCAGTAAGTATTGGTTTACCTGAACTTAACTAAAGGTAATTTGGTTCAAGAAAAAGAGTAATTTTTAGCCATGAAACTCATATATTATTAATTCTTCATATCAACACACAGCCTAAGAATTAATTTTTTAATTTAATCTCTCCTCTGTCCATTGGTTGCCATATTTTAAATTTTATTGTCCCTATGCATAATTAGCTGGTTTCAAGAATCTAAATCATCTTTCTACTTCTATCTCACTTACTCTTTGTCCTTGGATGTCACAACTTTTTTCCTAGATCTAAATTCCAGATAATACTATTGATATCTTGTATAATGTAGAGTGGTACCCTTTATCCACTTTCAGTAGGGCTTGCTGTATGAAAACTTTTCTAGTAGTTCAATATTATTTATTCAGTATTAAACTAGCTACCATAAATCCTTTCTCCAATATGGTTACACAAACATACATTAAAATACACACATAGAGTCTCATCTGTCCATCCTTCAGACCAATAGAATCCATTCAGCTGGGGTTTGGGGAATAACTTTTATCACTGGAGTTGAGTGACGCCAAATGTTGTTTTGTGTCCTTCTCCATATAAGCCAGGTGATTGAAGCAAATGAGCTAACAAAAAAATATAGTTTACAACATGTCAAAAGAAGGTTTTGTACAATTATAACATTTTATCAAAATACCAAAAGTCTTTGCCCTGGAATTCTTGGCTTCACAGAACAGTTTCTTCATTTCTCATAAATATTACCCTTTTTGTCACTGCATTTTAATAAGTTTGATGTGCAAAAATTTACATGAAGTTAGATATTACGTGGTTGATTTTATTTAAATCAGCCTTTGCTAATTTTTAAGTTCCTTTTCTCTGAATAATATATTTTCCCTTCTTAAGAATATTTATTAGTGGCAAGAAACCAATTCAGTCCCACCTGCACAGATAACATCCTTAGAACCTTAGACCTTCTTATTTTCTGAATGAGTGGTCAGTCCCATGACCTTGCCACCTGCCACAGTTGATTGCACCAGGTGGACATTCAGCCAGAACTGCCAGTTGGAATTTGTCTCCAGAGAATATGGAGTTGTTGACCAGAGATATGAGAAGATACAGGCTCTGAATCCAAAACAGTCTTAAGTGTCTGTCACTTGGCTGCCATGAATAACTTAAAGACATTTGGTGTGCAGGAAAACATACGAAAAAAACTGAGCCACAAAAGGAAGCAGGGGTGAGAGAAATATGAACCCAGAGAGTGAGAAAGCAAGAAACAGGGATAACTCGCTTTGTGTCTGATTATGTTATGGTTCTTCGTTTCTTCTTCTAATGGCCAAATTCCAGTTGCCTCTTTTTTTGAAATTAGAACACTTTCTAATTTTTATAAATATCTCTTCCTCACCAAAGGAGATTCAAGCTCATGTCTGCACCTGCAACCACAAGAATTATATAGGCCTCATAGTATGGACTTAATAATGATTATTGGTTAAAGTATATAGACATTAAAGACAATAATTTGCTTTAGATGTTTTGGTTCCAAGGAATCAAATAAATCATTTGGGATCTCATATCTGATAGAATCATGAATGAGAGAGTCCTTGATGAGGGAGAGGTGTTGGGCTAATGTTTTTATCTTATCTCATGTTATCCTCCAAGAAATCTGGGAGTTAGGTGCTATTTCCAGCATTTCATAGATGATGAAACTGAGGTTTAAATAACTTCCTTAATGTCATAGAGGCCTTAAGTGGTGAAGCCAGAATACAAATTTAGATCTTTCCAACTCTAGAGGCCATGTTCTTTTCATATTTAATTCATGTGAAGTTGGTGAGGCTTGTTTCTATGTATAGTTTATGATTAGGCTGTTCTTCCAGTTAATGGTAGATTTTAAAATAAAACTCTTGAAGATGACTGAATATTTCTAATTATAAACTTGCTAAATTAATAGAATGAACAGATTTCTAGTTAAAAGATATATGAAATTGGAAATAACTAATTTCTAAAACCTAAAACGGGACTGAAAGCACTCAAATGCAATTCAAGTATTTATTTCAATTGTGCCTTGTAGAGAGTAAAATATCTTTTCAATATCTTTAATTTCAACATCATTAGCTTATATGAAGATAAAATTGGCAATGTCTTTTGAAAAAATGTACTTAGTGTTCTTTAAACATGTCATATACAAATTAATGTATAAATATATTTATGAAAAATATCTGTAAAGGATGATTCACAGAGACGATCATTTTTATAGTAGTTTTGCAAAACACACTGCAAGTAGTTACTGCACATTTGAGTAAGTGTATCTCATTAATATTAACATAGATTTATCTCTCAGTGACCAAAATACTCCTGTGAAATTATAAGTACTATGTTATTTTTAATGCAATTTCAAAATTTTATATGTTGCCAACAGTTGGTGTAAAATTACACTTTCCAATAAAGAGAATGGTCTGAATTAATGACTCAGTTAGAGCACATTTATTCGTCAAGTTTTATTTTTACAAAATAGATCCACTAAAATAAGTTTGACTAAGCTACTAAAATAAGTCTGTCTATTAAGCAATATTATTTGCAATTATGCTTTGCTGGTGTGTCATCAAAAGAAAAAAAGTGGCTTAAGTCTTCTAAAAGCTATAATTTTGTCATTTTAAACTTTAAAAATCTTGACTAGCAACTAGCAGATTAAAAATAATTTGCATGAGTTTAGGAAAGTAATTTTTGAAACATCACTTGGGGACTTGAATATACTTACACATGCTAAGGCTTCATTGGAGAAAATAATTTATTTTAACTGACTTTACACGAATCTCCCTACGTCTTACACTTACTTATTTTTTTGTTTTTAATGAAAAAGAAGATAAGGAAACCAGTTAACTCTTTGAGATAGGCTCTGTACGTCAGAGAAATATTGATTATACAGACAATCTGGAAAGAAAAAATTAAAAAAAAAAACATAGAAATACCCCAAAACAAGATAAACATCTAGGGAACCAGAAATGAAATTAGATGTAAAAATAGAAAATAGGATCTAAACTTTAGATTTATTAGACTTTGTCTCCAGTGGCAGGCAGAGTAGATAGGGAGTAACCGAGACTAAAAATGGTTCATAGGGGTGGACACTGAATCCAGGCCCGCCAAATAAAGGGGGCAAAGAAAGGCTGTAATTATTCCCAAGGAAATGACTTCCACAAAGAGGGACACCTAAAGATGTGGGAAAAAAATTAAAAAATCTTCCCACTGAAGACTAGTATGAACCTGCTTACTAAACCATGCTGTGACCTGAGATATCCCCAATAATCCTCCGAAGATTAAAGCGCTGACACTATCACATCTGGTTATATGTAAGGAACTATAATATCCAAATTGAGACACTCAAAACTACAGTCAAGAGAAACGTGAGCACAAGAGAGAGAGAGACAGAGAACAAATGCCACTATAGATGTGCCTGCAAACCCAAATTCCAACACAAATGGGAAATGATTGCTAAGAACAATAGGTAACAAAATCAAAATTCAAGAAGTTGTCACTTCAGATACAATATAAAATGATAGATCTAAGGTGACCTAAAATGACTATATTGCAGATTATCAAAGGCATAAGAGAACACTAGGAAACACCAGAGCAGGATGACATTAAACAGAACTAGTTTCAAATGTTAGATATTAAAAATGTAATATTAAAATCAACAAAATTTAAAAAGAGATTGTTTAGGTTGAAAAGAGACATAGCCAAAGAATGAATTCAAATATTTGCTTATCATAATAAATGCACAACAAACATGTAAGACATAGTAAACTTAAGAGCAAAAACACAAAGACGATCAGAGCCCAATGATACATTTAGAGAAATCTAACATTTTTCCTTCCTTGTCTTCTTTCCTTCCCTCCATTCTTCCTTCCTTTTTTCCCTCCCTCCCTTCCTTCCTTCCTTCCCCCTTCCCCTTTCTTTCTTTTTTTCTTTCTTTCTCTCTCTTCTCTCTCTTTTTCTTTCCTTCTCTCTTTCTTTCCTTCTCTCTCTCTCTTTCTTTCCTTCTCTCTCTCTTTGTTTCTTTCCTTCTCTCTCTTTCTTCCCTCTTTCTTTTGTTTATTTATTTTGAGACAGGGTCTTGATCTGTAGCCCAGGTTTGCAGATCACTGCAATCTCAACCACCTAGGCTCAAGTCATCCTTTCACCTCAGCCTCCCAAGTAGTTGGGAATACAGGCATGCACCACTGCACCCTGCTAATTTTTTTTTTTTTTTGTAGAGACAGAGTTTCACCATGTTGCCCAGACTAGATAGATCTAATTCATCTCTAATAGGAATACATGAGAAATGAAATTGAGAAAGAAGTAAACAAACAATTACCCAAAGAGTTAAGACTGAGAATATTCTAGGATGAATAGAATGAATCTTCTGATGGAAAGCACACATAGAACAATAAGCAGGAGAGACAAGCATTAATCATTATATACATATAAGGGTATATATATATGATATAAGGGTCTTGGTGGAGTAATAAACAATTGCAACAGTAAATAATTGTTGCAAGAATAAGTAATGACAAAGAATTTTACATTTAGAAACATTAGAGGAGATTTCCTTCTCCTTACTGTGTACCCATTGGTTAAAATGCTCCATATGTCCATTTTAAAATATTAAATAAAATGTTCAGAACTTTAAGCAGCAGATAGATATTAGGTGGCTTTTTTCTTCCTTTCATTCTTTTTTTCCCTTTTAGTTATTTTTCTTTTGGAGCTCAGTTTCAAATCACTGAGTTAATCATATTTTAAAACTAAAAAACACATTGCCGTCATTAATCTCTGCCAATCATCCTTTTATTTTTGTCTTTCTTTCATGAACACTATTCTTATTCCCCTCATCTCAAAGATAATTTGCTTGATGCATGCCCTTGAATATAGCTTTTTAAAATATGTAATATGTTTTGTGGATATATGTATTTTCAATTTACCTGTGTGGTGAAAATATCATCCTGTTTTCTACTTTTCTTATCCAGACCCCGATAAGGGATCTTTCAGTGTTGCTGAACACATGTTGTTTTATTCTAGTGTTTCATGGTGAACCACAATAAACATCCACTACATTTAAACATCATTATATTGCCACCAATCATGAGATTGCCACCAAATGACTGTCACCACAAGCAATACCATAATCCTTATCATCATCTACCTGTATATGATTCTCGGAATTTCTCTATGATGTATAAAATATTTCCAGACTACTTTTCACTACAAGTGAGTGAAAGTTAACACTATGCACATTTTCTAATAATTGTTATGTTTATCCTTTTAAATTAGAGTCTTTCTGATAAGAGTAATGACTCACTGCCTTGATTTGCATTTGTATAATTATAAATATGAAGTTTCTTTGTATACTGTTTAGCTATGGGAAGAAATCTGATCTATGGTAGTTTGTCTCTTTCATTGGTCCTTTTTTTCCCATTGAAGTTTCTGTCTTTTTCTTGATTAACAGGAGTTATTTCTCTATTTCGGATAACAATCCCTTATGCGTTTTAAATTTAGCCAACAGGTTACCCATTTATCAATGATATCCTTCAGTGAACAGAAAACTTTACATCTGGACACATCCTAACAGTCGGCTTCTTTATGCTGTAGTCTTGTGTAAGAAGTCTTTTTTTGCCCATAGTCCTCAAAGCTATTCTATTAATAATTTTCTTTTCTTTGTTTATGGTGTTAATTTCACATGCTTTTTCTATAATGTGGAATCTGCTTTTGTATTGGGTATAAGAAAGATCCAGGTTTGTGTTTTTCCTTTATAGAGTATATTTTCCTAATATCTTCTAACCATTGATTTATAGTGTCATCTTCATAATATATCAAGTTCTCATAAGTGCATGCATCCATTTCTAAAGTTTCTATTCTGCTTCATTTATCGACTTGTTTCTTTATGTATAAAGATGGTATTAGTTTTACAACTATAGCTTTACAAAATGTCCTAATATCTGAACAGTGTTGTCATTTATCTTCTTAAAGTGAACCTAGCAATCTATTAGGGTTTAGTATTCAACATAAAGTTTGGAATGAAAAATTTGGATCAGTTATATACATCACAAAACCAACATATTTTTTTGAGATTATGTTGACTTCGTAAGCTAATTGAGAGAAAATTCTCAATATTTTAAACATTTACTGTTATAACATTCCCATCATGAATGTGATATACCTTGTTATTTATTCAAATCCTTCTAATCAATTCAATATAACAATCTTTTTCTTAATAAAAACTGTGCATATTTGCTAAATTGGTTTCTGTTTTATAGCATTTCTTAATTTTTCATTGATTCTGTTAGCATTGCTTGTCTAAAATCTGTACTATATACAATATTAGACTATGTTGGCCAAGAAAAAAAGGAAAAACACATACTATATATAATGTCTAATATATATTTATATACCTAATGGATATTACATAAATACTATGTATATGCATCATATACAAATAGATATATATTTTAATTATATATGAATTAAATATTTAATTATATATGAATGTATATATATGCTAAAATATTTAAATATGTATATAATTTTAGAATTCCAGTCTTTTAATTAGTGAGCTGAATCCATTTAGAACATTTAAAAACTACATTACCATAGAAAAAAATATATAGTTACTTTGTACTATCTACAAAGTAACTATGGACTATATTGTGCCTCCCACCCAGAATTCATGTGTTGAAGTCCTAGCCTCCAGTGTGATTATATTTGGAGATGAGGCCTTTGGAAGTATTAGGTTTAGATGAGGTCAGGAGAGTGGAGCCCTCATGATGGAGTCAGTGTCCTTGGTCACCAGAGCCTGCTTCCTCTCTCTGCCCTGAAAGAACACAACGAGAAGGTAGCATCTTCAAGTGAGAAAGAGGGCTCTCACTGGGGAATTGAATTGATGGGCACCTTGATTTTGGACTTCCCAGCCGCCAGAACTGTGAGAAGTAAATTCCCATTGTTTAAGCCATCCAGTCTATGGTGTTTTGTTATGGCATCCCAATCTGGCTAAAACAAATATTTTGCCAAGTTACTTTTTATTTTTTACTTACAATATTTTTTTTCATTTTTTCCTTTCTTGCCCTGCACTTTACAGCGATCAAATTTCATTTGATGGTTTTAAATTCATGCATTGTTTTCAAATGTGTTCTGGTTGCTGCCTCTCCCTCCAACTTTTGTTTTCCATTTACTAATATCTATCTTCCTGTGAGACAGGATAGACACTTTAATACATTCTATGTCCCCGTGCTCCTCAACTCCTTCCACAGACTTTTTCCCTCAGCAAATTCTTTTTTCTCACTAGACTTTAAAAAATGCATTGCAGATTAAAGGCCTAGTATGAAAAAATGAACTGTTAAATGATAGAATATATTTATGATTTCATATAGGGAAAAATATTTCTAAACCAGATTCCCTCCAAAAAGTGTGAGTAATGCTGAATGTTTACATCGTACTACATAAGCAATGAACCTGCACCAATTGACTCTTCTGAAATTTAAATGACTAATTCCGAAAGGATCAAATTAAGTTTTACTGAAATCATATTTTGGAAGCTTTCTAAACCATTCTGGCCATGAAGATTGGGAGACTAATAAACAAATTCCAAACTTCATCTGAAGTTAATTTATACTTTGTGGAGCTCAGATTCCTGGCTTCAGTTACACCTAAGCAGCGTGGGCAAATAAGCTTGATAGTTCTGCTGTTTCAACTTTCTTCTCTTTCTATTTTTGCAATATGAAACTTGCAGTTGATTACAAATGACTGTGAAGTGTGGTGTACATATGAGGCTTAAGAAAATGGCACAGAAAAAAAAAAGTCAGAATTTGAGATCGATATGATTAAAAAACACCACCACAATATCAGTGGCCCTTATGAGAACCATTCAGTGTGATTTTAGTGCCACCTAGTGTTCTATGGTGGGATAAGGTCTTGGAAGTGAAAACTAATCCGTCATGGGCAAGACTCAGAAATTAGGCAGCTGGCATAAGGCTGTGCACGGACTCAAAGCAGGCACAGTCAAGAGACTGCTGCTGTGTTTCTTGTTTGCCATCCGGAAAAACAGTCGTGCAAGAGAAGCCGTTCTTAGATCTAAGGAATTAGCCAAATATGTACAGGGCCAGTCAACAGAAGTACTCATTCAAGTATCAGTTTTAAACAAAGGAAGGTTTGCAATGGAAACCCTGATTTGGTGAAAATAAGAACGTGATGGTGATATAAGGGGGCATGGCAATAACACTTGGGAATAAGAGAGGTCACACACATCTAAGGGTAATTTACATATGCATGAATGAGGTCATATTATGCTCTTCTTAGTGCTCAAGTATACTTGAGATTTCAATACATCTATTTTGGGAATTGCATACAAATAGTAGACAAAAACAAGTCAGGCAATGCCAGATTTAGAAGAATGAAACAGGGTTCTCATCTCTAACCTTATACAAAAATCAACTCAAGATGGATCAAATTTAAGACCTGAAACCATAAAAATTCTAGAAGATAACATTGGAAAAACGCTTCTAGACATTGGCTTAGGTGAAGATTTCATTACCAAGAACCCAAATGCAAATGCAACAAAAACAAAGATAAATAGATGGTACTTAAGTAAACTTAAAAGCTTCTGTACAGCAAAAGAAACAGTCCACAGAGTAAATAGACAACCCACAGTGTGGAAGAAAATCTTCACAATCTATGCTTGTGACAAAGGACTAATATCCAGAATCTACAAGGAACAAATCAGCAAGAAAAAATCCAAACAATCCCATTAAAAAGTGGGCTAAGGACATGCATAGACGATTCTCAAAAGAAAATATACAAATGGCCAACAAACATATGAAAAAATGTTCAACATCGCTAATGATCAGAGAAATGCAAATCAAAACCATCATACAATACCACCTTACTCCTGCAAGAATGACCGTAATCAAAAAATCAAAAAGTGATAAATGCTGGTGTGGATGTGGTAAAAAGGGAACACTTTTACACCATTAGTGGGAATGTAAACTAGTACAAGCACTGTGGAAAACAATGTGGAGATTCCTTACAGAACTAAAAGTAGGTCTACCGTTTGATCCAGCAATCCCATTCCTGGGTATCTACCCGGAGGAAAAATCATTATACAAAAAAGATACTTGCACACACTTATTTGTAGCAGCACAATTTGCAATTGCAAATTATGGAACCAGCCCAAATGCCCATCAATCAACAAGTGGATAAAGAAATATGATATATATTAAATTATATATATATAGCTATATATGTCACATGTCTTTATATATCTTCATATATAGCTATATATAATTATATAAATGTATATAGCTATATATGTCACATTCCTATCAGGTGTCAACTTGATTGGATTGAAGGATGCTTAGATAGCTGGTAAAGTATTGTTTCTTGGTGTGTTTGTGAGGGCGTTGCCAAAAGAGATTAACATTTGAGTTATATATATTTCTATTGTATATATAATTATATATATGTAGCTATATATATATGGAGAGAGAGAGAGAGCATGGAATTCTACTCATGCATAAAAAGTAATGAAATAATGACATTTGCAGCAACCTGGATGGAATTGGAGATGTAACTCAGGAATAGAAAACCAAACATCGTATGTTCTTACACTTAAGTGGGAGCTAATCTGTGAGGATGCAAAAGCATAAGATACAGTGGACTTTGGGGACTTGTGGAAAAGGGTGGGAGTGGGGTGAGGGATAAAGACTACACATTGGGTACAATGTACACTGCTCAGGTGATGGGTGCACCAAAATCTCAGAAACCACCACTAAAGAACTTATCCATGTAAGCAAACACCACCTGTTCCCGGAAAACCTATTTAAATTAATAAAATAATAATATCCGCATCAACCCTACCAGTATTATTGCCATTTTCCAGGTGAAGAAACTGGGGTTTAGATACTTAAGATATGTGATGGTTAATATCAGGTATCACCTTGATTGGATTGAAGGATGCTTAGATAGCTGGTAAAGTATTGTTTCTTGGTGTGTTTGTGAGTCAGTGCACTGGGAGAGTACGACCCACCCTCAATGTGGGTGGGCACCATCCAATTGGCTGTCAGCATGACTAGAACAAAGCAGGCAGGAGAAGATGGGATAAGCTGGCTTGCTGAGTCTTCTGGCTTTCATCTTTTTTCCATGCTGAATACTTCCCCGACCTTGGAAATAAGACTCCAGGTTTTTTGGCCTTTGGACTCTTGGACTTACACTAGTGGTTTGCAAGGGGTTCTCAGGCCTTTGGCCACAGACTGAAGCCTGCACTGTCAGCTTCCCTGCTTTTGAGACTTTTGGACTCAGGCTGAGCCACTACTGGCTTCCTACCTCCTCAAGTTGCAGATGGCCTATTGTGGGACTTCCCTTTATGATCATATGAGTGAATTCTCCTTAAAAATCTCCCTTTCATATATACATATATCCTATTAGTTCTGTCCCACTGGAGAACCCTAATAGAATATATTTACCCAAAGTTGTAGCTGAAAGGTGGCAGTACTAGAACAACTTCTAACAGCTCTATAGAAATACTGCGAAGTCCAGAGTGTCATACGTCTGGCACATAAGGGTATTTTCCTGGGAGCAGGGGATTATTTCTCTTATCCATTTTTCTTTGGAGGCATCTCCACTCCACTTCCCAGTAAGGTGTACTTCTTCCCATCCTCCTTTCCTGCCTTGTCCCATGGTAGAAGAAGTGAGAAGCCAGTTGAGAATCTGCCATTCCATGAATCACATTGCCATGAGTGTAGGACCCCAGCATTATAATCCAGGCAGCATGGACCCAATTCTCTCTCATGCTTTGAAGAGAACTGTGTCCAGACACAGCAAATACTCATGCTTGTAATTTCCATGACGTAGGCTAAAGAAGCAGGGTCTCTTTTAGGTCTTGCATATCTACCTGCAATACGGTGGACAGGTCAGAGAGGGGAGGATGTCAAGTTCTTGTCTCAAAATAAAGGTAGCAAGACCCTCTCGTAATCATCAATCCAGCTTTACTGTAAGAATTCTGAGCCTGTTTTAATACTTCCTGGTTCTTTGTCAGGCTTCAACTGGTTAAATTCCCAAAGGCAGAAAGAGTGATTAATTAAAGTCACTCAAACCCCCTGATTATAGGAACCATAGAAACTATAGTAAGTGCCCAAGGCTACTTGAACACAAGTCCAGATTGTTTCTGGAATGTTACCATCTGCCTAGAGTATACGCAAAAGCTGAGTAACTCTAAAACATGCTGTTTTCCTCTCTATTTGACAACTCTTTAAGAGGACTTTTTAAATGATGGCCTATAATGAAGCTCATGGGAGACTAAGACATTACAGTCTGACCATGAAATGGACTGGAACTGAACCTAAAGAGACAATGTGAAATTTCAAAAGACTGTGGAATGAATTACAAGTGGGTCAGCGGTAGTCACCCCTTAAATGAATGGTTTAACATAACGAAGTCTAACTATAAAGTGATGATTGATGTAAGAACAAACGCATTAAAGGAAGAATGGCTACCAATTCTTGTTTTCATCCAGTGCAAATGTTCAACTGTACATCAGAAGAATAACACAAGCACAAAGACACATTCTTAACTGAAAAAATGGTGGCAGGAGGTAACTGAGATAAGGTAAAAAGGCTCATTTGTCTGGGACATTTTAAATGGATACCTGCTCCTTCTTTTAGGTTCTAGATTCTAGAGGTCTTGCTTAAATCTATGACTTGAGATACTCATAAGGTCTATGCTTTCATACTATCAGGCAGGAATAACAGATTCTCTTGGGATCATCTAGTGAGATCACAGCCCATCAGTTTGTACTCTGCAGCTTCTGGGAAAGCAAAACTTTATTTGGGTTGTGAGAATTCTCCCTGAGTAAGTGTAATGGAGGTGAAAGTGATGTCTGGCAGGTAGGTTTGTTTCTTAAATTACTTTGAGGATTAAAACTTGCTAATCACACATCATTTAACAGGTACAGTCAGAAGATACTTTGAAATTATTCCCAATTTATCTGCATAGCATTAGTAATATTATATAAAGAATATAGGATACTTTTCCTATCTGTTGTATTTTGATATTAAATTATACCAAGACATAAATCCTTTCCAATATTATGTAAATATATATTCAATCAACCTTGCAAAGGTTTTGGGTAGTAGCGAGAAAGAGGTTAACTGTACAATAAATGGGAAAAGATAAACATCTATCAATTCAACACAACCAAGAAATCAAATATTTAGATTACAAGTAGGGATATTGGTGGAAAACAATTTGAAGTGAAAATCCTAGTTTAGGATATGCATAAAAGGGAGTAATTAATACAGAGAAAAATGTAAACATTGGTTCTAATTTACTAGCAAAGTTTGAATGATATGATTCCAGAATGTCTTTTATGTAGTAAGATTTATTATCAAACAGATACATACTTTTGTGTGTATGTGTAAGACGGGGTCTTGCTCTGTTACCCAGACTGTCACACACAGCTCACTGCAGTCTTCACCTCCCTGGTCAAGCGATCCTCCCACCTCAGCCTCCTGAATGGCTGGGACTACAGGCAAGCACCACCATGCCCAACTAATTTGTGTTTTTTTTGTATAGACAGGATTTCGCTGTGTTCCCCGGGCCAGTCTCAAACTCCTGAGCTCAAAGGACCCGCCCACCTCAGCCTCCAAAAGTGCTAAGATTAAAGGCATTCACTACTGCACCCAGCTTACTTTTATGTATTGTAAACTCTCTGGGGCTATTGTCATTTCTTCTGACAATCTTAGACAATGGAATAGGAAAATTGGTAATTTACAAACTGGTACTTTATAAATTATGCATATATCTAAATCAAGTCTGCATGTATTCACATCTACATTTGCCTCCTCGTCCTCTTCTCACTATCAATTTCTTACTCCTCCAGGACTAATCCAGTTTGAAAAACTAAAATATATTGAAGCCACTTAAAGTGACTCTGAAAGAAAAAAAAAACTGAATATTTTTAACCTTAGAATGTTTCAAGAGTTGCTTCGATTGTCCTTTGCCTCAGCAAAAGCAAAATAATTGACACTTTGGGGTGAATCAACACTAGTTCCTTTTTCCTTTGCCAACCTTAAAACACAAAAAAAATTATTATAGACATACCACAGAGATATTAGATTCCTATTGCTGTTGTAGCAAATTTCTAGAAATTTAATCACTTAAAGCAACACAAATTTATTATTTTACAATTCCGGAGGTCAGAAATCCTGCAAATCAAGGTGTGCACAGGGCTGCAACCTTTCGGAGACTATAGAGAATCATCTGCTTTCTTGCGCTATCCAGCTACTAGGTGCCTTCTGCATTCATTGGCTTATGGCCCCTTACTACATTTTCAAAGACAACAGTATCATCTCCGAAACACTGACTCTGGCTCTGACATCCCTGTCTCCCTTTTATAAGAACCCTTGCGATTATATTGGGCCAACCCATCCAATCCAAAACACTTTCCCCATCTCAAGATCCTTAATGTAATTATATCTGCAAAGACCATTTTTTCTAGACAAATAACATATTGACAGGTTCTGAGGATTGCAAGGTGGACATCTCCAGGGGGAGCATTATTCTGATTACCAGAGTAGAATTTAGAAACTTGAGAATAAATTTAATACGGTTTGGAGAAGAGAAAGAAAGATGAATGTAAAGAGAGAAAGACCCTTTTGGAAACAATTTAAATTCCTTTCTTATCACTGAAACTACAGTGAGAGAGGTTACTGTAATTCCTGTGAGATGTTAAGTGAGAAATAAGTTCAGTTAAGGCAGAAGCCAGACTTTTTCTAGACAGTAACTTTCTAATCTGGGCCATGAGATAGTTAAACAACTTATATAGACGTAAATTTTCTTCCCGTTTTTTAATAACTACCTTATGTGTCCTTCTATGGCTATGTAAATGGAAGTAAAAGAAAGAATAGTTAAAAACTTCACATTTAATACATTCTGTAAAGGGTGTCTCTCTATCCAGTTTCATGATTATATTCTATTCTAAATGCCTTTACTCCATATCATGTGTCTAGACACTAGTGTTTTTCAAGGCTGCCTCTACAATCTATCCTATGGGTTATTCTTCCTAACACACATTGTTTATCGGTCACTTTTTTGCTTCAACTCCTTAAATTGTACCACTTAACTGACTGACTCATTGGGTAATCAATTATTTCATTTAATAGTTCATTCTACTGGTTTTTTATTGGCCTGGAAAGGGTTTGTGATAAACACTGAGCAGAGGGAGGGAGGCAGTATAATACACACACAAAAAAACTGTAAATGCATGCATTTCCACAGCCTATTCCACGATCACTCCCAATGATAAGTGTTTTGTTGCTTTAGGGAGGTGACAATGTGTTACTAAGTGATGAAGATCATTGACAGTGAACCCTGACTTTCCAGGCTCAGACAGGGTCTCAACCATTTATCATCCTTAAGATCTTGACAAGTTACTAACTCTTTTGGGCTTCACATTTTTTCCTCAATAAAATGGGAATTGTCTTAGCATTAACCTAATGGGTTGTTTTGAAGTTTAAATAAGCCAACGCATATAAAGTGTTTAAACCAGTGTCTGACACATAAGAAGCCCTCAGTAGATGTTAACCATTATTTCTTCCCAGCTCTCACTTATTTCTATAAAGATTATCTTCTAACCAGAAAGCATCATACTTATTCTAATAAGTAAGCCAATGCAAGAAAACGCTGGGGAAGAAGAAAAGCTAGTGGGATTTATTTTGGCTGGGCACAGATTTTCTTGGGAGAGAAGAAAAGGGAGAGAAGAAATGGAGAAGTATAAGAAATATCAAAAATAATTTTAAAGAAAATGTCATACTAATATTTCAAGCCTTTAGAATTTTTAAGAGAATGTAGCCAAGATTAAAATGCTTTTATTTATTTACACAGGCTAGATGATTATTTTTTCATTCATTCATTCATCAAATTCTTAATGAGCTAAAAGCCATGAGTCACATTCGGTGCTAGGTACTTGAGATAATCATGAATGAAAAAACAACTAAGTTCCTGTCAGTATTTAGTTTCTGTTCAGAAAAAGTGACAAAAATTCTTTAAATAATTCATCAAATTAAATTACTAAACACATTAAACTACTAATGTGGCAACTGCTATAATTGAAAGAGTAGGGGAGCTTGATCTACTCAGGGTGGTCAACAAAGCTTTCTCTGGGCTCTGAAGGATGAATGAGAGAGGCAGCACAGCTTGTTCTAGGAGCTGCAGGAAGGCGTATGTGGCTGGGATGCATTCAGTGAGGCGGGTTCTGGAGTGACCAGAGACTAGAAGGGTAGAAAGATGTCAGACTAGGTAGAGCCATGCAAGTTGCATTAAGGATTTTGATATTTATTTTTAGGACAAATGGGTTGATGTAATCTGTCTTTTAGGTACTGTGAAAACATTTTTTCTCCAACTGCTTGAAATGGAAGAGAATATGTGGATGGACCAAGGTGTGCACAGAGCTACTCCCCTTGGGAGACTCGAGAAAATCTGTTTCCTTGCTCTTTCTAGCTACTAGGGACCCTTGTATTAGGAAGCCATTGCATTACTCCAAGTGAACACTGCTAGTAGCATGGAGTAGGATAGCGATATTGCAAGTCTGGGTGAGTATATGGACTTGAAAGCTATTTAAGCATGAAATCAATAGGTTCCATTAGTAATAATGGAATAGTCGTGAGGATCAAGGAGAGGAAAGAACCATAACAATTCCAAAGTTTCTGGCTTAAGTAACTAGTTGGTTATATAACAGTTGTATTCCTGGATAGACCAGAGGGAACTAGAAACTGGTTTGGGATTTATTTTTGCCTCTATAACAAATTTGTTTTCAAAATGAAAGCAGAGTTTATCTAGGGTTAAAATATCAACCTAAAGAGAAGAAAAGAGTACTGATTAGCTATGAATACATGACACTGAAATTTACTGTTGACAGGCACGCAAGTTGGCCAGACTTGAGTTGTGATTTGGGGGAAAATGTTTATCAAGGTAAAAGACATAAAGTATTCTGTACATTTTTTTCTCCTTTGTTCTTTATTCTTATTACCTAGAGAAAGAGAAACTTTTCTGTAAATTTGCAAACTAAACAATATTTTCATCCTGCTTGGAAACCCAATTTCTAAAGCAGTAGGAGCTTTTCTTGGCTGGAATGATAAGGTCAATATTAAACATGCCTGGATGACTCTAAAACCATCTTGCTGCTTTGCTGTTTAAGACCAGGTCTCTGGAGATGTAGCCGATGGTATGGAATTGAATAAAGTTAGGGCTTTTTTGTACTAGAGACTGAAGAAATTTGTAGTTAATTCTGTGCAAAGAGAAGGAGAAACAGAATTTGGGTGAAGAGAACAACAAGCTCTTGTAATAGGAGACAGATGGAAAGTATTTAAAAAGCACAAAAATGCTGCCATTTGTGTAAAGGCCGGCAGGATCAGACACTGGTAAACAGTACTTCAGCAGAGGATGCCCTGAATACACTAGAGGTAGTACAGTAACTTGGATTCATATGCAAAACTTATGACTCCTTAAACAATAAGAGTAAAATAAACATAGTCTACCTTATGAGTTCAGAGAGAAGAAACTTCTACTCTGCGTCACAGCTCAAGAAGCCAGTATTTTGGAAGATCAATACCAGCTAAATTAAAACATGGAAGAATATATCTTCATGAAGAAATCTGTCTTGATCACACATTGCTGAAATACTCTTTACCAATGTCTAACACACACTTTAATCACTTGGTAAAATTAGTGAGGAATGAAGAAAGAAAATGGAGGGGAATTTTGGCAGGATTCTGGTCTAAGAAAAAAGAAGCAGATCTGAGGGACTAGATACCATGCAGGAAAGTGTCATCTTCTTGGAGAAAGGTCCCCCAGGTTCCTGGTAGGCTGTTTTGTCAAGCCCTGTCATCTCAAGGATCACCACAGCAAGCCCAGGGCAGAGCTGAAGAGAGCATTACCCATAGATGTTTTCCCAATATCAACATGGATTACAAAATGGTTACTATGATTCCTTAAGGATTCTTGCCCCTGCATTTCACAGAACTCTCCTTAAAGAATAAACAAGTTAATTATGAATCCGTTGAGTAAACTGACACATTTTCAATTTACCTTTATGAGTACTCAAAAAGACACATAAGCAATACATTGTGAACGCAGAAGGATTGCTTCACCCTGCCTGGAAAGTTATAGAAGTTAGCCCGGATAAGGTGTTACTAAAACTGGGTTTTTATTTAATATTTATTAAAGACTAATATATATTAATATAACATATATTAATATATTTATAGAAGCATATATATGTAAGTGTACATTTCAGTGAATTTTCAAAGTAAGAATATGGTAAAATCCTACCACCAACATGCAAATCAGAATATAGAAACTAGCCATCACTTAAGCAATCTCCCCTGTGCCCCATCTTTAGCACCATCCCCAGTAGAAACCTTTAGTCTGAATTATATCACCAAAGATTAGTTTTGGCTGTTGCTATGCATTATAGAGGTAAGATCCTAAAGTATGTATTCTTCTGTACTTACCTTCTTTAGCTCTATATGTTGATTTTAGATTCATCCAAATGTTGTGTGTAGCAGTAATTTGAATATACCATAATTTATGTATCAATTTCTTGGCGAACATTTAAATAATTTCTAGTTTTGGCTGCTAGAAATATTATTTCCATAACATTCTTGCATGTATCTTCTGGAGTATTTATATATCTGTTAGGTATATATCAAGGAGTTGAATTGCTTAGTCATAGGTATGTGAATTTTAACCTTTAATGGACACTGCCAAACAGTTTTTCAAAGTGGATTTACAAATTTCCTCCCCAATAACACAATATGAAGTGTGGTATTGTCATAACTTGGTATCGTCAGACGTGTATATTTTTCCCATTCTGGTAGGTTTGTTCTGGTATTTTATTGTGGTTTTGATTTGAATATCCCTAATGACAGATGAAACTGAGTAACATTTCATATATTTACTGATAATTTAGATAGCCTCTTTTTTGATATTCTTGTTATAATTATTTGTCCTTTAAAAAAAGTTGCTTGTCTACCCTTCTCCTAGTGATTTACATGATCTTTTATATATTCCAGATATTAGTTCTTTCTTGGGTATATGTGTTGCAAATACTTGCTCTCTGTGTGTGGCTTGCAGTTTTACTCTCTTAGTGGTGTCTTTTGATTAAGAGTGTTTTAAATTTTAATAGCGTTCAATTTGCAGATCTGCCTGTTTAGGATTAGTACTGTTCTATCCTCTTTAAGAAATCCTTTTCTACACCAAGATCATGAAAAATAGCTTCTTACAATATCCTCTAGACATTTTATGATGTAAGTTTTATATTTTGGTCTATCATACTCATAGAAGGGATTTTTATGGATGGTATAGAGTCAAGATTAATATATTTTTAGAAAATCTATGTAAGGATAATCTATAAATTTCTATATGGTTATTCAATTAACCCAGCACTAGTTATGTAATAGATCATTTTTTATCAAAAGCATTTTTGTATCAACTTCATTATAAATTATTATGAATCAACATGTGTCTATATGTGTTGGGGCTTTCCATTCTAATATACTGTTTGATTTGTCTATCTTTATGCCAATACCACACTGCCTTAATTATTGTACTTTATAATAAGTCTTCACTTCTGATAGCATAAATCCTCTAACCATATTCTTTCTTGTCAAGAGTATTATGTCCACTAATTTTGGCTATTTATAGTGCCATATCGACTTCAAAATTGGCTTTTCAATTTAAACAGATTTGCAGAGACTTCAATTGGAATTGCATTGCCTTTATAAATCAGTTTGGAGAAAAATGATATATTTAAAATGCAGAGGCTTTACACTTACTATAAAAAATTAGATCACAAATCAATGACATGATTTTATAACTTAAGAAACTATAAAAGAAAAATAGACTAAACAAAGCTAGCAGAAGGAAGGAAATGATAAAGATTAGAGCACAGGTGAATAAAATGCAGAATAGAGAAACAATAGAGAAAATCGATGAAATCAAAAGTTGGTTCTTTGAAAAAAAAAGATTAAAAAAATTGTCAAACCTTTAGCAAGATAGACTAAGAAAAACAGAGGGAAGACTCAAATTACTAAAATCAGAAATAAAAGTTGGGGCATTACTAATAATTCTACAGAAATAAAAAGGATTGTAAGAGAGTTCTATGAAAAATTATACACCAACAAATTGGATAACCTAGATGAAATGGATAAATTCCTAGAAATGCAAAACCTACCAAGACTAAATCACACAGAAAGAGAAAATATGAATAGAGCTGTAAACTAGTAGAGACATTGAATCACTAATTTAAAATCTCCAGACAACAAAAATCACGGGTTTGATGGCTTCTCTAGTGAATTCCACCGACCGGCCATTTAAAGAACTAATACCTGTCCTTCTCAAACTTTTCCAAGAATTTGAAGAGGAGAGAATACTCACTAAATCATTCTGTGAAGCCAGTATTATCCTAATACCAAACCCAGACAAAGACGCTACAAGAAAAGAAAACTACAGACCAATATTCCTTATGAATATTGATGCAAAATCCCAACAATACTAGCAAATCAAATTCAGTAGCATGTTAAAAGGATTATACACCATGACCAGGTGTATGGTCATGGAATGTAACAATCATTCAACATATAAAAATTGTTCACTGAACTACACCACGTTAACAAAATGAAGGAAAATACCTATGTGATCGTCTCAACGTGGAAAAAGGATTTCATAACATTAAACACTTGGATGATTTAAACACTCAAAAAATGCATATAGAAGGAAACCACCTCAATATAATAAAATCCATATATGGAAAACCCACAGTGATAATCATACTAATAGTGAAAGATTAATATCTTTTCCTCTAGGATTAGGAACAATGCAAGCATGCCTGCTTTTGTCACTTCTATTTAAAATAGAACTGGAGTTCTAGTGAGAGCACTGGGGCAAGGAAAAGAAATGAAAAGCATACAAATAGAATATAAGAAGTAAAATTATCTCTGTTCACAGATAATGTGATCTTATATGTAGAAAACCCTAAAGATTCCACACAAAAAAACTGTTGGAATAAATGAATTCAGCAAAGTAGCAGGATAAAAAGTCAACACACAAGAATCAGTTGCATTTCCATACACTAACAATGAACCATCTGAAAAGGAAATTAATAAAACAATCCCAATTATAATACTATCAAAAAGAATAAAATATTTAAGATTCTATTAATGAAATTAATTTAATCAAGGAGGTGAAGAGCTTGTACATGAAAACTACAAAATATTGCTGAAGGAAATAAAAGAAGCCCTAAATACATGGGAACACATCCCATGTTTAGGAATTAGAAGAAAATATTGTTAAGATGTCAATTCAGATTTAATGTAATCCCTGTGAAAATTACAATAATGCTTTTACAGAATTAGAAAAATCTATCCTAAAATGTATATGGTTTCTCAAGGGCCAAAATAGCCAAACCAATCTTAAAAAAGAACAAACAAAGCTGAAAGATTCACACTTCCAATTTTCCAAGCTTGCTACAAAGCTACAGCTATCAGAATAGTGTGGTACTTGTATAAAGACAGACATATGTACCAATGAAATGGAATAGAGAGCCCAGAAACAAACCCTCACACATACAGTCAAGTGATTTCTGACAATACTGCCAAGACCACTCAATGGGGAAAAAAAATCATTTTTAAAAATCATGTTAGAAATTTTACAGGAATAATATTGCATTTATAAATTTATTTTTGAAAGTCTAGACATATTCATAATATTTTTATGATATTGAATCTTTATATGAAATGATTAATAAAATCTATTAATATATTATTGATATAATATTTTTATTTAACCTTCCACATTTTTATTGGGGTGTTTCTTAGATTTTTTGTTGCTATTACAATGGGTTGTTCTTTTCATTGTATTTTTCTAATTGATTGTTTCTTAAGTATGGAAAAGGTACTAATTTTTGTAAATTAATACTCAACCCAATCACTTCACCATATCATCTTATTCTTTGTAACAATGATTTAATTTACTCTGTTAAGCATTTCTGATATAAAATCACATAAAAGAAAATAATATTAATTTTACCTGCTCCTTTTCAAATTTTCCCTGTCTTGTTTAGTTGCAATTGGCTAGTAAATTTTAAAACACTATTGAATGATAGTGGTAAGGTGATGTATCTTTGAATTGTATTAAGTTTAAAATATATTCCCAGCATAGGACCATTAAAATGTTCACTTACTAAATAAAATGAAGTCAGCATCTTGTAACATTTAAAGTTTTAAGAAGAAATGAATTATGAATTATATAAATGACATGTAACAATCATATTTTTTTCCTAGAATTATTATAGAGGGTTTTATTCATATTTTTCTTAATGTTACCTCATGCTGAATTCCTGGTATGAACATTATGTAGACATTTTATATTGTTCTTTTAACATGATTCACTATAGAATGAATTGAGAATATATCCCCCTTTATCATTCTTTTGTCATTTATTATTTTTATTTTTAAATTTTCAACTTTTATTTTATAATCGGTATACATCTGCAGGTTGTTTACAAAGGTGTGTCGCATGATGCCATGGCTTGGTGTAATTAAACCTGTCACTTAGGTAGTGAGTATAGTCCCAAATATGTAGTTTTTCCGCCCTTCCCTCCTCCCACTCTCCTCTTCTAGTAGTTCTGTTTACTATTGCCATCTTTATGTCCATGTGTAGCCCATGTTTAGCTCCCACTTATAAGTAAGAAAATAGAGCATTTGGTTTTCTGTTTCTGCATTAGTTTCCTTAGGATAGTGGTCTCCAGTTTCATCCATGTTGCTGCAAAGGACATGATTTTATTTTTATTTTTTTATGGCTAGATAGTATTCCATGGTGTATATGTACTACATTTTCTTTATCTAATCTACCGCTGATGGGCACTCGGGTTGATACTAGGTTTTTGCTGTTGTGAATAGCCCTGTGATGAACATGTGGGTGCATGTGTCCTTTTGTAGAATGATTTATTTTCTTTGTGTATATACTCAGTAATGAGATTTTGGGGCCAAATGGTAGCTAGTCTTTTGTTGAGGATCTTTGTATCTATGTTCATTGGGGATATTGGTCTGAAGTTTTCTTTTTGTCTTTGCCAGAGTTTGGTGTCAGGGTGATACTGGCTTCATAGAATGGGTTAAGTGGAATCTTTCCTCCTCAATTTTTTGGAATAGCTTCAGTAGGATTGGTACCAGCTCTTCTCTTTATGTCTGGTAGAATTCAGCTGTGAATTCTTCTGGTACAGGACTTTTTTTGGTTGGTAAATTCTTTTTTATTACTGATTCAATTTTGGAACTTGTTATTGGTTTGTTCAGGTTTTCGGTTTCTGCCTGGCTAAATCTTGGAAGATTTTGTGTTTCTAGAAATTTATCCATTTCCTCTAGATTTTTTAATTTGTGCACCTAGGGGTATTCATAATAGTCTCCAAGGATCTTTTGTATTTTTGTAGGATAAGTTGTAATGTCACTTTTGTCATTTCTGATTGTGCTTATTTGAATCTTCTCTCTCTTTTTCTTTGTTAATCTATCTAGTGGTCTATCAATCTGGTTTATTCTTTTGAAGAACCAACTTTTGATTTCTGATCTTTTGTTTGAATTCTTTTTATTTCATTCATTTCTTCTCCAATTTTAGTTATTTCTTTTCTTCTGCCAGCTTTAAGGTTCGCTCTTTTTTCTAGTTCCCCTAGGTGAAATGTTAGATTTGTCTACTCTTTTTTTTTTAATATACATAACATAAGAATTACTTGTTCTCTAAAAATATATTTGGAATCTCCAATAAAATTTCCTGGGCCAGTATCATTATTAGTGGTAAATCTTTATATCTTTTCAAATTATTCTCTAATTATTGCTCTCTTTGGATTTTTTCTTTTTTGTTAGTTTAATTCATTTGCAGTTTCAAATGTAATGTTGTACTTCTAATGACACTAGTTACTTCATGCTTTTTAGCATTCTCTGCAACTGAAAATATGTCATCTTTATTCTAATTTTATTGTACCTTTTTTTCCTTTTATAGGCTCGCAGATAGTTTATTTATTTTATTTGGATTTTCATTTAATTTTATTCATCAAGTCTATAGTGCCTTTTAATTTTTCTTTTAAATTTTATTACTAGTTTATACTTTTACTAGTATTAATCCCTTCATACTACATGATTGAGGTTGTTATGATCTTCTGTTACTTTCTTGAGTTTAATTTTCTTCTAATCAACAAATACTATTGAAGTTATAATTTTCTTCTGGTTCTCATGTATTTACTGAATTGCTATAATTTTTAGAAGGTATAGTTCTATTGGTTAATCTAAATACATTATATAAATATGTTAGGAAATGTAAATAAACATTGGTTATTTAAAACAATAATAACAATATGTACATTTAAAATACATGATGAAGATAACTCAAGTTGAGAATACAGTAAACTGAGTTAAAGTGTTATGAGAAATTTGTACACCTTAGAAGAAGTAAAATGCTAATTTAAAATAGATTTAATAAATCATGGGTTCATTTTTTAATCTTTAGAAAACTCATTCTCCCCTCCCCAGAAATAACACAATCTATAGTGAACAAGTTAATATAAAAGAAACATAGAAATATTTTTAAATGAGCTTTTAATTTACAATAAGTCAAGAAAGACAGCAAAGAAAAACAGGAACAAAAAGGAAAGATGGATAAAAGAGTAAGCAAATAGTGCTAGATCCAAATATGCCAATGACAACATTAAGAGATGAGGATTCTCTAATCTGAATGAAAACCAAGCCTAACTATTTGTTGATAACAATCTTGATTGCTGATTAAGAGGATGTTAGCCATTCCTTAAATATAAGAAAGGATGAAAATAAAAGGATATAAAGTGATATGCCATGCAATATTAACCAAAGAAAGAATAAACAGTCTTATTAAAATCATACAAAAAGATTTAGAGCAAGAAGCATCACTGGAAACAAAGATGGCATTTCAAAATGATAAAAGATTAAATACAGTGATAAAATGACACAATATTACATGTTTGTGTACCCCAAATGTAGCTTCAAACAGAAGAGCCAATATTGAGTAAATAAAATGAAAAATACGCAAATCCAAAAATCATACTAACCTATGTTACCATACCTCTTTCAGTAACTCATAAAAAAGTGGCAAAAAATCAGAAAGCATATAAAATATTTGAACAGCACCATTAACAAAAATGAGCTCACTGACATAAGATCATTCTACCCAATAATAGAATACACCTTTTTGCCCAAGGGCTGTGAAATATTTAACAAAATAGACTATATCTTGGACCTTAACCCAAGGTTTGAAAAGCACACTGAATATTTCTCTGATCACAATGTATTAAGCTAGTAGTAAATAACAGCAACGAATAAAATATCTTCAACGGTTTAGCAATTATATAAAGCACTTCTGACTAGCTGATTGGATAAACAAGTTGTCAAGGAACTTAGATAATATTTTGAGCTAAATGAACATGAAAATAAAACAGAGACTTGAGAAATGCAGCTAAAGCCGAGCTAAGTAAAATTGATAGACATAAAGGTATATTGTGGAAAAGAAGAAAGTCTGAAGAATCCATCTCAAGAAGATAGAAAATATCAGCAAATCCATTCCAAATGAAAGAGAATAAATAATAAAGATAAAATAAGTGCACAATAAAATAGAAAATAATAATAGATTCAATAAAACCAAATTTAGTTCTTAAAGAAAATTGAAAGGAAAAGAAAACTAATCAAGAAAAAATAAGAGAGAATTTAAACATGGGTCATTACTACATATTCTATAGGTTTAAGATAATAAGATGAGGGTATAATGGACAACTTTATACCAAAATAGACTAAATTCTTTAAAATGTAATTTTCAAAATAAAGCATGAGAACAAATGGAAAATATAGTTCTATTTCTATTTAAAAAATTAAATAAAACTTTAAATCATTACCCTGCAAACAATACCAGGTCCAGATGATTTTGCAAGTGAATTTTTCAAACATATACTTAAATTCTTTCAGGAAATAGTAAAACTACTCAAATTCTTTTATATGATCAGCATAATGACAAATCCTATAGCTGACGAGCATATTATAAAAAGACAAATTACATGCCGATGTCTCTTATCATCATAGATCCCAAAACTCTGGGCAAAATGTTAGTAAATCAAATTCAATATATTAAAAAGGATAATAATCCATAATCAAATTTGTGTTATTTGCAGGAATGCAAAGATAGTATGACAGTCTACAGCAGAGTTCCATCTCCAGGCCAGAGTCCTTCTTTCAACTGAATTTTGAACCATTTGCCTCTTTTGCTTCTTGATTTTCTCAATTTTATTTATTTATTTATTTATTTTTGAGATGGAGTCACTCTGTCACCTAGGCTGAAATGCAGTAGCGTGATCTCAGCTCATTGCAACCTCTGCCGCCCAGGTTGCAGCTAGTCTCCTGCCTCAGCCTCCTGAGTAGCTGGGACTACAGGCACGCACCACCACGTTAGGCTAATATTTGTATTTTTTAGCAGGGTCGGGTTTTCACCAAATTGGTCAGGCTGGTCTCGAACTCTTGAC
This sequence comes from Homo sapiens, assembly GCF_000001405.40. NCBI lineage: Eukaryota > Metazoa > Chordata > Mammalia > Primates > Hominidae > Homo > Homo sapiens. The sequence goes on along the minus strand of NC_000002.12, from coordinate 166,521,867 downwards.
CTTGTGACCCGCCCTCCTCGGCCTTCCAAAGTGCTAGAATTACAGGCGTGAGCCACCGTGCCCAGCCTCAACTTTATTTTTAATATAATTTTCTTATTATTATTTTGAGACAAAGTCTCACTCTGTTGCCCAAGCTGGGGTACAGTGGCACAATCATGGCTCATTGCAGCCTCAGTGCCTGAGCTCAAACAGTCCTCTAACCTCAGCTTCCCAAAGTGCTGGGATTGCGGGTGTGCAGCCTTAATGTCATTTTTCATATTATTCTATTTTCCTTTCTATTGCCTTTTGAAAGTTTCTAGTCCCGAATTGGGGTATCTGTCAATCACAATTCCAAATCTCTCTCTAACAATATTCAGGCAGTCTTTAAACAGTGTTGGGCATACAACTTTCCCTATTGGATCAGATTCTGAGTTCTCTGACTCTTTTCTCTAGTGAAGCATATTTCAGTATAGCTTTCTATGCTCCCTTCAGTGGAAGCTGAACAAACTGCTGCACCGTTTGAAACTTGCATTACGACTGAAATTATGTAAACATTAGCCAGCCAGCCAGCCACATTGTAGTAGGTGGAATTACACAGAAAACAGAATATGAGTTAGAAGGTTATGTGCCTTTTAATGATTGCAATTCCATGGGAACAGGTCTGAGGAACGACAATCACCAGAAAACACAAGCAAATAAGTTTATGCTTCCTTCAGCTTCTGATTTCTTTTTCATTTTTTTAAAGGGAGTGAGGGAGAACAGAATTACAGGAGTTCATTAATAAGTGGCCACAGCTTTGTAGCAAGGATGAGTTTTTGCTTTTCAAATAGTACGAACCAGGAGGATATATATTGAGAGAGAATTTATTTGGGTTACCTCTGGTCTCATACTTCTCATTGATCAAAACTTTCCCCATGAAAGATCAACTTCCTTTTACTTCCAGGTGTCTCACTTGACCATTTTATCTTTGGTAAGTGAAGCCAAATCCTTCCAACTGCTATGTGGAACTTTCTCTGGATAGGTAGTTTTGGGAAGACCAAGGGTTACAAAATTTGGCATTAGGTAATGTTGCAACGGTTAGGACAAAGTTTACATAAAGTTAGTAGAGTGACAATAGCTAGGACTCTAGAATTGGTCTCTCTCATGGCCATAAGTGGTGACAGATGTGCTCAGGTAGCCCAAGTTTGCCTGTCATACTCTAGAAAGATATTCCGTATTTCTACAGTGTTGCCTTGCCTTTTTTTTTTTTTTTTGGGAGGCAGAGTCTCACTTTGCCACCCAGGCTGGAGTGCAGTGGTGTGATCTTGGCTCACTGCCACCTCCGTCTCCTGGGTTCAAATGATTCTTCTGCCTCAGCCTCCCGAATAGGTGAAATTACAGGCGTGCGATACCATGCCTAGCTAATTTTTGTATTTAGCATTGCCTTTTTAATGAACAAAATTATTTGCTGGTTTTGAATTTGATACTCAAGAATACTGTTAGATTGACTTTCTGACTTTTTTTTAAATTCCATACCATTTTATTTTTCATATCTGGGGCACACCTTTACCCATCCTAGCAGCACATACCAGGTTAGTATCCTCAAATAACGGATCTTTCACATAAGCTGAAATTCTGAATATATTAATAAGACCAGTGCTAATGCCAAGCTTTATCAAAACCAACAACTTTACCCAAACACATATTTTTCATATTTTATAGCACTTACAGTACAGTCATTATTTCTGTTAACATTTCTTAAGTGCACTATGCACTGCTCAGACATTACAAAACTTGGTGTGAGACTAAACCTGGATTCCTTTTAGATGGTTATAAATAATATTCACTGCAAAATAAATTTAGAAGTACATTTAGATGTCAGTGAAAGTGGAAAGAGAGTGGTTAGAAATAAGGGAAAAAAATGACCGAGATGCTAATTCATTTTACAAGTTATTTAACACTTCTTTTATATTCAAGTTACAATAATACTGGAAATTGTGTTATTGCCATAAAAGATGACTACTTCCTTTTAGCATCTCTATTTAATTGTGTTTAGAAAATGGATTCAACTTTAACTTGCCACTCATGGCTCTTAGTAAAACTTGGAAGGAGTTACTTTTCAACTCTCCACTCAGCATGTCCCAGCGGGCGTGAGAGGAGTATTACATTCTTCTGACGCTTGGCATAGCGTTCTAAGAATATATCAACGCTTAAAAGCAGTTACATTAGGAAAAGTGAATATTTGGATGAAGCGAGGGCACTTTTCTAGAGAAAATAGAGCAGCCCCTAGGAAGGTGCTTGGCTGGTGCTCAACAGTAATGCAGGGAGGCAGCTCATGCAGGAGGGGGAGGGGTGTAAAGAGGCAGCTCCTTCTACTCCTCACAAACGAATACCTTAAGCTAACGGTACAAAATTACTCCATTATTATATTCATGATCCTTGCCAAACCAGTAAAGGACAGACTCTCGTGTGTCTAAACTTGTGATCTGATCTAAACTTAAAATGGAGATCCCCGAACCCCACTCTCCCACTCAGTATTTACTAGGTTTTCAATTAGTTCTTCAAGCCATTTTAATGAAAACTGAAGTTTGAGTACTGTGATTGGCTCAGAATCTGAAGGTTAAGAGGTTATCCTCTAGAGGTTAAGAGCATGGACTCAGTGCTTATCTTGGGATGATAATTTTATTTCCCTTGTGTGCCTTTAACACAGCATAGGATGTGTGCTCGATGAAGGCTGGCTGTAATGACAGTCGTCAGACCAAAGCTCCATAGTTCCAATGCCTTTGCTTCTTGTGTGCTGACTTTAAATAAACTCATTTCCCCTTTAAGAATGCTCCAAATGATCATTTTCACTGGATTTAAAACCTACAGAATTAGGTGTATATTTTTAATTGAAAAAATAAGCATCCTGCATTTTTTTTTCAGAGGCCAGGGGCTTCTTTCTTATGATCTAGTTATGTCACCACACATGAGAAAGCCTAGAATTCTTTAAGTAGAAGCATCTTTGTCCAGTTGTGTTCAATGTGAGAGAGGCACAGGCTGAGTTGCCCCCAAGTCACTGACACATGAGTAAGCAATTCGGAATTATTTGCAGCCTCAGAACAAGTGAAGACTAGATCTCAGATGGACAAGGAATGAAGGAACTAGCTGAGGAGAGAGGAGCCCCACTGAAAAATGAATCTAGGCTATTTTCATAGAAACAAATTATTTGAGCACCATATACTGCATTATTTACACACTTCATTCTGACTCTGACTTCAAGAATAACTAACTCCATGAAATGAATGCCATATACATTGTATCTAATGTCATTAATACAAATTTAAAAAATAAATACTATTTTTAAACAATTGATTTTAGGTAAAATGAAGTGATTGTGCTCCACATAAAATTGTGAGTTTTCAGCTAGACAATTATAGTTTTCTTGGTCTCAAGTCCTCAATACTTGGAGAAACTGCTGGAGCAGTAATCTATTTCTTACATTATCCTCAGCAGCTAAATGCGTTTTCAGTTTTTCTTCCTCACTCTTGGACTATTGAAAATCATTACCATTGCAGCAAGACTAATTTTTGTACCATTACAAATACTGACATTTATTCTTAATGACTCTGTGTGTGGAAGCCAAAAAGCTATTGCCATCGATTGTATGCAGAAAGTTCTTTTAGTCACAATTATAGCATTTGTAGAAATTTTAAAATCTGAAATTGCAGATGTCTTGGATGATAAATTCTCAATTATCAGTAAAATAAGAAAGATGATTTTCTAAAGCAAATTTAAAAACATCTGGAACTTAACGTCTAATTTTGACCCTCACTATGATGTTTTTTTTTTCTCAATTCCAATATAAAATGGTCTTTTTATAAGATCACACTCACCTCCCCCAAAGTGTAGCAAAGATTTCCTGGGATTCTGAGTTCTCTAAACAGATTTTCTCAAATAAAGTTTGAGCATTGATTTTATATAAATTCCCTTTAGTCTGCTAGAATTTCACATGTGATCCTTTCCCTAAAACACTTTAGTGCATTATTTTTTACTGAAATGATTTAAAAACCTTCTATTGTCCTTCCTGCCAACTTATTTCTTTCTCCACTTTCCTTATTTTCCCTTAAGCCTAGTTTAGGGGAGACTCAACTATTTAGTGGAAGATAATGATTTCCAGGTTTTATTTATTTATTTATTTATTTATTTATTTATTTTTCTTTACAAACTCATCCCTATTTCCAAACAAATATCATCTCTGGAAATATAAGCCCCTTACTCTTATACCTCTTGGTCAAATTTCTTGCAGATACAACCAAACCAACTGTTAATGGATTTGTGATTGAAATTGCTACATTAGTCAAAGCTTAGCCATAACTTCTTATGAGAAGTTTCTTTTTTTATTTCTGTCATCTATATTGATAAAAATTCTTCTTGATCCTCCATAACACTTTATTTTTAATGCACTTATCACATTACACTATAAGTCCTATTTATTTGTCTGTATCCTTTATTAGACAATAGAAACTGTCAGCCTTGTGCCTAGCATAATATGTGTCTGAGTGCCGATCTCAGGACCTCTCAACCTCCATAATTGCATGAAATATATGTGTATTGTAATTATATATATATGCTATGTATTATTATAAGATTATATATTATTATGAGAGAAAATATTAACAAAATATCAATAAATATAGGAGAACAGAGACTAATACACCAAGTAATTAATGAGAGGGAGAGAAAAGGAAAGGAGCAAGGGAGGGAAAGAAGGTGAGAAAAAGAGAGAACCAATACAAACTCTGAATTTTGTATTACAGGCTGGAATTATTTCAGATATACCAATTGCATCAACTTAAACATGTCAAACACATTTACTAATATCACCAAAGCTATAGCTAGAATAAAAATAGATCTGCTTGCTGAGCCAAAATTATGCACAACACCCTATCTGCAATAGGAAAAAGCTTAATGAAATGGTGGGAGTAAGGGAAGGGGATACTGACTGTGTGGCATACAAGGCTAAATTTGAACACCAGAGGGCGGCAGGGCATTTTCTCATTTGAAATATAGTCTCTAAATTCTTGCTGTAAAAATCATTTGAAATCAGCCACGTTTACTGAATGGCCACTGTATACAGACCCTTGAATAATATGTTGAAGAAATTTCTTAAGAAATAATATATACAGCTCACAAGATTTAAATTGCAATAACTTTTAAATCTACCATAGAACCTATGTTTTCTTATTTCAGTCAATGTTTCCTAAATCAGTTAAAACCAAAGTTGCTAATGCTCATGCCTCTTTTAGCATCAGACTGTAATTTACTAAGTGGCATTCTACTTTCTTTGTCCAAATTCTTTCTGAATAAATGACAGTGACTAAATTAGTGCTAATTCTCTTCTCCAGTATTCAACCTGCTTCACATCATAGTTTTCAGAAAATCACTTTTGTTCTTCATGTGAAGAAATACAAGCAAAATTTTAGAGCTAGAAAGTAGACAAGATCATGGAAACCAACTTTTTGTACCTCTTTATTTTGCAGATGAAGCAGCTGAGAAGAGAAATATCTTCCTAATATCATACTATTTTCAAGTGCTACATTGATCAATATAGTAGCGATTAGCCACATGTTGCTATTTAAGCTTAAATTACAAAAAATAAAATTTTAAAATGCAGTTTCTCAGTTTCACTGCAAATGCTCAATATAGCTACATATGACTAGTGACTACTGTATTATTCAGACAGATACCAAACATGTTCCTCTTTGCATAAAGTTGTTTTCCTTTTTTAAAAACTATACATTTATCTTAACCACATTGTAATTTATGTTTAATTACATTGCGTAATTCCAATGTAAAAAAAATTGTGTCTTATCCATAGACTTCTTTGGAGTATTTTCCAAGTCTACTCCCCCATCTTCATTTCTATAGCCACTACTGCAATAGGCTTTTATCATTTCATATTCTTTGGTGTGATCACTGCAAGAGCAGTCAACGCTGGAGAAATTTTTGCTCCTCTAATTCAATAATAATAATAACTAACATACATTAAGAACTACCAACTACCAGGCCCTTTGTATATACCTTATATGAAAAATTGCATATTTTTTTTTAACTTTTATTTTAGGTTCAACAGTATGTATGCAAGTTTGTTATACAGGTAAACACTTGTCACTGGTGTTTGTCATGCAGATTATTGTATAAAGTTCTTTAAAACAGTGCTAAACCAGAGAAAGAGCTGGAATAAAACCAGATCTCTTGAGAAGACGTGCCAGAGAAATTGAGCCAGAAAAATGAGATTTCAGCAAACACAAAGAAAAAGAAAGTTTCAAGAAGGAAATAATACAACAGGGGTGTTAGGCAGGTGGAAAATGAAAAGCATTCATTGATTCTCTTGTTTCAGGAATCTCGTTAAATAACTATATACAGTGCTTCTCAAATCCCAGGATCCTAAAATAATATCCTGATTTTCCAGAAAGATAATATAATTGTAACAAAATGAGGTGTACTAAAGTTTAAGACAAAATTGTATATAATATCAATTAATTAGCATTGACACATGTCCAATTTTAATTTTTTGTCATGTAAACTTTACAAAATGCTTGCAAAATTAAAAACTGAAGGAAAGCTAAACTAATATGGTGCCTTATAAGGACATCGGCCACTACCTCAGTGGTACGCAAGCATTGTGTACCCTCTGCAAGGTATTTTATTCACATTAAATTCCCATGTTGGTGACCCAGGCAAAAGCATTAAAGTGGGAAGAAAGAGCCTAAGGCCAAATACCAGAATGGAATGAAAGAACAAAAAGGATGAATGTAGAAACATCAACTATTAAAGACCAGGAGTTTGTTTCACTGCACTGACTACTTTAAGATTAATAGATGAACTTCAGACAAGTTCACAGATCTTCTGAAACCACGTACAAAACTTTCTAGGTTTGGGCATTTGTTTCTTCTTCTGTAGATACAGTGCATAGTGTATCATTTGAAAATAAAGAAAAAAAGGTGAAAACTAATTGAGCAAGGTCCATGAGGAAGCAGGTAAGAAAAGGAATCAGGAAGAAAGGGAGAAGTAAGTCTTCCTTCTCAGAGTTACAAAAGCCTCAGTTTTGGTCATCGAAGTGAAGAAAGGTGGATAGGCAGAGAAACGGTCTTGAATAATCAGATCATGGAGGCCTGAAAAATTGTTTACAGACCTTCACATTTCTTCTTGATTTCTCTGAAGCTTTCTCCAAATATTTTTTGCTATATATGATCGCTACATAGAAAACTGTATTTCTAAAACCATATAATACATTGTATAGAATATATCTATAAACAATGATTATAAACTAATTTATCAATAAATACTAAGTAAGCACTTAAGCTGATTGTGATCAGTGCTATGTTTTAATATTCTGGTCTTGTACCAAGACCAGAACCCTCCAAAAAGAGATCTAGATGCGGTATAACTTTAATGTTTTGAAAACATTTAGTATGTTTGAGAATCTTCCTTTCCTTTGTTGCTCATGTTACCTCTCTCCAGCCTGTCCAAAGTCCTCATTGTACTTTACAATAAGCAGTCAAGTTCCTAGGCAGCCTGTCTAATTACAATGCAGCGCTGTTTTCCTCTAGCCTGTCCAGATTAATTTTACTGTAAAGTATATATTTGGAAACCATTGTTATTCTGTTATTGTTTTGATTGTCCTGAAGGTCTCTATTATCAACAATCCAAAAATAAATAAAATGTAACATTTTTAAAGTAATTACCATCTTGAAGAGCCCTATTGCATCATTTAGTCTTTCTAATTACTTTAGACATATGTACTATACATTATTATCTTTTTTTACAGATGACTTAATATAGGCAACAATTCTTGAGTCTCCAAAGCTCATAATTTTAGCTATTCACTCCTACAGCCTATCAGTCAAAAACAAATAAACATATATCTGAGTGTCTAAAACACTGAGACCTAGTGGTAAGAAAGAGATACATTCTCTGTCTCCTTGAGTGTCACACTCTGGGAAGAAGGTACAATTAAACAAATAGTGACAAAACTAATAACTTAATTATAAATGGAATATGAAAGCCCATAACTTGGCCAGCTAACTCAGTCTGGTAGGATGCAGCAAAGGATTCCTTAAGGGCTTAAAAAATGGACAAACAATTGAAAAGAAAATACAGCTAGAGGCAAAATAGCTTGAGATACTTTTGGAGACGTCCCTGACTCATGATTAAGTAATAATTAATTCTTCATGCTTTTGTATAAACAGAAGAAACACATTAGTATGTTGAAGAAAAATCCTAATTTCTTTGTTTGTAAACATTCTAGAATAATGGATTTAGATGATCAGTTTTTTTAATCCCAGCTGGTATTTGTTGTGCAGACAGATGCTGTTGCTCCTCCTGGAGCATTTCATTCAAGTTGACTGATGATTCCTTCAAGATTTGTTCCTCCCTAAGCTATGATATTGAGGGAGGAGTCCTGGAGGAAATTCTATTCTGTTTCCTTGAAGAATGCAGTTAGTTTTGGGAGAGAGTTGGCAGTGCAGGAGAGGTGATAAGGTAAGGTCTGTAACTCATCCGGAGGGCTCAGTTGAATGGAGAGGTGGGGTTTGGAAGGATGATGGTAGGAAATTTCTCAGGTTATAGCTATAATGCAATATTGATTTAACAAAAGAAAAGCCTATTAATATCTGGTTATTTTTCTGGAAATTCCTCTCATACCTGATGAGGTGAAAAGATGGGGATACCATCTATTTGGAGAACCGCCTCTTTAATTGCTGTTTTGTGAAATATATTACTCCAGGTTTATTTTTTTTTTCAGGTGGATTAAAGAGATAAAGCATCAATCAGGACAAAAGTTGGGACATTGTTTATTATCTTCATATTGGTGTGACTGCGGCCTAAAAAATTATATATTTATTTTCAATGTATTTTTGTGTTTTATTAAGATAAACATGAACATAGTTTAAAAAGTTAAATAGTCCTAAAAGACATAAAACTCTCTCATCTTCCTGAATTCTCTTCCTGATAACCAATTATTTAAATCATTTTAGTGGTTTCACCTGTAATGTTCTACCACATTTACAAAAAATAGATAAAAACTGCTGTCTTCTAATTCATCCATATTAGATACTATCTATAACATTTCTATTATATAAAATTAACATTTTACCTCTCATTCATTCACTTTCCATGCAGTCATTCTGCCACTGTGGCTATATGACACTGATTACGCCCACACTGGTTATTTTCATAATTATGATTCTGTTGAGTCAGAGAGTACTGTAATCATATTGCTTCAAATATATGGGTGTGTATATATATATATATATTTGTTTTTCTTAGAGTTAATATTTGGATAACTTTTTAAATGTATTTTTTTAAACCATTGGCCAAGTATTCTGACACCTTTCATTTCTGTAATACACCATTGTTCCTCTACCTCCAGTCTGCAGCAAGTACCCTGGGGGCCTCCTGTGCATCTCCCTTTCGGCACATCCATTCACATCATGAGGAAACGCCTCTTTGCATTTCTCATATATTGAAACCTTGTTTATTCGATACCAGGAACTGTTTCATTTTGCTCCCTCTTTGGATATATTACACCTTTCAATAACTTCTTTAGCAAGAATACATAAAGGTGAAAAAGTGCATATAAAATACATTTTGGGGAACTTCCATGTTTAAAAATTATTTGTATTCTCTCATATTGATTTATGGCCTGAATGTGTATAGAAATCTAGATTAGAGATAAATTTTGTACAGAAATTTGAATATGCCACTCTATTGTCTTCTGGATTCCAATGCTGCTATTGATACATTTGATACCATTTACAGCCCAATCCCTTGTTCTTGTTTTTAATCTACAGACTTTATTACAATCTCGCTAGTGCCCATCAATGTCATTTTTCTGGTTCAAGATCCATTTCAGGCAATCTGGCAAGATGGCCGAATAGGAACAGCTCCAGTCTGCAGCTCCCAGCAAGACCAACACAGAAGGCGGGTGATTTCCGCATTTCCAACTGAGATACCCAATTCATCTCATTGGGACTGCTTAGGCAGTGGGTGCAGCCCATGGAGGGCGAACAGAAGCAGGGTGGGGCATTGCCTCACCCAGGAGCCAGGGGACCTCCCTCCCCTAGCCAAGGGAAGCTGTGAGGGACTGTGCTACCCTGCCCAGATACTGTACTTTTCCCATGTATTTTGCAATCTGCAGATCAAGAGAGTCCCTCGTGTGCCTCCCTGGGTATCGAGCACAAAACTGGGCTGCTGTTTGGGCAGACACTGAGCCAGCTGTAGGAGTTTTGTGTGTGTGTGTTCCCCAGTGGCACCTGGAACCCCAGCAAGACAGAATCATTCACTCCCCTGGAAAGGGGACTGAAGCCAGGGAGACAAGTGGTCACACTCAGCAGGTCCCACTCCCATGGAGCCCACAAAGCTAAGAACCACAGGCTTGAAATTCTCACTGCCAGCACAGCAGTCTGAAGTTGACCTGGGATGAAGGAGCTTGGTAGGGGGAGGGGCATCCACCATTACTGAGGCTTTAGTAGGCGGTTTCCCCCGAGAGTGCTAAGGAGGCTGGGAGGTCTGGACTGGATGGTATTCACCACAGCGTGGCAAATCGGCTGTCACCAGACTCCTTCTTTAGATTCCTGCTCACTGGGCAGGGCATTTCTGAAGAAAAGGCAGCAGCACCAGTCAGGGGTTTACAGATAAAAGTCCTATCTACCTGGGACAGAGCACCTGGGAGAAGGGATGGCTGTGGGCGCAGCTTTAGCGGACTTAACCTTTCCTGCCAGCCAGCTCTGAAGAGAGCAGCTGATCCTGACAAGGAGGATTCTCCCAGCACAGCATTCAAGCTCTGCTAAGGGACAGACTGCCTCCCTCAAGTGGGTCCCTGACCCCTATGCCTCCTGACTGGAGAGACCTCCCAATAGGGGTCAACAGACACCTCATACAGGATAGCTCCAGCGGTATTAGTTTGGTGCCCCTCTGGGACGAAGCTTCCAGAGGAAAGAGCAGGCAGCAATCTTTGATGTTCTGCAGCCTCCATTGGTGATACCCAGGTGAACGGTCTGGAGTGGACCTCCAGCAATTTTCAGCCAACGTGCAGAAGAGGAGCCTGACTATTGGAAGAAAAACTAACAGGCAGCAACAACATCAACATCAACAAAAAGGACCCCCACAAAAAAACCCCGTCAAAAGGGCATCAACCTCAAAGATCGAAGGTAGATAAATTCACAAAGATGAGGAAAAACCAGGACAAAAATGCTGAAAATTCCAAAAAGCATAATGCCTCTTCTCCATATGATCGCAGCTTCTCTCCGGTAAGGGCACAAAACTGGATGGAGAATGGGACTGATAAATTGACAGAAGTAGGCTTCCGAAGGTGGTTAATAACAAACTCCTCTGAGCTAGCGGAGCATGTTCTAACTCAATGCAAGGAAGCTAAGAACCTTGATAAAAGTTTACAGGAACTGCTAACTAGAATAACCAGTTTAGAGAGGAACATAAATGACCTGATGGAGATGAAAAACACAGCACAAGAACTTTGTGAAGCATACACACGTAGTGGAATCAATCAAGCAGAAGAAAGGATATCAGAGATGGAAGGTCAACTTACTGAAATAAGGTGTGAAGACAAGAGTAGAGAAAAAAAAGAATGAAAAGGAATGAAAAAGCCTCCAAGAAATGTGGGACTATGTGAAAAGACCAAACCTACGATTGATTGGTGTACCGGAAAGTGACAGGGAGAATGGAACCAAGTTGGAAAACTCACTTCACAATATTATCCAGGAGAACTTCCCCAACATAGCAAGACAAGCCAAGATTCAAAATTGGGAAAATACAGAGAACACCACTAAGATACTCCTCGAGAAGAACAACCCCAAGACACATAATCATGAGATTTTCCAAGGTTGAAACAAAGGAAAAAATGTTAAGGACAGCCAGAGAGAAAGGTCAGGTTACCTACAATGGGAAGCCCATCAGACTAACAGCGAATCAGGCTGCAGAAACCCTACAAGCCAGAAGAGAGTGGGGGCCAATATTCAACATTCTTAAAGAAAAGAATTTTCAACCCAGAATTTCATATCTAGCCAAACTAAGCTTCATAAGTGAAGGAAAAATAAAATCCTTTACACACAAGCAAATGTTGAGAGATTTTGTCACCACCAGGCCTGCAATACAATAGCTCCTCAAAGAAGCACTAAATATAGAAAGGAAAAACTGGTACCAGCCACTGCAAAAACACACCAAAATATAAATACCAAGTGACATGACACTATGAAGAAACTGCATCAACTAATGTGCAACATAACCAGCTAGCATCATGATGACAGGATCAAATTCACTCATAACAATATTAAACTTAAATGTAAATGGGCTAATTCCCCAATTTAAAGACACAGACTGGCAAATTGGATAAAAAGTCAGGAACCATCAGTGTGCTGTATTCAGGAGACCCATCTAATGTGCAAAGACACACACAGGCTCAAATAAAGGATGGAGGAATATTTACCAAGCAAATGAACAAAAAACAGGAGTTGCAATCCTAGTCTCTGACAAAACAGACTTTAAACCAACAAAGATCAAAAAAGACAAAGAAGGGTATTACAGAGTGGCAAAGGGATCAATGCCACAAGAAGAGCTAACTATCCGAAATACATATGCATCCAACACAGAAGCACCCAGATTCATAAAACAAGTTCTTAGAGACCTACAAAGAGACTTAGACTCCTACCCAATAATAGTGGAAGACTTTAACACCCCACTGTCAATATTAGACACATCAAAGAGACAGAAAATTCACAAGGGTGTTTAGAACATGAACTCAGCTCTGGACCAAGCAGACCTAATAGACATCTACAGAACTCTCCACCCCAAATCAACAGAATATGCATTCTTCTCAGCACCATATGGCACTTAATTCTAAAATCGAACACATAATTGGAAGTAAAACACTCCACAGCAAATGCAAAATAATGGAAATTATAACAATCTCTCAGACCACACTGCAGTCAAATTAAAACTCAGGACTAAGAAACTCAAAACTGCACAACTGCGTGGAAATACAACAACATGCTTCTGAATGACTACTGGGTGAATAACCAAATTAAGGCAGAAATAAGGGAATTATTCAAAACCAATGAGAACAAAGATACAACGTACCAGAATCTCTGGGACGCAGCAAAAGCAGTGTTAAGAGGGAAATAGCACTAAATGCCCACTTCAGAAAGCTGGAAAGATCTGAAATTGACATCAAAACATCACAATTAAAAGAACTAGAAAGCAAGAGCAAACAAATTCAAAAGCCAGCAGATGACAAGAAGTAACTAAGATCAGAGCAGAACTGAAGGAGATAGAGACATAAAATCCTTTCAAAAATCAATGAATCCAGGAGCTGGGTTTTGGAAAAGATTAACAAAATAGACCACTAGCTAGACTAATCAAGAAGAAAAGAGAGAAGAATCAAATAGACACAACAAAAAATGATAAAGGAGGTATCACCACTGATCCCACAGAAATTCAAACTACCGTCAGAGAATACTACAAACAACTCTATGCAAATAAACTATAAAATCTGGAAGAAATGGATAAATTCCTGGACACACACATCCTCGCAAGACTAAACCAGGAAGAAGTCGAATCCTAGACCAGTAACAAGTTCTGAAATTGAGGCAGTAATTAATAGCTTACCAACCAAAAAAAGTCCAGGACCAGATGGATTCAGAGCCAAATTCTACCAGAGGTGCAAAGAGGAGCTGGTACCATTTCTTCTGAAACTATTCCAAACAATAGAAAAAGACTCCTTCCTAACTCATTTTATGAGGCCAGCATCATCCTGATCCCAAAACCTGGGAGAGACACAACAACAAAAAATTTCAGGCCAATATCCCTGATGAACATTGATGCAAAAATCCTCAATAAAATACTGGAAAACCGAATCCAGCAGCACATCAAAAACCTTATCCACCACTATCAAGTCGGCTTTATCCCTGGGATGCAAGGCTGGTTCAACATATGCAAATCAATAAATGTAATCCATCACATAAACAGAACCAAGGGCAAAAACCACATGATAATCTCAATAGATGCAGAAAAAGCCTGTGATAAAATTCAACATCTGTTCATGTTAAAAACTTAATAAACTAGGTATTGATGGGACATATCTCAAAATAATAAGAGCTATTTGTGACAAACCCATAGCCAATATCATATTGAATGGACAAAAGCTGGAAGCATTCCCTTTGAAAACTGGCACAAGACAAGGATGCCCTGACTCACCACTCCTATTCAATATGATATTGGAAGTTCTGGCCAGGGCAGAACTTCAGGCAAGGGAAAGAAATAAAGCGTATTCAAATAGAAAGAGAAGAAGTCAAATTGTCTCTGTTTTCAGATGACACGATGTATATTTAGAAAACCCCATTGTCTCAGCCCAAAAACTCCTTAAGCTGATAAGCAACTTCAGCAAAATCTCAGGATACCAAATCAATGTGCAAAAATTACAAGCATTCCTATAGACCAATAATAGACAAGCAAAGAGCCAAATCATGAGTAAACTCCCATTCACAATCGCTACAAAGAGGATAAAATACTTAGGAATACAACTTACAAGTACCTTCCCTGAGCAAAGGACCTCTTCAAGCAGAACTACAAACCACTGCACAAGGAAATAAAAGAGGACACAAACAAATGAAAAAAAAATTCCATGCTTATGGATAGGAAGAATCAATATCATGAAAATGGCCATACTGCCCAAAGTAATTTATAGATTCAATGCCATTCCCATCAAGGTACCATTGACTATTTTTGCAGAATTAGAAAAAAAACTACTTTAAATTTCATATGGAACCAAAAAAGAGCCTGTATAACCAACACAATCCTAAGCAAAAACAACAAAGGTGGAGGCATCACGCTACCTGACTTCAAACTGTGCTACAGGGCTACAGTAACCAAAACAGCATGTTACTAGTACCAAAACAGATATATAAACCAATGGAACAGAACAGAGACCTCAGAAATAACACCACACATCTATAACCATCTGTTCTTCGACAAACCTGACAAAAACAAGCAATGGGAAAAGGATTCCCTATTTAGTAAATGATGTTGGGAAAACTGGGTAGCCATATGCAGAAAACAGAAACTGGACCCCTTTCCTTATACCATATACAAAAATTAACTCAAGATGGATTAAAGACTTAAATGTGAAACCTAAAACCATAAAAACCCTAGAAGAAAACCTAGGCAATACCATTCAGGACATAGGCATGGGCAAAGACTTCATGACTGAAACACCAAAAGCAATTGCAACAAAAGCCAACATTGGCAAATGAGATCTAATTAAACTAAAGAGCTTCTGCACAGCAAAAGGAACTACCATCAGAGTGAACAGGCAGCCTGCAGAATGGGAGAAAAGTTTTACAGTCTATCCATCTGACAAAGATCTAATGTCCAGAATCTACAAGGAACTTAAACAAATTTACAAGAAAAAAACAACCCCATCAAAAAGTGAGCAATGGATATGAACAGACACTTCTCAAAAGAAGACACTTATGCGGCCAACAAACATATAAAAGATCATCATCACTGGTCATTAGAGAAATGCAAATCAAAATCACAGTGAGATACCATCTCATGCCAGTTAGAAGGGTGATCATTACAAAGTCAGGGAACAACAGATGCTGGCAGCACTGTGGAGAATTAGGAACTCTTTTACACTGTTGGTGGAATGCAAATTAGTTCAACCATCATGCAAGACAGTGTGGTGGTTCCTCAAGGATCTAGAGCCAGAAATACCATTTAACCCAGCAATCTAATCACTGTGTATATACCCAAAGCATTATAAATCATTCTACTATAAAGACACATGCACACGTATGTTTATTGCAGTGCTATTTACAATAACAAAGATTGGAACCAACCCCAATGCCCATCAGTGATGGACTGGATAAAGAAAGTGGGGCATATATACACTATGGAATACTATGCAGCCATAAAAAAGAATGAGCTCATGTCCTTTGCAGGATAATGAATGAAGCTGGAAGCCATCATTCTCATCAAACTAACACAGGAACAGAAAACAAAGCACCACATCTTCTCACTCATAAGTGGGAGCTGAACAATGAGAACACATGGACACAGGGAGGGGAAAGTCACAATCTGGGCCTGTCAGAGGGTGGGGAGCAAGGGGAGGGAGAGCATTAGAACAAATACATAATGCATGTGGGGCTTAAAACCTAGAAGACAGGTTGATAGGTGCACCCAACCACCATGGCACATGTATATCTATGTAACAAACCTGCACATACTGCACATGTATCCCAGAACTTAAAATGTAAAATAAAATAAAATAAACGTTTGATAGAAAAGAGCAATGAAAAAAAAAGATCCATTTCAGAGTTCCATGCTATATTTAATTGTTATATTGCCTTAGTCTCCTGTAATCCATGACTGTTCCTTGGTCTTTCTTTGCCTTTCAAAAGCTTGACACTTTGAAGAGGACGGACCAATTATTTTGTGGAATATTCCTTAATTTGAGCTGCTCTGATGTATTCTCCTGTTTATATTAAATTTATGCATATTTGGGAAAATGCCACAGAAATGATATTGATGCCTTTACAGTGAATTATATCAGGAGAAACATGGTACCTGAAGTCTTATTATTGGTGATATTAACTTTGGTCATTTGATTATGTTGGACTTTGTTAGGATAATCCACTATAAAGTTACTATTTTCCTCTTTGTAATGAATATCTATCCTATAACTAGATTCTTTGAGACTGTGCAAATATTTTCTTTCACTAATCTTAGAATCCATCAATGAGTCTTGCCTACACTAACACGACTTTTTAAAAAAATTAAATAATAGACTTTCCTTTTTTTTTTTTTTAATTATACTTTTAAGTTTTAGGGTACATGTGCACATTGTGCAGGTTAGTTACATATGTATACATGTGCCATGCTGGTGCGCTGCACCCACTAACTCATCATCTAGCATTAGGTATATCTCCCAGTGCTATCCCTCCCCCCTCCCCCCACCCCACCACAGTCCCCAGAGTGTGATATTCCCCTTCCTGTGTCCATGTGATCTCATTGTTCAATTCCCACCTATGAGTGAGAACATGCGGTGTTTGGTTTTTTGTTCTTGCGGTAGTTTACTGAGAATGATGATTTCCAATTTCATCCATGTCCCTACAAAGGACATGAACTCATCATTTTTTAGGGCTGCATAGTATTCCATGGTGTATATGTGCCACATTTTCTTAATCCAGTCTATCATTGTTGGACATTTGGCTTGGTTCCAAGTCTTTGCTATTGTGAATAATGCCACAATAAACATACGTGTGCATGTGTCTTTATAGCAGCATGATTTATAGTCCTTTGGGTATATACCCAGTAATGGGATGTCTGGGTCAAATGTTATTTCTAGTTCTAGATCCCTGAGGAATCGCCACACTGACTTCCACAATGGTTGAACTAGTTTACAGTCCCACCAACAGTGTAAAAGTGTTCCTATTTCTCCACATCCTCTCCAGCACCTGTTGTTTCCTGACTTTTTAATGATCACCATTCTAACTGGTATGAGATGGTATCTCATTGTGGTTTTGATTTGCATTTCTCTGATGGCCAGTGATGATGAGCATTTTTTCATGTGTTTTTTGGCTGCATAAATGTCTTCTTTTGAGAAGTGTCTGTTCATGTCCTTTGCCCACTTTTTGATGGGGTTGTTTGTTTTTTTCTTGTAAATTTGTTTGAGTTCATTGTAGATTCTGGATATTAGCCCTTTGTCAGATGAGTAGGTAGAAAAAGAGGGAATCCTCCCTAACTCATTTTATGAGGCCAGCATCATTCTGATACCAAAGCCGGGCAGAGACACAACCAAAAAAGAGAATTTTAGACCAATATCCTTGATGAACATTGATGCAAAAATCCTCAATAAAATACTGGCAAAACGAATCCAGCAGCACATCAAAAAGCTTATCCACCATGATCAAGTGGGCTTCATCCCTGGGATGCAAGGCTGGTTCAATATATGCAAATCAATAAATGTAATCCAGCATATAAACAGAGCCAAAGACAAAAACCACATAATTATCTCAATAGACGCAGAAAAAGCCTTTGACAAAATTCAACAATGCTTCATGCTAAAAACTCTCAATAAATTAGGTATTGATGGTACGTATTTCAAAATAATAAGAGCTATCTATGAAAAACCCACAGCCAATATCATACTGAATTGGCAAAAACTGGAAGCATTCCCTTTGAAAACTGGCACAAGACAGGGATGCCCTCTCTCACCACTCCTATTCAACATAGTGTTGGAAGTTCTGGCCAGGGCAATTAGGCAGGAGAAGGAAATAAAGGGTATTGAATTAGGAAAAGAGGAAGTCAAATTGTCCCTGTTTACAGATGACATGATTGTATATCTAGAAAACCCCATTGTCTCAGCCCAAAATCTCCTTAAGCTGATAAGCAACTTCAGCAAAGTCTCAGGATACAAAATCAATGTACAAAAATCACAAGCATTCTTATACACCAACAACAGACAAACAGAGAGCCAAATCATGAGTGAACTCCCATTCACAATTGCTTCAAAGACAATAAAATACCTAGGAATCCAACTTACAAGGGATGTGAAGGACCTCTTCAAGGAGAACTACAAACCACTGCTCAAGGAAATAAAAGAGGATACAAACAAATGGAAGAACATTCCATGCTCATGTGTAGGAAGAATCAATATCGTGAAAATGGCCATACTGCCCAAGGTAATTTACAGATTCAATGCCATCCCCATCAAGCTACCAATGACTTTCTTCACAGAATTGGAAAAAACTACTTTAAAGTTCATATGGAACCAAAAAAGAGCCCGCATCACCAAGGCAATCCTAAGCCAAAAGAACAAAGCTGGAGGCATCACACTACCTGACTTCAAACTATACTACAAGGCTACAGTAACCCAAACAGCATGGTACTGGTACCAAAACAGAGATATAGATCAATGGAACAGAACAGAGCCCTCAGAAATAACGCCACATATCTACAACTATCTGATCTTTGACAAACCTGAGAAAAACAAGCAATGGGGAAAGGATTCCCTATTTAATAAATGGTGCTGGGAAAACTGGCTAGCCATATGTAGAAAGCTGAAACTGGATCCCTTCCTTACACCTTATACAAAAATCAATTCAAGATGGATTAAAGACTTAAACGTTAGACCTAAAACCATAAAAACCCTAGAAGAAAACCTAGGCATTACCAATCAGGACATAGGCATGGGCAAGGACTTCATGTCTAAAACACCAAAAGCAATGGCAACAAAAGCCAAAATTGACAAATGGGATCTAATTAAACTAAAGAGCTTCTGCACAGCAAAGGAAACTACCATCAGAGTGAACAGGCAACCTACAAAATGGGAGAAAATTTTTGCAACCTAGACTTTACTTTTTAGAGAAGTTTTAAATTTAGCAAAAAATCGAGACAATATTACAAAGAGTACCCATATACCCCCCAAGATATATACACAATTTACTCCATTATTAACATTTTACATTAATAGGGTGTATTTGTTGCAATCAATAAAACAATGTCGAGACATAATTATTAACTAAAGTACATGGTTAATTCAGATATCTTTGGCTTTTGCCTGATGTCCTTTCTCTGTTCTAGGATCCTACTCAGCTTGCCATATTACATTTAGTTGTCATATCCTTAGGTTCCTTTTGGACATGGATATTTCCTAAACTTTCCTTGTTTTGATTTCTATAACAGTTTTGAAGAGTACTGGGTATATTGTATGTTGTTCTTCTATTGGAATTTGTCTGATGTTTCCCTCATTATTAGTCTGGTGATACGGGATTTTGGAGGCATATCACAGAGGTAAAGTGCGATTTTCATGATATCGTATATCAAAGGTACATACAATCAATATGATTTATGACTGTTGATGCTGACCTTGATCACCTGGCAGAAGTAGGGTTTGTCACATTTCTTCACTTTAAAGTTAAATGTCCGTCTCTTTGTCCTTTTTTCCCATACATTCTTGATAATTTCCATAATTTTATTACCAAACCATTTGATAATAATAATAAGCTCTCATAGATTAAATTTCCAAGAGCTCTTTCATATACTGTTCCTTTATGTTTTAGCTTTATTGAAGTTTAATTGAGAAATAAAAGTTACATATATTCAAGGTGTACAATGAGATCATTTAACTTATGTATATATTCTATAATAATTACCATGGTCAAATTAATCAACACATTCATCATTACACATGATTACTATTTGTGTGGGTGTGTGTTTGTGGTGAGGACACTTAAGATATACTCTCTTAGCAAATTCTGACAAAAAAAATAAAGTATTACTGATTGTAGTCATCATGCTGTACACAAGATCCCTAAAATTTATTCATCTTATAACTGAAAGTTTGTGTCTTTTACCAACATCTCCTCTCATTTCTCTTATGTCCCAGCCATTGGAAACCACATTTTTATACTCTGCTTCAGTGAGATGGTGTTTTTTAGATTCCACATACAAGTGAGATCATACAGTATTTTTCTATTCTGTTCCTTTAAAATATGGCATCTTCTTCTTTCTTCATAAATATACCTCTCTTATTTCTCAAATTGATCATATTATGTTTGAATTTTCTTCTGTGCCTTACTATCTCTACCTCCACTGAATCACTTCCTTCAATAAGTTTGTTTCAATTTTTCTCTGCCATGCTGAAGGCATTCCTCAAATATCCAATGATTCTTGTTTAGTGATCACTAAGAAACCAACAGGATACTCTATGCATTTATGCATATGTTTGGGAGTTGAGGAAGTAAATCTTGAGGACTAGCAGACTTTATTCTAGGATGAGCCTGTAATCAGTTAACTTTTTTGTTGAGGACACTAAAATGCCAATATCAGTGGGTCTACCCTATGGGTCAGGTCAGGTTTTTCAGAGGAAGACTTTAGAACAGCCCTTCTGAAATATAAAATATGGGGACCGGATTTCTGGGTTCTGAGTAAGGAAAAGAACCTGGAGTGAGGGGAAGAATGTCATCATTTAGAATACAAACTTTTTAATGTTCCTGTTTCCAGGGCAGAACTTCTCTCCATCTTCTGTGTTTAATACCTCAGATTTCAAGACTCTATAATGCAAATTTTCTAGAGAACATACTTCTCACCTTAAGTAGAGGATGAGAGCAGTAGTCAGGGTGAGTTGGAGCTGGCCTTCTGGTGGTCTAAAGATTTTCAAACAACTTTCTGTTTTCAGCATCCAACCTTGTCCAGTTGCAAGATAACCAGGTCTCTTCAAGGACTGAGATGTCATAGTTGTCTGTAGATAGAATTAGCTTGATTCTTACCAGTTTTACTTTTCACAGACAAGTAAGTTAGACTTTCTTTGTTTTACTTTACTAAATAATTTTTAATTTTTCCACCTACATTCTATTTAATATTGTATGTTTTGATGTTACAGATGTTTCATAGTTTCACTGAAAATGTAATTAGGAATTTCTGGGTTTTGTTTGACTTGTCTTAAATAATTGGGGAAGGGGAAAATATGTGAGAAAAATTTTGAGCTGGTGTTTTATTATTAAACCAAACACAAAGTGGTAGAAATGAATGAAATAATATAACTGTGAAACCTAGTGAATTTGAGGAAATAAACTAGAATCTATTATTATACTATTCAATTGCTTGTTCTTCAATATGAATTCCTTGCTTGATAATTCTAATTTAGGTTGGAGGAAAGGTTTATTGGTAAATTGGATTATGCTTTTGCAAGTTCTAAAATCCTTGAAAGTCACAATATTTTTCCTAATTCAGCAGGGGCATCCAGTCCAAACAGAATGTCAACTGTAGACACAGACATGGCATGACAGAAGTGTTGGTCATCCCCCCAAACTTATTGTTATCTTTATCTACCTTATTAGAAACCTCAATTTTTAGCTCTTGAAATAGGCACCAAAATGAATATGACATTACTCATCTTTCCTTGCAACCAGTTTTGTCTTTGGGGTTAAGTTCTGGCCAACAAGATATGAACTCAAGAACGTATTAATTAATGCTTCTGGTTTCCTCTATTCTATTTTTCCACTGCCTGGAATGTAAAAGTGTTGTTAATCCGTCTTCATTCATGCAAGTGGGGCTTGTCCACTAGAGGTAGAAAAATCAACAAGATTGAAAATATCCTAATTCCTTTGTATTTTGTAGCCCTGGACTGCTTATACCCAGAATGATATGTTTGAGAGAAATAAGCTTCTGTTTCATTTAAGCCACTGTTATTTTAGTTTTTTTTTTATTACAGCAGTCAATTCTGACTTTTGCGCATGGCATGCACATATTCAACTATTTCATGTATATGCACACAAGTAACAATGGGACTTCCAGATAAGTGACAGATTACAACTTTGTAATTATCTGTGTAATTGTATTTTATTTTTTCACTTGAAAATATACTATCCTGGGCTTCTGCCAATCCTGGCTGGGAATTACTTGAGAGAGAATTTTTGGACATGAAATTGGTAATGGAATGTATTATGTTCAGGAACATTTTGAACACAAACTCCAGATGTTCCTATGATTTTTGGAATCTGTTTTAGGGAACAAAAAGTATTAAATAATATAGGCATAAAATGTCCAACTTATATTATGAATGTGTTTTCTCAATGAGATGTTTGACATATTTTCTCTGCTGATTTCTAATGTTAAATTGACTTTTTTTTTCTAAGATTTGTATTGACTATGCCTGACTTTGGAACATATTTGAAAAGTGGAACTGGGACAATGTGTTTATGTATATATCTTAGGAAAATTGAAACCAGTTTAGAAATTTGTCAATGAATTATCAATAGTCTGGAAGGATTTTGTCTACTTTTTTGTAGAGAGGTCCAAGTGACTCTTATCATCTATGACCTGTTCTTTCATTTCTGAGAATCCCTAAGAAACAAGTTGTTTATTTTTCTCCTCTGTTATTTGCAAACAGCTCTTTACAGTTTTGTTCTGTTTTTTTCACGGATCAGGTACAGATTCTTATAGTTCTGGAACTTAGGACAGGGTTGAAGATTGTGGTAAGGTTTTCTAGAGTAATTCCAAGGAAAGCAAACACGTAAGTATTAATAGAATCATAAGTTGAATGTTGTACACATAAAAACAATGACAAGAAACTGATTCTGGGCAGTACTGTGTTTGTGCAGGCATGTAAGGATGATAAAAAACTGAAAGGAACAAATAATATGTATTTCTACATGTTCTCATGAGTGGGAGCTAAACAATGGGTACATATAGACACAGAGTGGAATAAGAGACATTGGAGCCTACAAAAGGTGGGAATGTGGGAAGGAGCGAGGGTTGAAAATTTTCTCAAGTGAGGGTTACACTAAAAGCCCAGACTTCAACACAATCCATATAAGACATCTGCACTTGTAGGCCCTAAATGTATCATTTTAAAAAAATAAATAAAAGATAATAGGTATTTGCCAGCAATATTGCCCATTGCACTTGAAAAGATAACCTGCATTTGCAAAAGAATATATGAAGTATTAAGAATCATAAAAGGCCAGGCATGTGGCTCACGCCTGTAATCCCAGCAGTTTGGGAGGCCGAGGAGGGTGGATCACTTGAGGTGAGGAGTTCAAGACCAGCCTGGTCAACATGGTGAAACCCCGTCTCTACTAAAAATACAAAAATTAGCCAGGCATGGTGGCACACGCCTGTAATCCCAGCTACTTGGGAGGCTGAGGCAGGAGAATTGCTTGAACCTGGGAGATGGAGGTTGCAGTGAGCTGAGATCGCACTACTGCAGTCCAGCCTCGGTGACAGAGCCAGACTCTGTCTCAAAAAATAAAATAAAATAAAATAAAAAATCATAAAATTCAAATGATTCAGAAGACAGGATTCTACAATATGATTCACATTATATTCATCTTTCAATAAATCTAGGCTTGCATTGTGACAGCGAACCAAAATGAGTCTCTATTTTATATTATCCTATAATAAGGCTGTGGGAAGTATCCATTCACACTCTTGACACTGATGTGTTTGAGGTAAGAATAAACAACCCTTATTTAAATGGGCTAAAAGGAAAGTAAAGTCTCCCAGGGCCTATCTGGTTCAAGTGCAGTGTGATAGAGGAGGTTTCTCTCTTGACAAGGCAGAACATCTGGGTCTAGATCTTCTACCTTCTGAATGCATTCCAAGAAGCACAGCTCCCTTTTTTGCATTTTATTTTATTTTACTTTATGGTAAATTAATAAATAATTGTATATTTATGGGGTACACTGTAATGCTTTGATTTGTATATACATTGTAAAAAATTGAATCAAGCTAATTAACATATCCATTGTCTCACCAGCTTATCCTTTTTTTGTAGTATGTTAAAAAATCTATTCTTTAAGCAATTTTCAGATATACAATGTTATTTTTAGCTGTAGTCACCATGCAATGCAACAGATCACTAAAATGTATTCATCCATTCTGAGACTTTGTACTCTTTGATCAACATTTTCTATTTCCTTCTCCCTCCCCTTCCCAACCTCTAGAGACGACATTTCTACTCTGTTTATATGAGATTGACTTTTTTAGTTCCACATATAAGTGAGATCATGTGGCATTTATCATTTGGTGCCTGGATTATTTAATTTAACGTAATGTACACCAGTACCACCTCGTCTTGAATGACAGAATTTCCTTCTTTGTAAAGGCTGTGTGGTACTTAATTTTGTATATATACCACATTTCTTTACCTAGTTATCCAGCAATAAACATTTAGGTTGCTTCCATATCTTGGCTACTGTGAATAATGCTGAATTAAAGTAGGACTGCAACTATCCTTTTGACATAGAAATTTAAATTCCTTTGGATATATACCCAGGAGTGGGATTGCTAGATCATATGGTAATTCTATTTTTAGTTTTTTGAGTTTACTATTTTCCAAAATGGCTGTACTAATTTACATTCCCACCAGCACTGTACAGGGTTCTCTTTTCTCCACATCCTCACCCACACTTGTTATCATTCATCTTTTTGATAATGTCAGAATGAGATATCACCTCACACATGTTAGAATGGCTATTATCAAAAATAGCTTAGGTTTGAGGCTGAGTGCTTTATTTCTCTGCATCCCTTGGTATTCCCCATAGACATGACTGGACTTTCTTATTACCATTTCTTTTCAGGCAGGCTCATGCTTTATATCAAGATTCTGAAACCAGAGGAAATTCTCACACCTGTATATTATAGAAGCTTTAAAGCATCCAAGCACCAGGTTTTAAGAATGAAACAGATCAACAAACAATTCTCATGTTCTTTAGATTGCATGTGATCTATGGTCTATTCCTATAGTGAATCTCCACATTTTCCCACAAAGCATAGAGTGGATTAGGTATGAATAATGCTCAATACTTTAGCAAATATACTGGGTACCTACTCTATTACATCCTCTCTTACAAGTGCTATTGTAGAGCAGGAAATAAATAAGTCTCAGCTGTCATGCAGAAAGCAGTCTAGTGGAACAAGACAGAAAATAAACATATAAGCAATAGCTATTTCACAGGCCAGATAAGCACTAAGAAGAAATACAAAGCAGTTGCTAACTACAATAGGATTCAAATTGTGAAAGTGGGAATTGATAGCAGAGATGATTTGGAGAAGAAGATAATCCATTAAGGATGAAATCAGAAGTTAGGCTGTTGGATGCTTCATCCAAATAGTTGTTGGTATTCAAATGGATGAGAAAGTTTTTAAGAAGGAAAGCAAGAGTTTGAATGGAGGGAAAGACTGTCAACCACAGAATAAATTCTTAATAAATAAGAGTGTCCATAAAGGCAGAACATAATGGCTACCATGTAGCCAGGTAGAAAAAGATGATGAAACTGGAGAACATATCTCCAAAGAAAGAGTTTTGGGTTTGTTTGAGTGTGTTTTGGGAGAGTTGTTTGCTTGTCTTTTTATACAGGGTTTTGTCAACTCTGGATGTAGAGACTTTTTTGAGAATTAAAACATCGAGTCCATCCACACTTCTGACACTGACATCTCTGAGGTCACAATAAACAGCTCCCATTTAAACAGACTGAAAGGAAGCTAATGCCCACAGTGGCGTATCGAGTTCAAGTGTAGTGTGATACAGCCAGCTTCTCTCCTGACACAGAAGAGTATGTGGGGTCTAGAGCTCCCACCTACTGAATACATACTTAGAAAGTAGAGTTTAGAAATATGCTTATAAAGTTCTTAAGGCAGAAATGTTGAAAACAGACCCTCCACTATGTAGTTCCTCCTGCTGAGAAACTCAGTGGGGGAGGAAGGATCCTCAGCTCATTATTAGGGGCACGATAATTGCCAAAACTTTTCAGATCCAACCTGGTAATATTACATAACCGTTATATAACCGTAGTGCCAAATATTTGTCCCAAAACAAATATTTGTTCCAAAACAAGAAAATGGCTAGCTAACTCAGAATATAAAACCAACACCATTAGTTTCCCATCTATTTGCCTCTCATTTATGTGATTGGTTTGTACAATATCTTGGGATCAACTGCCTGTTCATTACACATTATAAAAAGCAGTACTTCTTTTTATTTATTTTAAATATCACATGGAAACTTTGAAATATTTGATATTAAGTTCATTAAATTTATATTGTGTTTGAATGTACAGAAAGGTGTGTAGAATTTTACTGGGTGAAAAGGGATATATGTGTCAGACTGCTCTAAGGGAAGGTTTTATGCTCTAGAAAATTCATTTGCATCATCACCAGAGTGTGGAGAAGAGAAGCCTGCAGTCAGTCAATTGTCCATTATAAAGAAATCAAGTGAATGTTTGATGCTACAAAATAATTATTGCTAATTATAGATGTGATCAGGGTATTGAGTTAAAATCTTAAGTTCTTACCATTCAGAGACATATGCTGATATATTTTTGAAGTAAGTGATGTGATGTGTGCATAAAATAGGGTTACAAAATGAAGGTTCTATGGTGTGGCCTTTGGGAAGAAGGTGCAACCCCTCTGGCCTTCACTCCCAAACTACACTGTATTGCCGCAGTTTTCTAAAATAAACATAATTTTTCCTCTGTCCCTCGTGTTTCAAATCACTAGAGTGGGAAACTGATCCAGAGTAAAAGCCAGCTCCAGCTGACTCTTGACTCTCCTAAAAACAGCTACACACATACTCACACAACAACAGGATTACAAACTCTTAATTACAGCAATGTCCAGATTTGAATGCTGCAGGCTGACAATTGCCCCTCTAAGTTCTGCTGGGGCACCTAGGCAAGGGGAGAGAGAATACAACTGGAGGTTAAAGAACCAGAGTTTTCTGTCTTCCTCTCCTCTCCCTCATTTTCACTCTCCCTTCCCCCTCAGCTGCACCGCGCTGCTCCTTTTCCTCTCCTCCTTGGATGTTCCCTAGCCCCTTCATTCCTTCACGCTCTGCAGGCCCTCTCCCCTCTACCCCTCCTCATCAGCCCCCCGCTCCTCTTCCTCCCTCCCTTCCCGGCAGCTGCTGGAGGAGACGCCACAGCTGCTGCTGTTACTGCATCTGCAGCAGGTCTCTGTCAATATCACCCGCCCACGCCCGATCTGGATGCTGAAGTCGCTCACTGGCCTGGAGATTAGGGCGGGGGAGAGAGTGGAGTGGCTGGGAGAGGGGAGGGAGGAGTGGAAAGGAGACAAAAACAGCTTCCAAGCAGCGGGCGCGGCTCCACTGGACATCTGGGTAGGAGGGGTCTCTGGGTCAGTGGCTGGAGAGTCGCCCCAGTGAGTCGGTGTCTAACTGGCCATTTAGTGGGGCCCATTTACTGCAGAGCCACAGCTGGTGAGGACAGACGCCAGCCTAACAGCAGCTTCTGTACAACTAGAGCTCAGAAAACCCGAGAGATCCGTGGAGAAAGAGAAGCCCAGGAGGAGGAAAGGGCTCCAAGGAGCCCTGCTCCTGAAGGGTCCCTCAGGCACTGGTGGAGACCTGTCGCTTCGTAGCAAGTAAGTGCCTTTTTCTTGCTGCTGTGTCCAGTCCCAGAATGGTGATAGCCGCTATCCGCTGCCAGCCTTTCCCATCCACTCCCACCTGCCCCATCCCATACACACCCTTAGGGTCCCCAGCAGGAGGACAGAGATTTGAAATTGTGGACGTGCATTAGGAGAGTTACTTCAAGAGTATACTTCAAGAGCAGCCGTGGTCTGTGGGTGTTTGCATGGCATGTGCCGTCAGTTTTCTAATTCCATCAGGTAAGCTTCTGAAACCAACATTCTCTGTTAGTGTAAAATTCTAGAAACCCTATATGACAATGACTTACATTACATGGTACAATGATAGTATAAAATGGAGGAAAGGTTATGCAGATTGTTGTACACTTCTTCTAAGAATCCTATCTCTTATTCTAAATAACAGAGATTTCAAGATTGATTTTCCCAAAGGAATAGATAGTATAAAAGTAGAGGCATTGATGTGATTGGCAGTGGTGTGCTCAGTTTAGTCAGTTGGGCATTTTGGTATTGACTAGATCAACAGAGATTGTTGTTGTTGTTTTTGCATTGTTTTGCTCTATAAAATGCATCTCTTCTGGAGGTTTTCTTTTAGAAGTGATAGTGTGACTGGTTGTGTTAGCTTCAAAACTTAGAACATTGGTCAAAACAAGACAAATGATGAGTGCATGTGGAATGACACACCGATGGGCCCCTTTCATTAACGAAAATGATGGGTTCCAGTTTGGATATTGGACTGAAAAATATCTTGAAATGGGAAAGAGTTTGGGTGGTGCTTCTTGTGGATACTTTACCCCACTGCTGTTCATTCAGGAGAGCAATTTATGGCAAAGTAGAAGGAAAGTGGGCCCTGTAATAAACAGAATCCTGGGCACCATACCTGCTATGACTAGCCTTAATTAAAGATTCTATAATCCAGCTGCTGTTTTTACAAGTAAGACCTATAAGGAGTAATTTGCTGAGGCTACCTGGCAAATCAGTAATTGAGCGGGAAGTCCAATGAACAAGTCTTTGGGATTTAGAACTACAAAACTTGATTTCAATTTTTGTACAAATTAAGCCAATTATTTAACTTGAGTAAGCTTTATTTTCTTTATTTATAAATGACACTCCAAAAAGTCCTGACAAAAACTAATTGACAGAGATGATATAAAGGGTTTATGAAAGTACCATATGTGTAACTGTTGATTACATAAGGGATTATTCTGTGTTTTTATCTACTTCACTATTCTGATTTTCCTTCTAAGTCTGATTCAATATAAGCATACAGAGGGCTTTGACATGCATCTCTAGAATGCACTAGAGGAAGTGAAATTCAAATCCTTTTCTTGCCACCTGTACAGTTTAAAGCATATTCTAATCTGAAAGCCTTTATCCTCAAAAAAGTGAAAAGTGTGTGCTTTGGCTAGCTTTGCATATTTAAACCTTGTAATATTCTCCAAATATGCTTTACCCTCTTTCTGTTTTTAGTTTTAAAATTGATTTTAGGTCTGTAGTCCTGTTTCCTGGGGATGAAGCCATCACGTATATTGGATATTGCTGAATGTATTTGGCCCGTTACTTAACATAGGAGAAATCAAAATTTAGGCATAAATACTCTAATCTTGACTGCAAAGATTCATTAAAATCTTGCACCTGGGGGATAGGTACTGTGAGTCCCTTCTTTCCCATGGATATGTTTAAAGTAATAGAAGAAAGAACTCAATTTGTACATGGGCTCAGGAAAAGGGGTCATCAGATCCCAGATGGCACACGACCGTTGGACCTGCTGCTGCATATCAGTCTCTACTGGAGTACTGGAGGCAGAGCCAAGCACTTCAAAACTGGGCATTCTGTCTCCGTAGCCTCGTGTGGTAGATGGTTTGGTAGCGGATATACACTCTCACTGATTTTCCCAAAGTAGGATAAATACCTGTCCAAAGCATACTAGAAATAAAAATAACAGTATTTTCCCCAATCCCTTACTCAGGGATTGGGAAATCTGCACTCCAGCCCTAGATCTCATTGGGTTGAGATACGTGTCACAACTGGGGTATTCAGAGATTGACTCACCATCTACCTACTGCCTTAGACTCCCTCCTGAAAGCTTATGGTGGAGGCATTGGGTAAAAGGGACATTCTTGATTTCTGGGAGTCTGATCCCATTATTTCCACTAACCATTTTCAGTATTTGTCAGTGTGAGAAGAACATCTATAACCTCTGCCCACCCCCACCCCCACTCCAGATATCAGCAATGCACAGTCACCCATTATCACATGAGAAAATCTTGTACAAACAGATGTCACTTTTCTTTTCCTGCGTTGGTTCCTTCTCTTCTGTTAGTGAGGACTAACCAACCAGACAAGTGAGGTCTCATTGCAGCAACATTGAAAGAAGGAGCCTTTGAAGTTAAAGATAAGATTTCATCTGAGGGCTTCAGAGGTTATTTTTGAGTTGGTGCATATCTCTTGACCCAGCTAAGATTATTATTTTACATTCATTTGTTCAATTATTGTTTATTACAAATGAGGCGCCATCTTCTTATATTCCATCCTGAAATTCCTAGCAAACAGATATCCCTGTTGTCTCTGCAGTATTTATAATTGGATTGACTCAGCCTGGTGCTGGACAAGGATAACCAGCTCAATGGACGGCTCTGATGATGGTGTGGGTCAGGTGCCACACTGACTGCCTAGACATCAAAGAGCTTGATAGAAATGCAGAAGCTGGGGCCCCACTCATGGAAATTATGATTAGAAAGGTCTGATATTATGATAGGGCATTTGGTGTTAAACTAGAACAGGAGGTGATGCTGATTTGGGGGCCATAGACCCTAGGTGAATATATTGTGCTGAGTAGAGTAGTCTGTCTTTCCTATTTTAAATGCTAAGGTGAGGCTTCCAGTCCACCAGCTGCTCACTCTCTGAGTTCTCCCAGAGGCGACATGGTCTAAGCACTTGATTACAGGCTCTTGCCCATATCTACTCTCTTTCTCTGGCCCTGGGGCTCCATGTTGGACATTTTTTGCCCAACTCAGAGTGAGACAAAAACTAAATCATGCTCACCCTAAGATGTTTCAAGGCACCTTTCTAGTTTCTCTCTAATTTGAGAAGGGGATGGACATCTATATGTTTGGTTTCACATTTGAAAAGCTAAAGGAGCTTTTGGGAGAGTTGCAGGGAGGGCAGGTTGGAATCCTGGAAAAACAGACAGACATTTTCAGAATTGTCAGAAGCAGAGGTAAATAGCCAGTTCTAAGAAGCCTCCAGGGTTTCAGTAAATGTGCCAGTTCTAGATTTTTTTAATTCAGAAAATGCCTGGGTCAAAAATTTTAAGAATTATAATCCAAATAAAATAGCAGTGCAAATGACAGCCTCCTTTTTTAAAAGTCCGAATAGCGTTCCATTGTGTATATATACCACATTTTCTTTATCTATTCATATGTTGATGGATACTTAGGTTTCTTCCATATCTTGGCTCTTGTAAATAATACTGCAGGAAACATGGGAGAGCAGATATCTCTTTGACAAACTAATTTCAGCTCTTTTGAATAGACATCATTTGTGACAACATGAGTGAACCTGGAAGACATTATGCCAAGTGAAATATTCCAGGCATTGAAAGACAAATACTGCATGATCTCATAGAAATGTGAAATCTAAGAAAGACAAATTTTTGGAGGTAGAGAGTAGAATGGTACTTTCCAGAGGCTGGGGATGAGGGGGTGAATGGGGAAAGGAAAGATGTTGGTCAAAGTGTGCAAAATTTCAGTTAGAGAGGAGGCATAAGTATAAGTGTTCTATTGCACATCATGATGGTGATAGTTAAATAATAATGTGTTGTATATTTCAAAATGCTAAAGGAATAGATTTTAAATGTTTCCACTACAAAGAAATAAGTCTGTGAGATAATGGATATATTAATTAGCTTGATATAATCATTCCACAATGTTTGTGTATACGTACATATATATATTTTATATATATAAAATAACATCAACTTGTATCCCCTAAATATATATAATTACTATTTATCAATTAGAGACAAAATATTTTTTAAAATGGCAGTGCATATTTATGCTTTTGAGAAAGTTGCTTACTTACCACTTTCTTTTGCAAGATAACATATTCTAGGAATTTGTTGGCTGAAATTGTCAGAGTGAGAAAGTTGAGTCCAGAATTAAGTGGACGTATTGAAGAATAGAACCTGAAGCCAAACTGGACTGACCTGGAAGCAGAACATAGCTGCAGTCAGAATCCAAGGAGAAAGTAGCAAAAGTCAATTAAGCAGCCTAGATAAACTGTTTGCCACAGACAGGTAAAAAAGTAGGCATCAGATCATCAACGCCAAATTGGAAGTAACCAACCCAAGTGAAAAAATAATCCAAAAGCAAAATCCAAGTGGGTTGAAGTCAAGAGGTATTTAAAGAACGTTTATTCACACAGATGGTTGCAAAATTTCAAGTGGATTGATGTCATTTTAGTCAAGCTGTCCTTTATTCCTCAAACTTCAGTGTGCAAATTTTCCATATCTGGGCTTTGGTAATACATACACATGGTGCGTTATGTTCAAGTAATATAGAAATATTAACTGGAAAGCAACAGAATCCTCTGACACCTTTTTGGACTCTTTCCATAGATGTAACACTTCACTCATGTCCAGAGGGGAAAACATTATGCACATGCTAACGTATACAACTTTATGTATATAATCATTATACAACATTTTATTCAAAGGTGAATGATGCAAGTTGTTCTCAACTTTACATTTTCACTTAGTAACTGATTTGGTGAAACTTTCCGTATGAGCACAGACATATCCATCTCATTCCTTTTTGTAACTAACTAGGTATTCCATGATAGCAATATACTAGAATTTTTGTTATTAGTCCCTTAGGGTAGACATTTTATTTCTACTCTTTGGAATTAAAAGTATTATGTTATGATAAACATCCTTGCAAATATGACTTCTCAAACTTCAGCAATAATTTCTATAAAGCTTAATTGCTGGGCCAAAGAGTACATGAAACTTTATTTAAGAGACTGTTGGTCGGGCGCAGTGGCTCACACCTGTAGTCTCAGCACTTTGGGAGGCTGAGGTGGGCAGATCACCTGAGGTCAGGAATTTGAAACCAGCCTGGCCAACATGGTGAAACCCCAGCTCTACTAACAATACAAAAATTAGCCAGGTGTAGTAGCATGCACCTGTAATCCTAGCTACTTGGGAGGCTGAAGCAGGAGAATCCCTTGACTCAGGGAGGCGTAGGTTGCAGTGAGCCAAGGTTACACCGCTGCTCTCCAGCCTGGGCAACAGAGTGAGACTCCGTCTCAAAAAAAAATAAAAAAAAAAAAAGAAACTGTTGACAAGTAGCTTTTTTAAAAAACTGCACTAAGTTATATTCTCACCTGCACTGTGTGTGGGTAGCCTTTGCCTCCATATCCCAGCCTGTAAATGGTCATATTCATTGAGATGAATCTCAATTATGTCTCTACAGAGTTAGACTATTAAAATTATTGATTTAGGCAACTTTATGTCTATCCTTTAGAATTTCGTTAGCTTCAGTCATCTTCCTCATAGGTTTCTGCTTCCTAGAAGTCAATGATAAAATTTTCATAGCCTTCCATAAAAATTAAAAAAAGCAATGCATTTAATATCATTTGGGTTGTAAACCCTGGAGGGGAAAGCATTCTAGTCAGAAAGCTCTAAGGGAAAAGGCCCTGCATTAGAGAATTTAGCTGTAAGTCATTATGGAATGTGAGAAAGATGAAATATAAGCCATGATATATCTATTAAGTGCAGTCAAGTTGCCCAAACCAATAAAAATGTCAATATAAGTTGGTCACTAAATTGCTAAATTGATCAGCAGGTATGAGTCCTACATTCTCAACAATACAGATTATGTACAATGGTCACATTAACTCTGTATCTTTGCTTATGCCGATGGTACCTTCTGATCCCAAGTTAACTTAGTCTTATTATCATCACTGCTTTGTTTTTACACCTATCTAAATGTCATTGGTGCAATAGACATGTTACGTTGTCCATGTCTGATGTACAGCATAATTGTTTCAAAATAGCTTGAAAACAACTAAGTGAGAAGTCATTTTATCCTTATTTCCTGCTGCACACGGAATGAAATTGGCATTTGCAATATTATCCTCAGTCTATTGATCCACTGTCCTTACTTTTTTGTTTCATTTTTCTTAATTTATATTATCTTGCTCTATGGTCTACATTCTTGAATGTGAACCTCAATCTTTTTGGAATGCATTAGGAATATATATTTAATATAGAATAGAACATTCGACAATTCTATTTGGCAAAGCTAATCTAACATTTGTTTTGTCTCCCCTAGGATCAACTCCAGTTTCTCAGAAAGCACAGAGATTGATTCTTTAGGTGCTGTATTTTCAATTCCCTAAGATGGGAATAAATGGAAATGAAGAGGCTGTGACTGGCCTGGGCAGTCATCTCCTACAGGTGGAGAATCTCTCTCCACAGCTTGAGTGCATTGCTGGCAGGCTGTGCTCTAGAAATAAAACTGAGGGACAGGGGAAACAATTGGGAATTGTGAGTAGGGAAGAAGAAAAATACTGACTTCTGGCATTCCTTTTCTTCCCCATCCTTCATTATCTAAGAAAATGCAGCTGCAGTTGCTGTTTCAAAATGCTGTTGATGCAGCCTCTTGCATGGGAACTGGGCTCTCTAGAGACAGCATTCGCTCACTGATTGAGTGGCCATGTAATTTATCATCCAACTCAGGATGTTTCTGAAAAGGAAAAAGGATGTAATTAATAGTTAATCCTCAACAACAGGCATAAACCCAAACTGCCTCCAAGTAACCTAGAACTTTAGGAAACATTACTTAAACATGAGATTGGATGGGTTGGAAAGGAGAGGACAGAGTGGAAGAAAAAAGAAAGTTGTTATCCTGGAGGTGGGTGGGAGCCACATGCAAAAGTGAATGTCCCAGTTGTGTTTGTCTGATTTCAAGCTTTAGAACTGTTTTGCAACAGGTCCTCCACCATGTGAATGCCAACATGGCCAGGTCATTAGAGCTGAGGGAAAACTAGTGCCCAAAGATATGAAAAGAGTGTGGATCTTCTGGAGAAGTGCTGTTGTTCAACAGGTATTTGCCTCAGCAACTCCTGTATATGCTCTATCTCTCATACTCAGGCTATCAGATGAGAAAAAACAAACAAGAAAATGTAATGATGTGTCTGCTTGCTTTATAAAGTTGGTTGGGTGAAGCTTAGCTATCAGCCAAGGCATCTTTCTGCCTAGCAGTCTGCATCAGATTCATCTCAAAGGCTGCAGCACAAGCTATTCTGAAATAGTCTGTCTGGATTGGGCCACTGGCTCCTAGATTTTCAGTATTAGCCCCAGGAGATTTCTGATATGCACTCCAGAGCTTGTATGATCGAAATCACCTGTACCAAGATTTTCTTTATCTATAGCTCTCAGTACCAGCGTGTTAACCAGAGGTCATCCTCTCATCTTCTCTGTACTCGTAGAAGCTCCAGGACTTGGGAACTGCAGATTTGACACTGTTATATCTGGTCAACCTTCCAGGGTCTGGTACATTGTTGAAGGTTTTGTGTCTATCTGAATCTAACATGGAGCCAGACTTGGTGCTAGGGGTTTATGAGTGACCTTATATGACACTGGTTCAGAACTCTTCTGTCTATTCACTGATTTAGGGTATCATTTGTGGATCTATGAGCTTAGTTCCACTGCTGAGGAGAAGCTGGCAACAATGAAGGGTCAAGGAAATCTACAGATTAAGTCTAACCACAGATTAAGAGGATACTCAAGGAGGTCAGCTAGTTCTGAGAGGTCCCGAAGAGTCCCAGGGATGTCCTAATTCTGGAACTTTTTAAACAGAGGTTGAGAGATCAGGTCTTGCATCTTAGGGGAACAATTAGTATCAAAGACCTCAGGATGAAGGGCAAGTTATAATCTGGTTGCATCATACAGCCTCCTTTGTATTCCGCTGAGAAGCAGCACAGGCTACTTTTCTTCACTTGTTGAATCCTAATGTGGCCACTAGCCAGGAATTTTTGGTCAAGGATTTAACAGACTGGATCCACTAGAAATAGAATTCCAGGACAATCCTGGCTCCTTTACAACTTGCTCTTTTTGATGAGATAACAAAGGATAATTTAGAATTCTAGAGGCTTATTTTGCAAAGCAGTGGAAGTTTCGAGAACATCTGGAGAAACTGGGAACATTGAGTTCTTTAGAATGTGGGGCTCGACCACTTTCCCAGAGTTACTGGTAGGGAATCAAAGATGTTCGTTGTATTGGAAGCTTCAAAGCAGGAACATTTCAGGCAGAACCAGCTTTACTTTTTATTCCTAGAAACCTCCCTTTCTATTGCCTTTATCACTGTCATAGTCACATTTCTCAGTGAGGCAGGAGACCCTCAAAAAGATCTTATTCCCAGTGATTCGTGTCCTTTTCTAGTGTTTCAACTGCCATTAAGCCTTCCTTATGCTCATTGATCTTAGTATATTTGCAATCAGATGTGACAGAGTGATTTGCTTTGGTTATCTGGCACTGTTTGTGGACTTCTAATCCTATCGTGTCTGTTGACTCTGTTGACTCTCATTCTGAAGCTTAATGTCTTAGACTGTTCCTTCCCTCAACAAGAGAGATATTAGTTGTCCCATATTATTGGAAAATTTAACACATAATCTGTAGAACCAGATCCACCAGTGTTTGAGATGATTTTAATTCCAATCTCTGTTCCTCTTGAAACTAATCATTTTGAGAGATTAACAAGGTAAGATTAGCTTGCTGTCTTCTAGCACTTTATATAAATTGGATCATATAGTTTGTAATCTTTCATGTCAGACTTCTTTCACTCAGCACAATGTTTTTGTCACTCAGTCATTGTTATGTGTATTAGTAGTTCATTGATTATTTTGCTAATTGTATTCTATTGGATAAATAGACTTCCATTTTTATTTTTATAAATCTATTCTCATTTTGATGGATTCTTCCCAGTTTTGGGTACTTATGCTTTAAAAGATATATTCCCATATATTTATTACTTTTCATCCTCTTCATTCCTTCTTAAACATAGACATGTCCATCTGAGATATGTGAAAATATATTTATTTTGTCTTCATTCTTGAAGAGTATTTTTGCTGTATGTAGAATTCTAGTCTTAAATTTCTTTTCCCTTTGACACCTTTAAGATACTGTTATACTGTCTTCTGGTTTCCTTTTTATTTTCTGCTAAGAAGGCAGTGATCATGCTTAATCATTATTTCCTAATTTATAATGTGTCATTTTTTCCAAATTGTTTTCAAGATTTGACTGTGATATACCTTAATAGTATTTGAGCCATGTGACTTAAAACATGTATTAGTGATGACATATAAAATCTTTAGCCTTCAAGATTAGATTTTTAAATCATAAATCATAATAGGTAGGTGCTTTTCAATATGCTCCCCTTGTAATCATTCCATAAAGAATTTCACACATTTTGCAAATACACATAATCCTTTTATTTCTCTGAGTTTCAGCTATTTATATATTTATATAACCATATACTATATATACATTTATATACACACTCATAGGTACATAAATATATCTATTTATATTTGCATATAAAACATGTACACATACATACAGTTTAATTATGTATATTTACCTCCAGATTTATATTTCCAGTCTCTGAATTGTTCTTTTAGTTGTTTCAGATGTGCCTCAAACCCACCAAAAAATAAAAGACATCTTTCCCTAATTTCTAAGCTGATGCTTTCCCCATAGTCCATATTCTTTATATGAATGACAGTCAGTCATACAAGCCAGATTTTATAGCCTTCACTGTGAGAACCCATTATCTATGTACAAAGTTAGAAACAAGCTATTAGTGTTAAAAAAATTATTAAGATATCAAGAGACACATTATTTCCCAGTTAACACTTGTTTCTATTTTTAAATCATTCTATATGTATTTAACCTTAAAATTCAATATAGTTACAGAATAACAAAAAATAATAGTAGTTCCTTTTAAGGATGTACTATAATCTTTTTTAGTGGCTGCACCTGAGATATATGTTGACTTCTTCTCTTAGGTATAAAAATTACACTACTGTGAACAGATTTGAGTACCTAAATTGGTTTGACATTTGTACCCAAGAGTCAAGTCTCTGTTGCTTGAATTGCTAGGATAAAGTGTAAACGTTTTTATTTATAAACAGTACCAGCTTTCCTCTTAGAATAATTATACTGTTTTATATGATCAAAAAAGTTTGAGTGTTTTTTCATACCCTAACCAGCACTTTCCTTCATTAAACTAAGATTTCTATTTTAAATTATTAAAGATAAATTTATTTATTATTGATTTTATAAGTTTTGTTGTTTTAAATTTAAATTTTATTTTGTATTTAAATAGTTGAGCCATCTAGAATTTATCTTAATGCAAGTAGTGCATGGAGCCAGGGATAATGAGAACTGCCCACTTCCAAACCTTCTTATAGGTGTTCCACAAACAATGCAGTACAACAAGAAAAACAAATACAACATAATATGTACACAAAACTACGCAAATAAATATAACAAACATACACAAACCCCACACTATCCGAGTAACTAGAAGGCAGGAAGATATGTGAGAAAGTAAAATAATTTAATTAGAAACGTCTAGTCCACTTCTTCAAAAATGGTACTTGGTAAGCATGGCCATAATCATAATTGCCATAAGGATTAAAATAAATTTTGGCTCATACTCAAATTTGAAATTCGTTTCAAGGAGAAATTTTTTTTCTATAAAAATTCACCCCATTTCCATATACTTCTGCTGCTCCTGCAAATTTCAACTGACATTCAACAGAAATGGATTCCACTTCAGTCAACAATATAAAATATTGGTACAATGAATTTGTTAGTGTCCAAATCTGGACTTGATACAATTGACTTTGATAGAATTATTGCCAAAAGCTTACTTTAGCTATTCAATTTTTCAGAAAGAAGTCTAATGGATGGATTAACTATTAATCTTTCTATATTTTTTCGGACTTTAGTGCTGTATTAAGATGGCTCACCAGAAAGCGTAGTGCGTGGACCATATTACATAAATTCCCCACAGAAATGATTTTGCTGAATTATGATTTAATGATTAATAATTTAACAGTCTGCACTCAACCATCTAGAAGTCAGATGCATGCCACTTCTATTTGATAAGTGCTTGCATTTTTTTTTTTTTGCAGTATCGCAGAAGGCAATGCCTGCTGTCTATTCATTCATTCATTCATCTAGTCAACAACCCAGGGTAGTTTGATTCAACATCAAAATTATCACTAAAATAATCTTCTGGGATAAGTGACTGGGTTGGATGACAGAATCAGTACTGATGAAACCAGTACTGATGAAACCAGTGCTGTGGTCCAGGATTTCTTTGTGGTTTGATTTAATCTTTAAAACCTTGTGAGATATATGAGGGATTCCAAATTTTATATATGAGGAAAGGTCAGGTGATGTTACTGAGGTCTCATAGCTGGGGGGTGGCAAAATGAAGAGTCCAAGATTATTTTCTTATGGAGTAGTAAAAGAAAAAGAAAAGGGATATTATACTAGGACTATGCAATAGGAAGACAGGCTAGCAAATTGGGTCTTGCAGTTTTGATGGAAGGTGTTTAAACCATTTTCATTGATGGCAGCATCCATGCAAGAAGTTTATAACCTCTTTTTTTGTATTCTTTTAAGGTTAATATTTTTAACTTAGTTTAGTAATACTTTTGGCAATCAGAATGGATCCCTAAAAATATCAAAAATATACTGATTTTGTTAATTCAATGCTGCATAGTTTTAGTTAGCTAATATTTCAGTCAGACTTTTATATCATGTGAAATTGTGCAACAAATTCAACCAATGATCTTAACCTTAGAAATGTTCCAAAATTGTAAGATGTTGAAATTAACAACCAATATTCGGATCATCCCACTGCCTGTAAAGGAGTATGTGCGTCCACATTGGTAGTTAAGGGGAAGGTCTGATGTCCAAACCAACCCATTTCATTTTTGACAGCTATTAGAAAGATCTTTACTTTCTCAAGCCAAATCTCTTCTGGCTTCACCTCATTGATTCTAGTTCATCCTTTTTGAACAACATGGAAGTCTAATTTCTCTTCCACATTAGAACCATTCGGATACTTGGAAATAGTAAGATTGTACTTGAGTTTTTTCCACCTCAACTATACATTCTCCATTCTTTTAGCTTGTCTGTAAATTGTTTTATTTTACTTAATCAACCTTCTGGTTCCATTTGAAGACCCTTCAGTTTGTTGACATGCCTTTCAGGTGTGGTGTTCTTGGATTACAGCACAGTAGAGACGGACTGCCTCCTGCATCTTCTATCAACACAGATACAGGTTATATTAGTGTTCTTGGCAGACACAAATTAGTATTGATTTGTATTGCAGTTACTATTAAGTAAAATCCCTTGACAATTTTCTCTGTTTCAAAAACACATCTCTTCTCTACTGTACTTGTGCCGATGGGTATTTTAGTCCAAATTTTGAAGTTTTACAAGTATTTCTATTATATTTTTTTGTAGTAAATTTGACTCACCATTCTAATACAGCAAATTTTATCACAGTTAAAAATTTATATTTATTTTCCATGTATTATGTGCCAATCACTGTACTAGGTATTTTTACTCATATTATTTTGATTTATTCTTATTTAACTGGAAGAGGAATCCCAATTTTATGACTGAGAAAATATGTTCAGGGATATTAAATAATTTGACTGAGGTTTCTTAGAACATTAGTCACAGAGTTCAGGATTTGACTGTAGGTCTAAGTTCAAAGATCATGATTTTATTTGTTTCTACTAGGTTGTTTCTCTATCACAACCTAAATTGTTGATATGTTGAATAAGTCATATCGAATATAGATAACTTGGATATGTCGTATCCATTGGCCACCAGCCTTTAGACAAAAACCTGGAGTCCTTATAGGCCTATCTTATTTTAATGCTATCTAGCACGTATTTTTTCTTCTTGTGAGACATTTTACAAATGACTTACTAACGTTCAAATACATATATTTTACTTCATTTTTCCTTATTAAATAGTCAAGGCTTATGGTGAGAAAGTAGAGCATGAATAGGATTGGTTCACGTAAAAAGAAAAAAGTCCCTGAGCAACCAGTTACTGTCACAAAGCCCATGAATTTTTTCTTCGAAGAAGTTAAACAATCTTTAGTCCTTCACCCAGAAAATTTCGATATTCTCTTTCCACATAGAAGGAGGAGATTCAAAATACCAAGACAATGTCAAGTCACAGTTGATTGCTAAGGCAGGAAACAAAAGTCTAAAAGTATAACAGGATCATTCAGCAGTTGCCTTTGGGAGCATCACTATATTTTATCATAATATAGTAAGGAATGTTTATAAAGAGAATCAATAAGTTATTTATAAATTATTTAATATATATTCAAGGATCTCTGTGTAAAAATATTTTGAAAGGCTGTTTTTTTTTTGTTTTTTTGTTTTTTTGTTTTTTTTTTTTGAGACGGAGTCTCGCTCTTTCACCCAGGCTGGAGTGCAGTGGTGCGATCTCGGCTCACTGCAAGCTCCGCCTCCCGGGCTCATGCCATTCTCCTGCCTCAGCCTCTCGAGTAGCTGGGACTACAGGCGCCCGCCACCACGCCAGGCTAATGTTTTTGTATTTTTAGCAGAGACGGGGTTTCACCGTGTTAGTCAGGATGGTCTAGATCTCCAGACCTCGTGATCTGCCCGCCTCAGCCTCCCAAAGTGCTGGGATTACAGGCATGAGCCACCCTGCGCGGCCTGAAAGGCTATTTTAAAGGAAAAAATTTCATATGTAAGAGAAAACTTGGTTATCTGTAGCTTATACTCATAAATTGTACTTATTCAGAGCATCTTGGCTCCCCTTAATAAAGTTTAACATGTGAAATGTGACCATATGCATGTTTGTATATGTGTGCATATGGTATCTATAAATAATCTTAGCAAATTTGTAATGTCTCAGATATTTGGAAATAAGTAAATTTTAAGGTGAGTTTTTATACCATTAGTCTGGGAAGACAGCTCTAAGTAGATACATTTTGATCTTCCTAGCACATATTCTTCCCTTTAAAATTTCCTTGTACCCTATCTCTGAAACATTTCTTGAGGGACTTGGGCATAAGAAACCACTGCTATTGCAAAAATATCCCTGTCTTTGATTACAAATGACTGAACCAGTCATTTGTGACTGGTTCTTGTAAATGAATCCAGAGGCTGGGCTCAGTCAAAGTATATTTCTGTTTACCTTTTTTTTGAGACATATGTCATAGGTATGTGGTCAGAACTTAAACTGAAAAACCAAATAAAGTTAAGACTGTCAATATTTTTAGTCTATGTGTATTCTTAGATGTAAGAAAAGGAAGCCATTCTTTAAGTAGAATGCGGCAGACATGAAAAGCAAAGCAAAACCCAGAAAACTTGATTCCACAAAAGGCATAAGTAGTCATCCCAATATTTTATTTTCATCTTTACTTCTCATTTTTATTTTCCACAGAACATTTATAACACAGAAATGTACCATGTATCCTCCCCTTGAATGTCTATAAGATTGCGTTTTGTATATTTAAAATATATCCTGCCCGTCATTTACTTATGCTAGCAGTTGAAGTCTGATTCTTGCAATGAATGGTGTCCCAATAATATTAAATACTTATCTTATGCTTACTTTTAATTAATAGACAAGTAATGTGTTAAAGTATTAAACAACTCACTTATGCACAACAGTGAAAAATTCTGAAGTAGAACATATGTGTGAGTATATATATGTGTAGGTGATTTCTGTCTTGGGAAAATCTTATAGAAGTAATTCAGCTAGTGCCAGCATTGTGAGAGAAAATACACAGATGCAAAATGCCACAATATCAAAACCAAAATTTATTATCTTTAATTGCAATAATAAAATTACAAAGAGTGTTTAGATGAACAAATAAAGAAAAATCAATCTTTTGACATTGAATAGAATCATTGGAAGAGTAAATTTTGACAGGAATTGGACTGGAACAAATTAGTAAAATAAAATATTTGTATGTGTGAAAAAAGAACCAGGTTCATGAATGGGGAATTGATGCATGAAATTATATTTAATGAACACTACTTTGAGTTGCCTATAGGATAACTTGAAATAGGTAAAGACTAGAGTTGAAATATGTGAAGACTACTAGAGTACCCCAAAGATAGAATTACAAAGATGATTACGTTCAAGGACATATATAAATAAATAGTATTCAAGAATCATAGAAAATTATTGAAAGAAAATTATTTTTTGTATAAGGATTGATGACAGAGAGAAAAATGCCATCAGTAATTTTCAAGATAATTAGTTTGAGTTTTTATTTTTACAGTAGCTCACAGGTTAAAGAGTAATTCTAGTCATGCAGAAAGATAATTTTGTTTTTACCTGTTAAGTTGCTGCCATTGGTGAATTTACTATATAGACAGCTGGGGGAAGAAAGCATTTGGGAAATATTCACATGTACTTGATAAATATTTGAATGCAAAGAGTAATTAAAACTCTGTTTGCCTGTGCATTCATCAGAATGATAGATATAACAGAGGAAGAAGGCAAACCCTTAAGAGATATCAGAGTTAAAATTTGGGTTAATTTTTTTTTCTTTTTATATATATTATATATATTTTTTATTATACTTTAAGTTCTAGGGTATACGTGCACAACGTGTAGGTTTGTTACATATGTATACATGTATACATGTGCCATGTTGGTGTGAGATATACCTGATGTAAATTTGGGTTAATATTTGACCGATACTGTAATTGATTTGAAAAAAGTAATCAGAGATACAAAAAGAGACATGGAAGAGTAGGGTGCAGGGCCAATGATGAGTAAGTTTAAAGAAGAAAAGTGTAGTCAGTTGTTAAATATGTCTCACAGGGAAATAATTGGATTTGGCCAGAAAAAAGTATCTCTAGCAAAAAAGATCTTTCTAAAAAATATCTCTTTTATTATAATGGAGAAGTTGAAAGGTAGATTTCAGTAAAAGAATGTTAAAACGATGAATAAGTGAAGCAGACTGAGTTACTCATGAAATTACAAATTAAGTCTGATATTAAGTACAATAAAACTCAGGACAACTTAGATTTCTACAAAACTAAGGAATATGTTCTTTAAATGCATACATTCAGTTTACTGGTCTCTATTTTTCGTATCCTAATCTTTTGTACTTTTATGTTTTATTAGTATACCCAACTTTAATACAGAATTTTTTGCAGGTACAAAATTGGAAATGTTGGCTTCACCAGAACCTAAGGGCCTTGTTCCCTTCACTAAAGAGTCTTTTGAACTTATAAAACAGCATATTGC
Organism: Homo sapiens; assembly: GCF_000001405.40. Lineage (NCBI taxonomy): Eukaryota > Metazoa > Chordata > Mammalia > Primates > Hominidae > Homo > Homo sapiens. Next base: position 166,477,619 of record NC_000002.12, on the reverse strand, counting down.
TAAAACACATAATGAAGACCATGAAGAAGAAGACTTAAAGCCAACTCCTGATTTGGAAGTTGGCAAAAAGCTTCCATTTATTTATGGAAACCTTTCTCAAGGAATGGTGTCAGAGCCCTTGGAAGATGTGGACCCATATTACTACAAGAAAAAAAATGTGAGTATTAATTGAGATTATTTTGATGACATTTTTATTATTTTATTTCCAGACATACAGAAAATGTAATTGAGATAGGATACAAAAAGATAATGAAAAACAGGGAAAGATCTGATTTTAAATTTTACAGAACGACATAAGATATCTCATTTTGGGAACACACATATTGGAGATTTTTGTCAAAACTGATATCTTACCTGGTTAGGCAGTATATTTTGGATTACTCTACTTCATAATATATGTATTAGTATGCCTTAATGTAAGTGAAATATTTTAAGGGAACATGATGATTGTCCATTTGTGGTTATCAATTTTAAAATGCCTATAAAATGCCCAGAACATGCTCAACAATTTAAAATGTTCAATATGATGAACTTACTCAGAAGTTAGAAAAGTAAATACAACCCGTATGTTATTTATCATTTTTATTCATTCATACATACATACACTTACTCCTTATCTCCAGAATGACTTTAGGCACCTACTACTATATGTCCAATCCCAGAACAAGCACAAAATGCTAAATATAAAAATAATTGCATTTAGAAATCAGAGATTGGTATGAACCAATGAAGCTGAAAGAATCATTAAGGATGCAGAATTTGAGTTATAGCTTAAAGAGCACTTCAAAGTTTTAATAAGGGAAAGAGAAGACCTATGTGTAGGCAAGAGCAGAGAATGATTCTGGAAGGAGGAAAAGAGAAAGTGATGCTATAACTGGAAACTTAGCTGTTGCAAGTTACGAGATATGAGGTGAGATAATGGAGATATCAACATGGATTTAATATGGTGATCAAAGGACTGATGCAATGAATATAATGTTTAAGTAGCATTAACCCAGCAGATTTCTAAATGATGATTGCATGGAAGAGACAGGCCTAGAAAGATGAAATAACACAGAGAGTAATCCGGGACTGAAGTCGCAAGGAGACAGAGAGAACAAAGCTGAGAAGAAACAGCATGACCTGACTGACTAAAAATGCCAAGGTTTTCAGCTTAGAGGAATGGTGATGCCACTGACAAAATGAAATAACTAGAAAGAATATCAAATTCGAGGGAGGTGATGATTAGCTTCATAGCAAACGTAATTTGATATTCTTGTAGAGCATTCAATGATATTATCAAATGGGTGACAAGGAATTGCACCACATTCTCTGGATGGAAGACAAAGTGATTTTTTTTTTAATAAATTACAGTTATTTGGAATACTTGTCATGGTGGAAGATTATTGACATTTTACAGTAGAAATGTATATATTAACTTAAATGACTGCAGTATCTCGGGTAGCCTCCATGGGCATTATGCAGCATTGTTATAATATACATGCTTAATCTTGAGAGCATTTTAATGAAAGTATAAGTTAGGCCCTCATCTCAATTACCTCTACATTCAGTTTTTGCTATGTTTATGTCATAATAATTGATATGGCACAGTAACTGTAGGGATAGGTGTAATACTGCAGAGTTCTGAGTACCCTGCTGCATGTACAGACATGGCTGGCAAAGTGCTAGTTCTGTTATTGAAGACAAAACCAAAGATTTTGCAAAATAAACCAAGGCCCAGAGTTACTCTTGGTCTAGTTCCCATGAAACATCTGGAGCAAGAACTGCACGGATAGCTTGGTAGAAAAGTGCTGTTACAAACGACAATTTATTTGACTTGTATTTGGTTTATTCTGTTAAAAGTGGCATAAAATAAATACTTTTATAATTAACAAAACAGTTTCAGCTCTTAAATTGGGAGATTATTATACCTAAAATTAGTCATTTCATCACAATGGCATATATTACATCTTGTGTGAAGTTTGAGATTGTTCTGGAAAATAGCATGAAAAGCACATTTTAAAAAATCAGATTTACTTTGGCTCTTTTTAATTTTTATTTTCTGTTTGCATTTAAAATAGAGGGAAAATAGCTATAGTGTAGGTCAAAGTGTTCACAGATTGTGTGTTAGAAAAATATTATTTTATTAAGAATTATATCACAATTTGGTTTCCATTTAGAACACTTATTCATGAAATATTGTTGAATGTATATTTGTACTAAGTAGTCTATTTTTCTGTATATATACAAATATAAATAGAAATAATCACCTCTGTATAACATATAATACCGTAGTATCTAATAGATATTTAATATATAATTTTAGTATACTATAATTTATTGTGTTTCAGTATGTTATATGTTATAAATTATAAAATACACTCTTTTAGACTGTAAGCTATAAAATATTCACATTTGTATTTATACCCCACAATAAGATTTTTTTTCCAAATGGATATATGGTGGATATATATACACACTTTCACTGAATGTGTGTGTGTGTATATATATATATATATGTATATATATATATATACATATATATGTGTATATATATATACACAAATATAAAAATATGCAAACTTGCTCATTTACAGGTATATATATATATACACACACACACATTCATGTACATACACAAGCATGTACACATAGATATATGACTCAATTTTAATTTCAGAATATTTCTGATATTTCATTATTTTTTGTTAGAATTTTAATGCTTTAATATCTCAATGTATTAGGTTTACATGATATAAATTTCTGGTTTAGATATATGTATGTTAATGATATCATGCAAGTTTGGTTTTATTTCATAGACAATTGTTAAGAATTAATGTACTATTTCAATTCATTGGATCTTCTTTGCTATCCTAATCCCACATTTGATTTGCTCTGAAATAAAATCGAACTTTTAACATTCATTAACGTTCTCAGATACACCAGCTCTGGCATTTTTAAATGGATCTTCGTGAGCCATTGGGATATTGTGTTCTTCCTATTCTGTTCGTTCTCTAAGGAGACCAGGGGTTGGCTTGAGACAAACAACTTTCTCGGGTGTAGCAGTAGCAAAAAACTCAAAAAAACAAAAATGGTAGATAAATAGGCAAGCCTAAATATGAATAAAAACATCTAAAATCTTTCCATTTGACTTAGTCTATAAAAATATATAAAAAAAGAAGAGTATGGCTTTTAGAGTCCAAGACTATAATGATGATTGATTGGCAGTTTATTGCATAATTGATGAGATTATGGTTCTGAGTTCTAATTTCACTTGATCGCTTTTCTTCTTACAGACTTTCATAGTATTAAATAAAAATAGAACAATCTTCAGATTCAATGCGGCTTCCATCTTGTGTACATTGTCTCCTTTCAATTGTATTAGAAGAACAACTATCAAGGTTTTGGTACATCCATATCCTTTTCTGTTGACTTGTTGACTTTAAACTGTGCTGACATTAACTGCAACTATACTATTATTCAATTATTTCTGCAGTATTTTTCTCTTTTCAATTTATATCTCATGTTGGGTCATATTGAAATCTAGATTATACTTCATTAAGTGTTCCACATTTGAAAATACATATAAAGTATATTTTCTAATATACACAACAATAGTAAATATTAACAAATATTAATGCCCATTGTTGTTCAATAAGATTAATATTTTTCAACATTTAAGAAATATATATCATAGAAATATATCTTTTCCAATATTATTTATTAACTATTATTCCTTGACTATAAGCTACCTTTTTCCAACTGTTTATTCTAATTAGTGTCCTGATTGATTGCGTATTCATGTCCCTGACTAATTTGCCAAAATGGAGACCAGTATTAGAGTATGTTATATAATTATTTTATACATAATATCATATATAATTGTATATTTTTAATATTTTACATTTTATTTTAATAACATTGAATTATGATACATTATATTTTATATTATAATAAATTTAATATTTGTTAATGATTAAGATAATATTTCAGTGCTTCACATCTATTTTCTTTGCTATTGCAATCTCATTCCTGATTTGCTTCTAACTCAGGTAACTTTCATTCCTTTCCATTCATTAAGAAAATCACTTTCTCCCTTTCTGTTCTATTCCTCTCTTTCCTAGGACATACCAGTAGTATGACTTGCATTGGACTGTAAGGATGGAAAGGCCCATTAAATTTTCTGGGGGAAAAGGCTTTCTTGAAGTTACCTTTTGAGTTTTTATTATTAAAACTAGTTGATTTTGGAAGGTGACTGTAACAATATCACCATAAAAAATCCTTGAATATATATATAATAAAATTAGATCTTACACATGCCCTTAATGATGATTATTAATTATTGTGTAATCCCTATAGGGAGCAAATTTGATATTTGATGTTTTTGTCATTTACCTACATAATGTATAAAGACTATCACCTCTCAGCTAGGATTTATTGAACTTTTTTTTTTTACTTTTTGTTTAACTTTCAAGTTCAGAGGCACAAGTGCAGGTTTGTTCCATAGGTAAACTTGCGTCATGGGGTTTTGTTGTGCAGATTATTCATCACGCAGGTATTAAGCCTAGTTCTCATTAGTTATTTTTTTCATGATCCTCTCTCTCCTCCCACCCTCTAACCTCCAAAAGGCCCCAGTGTCTGTTGCTCCCCTCTATGTGTCCATGTGTTCTCATCATTTAGCTCCCACTTCTAAGTAAGAACATGCAGTATTTAGTTTTCCATTTCTGTGTTTGCTAAGGATAATGGTCTCCAGTTCCATCCATGTTCCTGTAAAAGAAAATTCATATGGAACCAAAAAGGAGCCCAAATAGCTAAGGCAATCCTAAGCAAAAAAAACAAAGCTGGAGGCATCTTGTTACCTGACTTCAAATTATACTACATGGCTACAGTAATAAAAAAATTTAAAAGTCAAATGTCATGACAAATGCTATAAGACACAGCCTACCCTATTTAAAGCATTGAGCTAGGGCTTTAAATTCTGTTTAAAGCATTGAGCTAGGGCTCAAGGAGCACTTGCTTTCTTGAATGTTGTCTAATTTATTGGTGGTTGGTTGGTTTTGGCCTACCAAGTAGACCTGGTCTCACCTTCCTGATGACTTATTCTTAAATGCCAGCTAGTTATCATAAACATAGTATTTCAGAGTTGACAATGTATTATTCTCACCAATAATATTTATATGAAAAAATTTCTGCAGGAATACTTTGCTTGGAATTTACACATTTGAAATACTTGTAAAACTCTTTGCAAGAGGTGTCTGGGCAGGATCATTTTCCTTCCTCGGTGATCCATGGAACTGGCTCGATTTCAGCGTAACTGTGTTTGAGTGAGTATTTCTTTAAATTGAGTCTATTTTAATGTTTTGCTCAGAAAATGTTTTTCATAAAAAATAATTGACGTCTGCAAAGATTTTGGCCTGCAGATAGTCTGCAAGTGAAGAATACTTCAAAGTTATGGTCATAGTGAGCTCTCTCAGCTGCCTCTGACCTAGTCCTCAGAAGATGCAATAAGAATGAAAGGAGTGGGGGGAGGGGGAGGGATAGCATTAGGAGATATACCTAATGTTAAATGACGAGTTGATGGGTGCAGCACACCAACATGGCAAATGTATGCATATGTAGCTAACCTGCACGTTGTGCACATATACCCTAAAACTTAAAGTATAATAATAAAAAAAGAATGAAAGGAGTGGGTTATTTTCTGCTTTCTATTTGGAGCAAGAACGATAAAGATTGAATTTGTGCATTTTAAGTGTGCCTTTTAGTGATCAGTGAGCAAATCCCTTGAATACTTAGGAGAAGGTCCTAGCAGATTTGATTCTCAATTCCCAATCTACGTTGCATGTAGCTACATTGCATAAGACCAGTAAATATGCTAGAGATCAGAATAACATATCTTAAACACCACCCCCCCCCCCACATTTTCTGGAATGCTTCATACAATTCTAACAATTTCATGTCTCTTTTTAAAATGCTTCTATTTAGTGTATTCTGTTTTCTAGCTATGGAAATCATTACTGGCATCAAACTCTTGTTAAAAATAATTTAAAGTAATTTTCTATTTGTAGATTTTGGGTCAGTTTTTAAAATAACATTTATAAACAGCATAAAGATGTCTGCTATGTTGTAAGCAATCTAACATAGTGTCTCATATCACTGTAATTATTACCATCACTACTTTTACTATTATTACCATTATCTTTGCTGTTTTGCTGTTTCTGTTAGCTAACACTTACAGAGCCCTTCCTATGTGCCAGGTGCTCTTCTATGTACTTCACATAAATTAATTCATTAAATCTCTCAAAAAACCCTCTGAATCAGAAAGTATTATTAACCCCACTTTACAGTTGAGGAAACTGAGGCAAGAAAGATTTAAATAATTTGCTCATGTTGCACAGTTAGTTCATGGTAGAGCCTGGATTTCTACACAAGCAGTCTGGCTTCAGAGTCTGTGCCCTTAAACAACACACAGTCTGCTTATACCTTCATCACCATCATCCTCATCCTCATCCTCTCTTCATCTTTATTCTCATATCACCACCATAATTACCATCATCATCACTGTAAGTTTAAATACTTAAAATGAATCTTATTCCTTAAAACACTAGATATTCATTTTTCATTGTAACTATCTTTTCAGTAATTAGATAAAAGATTTATGAACATAGTATAGAATATTTGATGAGAAATTGAGCATTCACAGTGTCAAACTTTTGTAAACTCTCATAATATAGATTAATATTTACCTGGCCACTTTCCACTGTAGCAATCTTTGTCTTCTAATCAATAATAAAACTGTTTGCAATATGGAATCATGTGATCAAGGGAAATGTTTGCATATATGGTTTTAAAAATAAGTTTCAATAACCATAAAAAGCCAAGAATAAGTAGCACAGATGTAATATGACTTTTAAGTAACTCTAATTTAATTCCACAGGGTTATTATAAGATACTCACCTCTGGACTTCATTCCAACGCTTCAAACTGCAAGAACTTTGAGAATTTTAAAAATTATTCCTTTAAATCAAGGTAAGAAATTGCATTGAATGTCTTTTCTTCATTTTGTTTTATGTACTGCCATGTATTCACTTGAACTTCCCTGTTGTTGTTCAGAGGAAATATTGAATAATGTTTCCACTTTGAAACCAGTGAGTTATCTGAAATTTACATTTATGTCACTCCAGGAAAGAGAAGAAAAAACGTACATTGACTGTTATTTATTTGGTGTAGGCTCAATTTTTACAAAACCAAAATATATACATCAATGAAATATATTTTAATTTATAATTCTTACAAATTAAATATGAACTTATAAAATTCTTCTTAGACTTCTGAGAGAAATAGTGGTCTAGACAGATGTCTAATCTGCCTCTTTCTTTTCCTCATTTTATCAAGAAACCAGTTGACATGAACAAAGTAATATAAAATAAGATGAATTCCCCTTTGCTTTGAGTGCTTGGATAGGGTGCAATTCACATGCCATAAAATTCATCTTCCATCAATGTGGTTGTGACTTTATCACATTGATGGAAGATGCTGAAGACTAAGTTACAGCTCCCATTTCTAAAGACATTCTAACAGAAACACACCAACACCTTCTAGTTTGTTATTGTGAATGAATAAGGACAATTAGATAAGAACAACTCTACCCAGAATGTTTCAGCTGCAATTCAGAAGTGTTATGAAATAGCTGTATCAAGAAAACAAAGGAGGAATATAATAAAAGCAAAAACAAAGCCTACAGGCTTCTTTCTGGTCTATGAAAGAAGACCACATTGTACACATTAAGCTATTGAATTGTGGGGCTTGTGAATTATATCTCAGTAAAGCTGTTTAATAAAAACTGTCTGTGGCATGGCAGCTTTACCAAATCTAGTGAAGGAATCAGTGAGAGTTAACCTGGTGGGAATTTTCACAGCTCTAGCTCCCTTACTACTCCCCACATATTTCACATGCATCTTCATCCTAAGACTAGAGGTAAGAATTATTAAATAAATCAGATGAATTCAAGTTGTAATAATACAAGAAGAATTCATTCACTAGAGTTGGAAGCCTGCAGGCTAGTAGGGACCTCTCACTCTTTTTTTCAAGGGAGAATATACTAGACACATACCAGCAATATGGAGTGTATGAAAATATTTTGCAATATAGAAAGAGAAACATATATTTAATAGAAAGAAAGTATCCTCTTTTAAAATAAATGTGCTTAAAAATAGAAGCATACATAATAAATTATCTTTTTACATTCTCTCAACAGAAGATGAAATGAGAGAGTAATATAGGCAAATATAACTAACTTTAAGACAAAAAAGTGATAAAAATTACACTACCCTAGATGAATATTCAGTGGTAATGGAAGCCGTAAAATAGTATTATAAGTGCATCAAACAAGCACACTTGTATAAAGAAAGACTAGAGGAATTCTATATTAATACAGTAGAACTGAAAAATGGAATGGATTAATGAAGGAGAAAAAACTAAATTCCATCTTATGCATAAACAGTGATCCTGAAAACAGACCAGAATGAATATAAAAGACAAATTATTGAAATATATACAATAGAAAAAACTTAAAAAAAATTTTAACTGGAAAAAGACCCTACAAATGAAAGAGATCAGCTTATACTAGATAAATAATAACTACAATACACACTTAGACATATTGTAAAATGTTATAAATGTAAAGTATTAAAGAATAAAAGTATTATAAAATTCTTCAAGCAAAAGGGCAAGAAACATACATCGTGGACAGGTCACCCTTAGACCGCATGTTAATAGTAAACTTAAATAGACAGTGGAGTTTCAGAGCTTGGGGGAAAGTGTAGGCAGGGAAGTTGAGACACTAGAATTCTATACTTGGCTGTCATTTGTATGTGTAGTCAACAAATGTATGTTCTCAGCTATACAAGAGTTCTCAAACTGTACATGTGTATCTTTTCAGAATATCTGCTGAAAAAGTAAGTATGAAAATGAAATATTTAGCAATGAGAGTATTTAGTTCTAAAAGTAATTGCAACGAGCTCTGAAACCATTTCGACACAGAATGGATTGCAAATTACTGCTGTTAGTGAGTTGCAAAACAGAATGCAAATATTACAAATCAGAAGTTACCACATGGACTTCCGTGGTTCATTCTTGAACTAGAGACATATTTTATTTGTGTTTTAGAAAACTTTGAAATAGTTGTCAATATTATAAAAATTTAATGATTTTATTTTGAAATCCAATTTAACTTGAATTGTCAGGTTAGGTCCACCTACATTTATGAACAGCAACAACCTGCTGTAGATGAAGAACAGCTGCCACTTTCAGTCAGGCAGATTCATCTGAGTCCTCTCAACTCTCTGTTTGTGTGAATTTATGCTTCCTGGCAAGCCCTTGTAAGGATTTGAATTTTATCCTTTCTATAAATCATGATAGATAATATGTGATACAAAATACATAACTCAACAATTATAACTAGGTCAAAGGTCATTACTTATATTAACAAAAACTGAGAAGTAAGAATAGAGAAATGTAAGAAAATAAATACAGTTATTTTCTCACCTTATGTGGTGGGACTGAGTAGACACAGTCTTATTGATGTAGAGATATGCATGTTATTTCAAAATAGGAACTTAAATTGGATATAAGTTCTCAAAACATGTATTTTATCTAAAATAATAAAGGAAAAAATAGACACAGTAAATTTATTGACAAAGGAAAAGAAACACAGTGAATAATAAGGAGAATATAGAAATAAAAAAAAGTAAAGGTATATTCCAGTGTAAACCTAATTTATGAAAATAAATGCAATTGGTTTAAATTTTTTTTATCAAGGCAGAGACTTTAATATGAAGTCAGAAATACAATTAAACTCTATAATAGACTTACTTAAGCTAAGCAAAACAAAGGTTAAAATTTAAAAGGAGGAGGAAGTTATACCAGAAAATTAAGATCGAAATTGGTGTAAGACCCGGAACTTTCTAACAAAATATAATTAGTATATACTAATGAAAATTATTAACAAACTTAATTTTATAAAAATGTGATGGTGTCATTTTTTTCCATCAAACAAAATGTCAGTAGTAAAATTAAGGCTCTGCCAAAAACTGGGTATATGATGGAAATTATCTATCTATCTATCTGTGTGTGTGTGTGTGTATATATATATATATAAACATATATAAAAACACATATATATATAAACACAGACATATATTTTTCTTTAAGAATTGCTCTTCTTAAAAACATTTCCAACAAAACAATATGAAAAAAATTCAGTATAAAGATATACTAAGGACTCATGACAGTTGCCAAATAAGCACACAGTGCAAATACACCTATTTTAAAAGTTTGGAATAGTAACTACAGAAATTACATTGAAGTCATTTTATTTTTTTCTAATAAACTGCCAACAATATTTCAAAATGTTCCAGTTCTAGTGAAGGCTTATAGTCTGGTTTATACATTGGTTCAACATCTCTCGAAAACTATGTGAACATGTGTATCAATGGTAAACCACTGTAGTATATTTGACACAGAAGTTCTATTATATATCTAGTATAATACTTTGAAAAGATTTGCTTATAGTAAAAAGAATGATATAATTCTAAGTGGTAAAAGGAGGCTATAAATAGATTTTATTATGATGTCAAATTAAAATTGTATATTTAATCTAGATTATCACACTTCTGTAGTCACAAGAATGACTTTATTTGAACCCTGTCATACTTTACTCAAGAAATCTAATCATCTAAGGTCATTCAAATGACAGTTTTCAATTCTCACAATAAGATAGAAAGTAGGTATTATTTCCATGTAAAAAAATTATAAAACTAAGGCATACAAATGTTGACTACTTGCATAGTTAACATCACAGAGTTAGTATATTCTCATTCATTATTGTTTTGAGCAGTTATTAGGATACTAATGCACACAGACTAGCAAATAAGAGAGCAAGTGAAAAAGAAAAGGGAGGAGGGAGGGAAGGATGGAAGAAAGAAAGAAAGTTTATATACAAAAAATTTAATAGTAATTCTATGAGATATGATTATGTTATTTTTGTTTTTTCTTGTTTTCTACTTTCAGAAGTCAGCATGTGTTATTTATAATTAGAAAAATGAATATCCTTAAATAAAGCCAGCTTTAGGTTTGAGTTCTCTATTAGTATTCTGATATAAATACAGTTTACATAGACCACAGTTGTGTTATTCTCTTTCCTGCTTATTGAAATTATTCAAATTGAATTATTATAAAGTCAATTACAGAATAACATATAATACTGCTGTTTCAAACTGTTTCTTTTTTCAAGAACATTTTAATTTTGATTTATAACCTTACACTTTTCTTTATGTTTGCAAACACTGGAGGTTAGTATGACAAGTAGATACCAAGAGAGGGAGATTGTTTTTCTTTGTAAAGAGAAACAAACAAATGATTAATTTTAAATAGTGTGTCTGAATTATTTTGTTAGGTGTTAAAAATTAGCAATAATACATAAACCTCAACTTTTGATTTAGTATTCACTTTATTTATGAGGCCCAAATAATTAGAATTACATTATAAGATAAAACTGTTGATTTCAATGGAGTATGCAGTTGCTGTGGGAGAGGTTTGCCAATAGTGCTTTTCTAAGATATTACATTATTTCGAAAACAAATGTTTCTCTTTCCAGGTCTGAAATCCCTTGTAGGGGTCCTGATCCACTGCTTGAAGCAGCTTATTGGTGTCATTATCCTAACTCTGTTTTTTCTGAGCATATTTTCTCTAATTGGGATGGGGCTCTTCATGGGCAACTTGAAACATAAATGTTTTCGATGGCCCCAAGAGAATGAAAATGAAACCCTGCACAACAGAACTGGAAACCCATATTATATTCGAGGTAAGAATCACCTTGCCATGTATATCAAAAATTGAAACTTTCGTTAAAGGCAAAGCAGTCTTCCCAGAAATGTTGAACACTCAACATTTTGTTAGATTCCCAAAGGCGCTGGTTGAAAGGCAAGGATATTTGCTCTTTTCTTCACAATTGCAGAAAGGTATTTTAGCTTCTGCAGAGATCCAAATGGACTTCTACTGTGGTGCTAACTCATAATTACATATAGAATATCATTTCTTGCCTGTTTTTCAGAAACAGAAAACTTTTATTATTTGGAAGGAGAAAGATATGCTCTCCTTTGTGGCAACAGGACAGATGCTGGGTAGGTGGTATTAGTTTTATTCTATTAAATCATTATCACCTGTCAATAGTATTTAATGAAGGACTATTGCTTTTACTGTTGCTTCCCATTTGATTGTATTATCTCATTTCATCATCAAAACCATACTGAGAAGTTGTCTTAGTCTACTCAGGCTGCATTAACAAAATACCACAGACTGGTTGGTTTAAAAACAACAGAAGTGTATTACTCACAGTCGGGGAAGCTGAGAAGTCCAGATCAAGGTGCTGGGCCAGTTTGGTGTCTGGTGAAGGCCTGTCCTCTGGTCAATAGATGGTACCTTTTTGCTGTGTCCTCACATAGCAGACGAGGCCAGAGGTTTCTCTCAGGCCTTTTCTCTGAGGATATCGATCACATTCAAGAGGACTTCACCCTCGTGACCTAATCACCTATCAAAGGCCCCATCTCCTAATCACATTGGGAGTTAGAATTTCAATATGAATGTTGAGGGGACACAAACATTCAGACCATAGCAGAAGTATGCAATGTGGAATACTATTCATCCAATTTTATTAAAAAAGCAATAGGCAGACTAATTCAATGATTTCTTCAAGGTCTAGAAGCTAGTAAATGGCAGAGCTGGGACTTACACAAGAATCTTATCTTCTGTTTTCAAGAGTGCTCCAGAGCTAGTGAGAATGACGAAGAAAGACAATATAAATCTATCATTTGGAAAGAAGTTTTGGGAGAAAAGAAATATTAAGGATAGGCTGATGGGAGCCGCGATAGCTCGGGCTGGTTGTCCTGGCGTGCAAAGAGGCAAGGCTGCATGTTTGAGGCCAACCTGGGCAACATTGAAAGCCTCACATCCATTTAAAAAAAAATTAAAAAGATACGCTGATATTTCACTTATTTAATCTCTTATATGTTTTTATGACTATAATTTACATTAGTAAAAACCTCGTTCTTAAAATCAGCATTTCAAAATAATTCTTAAGTGAGATGACATAACTGTCATGTCTCATTGTCCTATAATTTCAGATGAAAATTACAATTCATAAAGGGGAAACAGGGCACTTCTCAGCAATGTGACTCATGTAATTCCCTCCTGTTGCTTTGCTTAGCTGGGATGACTTGGCAGCCATCTGTAAACTCAGTTCTTTCTTACACTCTGGTGCCCAGGTTAACAAAAGGCTTCTGGGGGAGGAGAGCATGAGTTATATGGTTTAGTTAAATTCAGGGGATTTTGACATTTTCTCACTTGCTCAGCACACATATATGTATGTATGTGTGTATATATATACACACACATACATATATACACATATATATACACACATATGTGTATATATATGTGTATATATTCGTATATATACGTATATATACACATATGTATGTCGTATATATATACATATATATATGTGTATGTGTGTATGTATAGTTTGTTTGAGACCGAGTCTTGTTCTGTTGCCCAGGCTGCAGTGCTGTGGCACAATCTGTGCTCATTGTAACCTCTGCCTCATGGGTTCAAGCAATTCTAGTGCCTCTGCCTCTCAAGTAGCTGGGATTACAGGCATGTGCCACCACTACTGGCTGATTTTTGTGTTTGTAGTAGAGATGGGTTTTCGCCGTGTTGCCCAGGCTAGTCTTGACCTCTTGGGCTTAAGCGATCCACCCACCGTGGCCTCCCAAAGTGCTGAGTGTATAGGTATGAACCAATGCACCCTGCGCCTGGCCTCAGTACATATTTTTTTGCCCAGCTCCTGCTGGGCTCCCATTCTGTTCTCATATCCAAATGGTGAACCCATCTCTTTGTATCTGTCCCATCCCATTTCAGCTAATTCCTTTTATGTACATTCCAAGCTCAAATATGACCCGAAATACATTTTGGCTATATTTTGGATACACATGGTCATGGATATTCAGGATACAATGGTATATTTCAAGGCAAGAAGAGAAAGTCATGCAGTGTTTCACCTGCAGCAGTCATACTTGGCTGCATGGTAAACTATCCCAAAACAACAAGACAACAACAATACTTCATTTGCTCAGATAGTATGGGTCAGCAATGTAGCAAGTCCCAATGCACAAGTGATTTTTAAATCTCTCCTTGTTCCATTAAAACTACAACAAGTAACATGACTAAACCCAAAATAATGTGAGAGAAAACTACACAAGGGCGTGGAGAGAGGAAGCATGATTTACTGGACTGCCACTGTAATAATGGAACACAAGACCGAAACTCCCAAGTGGATAGAAATATGAGGACTCCCTAAAAGGAAATAAAATAAATATTTAATTTGATCTGCCTCCCCATGTGCAAATACTGCTTATAAATTATTGATGCGATAAATGTTTTCTCACCCTTAAATAATGGGTTCTAAGGGCTTTACATGAAGTCATTTGAAAATTATACCCTCAACCATTGCAGTTGTATCAGTACTATTTTCCATCAGTTATACCTTCACTCTGATGTTCAGATATTTCCCCTTTAATATTGGAGTAGTAAAGATATAGTTAATACAAGGTATTTTATTCTTGAAAAATGATAAGACGATAGATTTAAAGTATTCTCACCACAAAAAAATAAGTATGTGAGGTATGCATATGCTAATTAGCTCCATTTGGCCATTCCACAATATATACATATTTCAAAACAGCATGTTGTACTTCACAAATATGTACAGTTTCTCTTTGTCAATGAAAAAATAAAGAAATACAAAAAAAATAGCTTGGCAAAAACCACTTTTCAGGCCCCTTTTTATTTTCGCTTAATTAACACTGTTCACTGTATCAACTTATAATCTAACTCATGTGTGACTTTTTAGCAAGCAATTGTTTGGGAGCAGACATTACTCTCCCTGTGGAAGCGTGAGTTCTCTATTACTCAGGACTGATGTTCTATATTTATGATTTGACCATAATCTGATAGTCACCTAATAGTAAGCAGGTTTTTTTCTTTGTCTTCTTTAGTCAGTGTCCTGAAGGATATGTGTGTGTAAAAGCTGGCATAAATCCTGATCAAGGCTTCACAAATTTTGACAGTTTTGGCTGGGCCTTATTTGCCCTATTTCGGTTAATGGCTCAGGATTACCCTGAAGTACTTTATCACCAGGTAAGAACAGAGAGAAATTGTACTGTACTTAGGAATGGCACCATGCCCTTGCTTCTAAGATAATGGTCAAATGTAATATAGTTTTTTAAATTTTTATGTGCAGAAGAATTGGAAGACAAAAGAAAAGAGAACTAGAATTACTGAATGTCAAATTATATGCTGGCCACATTGCCAGGTGTATTATATCTTATTTAATCTTTGAAACAATTCTACAAGGTCAGAGAGAGAGAGAGAGAAGAGAGGAGAGAGAGAAGAGAGTGTGTGTATTTGTATGTGTGCTTTTTTTTTTTTTTTTTTTTTGAGACGGAGTCTCACTCTGTCACCCAGGCTGGAGTGCAGTGGCACAATCTCAGCTCACTGCAAGCTCCGTCTCCCGGCTTCACACCATTCGCCTGCCTCAGCCTCCCGAGTAGCTAGGACTACAGGCGCACGCCACCTCGCCCGGCTAATTTTTTGTATTTTCAGTAGAGGAGGGGTTTCACCGTATTAGCCAGGATGGTCTTGATCTCCTGATCTCATGATCCTCCCGCCTCAGCCTCCCAAAGAGCTGGGATTACAGGTGTGAGCCACCTCGCCCAGCTGTGTGTGTGTGCTTTTTATATGAAGACACTAAGATTTAGAGAGGTCGAGTACCCTCCCAAAATTTATAGCAGTTGAACCTCCCAGATCTCAGATCACTGTCTTGTTTCAAAGCCTATGATATTATGCATTTGGTAATCACTAAAGAACATATCTAGGTATTAATTCTTTAGTTGAAACATTTTGAATTTATGACATTACCATATCTTAAGCAATTATTTATTGAATATATACAGTGTCCTGTTTCTTTTTGTTCTTCTATTTCTTCTTATCCAGTTCAATATTCAACCATGTTCCAGTTACAATAACAGAAGGCTTACTGTAATGAGAATTGAAATTCAAATTCTGAGAGTCTGTATTCGTAACTAATTATGTATGTGTCATAGTTTCTCAGAAAGGTATGATATTCATGAAAATGGGGATTCAGTTTTTCTTCAAAGATAAGTTCTATCATAGTAGAAAATAGTGTTATTTTCAAAGCAGCATTACTCTAACTTCTGAAGTTATTCATAGTTGAAGGAGAACATTCTTTATTTTTAAACAAACATACATACACATCCAGTCCATGCTTATTTTGGTTGACTTGATAAATTGTGGGCAATATATGTGTATATATGGGTCATTAATGATGATAGGCTAATATAATATATTTGGGGCACAGACAAAGTTTCATAATATATTGTTAAATGGAAATCAAATAGACCAAACATGCATGCAGCATAATTGTATTTTTGGTAAAAAAAAAAAAAAAAAAAAAAAAAGAAAATATTACAAGTGACATTTTTACACAAACTATATTTTTGTAATTTTGTTAGACTAGTACTTGCATTGGTATTTCCAGTCTCTTTGATAAGATTCAGTGCTTTCTCCAAAACATTAGGAGGTTCTTATTTCTAAAATAATCTTATCACATTACCCTTCTTCTAAAAATCCTTCAGTGTTTTTCAAATTCCAACTCTATATGCATGATATATAGTGCCCTTCAAGGTCTCATCTGCCTACATCTCCTGATTTATTTCTTAACATACTCTAATATATACTCTCTGTTTAATTATTCAAAGGATTTGCTGCTTCCTAAATGAGCTTTTCTCATAATATCATATTTCCATGTATGTTGTACCCTCTCCCTAAATTTAAGTTTCCTCCTATCTGCCTTCAGTTTCAGGCTTCAAATTTATGCTGTGAAACCATGATTTCTTCCTTGAGCTTTTCCCCAAGCCCAGTGTAGGAGTAAGGCACATCCTACACTGGAATGCTATGGTTCACTATACTTTCCTTAGATTGTGGTGTTTTAGTTGCTTGTCCGGTTATTTTCCCACTTAGAGATGAACTACCTGAGAAACTACCTGCTAATTTTTTATCTATCTGAGAAAAAAAATAAGTATTTTTGTCTTATTTTAATTTTTTTGATTTCTCAGCATCTACACATAGAATTCTTAATGGAACTTTAATAAAAATATAAGTGAATATGTATGGGCTATATCACTGTATATGCTATAATAATACAGGTTTTGCTCTTCACTTATTGCCCCCAAAATGTATGAATTAATTTTCTTGTTAGCGTTTGTTTCAAGACAGTTCTTTCCCTCTACAAAAGAAATAGGGAACCAGTCTGGAAGTGTCCTGCCATTAGGGCCCTCAGGATCTTCATTATTGTACTCCAAGTTTTTGTTTGTTTGTTTCTTATACTTTAAGTTCTGGGATACATGTGCAGAATGTGCAGATTTGTTACTTAGGTATATATGTGCCATGGTGGTTTGTTGCACCCCATCAACTCGTCATCTACATTAGGTATTTCTCCTAATGCTATCCCTCCCCTTCCTCCCACCCTCTGACAGGCCCCCTGGTACGTGATGTTCCCCTCCCTGTGCCCATATGTTCTCATTATTCAACTCCCATTTATGAGTGAGAATATGTGGTGTTTGGTTTTCTGTTCTTGTGTTAGTTTGCTGAGAATGATGGTTTCCAGCTTCATCCATGTGCCTGCAAAGGACATGAACTCATTCTTTTTTATGGCTGCATAGTATTCCATGGTGTATATGTGCCACATTTTCTTTATCCAGTTTAACGTTGATGGGCATTGGATTGGTTCCAAGTCTTTGCTATTGGGAATAGTGTACTCCAAGTTTTTACTGACTAATATAGATAGAGTTTGTTTTGATTTTATCTAGATTTGTATCCTGAACATTGCCTTAAACTGAACTAATTATGGATAGGGAAATTTAGCAATTCTTCCCAAAGAGTATAGCATATGTTTTGGATATTATTGTTTTCCATTAATTCAAAATATATTTATTTTATCCAAGTATTCTGATATACTGTGGGTACAGAAATGAACAAAACAGTGTCAAACCTCAGGGAACAAAATTATGTTTACAGTATAGCTAATATTTATTGGGAACCTGGGATGTGCTAAGATCTTTGTGTATAATGTTTCATTTTATATTCATAAAAAACATTGAAATAGGGGCCATAGTTAGCCCCTATTTCAAACTAAAATGTAATAAAACTAGAAATTATGTACTGTTTTATGCTAACAAGAGTATATGCTTTTATGCTCCACTAGCATTATATAGTGGAGACAGCAAAAGTTCTGAATTCAGGCATTCCTTCATAGGCTGTGAGATCTTGGGAGCTTTTTTTCCTATCTGATTTTCATTTGTCTTCTGTATATTGAAATAATATTGAATAAGATAATAAGCATAAAGTATAGTTATCCTTCAGTATTCATGGATGATCAGTTCCAGGACCTCTGGTGGATACTAAAATCCATGAATTCTCAAGTCCCTTATGTAAAATGGCATTGAATTTGCATATGACCTACATACTTCTGTATAAATTTTCTCCTGTATAAGTTAAATTATCTCTAGATTACTCATAATACCTAATACAATGTAAATGCTATGTAAATACAGTCATGTGTTGCTTAATGACAGGGATACATTCTGAAAAATGTGTCATTAGGTGATTTCATCATTATGTGAACATCATAGAGTGTGCTTACACAAACCTGGATGATGTAGCCTACTATACACCTAGGCTATATAGTATAGCCTATTGATCCTAGGCGGCAAACCTGTACACCATGTAATTATACTGAATACTGTAGGCAATTGGAACACTGTGCCAAGTATTTGTATAGGTAGGCATATAAAAGATACAGTAAAAACATAGTATAAAAAACCAAAAAATTGATATGCCTATATAGAACAGCTCCTTTGGAATCTTTTGAGATCACTGTTGTATATGCTGCTGGTCATTGACCTAAATGTTATTATGTGGTATGAGACTGTATAGTTGTTACACTATATTGTTCATAATGACAAGATAAAAAGTCTATATGTTCAATATAGATAAAATTTTAATATGTATAGTTTTGATGCGTGGTTGGTTGAATCCACAGATATGGAACCCATGAATACTTGGAACCAACTCTATTTACTGATGTGCATGGCCTAAAGGGTACTTTTTTTTTTTTTTTTTGATACATGGTCACTCTGTCACCCAGGCTGGAGTTCAGTGGTGTGATCATGGCTCACAGCAGCCTCAGCCACCCTGGGCTCAGGTGATCCTCCCACCTCAGCCTCCTGAGTAGCTGGGACTACAGGCAAATGCCACCACATCCAGCTATTTTTTTTGTATTTTTAGTAGAGATGGGATTTGCAATGTACTTTATAATACCTATTCCTGACTGCTGAATGCACTACAATAAATAACAGGTACTTCAGTGGTAAAATATTTAACCAATCCTAAATAGGTTGCTCACTGTGATAACAGGGCTTATTAAAAATACTTTTAAAGACAAATAGACTCTAGGTCAAGAAATTATTTCTCATTGAATGTTTGAACTCTCTATTAATCTGTAAATATTCTTGATTGTTACATCCACACAATATTTTCTGTAGATAATACTTTTCTATTAATTTAATTTCTCATTTGTTTCCTTAAATTTTGTTCATGTACTTTTGATCAATGAGGTTAAATCAATGGATATTTTATATTTGTAATGTTATACTTATAATTTTTTAAATCTTTTAATTTTCTGATCTGTCTTAGGAAATTATTATGAAATAAAAAGCTAGTCAGTGCTGTGTTTGGCAATCTAAAATGTTGTATTTTGCTATCTATAAATGTCATCCACTGCAATGCCTTCATGTAAATGGATAATTTGACTTCCCCATGTAGCTTGTCTAAAGGTTCTTCACCAAAGCAGATACTTTGACAGGCAAAGAAATAGTCCTGCTCTCCATTCCTTGTAAAGACTAATTTTTTACTTTGCTGTGATTTTTCCATAAAGTAATAATCAGAAAAAAAAAATCTCCAAACATTCTCTGACTTCATTAAACTTCATATATTTAAAGATTCTTCTGCAAAGAAAATAACTTTCCATGTTGAGGCTGTCCAGTTTCTATATCAAGAGATGACAATTATTTCAAATGTATTTTCTCTATCAATGAAGACATAAAAATCGAATACTTACCTTAAGTTAATTAAATTACTAATTTTCCCTTGGTTTTACAGCATATATTGTATACCTTACATGCAGGTCTCAAGTTCAAAAGGTTTTCATTTATTTCTTCAGGTGGAGCCAGTGCTTAAACAGTCTTATGATTACATTCCATTTATGACTATATTATTTTCCTAATAAAATTTTGCCTTTTATTTTAAAATAGGAGAATCCTGGAAGATAAATAACATTTTACTCTTTTGCCTTACTTTCTACCTTTCCTTAGATACTTTATGCTTCTGGGAAGGTCTACATGATATTTTTTGTGGTGGTAAGTTTTTTGTTTTCCTTTTATATGGCAAGTTTGTTCTTAGGCATACTTGCCATGGCCTATGAAGAAGAAAAGCAGAGAGTTGGTGAAATATCTAAGAAGATTGAACCAAAATTTCAACAGACTGGAAAAGAACTTCAAGAAGGAAATGAAACAGATGAGGTATCTATATCTATCTATCTATCTATCTATCTATCTATCTATATATATATATATATATATATATATTTTAGTCTTGAAACAGCAATCATTTATTTGCTCATGATTCTATGGCTTAGGCTCTGTTAAGACAGTTCATTGCTGGTCCCATGGTGGTCACAGATTCCAAAAAACAGCAGGGGAGCAAGCACCATGCCAAGTGCTTTAAGGCTCTGCTTGTGTCAACATTTGTTATTGTCCAGTGGGTAAAGCAAGTAACATGGCCAAGGTTAGAGTTAAGGTGGAAAGAGATTTCCTAAGGGTATAAATAAAAAGAAGGAAATTTGTGGCCATTTTTGCAAATAATCTACCACACTTATGATATTTTTTTGTTTGGGTTTTAGTTCCTTTTCTCAGTGATGGTGGTGTTCTTTTATTTTTCTATGCAGTTTTAAATTTTTAAATTTTTTATAATTTCAACCCTTTTTGGAATTTTAAATAGTTGCTTTATTAGAGCATCTTTTTATTATTATTATACTGGATATATGTCCAGTTCTGGATATATGCCTAGAACGTGCAGGTTTGTTACATAGGTATACATCTGCCATGGTGGTTTGCCACACCCATCAACCTGTCATCTACATTAGATATTTCTCCTAATGCTATTGCTCCCCTTGCCCCCACCCCCGACAGGTCCTGATGTGTGATGTTCCCCTCCCTGTGCCCATGTGCTCTCATTGTTCAACTTCCACTTATGAGTGAGAACATGCGGTGTTTGGTCTTCTTTTCCTGTGTTAGTTTGCTAAGAATGATGGTTTCCAGCTTCATCCATATCCCTGCAAAGGATGTGAACTCATTCTTTTTCATGGCTGCATAGTATTTCATGGTTGCATAGTATTTCATGGTGTATATGTGCCACATTTTCTTTATGTAGTCTAACGATACTGGCAAACCAAATCCAGCAGCACATTAAAAAGCTTATCCTCCATGATCAAGTCGGCTTCATATCTGGGATGCAAGCCTGGTTCAAAATAAGTAAAACAATAAATGTAATCCATCACATAAACAGAATCAGTGGCAAAAACCACATGATTATCTCAATAGATGCAGAAAGGGCCTTCGATAAAATTCAACACCCCTTCATGCTAAAAACACTCAATAAACTAGGTATTGATGGAACATATCTCAAAATTTCAACTTTTAGATTCAGGGGCTACATGTGCAGGTTTGTTATGTGGGTATATTGTGTGACAGTGAGGCTTGGGGTACAAATGATCCCATCACCCAGGTAGCGTTTGGTACCCAACAAGCAGTTTTTCAGCCCTTGCCCTTCCCCTTCTCTTCCCCCTCTAGTAGTCCCCAAGGTCTGTTGTTCCCATTATTAGGTCCATGTTTGCCCAGTGCTGAGCCCCCACTTAGTAACTGAGAACATGCAGTATTTAGTTTTCTGTTCCTGTGTTAATTCACTTAGGATAATGGCCTCCAGCTGCATCCATGTTGCTGCAAATGACATGGTTTCATTTTTTTTTTTCTAATGCTTCTTAAAATCACAGTGCTAGAGGTGTCTTTTTAAGGTCTTGGAGTACATTGCCTTCTAATAGATGTTTATATCTGTGTGTGGTACATAATCAGAAGATCAAAAAATATTTCAATAAGAGAGCTTGCTTTTGCTACAACTTTGAAAAATGTCTGGTGTTAATGCAAAAGTGACAGAACCTTCCATAATTTAGAAATTAGAAAGTACTAAAAGGATGGATAAAATTACAGTACTGAAGTTGTAGACAGAAATAAAATTACTTTATTGGCTTTCTAGTTCTTTCCAGAGGAAATGCACTATGTATCATAGTACAGGGAATTATTTTATTCCTGAAATAATTAAATCCAGATTAATAAAGCCTAACAATGTTTTACTGTAATTGTCAATTACCTTAGTGTTGTGCTTTAATATTTTTTTCAGATTCTTTAGCCTCATAGCAAAAACTTTGGTCTATTAGTTTGAAAGTATTGACAGAAGTAGCATTAAGGAAGTTTTCGAAAATTGTCTTTAAAAATCTAAACTGCCATAAGTGTGCTTAAAGAAAGGACCAGATGGTAGAAAGCAAACAGAAGTAGCTTTCTAATATTCTGCAGGACCTGGCAATCTCACATCTCTTCTTTGAACTACCTTTCTGATAAATGGGAAAAAGGTCTATATTGAGCCAGAGAACGAAAAATAGAGAGAAGCCATACCCGGAGCCCTCTCTATAAAGAGATAAAAAGACAAGGGGAAAAGTGAAGGGCCGAGATACACTCTGCCACGAAGTGGAATATATAGTAAGGTACATTAATACCAAAGGTCCCTACTAAGTCAAAGAGGGAAATGTTAACTCCCCTGTATATAACCCTTTTATTAAGTCATGACCAGTCAAGAAGCTTTAGAAAGCTATTGTACCAAAAGGTGGAATCTGAACGACATGATGTAAGATCATACTGAATGACTCTATAGCTACTTGTGTCCATAACATGCATACCATTGAACAAGAAGCAGTTGTGGACTGTGTGAAGAAAACATGTATAAAAAAGCCTATTGAGTATTCCCATTATATATGAGTAAGCCACAGAAAAACAAATTTCAAAAGCTTTCTGTTTCTAAGAAATGAGTCCGGGGTCCTTCAGATTGAGTGATTAGGGTTTGAATGATATGTTGAATGTGTAATTTGTTCTGAAGTGGCATTTCACAATCTTAAGGGCTTATGGCTGCACTCAATTGTATCCAAGAATGTAACAATACTTCTCTGATCCCAGATGAAATGTTTTATTAACTCTTCTTATGAAGAACTTGGATATTTCCCAATTTTACCATATTTCCACTCATTTTTCTGCTCTGGATCCCATTTTCTGATTTTTATTAAAATGTTTAATTATAACCCATTTCTTTTCCTGGAAGATTCCTAGAACATTTTATCATGAAGAATTTTCTAGGAAGTAAGAGTATACATTATTTGTACAAGAATTTTCCTCTTTTATTTATAAATACAAAAAATTAGAAAAAATAATGTAAAATGGAACAAACTGAGGGCTCTACAGGTCACTGATCTGCTTGCAAACCAGTCAGATGTCAGTTCTGATGCTGGAATTGCCGGGATATTGCTTAGGTGCTTCATATCCTCATGTTATAGGAAAACTGTTGGTCATATTGGCTAAAAGCACAGCTCTGCAGTTAGATAAATATGGATTTCAGCCTAATTTAGCTACTTAATAGATGAATGATGTTTGCCAAGTTTGTTAGCTTTTCTAAACTTCAACTTTTTTATCTGTAAAATGTATATAAAGAACCTATCTTATGGGTTGTAGTGAGGTCCAAATGAAATAAATGCATGTAAAGCACTAAGCTGTGCTTACACTATACTAAGCAACTGAAAAAATTTTATGAAGACTATTAATAAAATTATTATGACATGTCAATATTATGCATCATGTAGAAGATAGCTTTTATACAAACTATTGCGGTCAGCAATCTATATTAAGAACACTTGATTTTTATGGAAAAAGTCAGATTGAATAAACTCACATTTTAGAAGTGAATTATCTCATAACAATATAATAACATTAATATCATGCAACATTTATTGCTTATTTACTGTGTTTCAGACTCTATGCTAAATTTTTACATACACTGTTGCCTTTCTACTGTGACAACCCTTTGAGGTACTGGAATTATCTCAATATTTCACATAAGAAAACTGAGGTTCAGTCTCCAAAGTGGGAAATGTAGAACTAGCCATAATATTAAACAAGATATTAAAATGTTTATGTTATTATACTATAAAATGTAATTCATGTTAATAAAGTTCATAAATAATCACTCGTTAATTATAGATAACACAACAAGGCAAACACAAGAACGCATGGCTGTTTCAACAGAGAAACACCCAGCAACATAAAATTCTTGTCTTTGACTATATTTAGGGATAATTAAAATAACAATAAAAATGACGATAGCAGTCACATAAAATGTTTATTGAGTGTCAGATATGCACCAGACATATGATAAGTACCATCATGAATTTTCAAGTTTAATCCTTATTGAGGAGTTCCAGCTGCAGAGATTGATCTATACTCACTGATATTTGATTTCACAACACTGAGGAATACAATCCATCATTTACCACTTCACTTCCTGGTTCTGGAGGTTCAGTGCTGAAACAGTTTCATTCCTTGCAGGTGAAACTTTCTTATGAATTGTCAACTACTGGCAAAATCTCAGGAAGATAATCATGTATATAAAATTGTAGAAATACAAATATTTTTAAAAAATATTTGCCACATTAAAATGATAGTCATAATTCATGTAACGAATTAAAAAATGATTGACAATTGTACAAAGCACTGGATATAAAGAGTTTTAATAAATACAAATAGAGTGTCTATCTTCATGAAGCTAATTGTCTAATGGATAGATAGACTATCAAATTATCATAAACACTAAATTGTATCTGAAGGACAAAAAATTATGTGTTTCTAGCTATTATGGAATAGAAAACACAAAATACCAGATACAGTATATTCTTCCTAAAATTTAAGTCTAATAAGCATCTTGATCCAATTGCTTTTTTTTCTCAGAGACTGTAAGAGAGGAATACATTAAATTACACTGAAATGATATAATCTTCCAAATAAAGAATGTGAAAAAGTCTAAAGTATAAACAACCCAGAATCTTTAAAAAATAAATCATGTTGGAAAAAATAAATTAAAATTACAAGATAATTGATAAAACTGCCAAGTAAATGTTTGGACCTTGTTTGTATTTTGATTAGAACAAATCAACTGTAATGATGTTTTTGAGTAATTAAATTGAGTATAATTTGAGTATTGGTTAGTATTAAGGAATTACTAATTTTGCTAATTGTGATAATGGTGTTGTGATTTATATTTTTAATATTTTATCTGAAAAGTGTATTATCTCTGAAATTTATTTAAAATAAATATTTCAGAAAATAAGTAGAGTGAATAAATGAAAAAGGAAAAATAGACCACTAATAATTGTTGAGGCTGGATATTAGTTACTTGGTGGTTCACATTATTCTCTGCTTTAATAAATTAAAGGAAACTGGGGCAAGTGGAATGAAGCAGAGAGGCATGGTCCTTTGAGGGCCTTTTGTAAAGGATTCTCTGAGTCGGAAAAGGTTTCTATGAGAAACTGACACTTCAGTTGAGATGTGAAGAATGTGTCCAGGCTAAATAGATGGAGTGGGCAGGGTGAGTCAGAGAAGTAAAAAGGCCAGCATGGCTGCAGGAAAGAGTAACCCTGAGTCCATGACAAACTTGTCAGATATTCAGGTAAATGTGAGACATGTGACTAAGTTCTTCCTTATTACTACCTCCCCTCCAAAAAATACTTAAACTAGTTTTGAGAAAAAGAATCCTAGCCCCCTTTTCCAGTTTAATTTTAATATTGGGTTGTCAAAAGTTCAGGCATATGCCCTTATTAGCTCTTAAATATCCACAGAGGAAGGGTGTTGAGTAACAATCCTCTCAATTTTCACTGTAAAATAGCTATATCCTTAGTATTTGACCAATGTGTGGGCATTTATTCAGTATTTATAAGAAGCTCAATCAAGGTAAATATATTACTAGACAGACCTGTGGTTTATTCATTTCATATTCTAAAATCTATCCATAGTTGAAGCCAAATTAGTAGAGAATTGAGCACTGACTTTATCAACGACAATATTATTACCATGTACTTTATTCCCCATTCCCCAACCCTGGACAGTTATCTTTACTGAATTGCTTCTTAATGCGATTCCAACAAACATTGTCCCTATCTGAAACAGCTCTATGAAGAGTAATTAATTCATCTCAATTAAGGATATATTCAAGGATATTATTCAATATGTCACACAGTGTCATCTTTATGAGAGATACATATAAGAAATCCCCGTCGGATCTTAATAACAAAAAATTACTTCTATTGGTTTTTAATCTCACGAAAATTTGGAATTGCATAAATTACAACTTACATTTTATGTAATCTTATAGTTCAGCTAAGAATAGTTTCTAGAATAAGCATAGTTTAAACAAACAAAAAAAATCTAACCCTTACATCCTGAACTTTTTTGAGACAGAGTCTCACTCTGTCGCCAGGCTGGAGTGCAGTGGCGCAATCTGGTCTCACTGCAACCTCTGCCTCCCAGGTTCAAGCAACTCTCCTGCCTCAGCCTCCCGAGTAGCTGGGACTATAGGCGCGCCCTAACACATCCAGCTAATTTTTGTATTTTTAGTAGAGACGGGGTTTCACCATGTTGGCCAGGATGATCTCCTGACCTCGTGATCTGCTCGCCTCGGCCTCCCAAAGTGCTGGGATTACAGGCGTGAGCCACCACACCCGTCCACATCCTGAACTTTTAGATTACTTTTTTTTTAAATTTCTTTTCTTTTTCTCAACTTTTATTTTAGATTCGAGGGTACATGTGCAGGCGTTACATGGGCAAATTGCATGTCACTGAGGTTTGGTGTAGGAATGATCCTATCACCCAGGTAGTGAGCGATAGGCAGTCCTTCAACCCTTGCCCACCCGCAAGCCTTCCCCCTCTAGTAGTCCCCAGTGCCCGATGTCTGTTGTTCCCATCTTAATGTCCATGTGTACACAAAGTTTAGCTGTCACTTAAAAGTGAGAACGTATGGTATTTGGTTTTCTGTTCCTGCATTAACTGGCTTAGGATAATGGACTCCAGCTGCGTCCATGTTCATCAAGCTGCAAAGGACATGATTTTGTTCTTCTTTAGAGTGGTATAGTATTCCAGGGTACTACATTTTCTTTATTTAGTCTACTGTTAATGGGCATCTGGATTGATCCCTTGTCCTTGCTGTTGTGAATAGTGCTGTGATTAACATACAAGTGAGTGTGTCTTTTTGGTAGAATGATTTATATTCCTTTGGGTATATACTCAGTATTGGGGGTGCTGGCTCTAATGGTAACTCTGTTTTAAGTTATTTGAGAAATATCCAAACTGCTTTCCACATTGGCTGAACTTACATTCCCACTAGCAGTGTACAAGCATTCCAATTTCTCCACAACCTCACCAACATCTGTTTTGTTTTTGTTTTTGTTTTTGTTTTTTTTGGTCTTTTTAGTAATAGTCCTTCTTACTGGTGGGAGATGATTTCTTATTGTGGTTTTGACTTTCTTTTCTCTAATGATTACTGAGGTTGAGCATTTTATCATGTATGTGTTGACCACAGTATACCTTCTTTGGGGAAGTGTCTGTTCAGGTACTTTACCCACTGGAAAAAAAAGAGGAACTGGAGCTCTGTAGACCTGCAGAGTCTGTCGCTGGTCTGAGGAAACACAGTATGCAGTATAATTGGCTTTATCCTCCTCTAGCTCTAGTATTTGTGAAATTACAGGGGGCTTGACTGATAGTGAAATAATATAATGATTTCCATGGTATCTATTATGCCATTTAAGATATACCACAGCAGAACTTGCCAACCAGAATGTTGGGTTGGGTATTGGCAAGCCTCAACCATTAACTCCCTCAGTGCTGGGACAGTGGCAGCCCCTATGTCAGTTAACTCTATTCAAGAGCAGCCTTTACCTCAAGTTAACAAATATACAGATATATCATCCTTTGCTTGTGTCAAATGTAAAAACAGGGATCACTATAGTGTAATATCATCCATCCATTGTCTGGTTCTAAAAATTTAAATTCAAATACTGTTTTACATCTGATCACTGGAAACATCTATGGCCACACTCCTGAGAGTTATCAATGCATAGAATTTGTAATATCTACAACAAAGCCTGGGAGTTTTAACTGTCTTACCAATGTAAAATCAGTAAAGCAGAAGATCTCTTAAAACCATTATTCAAGAGACATGATAAACAAAAATAAGTAATTATCTTACAGAATTATGCCTGTCCTACTCATTTAATATCATACATGGTCTATCTAAGACAACCCTTATAAATCCATTCCATTACTTGTTATTCTTCAAGACTTATCACAATGCCAAATAATTTTTTATTTTGTCAAGAGCATTTACAAAGTTATAAAGTTAACATTATCCTAAAAAAGTTTAAGATGTTAGAAAAATACTCTGTTATTACTTAGTACTATGTTTCCTGATTTGATACTTTGCAATAATCCTAAACTATATATTGAATTACTTGTCAAATATGGATCATACCACAACCATTTCCTGGTCTTGCTCCTTTTGTATTTGACCTCAGACCTCACAGTATAAAATTTTATTTAATTTTAAGAACTCCTAAATCAGTTTAATAACTGCCTAAAGATTGGCAAGTGATAAAACCCAAAAATTCTTTTGGAACGCTATTAGTGGGATTGTAAGTTAGTACAGCCATTATGGAAACAGTATGGAGGTTCCTCAAAAAACTAAAAATAGAGCTACCATATCATCCAGGGATCCCACTGCAGGGTATGTACTCAAAAGAAAGAAAGTCAGCATATTGAAGAAATATCTGTACTCCCATGTTTATTACAGTATTATTCACAATAGCCAAGACATGAATAAACTTAAGTGTCTATCAATGGACACATGAATAAATAAAATATAGTATATACACAATGGAGTATTATTCAGCCATTAAAAAGAATAAAGTCTTGTCATTTGCAGCAACATGGATGGAACTTGAGGTTATGTTAAGTGAAATAAGCCAGGCACAGAAAGACCAACTTCACATGTTTTCAGTCATATGTGGGAGCTAAAAATGTGGATCTCATAAAAGTAGATAGTTTATTGGTGGTTACCAGAGCCTGCAAAGGGTATGTATGAGGGGGTATGAAGAGAGGTTAGCCAATGGCTACAAAAAATATGGTTAAATAGAAGGAATAAGATCTAGTGTTCAATAGTATAGTACAGTGACTCTAATTAATAATTTATTATATAGTTCAAAATAGCTGTAGGAGAGGAATTGAAATGTTATCAATACAAAGAAAAGATAAATGTTTCAGATGATATGTATTCCAATTAACCTGACTTGATCATTATACATTGTATGCATGTATGAAAATACCACATATACCCCTCAAATATGTACAATGATTATGTATCAATTTAATAAAAAGAAAAGGCTCCGGGAGAATAAGTGGCATTTTTAGCAAGGCTGTGCACCTTCTTATAGTCTTGGACCTGCAAAGACAGGAAGCCAGTATTAAACCATCAAATTCCTTTTCAGGCCAAGACCATACAAATAGAAATGAAGAAAAGGTCACCAATTTCCACAGACACATCATTGGATGTGTTGGAAGATGCTACTCTCAGACATAAGGAAGGTAAAGTACTAAATAAGTAGACACTCACTATTGAAGGTACTACTCATAAAATTCACTTTTAAAGAAATTCAGCAATTTCTTCAGAATCTTAGATGGTAATAACAAAAATTTAAGAAATATTTGAGAATATTAGGATAAACCATGTATAAAAATTTTAGAATCATGGTGTTTTAAACATTGGAAAGAGTGACCAAAGAGTACCAAATAATTTTCTTTGTTTAACATTAAAAACATATTGACATATTAACTTGTGACTAAATATAGAGATTGTGGTATATAACATTAATATCTCAAGGTCCCTTCTAGACTTATCTCTATATTTTTATGTGTAACCAATAATTATTTATCATGGACAATATCAAAAGGCATTAATTTGTAAAGCATGTATATCTAGACATTGTAAGTCACAATGTTCTCAACTATGTTCCATATTTGTTTTCTTGAGAGATGTCCCTACATTTTTCTTCTAATACACGTTCGCTTCATTTTCTTTTGTCTAAGCCAAGCATGAACACAATAGAGGAAATTCAATTCATTCAGCTTTTTTATTTTCACACACAGATTTTTTTAAATTAAACTTTAAGTTCTGGGATACATGTGCAGGACGTGCAGGTTTGCTACACAGGTATACATGTGCCATGATGATCTGCTGCATCCATCAACCCATCATCCAGGTCTTAAGCTCCGCATGCATTAGGCACTTTTCCCAATGTTCTCCCTTCCTTTGCCCCCTACCCACCGACAGGTCCCTGCGTGTGATGCCCACCTCCCTGTGTCCATGTGTTCTCATTGTTCAACTAACTCCCACCCATGAGTGAGGACATGCGGTGTTTGGTTCCTGTTCCTATGTTAGTTTTCTGAGAATGATGGTTTCCAGCTTCATCCATGTCCCTGCAAAGGACATAAACTCATTCTTTTTTATGGCTGCATAGTGTTCCATAGTGTATATGTGCCACATTTTCTTTATTTAGTCTATCATTGATGTGTATTTGGGCTGGTTCCAAGTCTTTGCTATTGTGAATAGCGCTGCAATGAACATACGTGTGCATGTGTCTTTATGGTAGAACGATTCATAATCCCTTGGATATATACCCAGTAATGAGACTGCTGGGTCAAATGGTATTTCTGGTTCTAGATCCTTGAGGAATCGCCACACTGTCTTCCACAATGGTTGAGCTAATTTACATTCCCACCAACAGTGTAAAAACTTTCTTATTTCTCCACATCCCTGCCTGCATCTGTTGTTTCCTGACTTTTTAATGAGCACAATTCTAACAGGCGTGAAATGGTGTCTCATTGTGGTTTTGATTTGCATTTCTATAATGACTAGTGATGATGAGCTTTTTTTCAAATGTTTGTTGGCCACACAAATGTCTTCTTTTGGGAAGTATCTGTTCATATCCTTCGCCCACTTTTTGATGGGGTTTTTTCTTCTAAATTTATTTAAGTTCCTTGAAGATTCTGGATATTAGACCTTTGCCAGATGGATAGATTGCAAAAATTTTCTCCCATTCTGTAGGTTGTCTGTTCACTCTGATGATAGTTTCTTTTGCTGTGCAGAAGCTCTTTAGTTTAATTAGATCCCATTTGTCAATTTTGGCTTTTGTTGTCATTGCTTTTGGTGTTTTAGTCATGAAGGCTTTGCCCATGCTTATGTTCTGAATCGTATTGCCTAGGTTTTCTTCTAGGTTTTTATGGTTTTAGGTTTCACATTTAAGTCTTTAATCCATCTTGAGTTAGTTTTTGTATATGGTGGAAGGATGGGGTCCAGTTTCTGTTTTCTGCATATGGCTAGCCAGTTTTCCCAGCATCATTTATTAAATAGGGAATCCTTTCCCCATCGCTTGTTTTTGTCGAATCCAGCAGCACGTCAAAAAGCTTATCCACCATGATCAAGTCAGCTTCATCCTGGGGATGCAAGGCTGTGGTTAGTTGTCTCACACCGAGATGATTAGCAACATGGACACACATGTGAAGTGGGTTAAGGAGCAGAAAGTTTAACAGACAAAAAAGAGAGAGAGAGAGAAAGCTTGCTCCTGCTGAGAAAGTGGGTCGCCCAAGAGAGGGTTTCCCTTCATTCAGTTTTTTATTAGGATAGAGTATTTCTGTTTTTGAATTCCATATCAGAATTCTATCCTCAAATCTCCCTTTGCATGCAAAAGTCAAAATTGTCTATTAGTTCGTTAGAACTTTAAACAATTTGAGAATGTTTAACCTTCCTCCCTCCCTCCCTCCCCTCTTCCTTCCTTCCTTCCTTCTTTCCTTCCTTCCTTCCTTCCTTTTTTCCTTCTTTCTTTTGGCAGAGTCTCACTCTGTTGCCCAGGCTGGAGTGCAGTGGCACAATCTCAGCTCACTGCAATCTCTGCCTCCCAGGTTCAAGCAATTCTCCTCCCTCGGCCTCCCGAGTAGCTGGGGTTACAGGCATCCACCACCACACCCAACTATTTTTTGTATTTTTTGTAGAGACAAAGTTTCACTATATTGACCAGGCTGGTCTCGAACTCCTGAACTTAAGTGATTCACCCACCTCGGCTTCCCAAAGTGCTGGGATTACAGGCATGAGCCACTGCACCCGGCCAGAATGTTTAACTTTTGTATTCTTTCATTTCAGAACTTGAAAAATCCAAGAAGATATGCCCATTATACTGGTATAAGTTTGCTAAAACTTTCTTGATCTGGAATTGTTCTCCCTGTTGGTTAAAATTGAAAGAGTTTGTCCATAGGATTATAATGGCACCATTTACTGATCTTTTCCTTATCATATGCATAATTTTAAACGTATGTTTTCTGACCTTGGAGCATTATCCAATGAGTAAACAAACTAACACTCTTCTCAACATTGGAAACCTGGTAAGACTCTCATTGTACATTATTTTCATTTGCAGTTTCTTAGTTATCATTGAACTTTTCTTTGTTCATCATTATTCCCATTATTTTATTCTGTAACTCCAATATGTTGCAATATGCATTATTATTGAATGAAGCATTGTGTTTATGCTTTATCCCTCCAACCCCTGCTTTCTAAATGTTCTTATCATTGAATAGTTTTACAGCTGGAATTTAAAATTCCCCAGTTTAAATTTGGGATTCCTAGCCAGATGCTTGGCAGTTACATTACATGGAAATTATTTATTGCCCCTCCCTTCCCAAATATACAGTCTCTTGGTACCATTAGCTCATAGATCAGAGTAGGGCAGAAGTGAAATAACAGGCACCTGACTCCTGAATTCTTAATTCTGATTAAAACAGCAGTTGGCCCTGTCTGTTCTAACCATGTATCTTTGCCCAGGATTGGAACTTACCATTTTAGCCTGGTATTTTTGAGATTCACCAGTCCTTTTTCACATACAATGCAAAAGACAAAACATATTCCTGTGAGTTTAAAAATAAGTCACATTCAAGCAAATGTATATTGTTTAAATGTATTTTCTTTCACCATTGTTGTTGTTTAGTTGCTTGGTACTAATAAAAACAGCCAAACTGCTAGAAGTTTCAAATTATACATTTATTTGGTACCAAAACAGCAATTTAGTGATTTCTGCCAGTACAGTTTTTAAAGGACAGCTTCCATAGGTTCATGCTATGTTTTCTCAGAGGATGAAAAATTAAATATCATATCATGTACTCTGTACCTCAAAAATAACTATTCAAAATTGAAAGGGCTTCACCCTGAAATATTCTTTTGTTTTCTTCGAGGATCAATTTTATTAAAATAATAAAAGATTCTGTATATAGTGTTTGACATTAGATTGTTAAATAAAATGTATGAGTCTGTCCTTACAATGCAGACTCTACAACTAACCAGATATTGACAGAGAAGCTGTGAAGAATGTGAGAGTGACAAGTAAACAGTGTGTGTCACAGATTTTGTGTGTGAAGATTCTGATACAGCTATTGGAATCATATTCTCACCTATGTATTTGGTTTTGATTTAGGTTTTCATTGGAATTTTCACAGCAGAAATGATTTTTAAAATAATTGCAATGCATCCATATGGGTATTTCCAAGTAGGTTGGAACATTTTTGATAGCATGATAGTGTTCCATGGTTTAATAGAACTTTGTCTAGCAAATGTTGCAGGAATGGCTCTTCTTCGATTATTCAGGATGGTAAGTAGAATCCAATACCTAACTTTTATTTGATCAAAGTTTATCTCAGTGTCTGCAGACATAAAATGGGGTTACAGTAATACCTATCCCATTGGGACATTGGGAGCATTAAATGAATTGATTAGTATATAAAGAGTTTATTGCCAAGGAAAGAGTAAGCAGTCTCCAATGCTGTTATTTGACCACAGTGTTAAAAGAAATAATGCCATATAGGCAGCAAATTTGAGATACAGTTTTAGGAAGCAGGGTCAGGGTAACTGAGTACATTTTGGAAAGCAAGAAAATGAGGAGTCTCCAAAGTAGAATTCTAATATGTCACCAAGAAGCCGAAATAAGGTGAGTATTTCTAAATGTCAGGTATAAAGGAAGACCAGTCAGACCAGGAGAATGTTATTATGATAATTATTAGGTAAAAATCAGTGTATGTCTATGGGGTAGGGTAATGGTGAGACTCAGAAAATTAAACAAGGGAATAACGTTATGAGAATATTGTTTATTGAAATGATATGCTTTAGATAAGTTATACATGGTCACATTCTGGTGACAGGTTGAAGGAATGTAGCAGGAATTAAGAACAATTAAGTCCATTTAATCTTATTCTAATGGTTACTTCCTAGAGGGCAGCTCATTCAGAATCCTGTCTTAGATCCTCATCCATAACCTTTTCTAATGAATAAGAGAAATATATACAGGATGTTGTCACCAAATTTATGGATGAAACAACACTGGCAATTGCAGAAAATGTGCTAAAAGATAGTATCAAAATATTTTAAAGGCTAGTAATAGACTGAATTTAAGATGATTAATTTTTTTCATAGATAAATGTAAGATCTCACTGTTGAGTTCAGAAAGACAGCTGAACACTAGAAAAAGTCAAGAAGTGAGGCCAGGAATTTGGAACCAGCCTGGGCAACATAGTGAGACTCCAATTCTAAAAAAAAATAAAAAATTAGTCACAGTGGTGGTTCATGTCTGTAGTGTCAGCTACTCAGGAGGCTAAGGTGGGAGGATCACTTGGGCCTAGGAGTTGGAGGCTGCAGTGAGCTATGATTGTGCTTCTGCACTCAGTCTGGGTGACAGAGAGAGACTCTGTCAAACAAACAAAAAAAAATTGAAAAGAAAGTGTCAGGAAGGTATAGCCTATATAAAAATGATGTATGAGATCTAATCGACAGTAAGTTTACTGTGATACAGTGACCAAAAATATTAAGGTAATCTTGTTCTGTATAAACAGAAATTTGAAAAAATCTAGTGAAAGGAAGGGGACTATTCAATATAAACCTAGAATGTTGTGTTTGGTCTTTGACATGTTATTTTAAAAGGGAAATACATGATAGTACCTTCATCAGAATCCACTGGATCCTGAAAGACTTTCAATATCATTTTCATGTCAACGTATAGGAAAAATGTGGAAAAATATTCAATATATTTTGAAAAGCAAAAACAAAGAATGGATACTTGCCCTAACAGTTAATAAAATATAAAGCTAGAGGAATTGTAACAGTATAATGCTTAATGGGAATTGGCAAATACATCAGTAGAAGAGGATATGTATAGACTGAGTATACAAAATTATAGGATATTTAAGATGTATTAAGAATTTGTCACAAAATGAATGTTCAGTAGTTAATAATGCTTAAAACTCTAAAGGCTATATATGTATATGTGTATAACACTGTACCTTGTAATATACACTGACCAAGTTTTTTGTCATTTGTTTCTTGTTCTTGATTTTACATTGCTCTATTAGTTAAGAATTTTCAAGTTGGGAAAGTATTGGCCAACATTCCAGATTTTGATGTGGTCTCTTAGTAACTCATGGGTGGCCCTGAAAGACTTGGTCCTGTTGTTGTTCACATTCATCTTCTTTTCTGCTGCATTCGGCATGAAGCTGTTTGGTAAGAATTATGAAGAATTTGTCTGCCACATAGACAAAGACTGTCAACTCCCACGCTGGCACATGCATGACTTTTTCCACTCCTTCCTGAATGTGTTCCGAATTCTCTGTGGAGAGTGGGTAGAGACCTTGTGGGACTGTATGGAGGTTGCAGGCCAATCCTGGTGTATTCCTTTTTACCTGATGGTCATTTTAATTGGAAATTTACTGGTAAGTAGTCAATTCTTTTACATTTTCCATGAAAACTGGTATAAGGTAGTTTGGTATTTTCATGATGTGCATTGATGGGATCTAATGGTCTGTAACTGTGGTAGTCCAATAGAGTAACCCACTAGCCAGATGTGGCCATTATCAACTGATATATGATTAGTTCCATTTGAAATGTGCTGTAAATGTAGAATATGCACCAGATTTGAAGTCTTACACAAAAAATGATGTGAACTATTTCATTAATAATTTTTATATTGAATGCATTTTTTAATGATAATATAGTAGGTCCTCCTTATGCTCAGTTGCACTGTATGTGGTTTCAGTTGCCTGTGGTCAGCCATGGTCTGAAAACATCCAGTGGAAAATTCCAGAAATATAAAACTCATAAGTTTTAAATTGCATGTCATTCTGGGTAGTGTA
This sequence comes from Homo sapiens, assembly GCF_000001405.40. Classification (NCBI taxonomy): domain Eukaryota; kingdom Metazoa; phylum Chordata; class Mammalia; order Primates; family Hominidae; genus Homo; species Homo sapiens. The sequence continues at coordinate 166,440,975 of NC_000002.12, read as the reverse complement.
ATGGAATCTCCTGCCATACCACTCTGTCCTGCTCTGGGCATGAAACATCCCTTTGTCTAGCATATTCATGCTGTATACACCACCTATTGGTCCTTTAGCAGCTGTCTGGGCTGTCAGATCATGTAGTACGCATGGGGTTTGGTACCATCCTCTGCTTCTGGCATCCACTGGGGGTCTTGGGATTTATCTGCCCTGGATTAAGGGGGACTACTGTATTTGTATTTAACTAAATACAAATACTGTTAAATACAAATACAATAGTCTCCCTTTATTTATTTGTATTTAGTTAAATATATATTTAGTTAAATATAAATGTTTGTATTTATTGTATACAAATTGTATATTGTATTTAACTAAATATATTTGTTAAATAAAATGTATTAGTAAAATTAATTTTGCCTGTTTTTCTGTGCTTTCTATGTGGCCACTGGAAATGTAAAATCGCATATATGATTGCATCATATTTCCATTAGATAGCACTAGCTTCTAACCTTGTTACTCAATGTAATATTGGCATCACGTGGGAGGTGGTTAGAAATGCAGACTCCCAGACCCCAATCCCAGACCTATGCAAGCGTAATCTACATTGTAACACTGTTCCCAGGTGATTTGTGTGCCCATTAAATTTTAAGAAGCACTTAAATGTAACACTGCTGTCAGTCTTTTCCTGGCTTTGGAATTACCTGGGGAATTAATAAAAATATGCTGATGCCTAGAATCCATTCTTAGAGATTCTGATTTTATTGGTATGTGGACATGACCTGGTCATCAGGATTTTTTGAAAATCTTCAGTTGATTAAATTGTGTAGTCAAGATTGAAAACCCCTGGTCTATAAAAATGTTATGCATTAACTAAGAGAGAAAGCTTTCACTTATAAGTTTCCTAATAACTGAAGTGGTTCTAATGAATTAAATAAGTAGCTTTCACTGCATCTATGGAAAAGGTATGGCTTATTAAAACATGATTCTTACAGGAATACAAGACTTGGTATTTTCTTTTTACTCATGTCATAAAGATCAAGTACATTTCCCAAAAGACTGAAAAAAAATCGCAGGTTAGACTCAATTTTACCTGTCCACATTGCTTGTGTTTCACCTTGAGAAGACCCTTGTCATACAATTATCACATTGGCATTGTATTTAATTGTTAGTGTACTTCTCTATCTTCTTTATTAAACTGTAAGCACCATGAGGGAAAGGACCATAGCTCTCCTCTTTATTACAAAACCTAGAACGGTGCCCAACATGTAAAAAATACTTCAATATCTTCTGCCCTTTGTAGTTACAGTAGTACACTTTTCATTCCCAGTGATAAAAAACACCACTCTAACTGGCTGAAACAAAAAAATGATCATATATATCAGCATACATAACTCATAACTCAAAATATCAGAGATAGATCTTGCTTCAGTTTGGATGTGACACAAATGATTAAATGGGATCATTACAGAGAGGTCTTTGTAGATCTCAATTCTGTTTTTCTCTGTGCTCTTTGCTAGCTAGTATCTTCTGTTTTATCAAGATGGCTGCTGCAGTCTAAAGCCTCATATCTTTGTATTATATCAAGTCTAATAGAGGAAAGAATTTCTTTTCTAGAAGCCACAGTTGATTTTTCCTATTATCTCATTAGCTGAATCACATGCCCATTCTTAACTAATCTCCATTGCCCAGGGTGTGGAATGCATTTATTATGTTAAACTGTTCATAGCTCTCTCTTACAGCTGGAGATGGGATAAGATCAAACACAAATCCTATGACTAATAAGAGGATAAGTGTAATTTCCTAAATAAATTTTATGTTTCTGTTTCCAAAAGGAAGAGTTATGGCTGTTGAGGAAAGCAACAACAACACACACATTCACATAATTCAAAGAGAAAGAAGCAGAAATACTGAGGCTATATATATATATATATATATATACACACACACACACATATATGTATGTGTGTGTATGTATATATACATATATGTATGATATAACATATAAATATATATATATATATTTGCCTAAACATTCCTGCTTCTTTGATTTTGAACTCCAATCTCTTTCTATTTTTTGTTGTTTCTACTAACCAGAAACTTCATCAATGTGCAGAGGGATTCTAGGATAAATGGAGTTACATGAACCTCCATTTCCAATTCATTGGCCATCATATTTCTTGGCTCACTAAATCCTTCCAGCTTAATTTTCCTCAGCAGTCATCCAACTGTGAAACATCATGATAATGGCAGTAGAATAAGTAGAAGGGGGAAAAATGTAAGGAGATAATCTTTGAAGCTGTTGATCTTTTTAACCTCCACACTTCTAATGTGGGTTGGTGTAAAAGGAAGACATTTCACATTTTAAAAAATTAATTTTGTCTTACTCTTCTAAGAAAACTCAGCAGTGATATTAAGCCTTAAGCAGAAACCTTACAAAAAATTATTATATGTCAAAGGAAATGAATTGGTTTTTAAATAGTTCTGTCTTGTTGAGTTGTAGAAAAAGCAGAGTTCAGAATCAAAGAAACATAGGTTCAAATTTCAGTTCTATCACTGTATTAGTCCACTCTCATGCTGCTAATAAAGACATACCTGACACTGGATAATTTATAAAGTAAAGAGGTTTAATTGACTCACATTTACATAGGGTGAAGACCTCAGGAAACTTACAATCATGGCAGAAGGGGAAGCAGGCATGCTCTTCTTCACATGATGGCAGCAAGGAGAAGTGCATAGTGAAGCAGGGGAAAGCCCCTTATAAAACCATCAGATCTTCTGAGAACTCACTCACTATCATGAGAATAGCATGGAGGTAACCATCATCATGATTCAATTACTTCCCACCAAGTCCCTCCCATAACACATGAGGATTATGGAAACTACAATTCAAGATGAGATTTGGGTGGAGACACAGCCAAGCAATATCATTCCACCCCTGGCCCTTCCCAAATCTCATATCCTCACATTTCAAAACACTATCGTGCCTTTCCAAAAGTCCCCCAAAGTCTTAATTCATCCCAGCATTAACTTAAAAGTCCAAGTCCAAAGTCTCATCTGAGATAAGTCCCTTCCACCTATGAGCCTGTAAAATCAAAAGCAAGTAAGTTACTTACTAGATACAATGTGGGTAAGGCATTGGATAAACACACCCATTCCAAATGGGAGACACTGACAAAAACAAAGGGGTACAGCCACCATGCAAGTCTGAAATCCAATAGGGCAGTCACTAAACCTTAAAGTTCCAAAATGATCTCCTTTTACTCTATGCCTCACATCCAGGGCATGCTGATGGAAGAGGTGGGTTCCCATGGCCTTGGATAGCTCCATCCCTGTGTCTTTGTAGGGTACAGCCCCGATCCCAGCTGCCTTCACAGGCCGGTGTTAAGTGCCTATGGCTTTTCCAGGTGCAGTGCAGGCTGTCAGTGTGTCTACCATTATGGGGTCTGGAGGACAGTGACCCTCTTCTCACAGCTCCACTAGGCAGTGCCCCAGTGGGGACTCTGTGTGGGGGCTCCAACCCTACATTTCTTTTCCACACTGCCATAGCAGAGGTTCTCCATGAGAGCTCTGCCCCTGTAGCAAACTTCTGCCTGGACATCCAGGCATTTCCATACATCCTCTGTAATCTTGGTGGAGATTCCCAAATCTCAGTTCTTGACTTCTTTGCACCAGCAGGCTCAACACCACATGGAAGTTGCTCAGGCTTGGGGCTTGCACACTCCGAAGTGATGGCCTAAGCTATACCTTGGCCCCTTTTGGCCACAGCTGGGACAGCTGGGACACTGGGCACCAGGTCCCTAGGCTGCACACAGCAGGGGGACCCTGGGCCCAGACTCCAAAACCATTTTTTCCTCCTAGGCCTATGCCCTGTTATGAGAGGGGCTGCTGCCAAGGTCTCTGACATGCCCTGGAGACATTATCCCCATTGCCTTGGTGATTAATATTTGGCTCCTCATTACTTGTGCAAATTTATGCAGCCAGCTTGAATTTCTCTCCAGAAAATTGGTTTTTCTTTTCTACTGCATCATCAGGCTGCAAATTTTACAAATTTTTATGCTCTGCTTCTTGAACACTTTGCCACTTAGAAATTTCTTCTGCCAGATACCCGAAATCATCTCTCTCAAGTTCAAAGTTCCACAGATCTCTAGGGAAAGGGCAGAAAGCCACCAGTCTCTTTGCTAAAGCACAGCTAAAGGAGTCACTTTTGCTCCAGTTCTCAACAAGTTCCTCATATCCATCTGAGACCACCTCAGCCTGAACTTTATTGTCCATATCACTATCAGCATTTTGTTAAGACCATTCAACAAGTCTCTAGGAAGTTCCAAACTTCCCACATCTTGCTGTCTTCTTCTGAGCCCTCCAAACTGTTCCAACATCTGCCTGTTACCCAGCTCCAAAGTCACTTCCACATTTTTGGATATCTTTACAGCAGTGCCCCATTCTCTGCAGTATCAATTTACTGTATTAGTCCATTGTCATGATGCTAATAAGGGTGTAACCAAGGCTGGATAATTTACAAAAGAAAGAGGTTTAACTGACTCACGGTTCCACAGGGCTTGGGAGGCCTCAGGAAACTTACAATCACGGTGGAAGAGGAAGCAGGCATGTCCTTCACATTGCAGCAGCAAGGAGAAGTGCAGAGTGAAGGTGGGGTAAGCCCCTTATAAAACCATCAGATCTTGTGAGAATTAACTCACTACCATGAGAACAGCATGAAGGTAACTGCCCCCATGATTCAGTTACCTCCCACCGATTCCCTCCCACAACATGTGGGGATTATGAGAACTACAATTCAAGATGAGATTTGGATGGGAGCAAAGACAAACCATTTCAATCACTTAATAAATAAGTGTCTTTGTGCATATTACGCAGCCTCTTTGAACCTGACCATACTTAATGGAGGAATGAACATAACAATACTTGCCTTATAGGGTTATTATAACTTAAATGTAATCATTTAGCACCCTATAAGTAATTCATATATTACATAAATCATTTCTTTACACTGCAGAAAAATTTAACCCCTATATCTTTACCAGATTTTTCTTAGTTATTTAATATTATTAACAAGTTTTAGTTAGCAAATTTTAATTTCATTCCTGGTGTTTTACTTGTGATTTAGGTAATTGTCACCAAGTGAAATATAGTACCTGACTGGTTACATAAACCAAACACTGAGGGATAGAAACATGAAAATAAAAGAAAGAGAAAACTTAATACAAAATTCAGTTGCCTTTTAAAAATAAAAAATATGATCATAGACACATATGTTATTCCATATATATTTGTATAATCCCAAATTAAATATATGTTAAGATGTAACTCAAGAAATTTAAAATTAAATAGCCTCAATACATGTTAAATTCCTTCATACCTGTTTATTTGTTGATTACAAATCAGAAAGTACTTACTTAAATCTTGAACTTTCTTCCTCTTTCATGCTGCTTGATTTTGCTATGAGTTGCTCAATTCTCACTCAATATGTGGATATCTTTGAGGGGCAAGAAAACAAAATTCAGGGGAATTTTTTAAAAAGTTTTGTTTTATACACACTATTTCACCTTTTCTCTCAACGCAAAAATAATAAATATATGTTTTTAATCTGGTTACAGATTCTGTGACTAGAATAAAGTTACTCTGAGTTTATATAATACAAATCTCTGCATTTTCTGCTCTCTTTTTTGTTAATGCTCAAATTAGAAGTAGTAATCAGTTCTCTGTAACTTGCGCCACTTACACAGCCTGTCTTTTCCTTTAAATCCTTAAAGAGAGTAGGCTATTTTTAATTCAGACCACATCTGAACAAAGCAGTAGCATTTCTTAGTGTTATAAAATTCTTATCTTATACTACAGTTTCAGAGCACTTAGCACTTTTAAGATTACGTTCATTTTTAGGCTTTGAACATTTTCACTATATATATATAGATATATGAATGTATGTGTGTATATTTGTGTGCATGTATGTCTAAGATATAAGAAATCTTTGATGTAATTTCCTTAAAATATGATTAATATAGCATAAACTTTTTCTTGTTCAAATCCTAGCACAAAATCTATTTTTTATTCTTTCTATAATCAATTATTTTTTAAAATAAATATTTGTTTATTACCTATTTTGTGCCTAGCAGTGTGCTGGTTGTCTAATTAAGAGAAAACATGGTTTTTGTTCATATGAAGCTTACAGTCATGAAACACACTAACAGCCTTCTGTTATTTCACACTGTGCCTAATACTTAGCCAAACAATAGAAGAAAAGGAAACAACTGACTATCTTAAATTATATCTGGTCTCACCATCTTATATCAGGAAACTGTTGTCCTTTGAGAATCATAGAGTTGCTAATAGTGTGGCTCCTATGGGAGCCATGGAGGTCCTGCCTAGATTATCTATAAGTAAACCTCATTGCCAAAGGAGACGCTAGTGGGAGAACAGAAAGGATCAAAGGTTACATAGATTAGACCTAAGTCTGCTTTATTTCTTTATTTCTGAAGCTATTAGCATTTGATCATTGTCCTTTCTGTTTTAATTTTTCTCTTCTGAGAATCTTTCATTGTGGATTATAAAAGATATTTGCCAGTTTTTCAGATGCTCTCACCCACAAAACATTTCCCATATTGATATATCTTATAACCAAAATTTTATTGCTATGCTAAAACTATGGATAAGATTATCTATTTGATGACTTTATTCACTGAAAAATACTTTGATTTTTCTATACAAGTTTTATTTGAACCTTCTGTATTCCTAAGAAATAGGAAGATCTAGATAGAGAGAAGTAAATGTAACCCATTAGGATTAAACACTATTATCCCAGATGTGCATGTCCATGAGAAAAAGAGTAATTATTGGAGTGTTTGAGAAACTCAACTGTTCACATAGATCTAAAATTTTGAAAAAAGTTTCAAAATATGAGTCTTTGGAGATGCTCACATACTTATTTTATGTACACACAAATAGTCAGCCTAATTATCCAAAACTATAATATATGCCTTACAATTATAAACAAGTTTAAAATCTGATTCTCTGGAAAGTGATCAGTACTTGATCATACTTCTAAGTGATAGTAAAAGTCAAAATATACACTATCTTTGAGTTAAAAATAAGTTACAAGTGTTAGGAATGAGTCTTCCATCACTCATCTGTTTCTTATTTGACCAAATTTACTACAGCAGATAATCAACTAACCTTCCTAGCATCTGTGTTTTCATCCCACAAAAGCCATTAGATATGGTATGCAGGACCCTGGGTAGCTCTTTCCCCATATAATTCTTCCTGGGTTTGCAGAATTCTTACATGTTTTCCTGGAACAGGGCTGAAGGGAAGTGAGCTGCCTGGAAAAACAACTTATTTGCTCACCTTGGGTGAGACAGCTTGACTCAGTGAGAAAATAAGCTTTGGAATAAAGCAGACTTGGGTCTAATCTATGTAACCTTTGATCGTTTGATATTTGACATCTGTAAACCTTGCCTTTTTCATCTGTAAAAGAGAAACAAATCATATTGCATAGGATGTCATGAGCTTAAAATAAATTCTTGCTATACAAATCCCTAGCACAGCACCTGACACACTGTGGTAGGTGGATAAGAACTGAATAGTATTGTAGTTCATATGCTTCATTTTCAAATCTCAGGTCAGCCTTTTTTAGTCAAATTTATTTTTTAAGTTAATGTATAAAATTGTATGTATTTATGGTGTACAAGGTAATGTTTTGAAGTAGACATACATTGTGGAATGGCTAAATATAGCTAATTAACAAATGCATTACTTCACATGGTTATCATTTTTATGGTGAGAACACTTAACCCATTTATGCCAGAAGTTGCAATTTTTGTGTGAAAAGTCGACCTTGGCGATGACCTTGAGCAGTAGGATATAAATAACTCCCACAAGCTTAGCCTTCCAATAATGGAACACTAGGCATAAATGGGTTAAGTGTTCTTTCACACTCTGGAAGTAGAGAGCAGAATGATGGTTACCAGAAGCTGGGGTGGTTAGGGGAAAGTGGAGATTGAGGAGCTGTTGATCAAAGGACACATAATTACAGTTAAATAGGAAGAATAAGTTCAAAAGATGCATTGTACAGCATGGTGACTACAGTTATTAATTACAATATATTGTATTCTTGAAAAATGCTAACAGAGTAGATATTAAATGTTCTCATCAGTTTTGTAAACAAACTTTTCATTACTTAAAATGAAACAAAATGAGATACATTTAGCCTCATTTTACTTCCTTATTTAGGTACTTTACCTGTTTCTGGCATTGGTGAGCTCATTTAGTTCATGCAAGGATGTAACAGCTGAAGAGAATAATGAAGCAAAAAATCTCCAGCTTGCAGTGGCAAGAATTAAAAAAGGAATAAACTATGTGCTTCTTAAAATACTATGCAAAACACAAAATGTCCCAAAGGACACAATGGACCATGTAAATGAGGTATATGTTAAAGAAGATATTTCTGACCATACCCTTTCTGAATTGAGCAACACCCAAGATTTTCTCAAAGATAAGGAAAAAAGCAGTGGCACAGAGAAAAACGCTACTGAAAATGAGAGCCAATCACTTATCCCCAGTCCTAGTGTCTCAGAAACTGTACCAATTGCTTCAGGAGAATCTGATATAGAAAATCTGGATAATAAGGAGATTCAGAGTAAGTCTGGTGATGGAGGCAGCAAAGAGGTAAGATGTTTAAATATCCTGATTGCTTAGTGGTGATTTATAGTATTGTTGATAAGGAAGTAAATCAGCGCCGAAGTTCCACAGCCAGATTATCCACTCAATTCTAACTCCATCACTCCTAGCTCCATCACTCTTAGCCTCTGACTTTATGCTTTTGATCAAATTACTTAAACTTTCCAAGCTTCAGTTTTCTCATATTTAAATGAGGCTAAAATGGTATTTAGTCCATGGAGGGGGGGAGGTAATAGTGCATAGAACAATACCTAGTAAAGAGTAAGCACTTAGGAAACATTAGATGATATAATTGTGACATTCTATAAATTAATAACCAGGCAGTTTGAGGGTGCTGAAAAGTATACTGAGGAAACCAAAGTTTTCTAAATCAAGGTGTATGATTTAACAAATCACTAAATTTCCATGGGCTTTATAATCTTAAAATGGGAGATTGAATTAGAAGAGTGCTACAATTCCTTCTTGCTTGCTAAAATTCTAAGATTTGAATCAGATCATTTCTGCCCATATTTGGACATTATAATTAAGTTGGACTAAAGGAATTTTTAAAACCTCCCAGTTTGAATTTTGAACAGTTGGTAGCTTTATAACGCACTGGCTTTAAAAAAAAATCAGAGTCGCATTCAAAGAAGGGTAGATACTGCTGTTCACTTAGCTTCTAAAATATACACCCTACTGGAAACAGTCTTATTGTCTCCATTTGCAAGCAGCTTGTGTTTTAGAAGGAGGTGTAACTTCATAGAAAGCTACACCTACAGAGATCACATCTGCACAAGGGCTTTTTACCTTGGACCCCACTAGGGAATCATTTCAGATCACTCAGGGGCACTGGAGGGTCGGGGAATGTGTCTTTACAGGTCCCCATCATCTGTGGCACCATCTTGTCTCCCAGACCTCTTCTGTTTTGGCAGATGCTCTCTACAATAACTTCACAAATTGTCTTCTAAGAGGAATTCAGTTTCAATTATCCAAGGTCCTTCCATCACCTACTAAAGCCATCTTTATTTTAGTTAGAGAGACATTTTTAATCCACATGCCCAATAGTCTAAGATTCATTTACCTTTTAAATTAATACCATTGCTATAAAACAGGCATAAATTCTTACTCAGCACACTTCTCAATCTTCGTTAAAGATTTGGATTACTATCCATTTCTGGGTGAAATTGCTATTTACCACAGCACAGCATGTTGGAGTGTCCCTGAAAACTTCATGCTAATCTCCTTAGAAATTCTGGAGTATGAAAATACATAGGAAAGCTGTAACTTAAAATAACTGTAAATATTGAAATTGCAGTTTTTATTTATGCTGCATAGTTATTTGGTCTTGCTGGTTGATTAACTACTCACAAAAGATGTATTCATTTATTTATATATTTAGTTACATATTTAGTTAGATGCTTTCTAGATTATGTAGCCCATGACTACTTAGGATATTGATATACCCACAGCCAAAAATAAAACACAAAAATATTATAAATGATCTGATAATTCAGAGATACACTGTCTTGTTTCTTTGCTATTTGTACTTCCAGCCTATTTTTATTAAAAATATGCATATATATTTACATATTATAAAAATAACATCAAAATTTACATCGTGTTTTGTAACTTGTATTTTTTGTAATGCAGAAGTATATCATGGTCACTTTATGCCATTAAATAATCTTTTATCAAAATAAATGATTTATAATTTGAGTCTTAATTGATTTATTTGTAAAATTAGAAAAATACCTACTCACCGGTATTTTGGAAAAATCACATCAAATAGGATATGTACAAGGCTTTTTACAACTCTTTAAAAATATAAATTTATGATGTATAATTTTAATTACTGTCAAATATTATGTTTAAATTACTTAATGCCTAGTCTCAAATAAATATATTGCTACAGATTTTATTTCATTAGAAATAAATAAAGAATATATAAAAGTAATGGAAATAAAAATATCTGTGTAAGAATAATATTCTGCTGGATACTTTACTTTTTTTATTTGAGCACTATAATGATTTACTGACAACTGACCACGTAAGAACTAAAGCAAAAAAAGCTTTCTAATTATATTTCCTTGACACTTACTGTGTATAAGTCTAAGAGGTAGGACAAAATATTGACAATTTCTCTGGTTTTTTGGCCGTCTACCTAGATTTTTTTCTTAATTTTTATGAAATAAGATTGGTTTCATTCCAAATGTTAAAATGCGCTTGCCTTAATTTTTGTTTTAATTAGAAAATATTACTTATATGCTATTAACCTTAGATCTTGGTGATTTTAAAGAATGATTTACGGTATCCTTATTTTAAAATAAGGTAAAATAAAGTATTGTGAGAAAATAATTTTAAATAAAGGCAAAGAGTATCATTAGCACTATTACCTATGTAAAGCAATGACCACCTTATTCTACCCAGCCTTGAACTTCAGTCAAAAGCAGAGTTAGAAAGAAGGTCAATTCTGCATCTGGGTGCTTTTCATAAGGCTGTGCCCCTTTCCCAGGCCTGTTCTTGTCCCTATTTCTTGTGCCTTTCCCTCATTTTACTTCATGATAAATCCCATCCTGTGATGACATACATAAGACCATCTGGACTGAATTTTACAATGAAACCTAGGTGCACTATTATCTACCCATCTTTAGCATCAAGGGATGATTTGTTCTGATTCTACTCATCTAATTGAAATAGCATATATGGGAAACTTGTGACTTACTCCAAGAAAACTTTGGAACCCCAATCCTTTTGTGAATTGGAGACAGCCTATACATCTTTAAGAAGCAAAGTGTTATAAACTAAACATGAATTTTAATCTAAATGTTATTTTAGCTTAAAGTAAGTATCATACAATATTTTTTTAAACTTCAACTCTTACCAATATGTACGCATTTTAATCTCAGTCATGAAATTGGCCTTAAGTCTTTTAAACCTAATAATATTATTTCTGTACAAAATTTTTCTTACTTCTGAAAATGAAATAAACTTTGGCCACCATGGGTAAATGAAACTTTAATCACAACTTTTTTGGTGGGACTTCACCTTTTAGAAAATAAAGCAATCTAGCTCATCTGAATGCAGTACTGTTGATATTGCTATCTCTGAAGAAGAAGAAATGTTCTATGGAGGTGAAAGATCAAAGCATCTGAAAAATGGTAAGAAAATTTTGTTAATCTTGCTAGGAAACTAATTTGAATTATAAGTTGTCAAAATGTATATGTTCCATATCCAGTATGTCAGTCAATTGACTGAATCTTTATACATTTCTTAATATTCATGTTAAATGTACAAGTGTCACCATTACAACTTGTTTTCCTCTGACAGTTATAGGCCATTTTTATATGAGTAACTTAAATATTGGCCCTATTTCATGAGATCTAAGAACACTTCATTTGACTTCAACATATATAGGTATATGTGTGCATGTGTATGTGTATACACAAACATCTCAGTGCTGCTTTAACTATACTGATTTTCTGTTTTACTCCTAAATTGTGCTCTGTTCTAAAGCACACAGTGGTATAGCTACTAGTATAAAATCAAATATGAACATTATGTATCTTTACCCAATATTACTCACAGCATGAAAAATGTGTTTTGGAATCACCATTATTAATAATATTCCACTGCCACAATACTACTCATAGTATAATTTAACACAAGACAAAATTCCAAAATAAAATGTTTTGGCTTTAAACTCCACCTACCTCCATTTCTTTGTTTTGTCACCTGTATATCAACCTCTTCTCCAGCCTCAGGTTTCCATTTTGCTAACCCTTTTGGCCAGAGCGCAGAGTGCAGCCCCGTACACATGTACTCTACCCACAAAGTACTCCACAGTCCATGTTACTTCCGTAATAGTCTCAATAAAAATTCCCATTTTCATGCCACCTAAGAACTGGAATCAAAGCAATTAATTTGATTTAACTAATTTTATGCCTCTTAACATCTCATAAGTATTTATATTTTTAAACAGGAATGCATGTTATACCATGTGAATCTTCAAAGAGTAAATTTTCAGGCATTATATCAAAATGTAACATTCAGAAATGAGATATTTGTGTGTATTTTCTTTTGTGCTATTAGTGAATACCTATTCTCAGACTGTTTTGCAGAGTGACAACATGTTGTAGGTCATTTCTGCCTTTCACAATGCCTTTCTTTCATTACTACCGAACTCCTAAGTCCAGTTTTCCTTTTCCTGCTCAGGGATTACAGTGGTCACTACACCATGGGTAAAAATTAAATGTTTATAAATCAGAGACAACCTGGATTAGAATTTGTAAATAAATAATTGCTGTGGCACATAGTAGAAAGTTTCAGTTGTTTACTTTTTCATGAGTTTTCTAGATTGTTGTTCTTACCAATTCAATCTTGACAGGTTGCAGACGCGGATCTTCACTTGGTCAAATCAGTGGAGCATCCAAGAAAGGAAAAATCTGGCAGAACATCAGGAAAACCTGCTGCAAGATTGTAGAGAACAATTGGTTTAAGTGTTTTATTGGGCTTGTTACTCTGCTCAGCACTGGCACTCTGGTAAGTGGGCAGCCAGGGTGTTTGATACTTTGCTGGGGACAAATGTATCATGATTCTGTTAATTCAGAAAGTCAAAACCAGGATTACATTTCCAAGGATATTTAGTATAGCACCAAATAGCACCAAATTTCATAATCTGTGATTTAAAATCTAAATAATATACTTTCTTAGAAAGTTTATATATGCATCATTCAATATTAAATTTAATATTGATTTTTAATATATTATTTTGCAATATTGAATTCCAAAATATATGAGTGACAGTGGGAAATGGAATGTGAATAGATACCGGATTCTTCTGATTTTAATGAATTTTCATGTATGAAACATTTTAATGATTTGCACATCCAAAACTGCTATAATATGCTTGTACTTTGGTACCTATCAAAGGAAAGGGAACTATTGCATATGCTTTAAAGGGTCTGTGAACTACAAATGTATTTGACCCTACAATCTTAACTCTGCGCTCAGAATCTTAATTCTAAAAATATTCTACAAATATCTGCACATTAAATGGTTCTACAAGGTAATTCACTGAAGAATGTTTTGTAATAATAGCAAAGGGTTAGAAAAGAAGGTCTGTAATAGCTGACTTTATACTATGAAAAATCATCCAATGGAACTCTGTGCAGCTATTTTAAAAATTCAGAAGCTATGTGCATATTTACAATTCATCAAGATGTAGTAATAAGTGGAAAAAGAACGGTGTAGAATAAAGTGTATGGCACTCTGCCTTTTATATAGGAAAGGAATAAAAATAGAATGTATATTGGTATTTGTTTGTATTTGATTAAAGAAGATCAGAGATCTTTTAAGGAGAATTCTTACATACAAGATCTAGTTAACTGTGAGGTGCACAGAACACAGAAGATGGAGTCATGGTTGTGAACTGGACTTTGCACTGCCTATATTTTTAAATAAATTTTGTGTTATTTACCACACATATTGAAAACTCTCCATGGGTGTGCAGCAGGAATGATTTTCACAATGTGAATGCACGTTTGTGACTTAGATTGAGAAACAGAACATTTACCAGGATGCCAGAACAACACTCTTACCCCTCAGTTACTTCCCTACTCCACAAGGGTAGCCAGCATGTGGACTTCAACTGCCATAGATTAGTTTTATCCATTTCAGACTTAATAAAAATAGATTCAAACTGTGTGTTACTTTTGTATTTCTTCTTCCTCTCATTTTGTTACAGCATCCCACTTCCTCATAATGATCAGAGTCAATTATCCTTGCTGGTATGGTAACTTCTTTCTTTCTTACTAGTTGACTGGTACAAGAAATCAAAAATTAAGCAAATGACATCTAAGCTTGAATTTTAGTAGGAGACATACTATGTCTCCTAATGCCCTATTCTGGGAGCAAAGACCCCAGAGTCCACCTATCCTAAGGTTGAGAGAATGGGAAACACAAATACCCGCTAGGGGGCTTGCCAGATACTCCATACTACGCCTTTCTCCATCACAGATTCTGCTAGCATCATGGATCTTCACATGGCTCAAATGGAAAGGCTGCTTAGAATATAGTCAACCTATTTTAGTATCTTTTGTTGCATCAGATTCTACTGAAAAATAGCAATCTTCTGCATCACCTGATAATGCGTCTTTGGATCAATATTCCCAAGTGTGAAATTTTGCTTTCAAATCCTAAAGAGGTCTACCAGGCGTTGTATCTCTTTCTTAGAGTAGGAGGCACATATGTCTCTCTAAAGCATCTAGAGAACTTACCATTTCTTGTTCATCAGGTCTGATTAACATGATATCATCAATATAATGAATCAATATGATGTTAACTCCTGTGGTGCTGGAGTTAACTGTGACCCCCATGTCAACACATTATTCCTTTTATCCAGCTTCACATTCTATCCCCTTTGATCCAGCCTGTAGGCTGATAAATGGTCCTCAAATATGTCCATGACATAATCCCCAGAACCTTTGAATATTAACTTATATGGCAAAGGGTCATCACAGATCTGATCAAGTTAAAGATCTTGAGACAGGGAGATTATCCTGAATTATCTAGCTGAGCCTAATATAATCACAATGGTTCGGGCAAAAGAGATGCTGGAGGAGTTGGTGTCAGAAAAGAAGGTGATGTGAGGATAGAAGCAGAGATTCGGGTGTCATCCTTTGAAGACAGAAGAATGCACCACAGGCCAAAGTGTATAAGTAGTCACTAGAAGCTGAAAAAGGAAGGAACTGAGACCCCTCAGAGCCACCAAAAGGAACTAGCCTTCTCATCACCTCGATTTTAGCCCAGTGATTTCTGACATCAAGAATGAGAGTATATAGAGTTGTGTTGTTTTTAAGCTTCTAAATTTGTGGTAATCTGTTACAGTCACAATAGGAAACTAATAAGCAGCCCTCTCTAGATACACTACCAGGAAAGCTCCTCCATTTCCTGCTAGTACATGTTTCTAGGTCTTGCATAGGTACCAGGTTTTCTGGTATACAATCCTTCTCCTTCCTTAGCAGTCTTAGTACTTCCCAGGCCACTGTATGAAGAGAGTTGTCTCTATTTATGCATCAGGTGGCCAAGAGAGGAGGTAGAGGTAGACCTTAAAGAGAGTTTTTAAAAGACACCTACCCTATTGTAGGCCTCTTCATAATCCTCAAGAAAGACTCAATTCAGCTTGATCTTGTGGGGAGGCTCTGGAGCCCAGACTGCACCGCGCAATTTCACCTTGAGTGACAAAAGGGAGCTGGCATTTATATCTCTATTCCACTCAGCCGTTGATTGTGCTGGGTCCCTCTAGGAGTGGAAACATTGCCTCTCAGGCGGGGTGGCTCTTGTTTAGCAGAGGCAGTTCTCCAGAAGGGCTTCAGTTGTGTGTTATCAAGCAACACTCGGTTGCTGTGGAATAGTTAGGTATGCCAGTAAGGGAATTCTTGGTGGGCAACTCCAGCATCTACTACAGTGTTCAACATGTACTTGAAAAGCATGTGTCAAATGATGTAGCTGGGTGCAATTATAGTTTGTGATTTCCATCGTTCCCATCTACGATGGGAGCCTTAGTGATCTAGCAAAGATGTTTTTCTTTGGTTGGCTATAGATATAATGTGTTAAATCATCCCACTATGATTGCTTTTTTTTCTAAATCTTCTTTTGGTGTCATCAGTTTTGCCTTATATATTTTGATGACCCATTATTTTGGACATACAGATGTATACTTATAGTACTGATCCCTCTATTATTATGAACTATCCTAAGTTACGTATCTTGCCTAATTTGTTACTAGCTTTATTTTTATTAGAATTTACATGTTAAATCTTTTTGTTCTGAACATATTCTTGACCTTCTCCTTTCTACAATTAGGGCCCATCTGCTCTTTGTTGATACAGCAGCTCTGTGATGCCTTTAAAAACAAATGCTTTTTAAACTTCGTACTGTTTTTCTGGTTCTTTGCAGCAGGATCATTGGTCTGGTAAAATCTACTCTACCCATGCTAATTGAAGTGGAGGCTTTTGAACATCTTTTTATTATATTTTGCATTATGTACCTGAATAATTGAAAAATAAATACATGTAACAAAATAAAATTTTTAAGAACTTTATAATCTTTATGGACTCATTTACACAGTAATTTGTTCAATTAAAAGTCATAAAATCTATTGTTATTTTGTATTTACTTCCATTTAACAGTAGGTTTTAAGAATCACATCATTCTTTATATGAGATTATTTTAATCCTTGCTTGCTTTTTGTCCTCTTATGTATATTGATATTGAAAGCCTGCCTGCCTGTTTTCAGTGCTAAAATATTTATGAAATTGCTTTCAATGACATGATTAGACTTTACATATTCCATAGTCAAATTAAGGTTGACATTAAAACTGAGAAGCTTTGGAGAAACAGTTATAGTTTTAATTAATCGTCAGCATTTCAACTGGTTTACCTGATAGCCTTATGGATTTCTAAAGACATTTTAAAAACATATCTGTTTCTCTATGAGTAAGTGGCATATATCTGTGAGTTGGCTACCTGGAATTACATATAAGATCCATGTCAGATGTGACTAAAGGTTTTGACTCTTGTGTTAAGTTTGATTAACTGATTTTGGAGGGGATTTTTGGATCGCTATTTAAAACAATTATGAAGCCAGGTTCAGCCTATATAAGAACTAGTTCTGGGATCAATTAATGATGTCTGGCGTAGGCATGGGGTCAAATAATAATACTTATAGATTATGTCAATAAGTACAAGCATAGTGAACCAGCCCTGGAGCCTACAATCTCTGACAGTGCTCACCATATGCCTATTAGAGACAAAATTTTGTTCGCTTTTATGTCAAAAGAGTTTTTAGAAATTACCTGTACACCTAATCCTTATTTTTTTATTTTTACCCACAGGCTTTTGAAGATATATATATGGATCAGAGAAAGACAATTAAAATTTTATTAGAATATGCTGACATGATCTTTACTTATATCTTCATTCTGGAAATGCTTCTAAAATGGATGGCATATGGTTTTAAGGCCTATTTCTCTAATGGCTGGTACAGGCTGGACTTCGTGGTTGTTATTGTACGTATTTTAAAGAAAATGAAAGGCTATTTGATTTACTTTTTCTTCCTCACTCTTACTCTTTCACTTCCTGTCAGTTTGTTATATCTTTCCTTTCCCTCTCTCTCTACATTGTTGGTACATGACACCTTTCTTAGTTTGTAATATTTAACATCTATCATTTTCTTCTTATTCCAAAATTTTAAAAGTTCAACACTTTGTTCCTGGGTTATTATAATAATCACCTTGAATTTACTGTTAACCATGTAAGTTTGTTGCACAGTATCTTGATGATATCAGCACCCTAAAATCTTTAAGTTCTTCTGTTGGCTTAACTCTTAATCATATATCACAATTAGACTACTTATGATGTTCACAAGTGCAGGGCTGATCCAAACTCCCCAAATTTCTCACTTAGATCTCTACAATAGATTCCAAAGTGGTGTCCCTGCTTCTGCCCTGCATACCATCATTCTGTTTTCCACATAGCAACCAGAGTAACTGTTGTGAAATGGAAGTCAGCTCATGTCACTTCTCTTGAAACCTTATGTTAAACACCCATCTCATTCAGGGTAAAATCAACAATCTTTGCAATCAATGCTCTACAAGTATCTGTGTAATCCAACATATTCCCTGCTATGCTTCCTTCCCCCTGTCCAGGTCTATTTACTGATCCACCAGCACCAGCCTTCATGGAGCACTTCAAATATGCCAAGATTATTTTCATCTTAGTGCCTGTGCACTTATTTTTCCTTCCAGCTGGAACCTTGGCTGGCATTGATGCCTTAGCCAAAATGAAACCTTTGAAGGTCTTTCCTTACAACACTATTTAAACTGCAGCCACTCCAATACTCCCTTTCTCTTTGTCTGCTTTCTTCATCTCCATACCCCTTATTAATATTGTACCATTTGTTCATTTATTTTGTTATTGTCTGTTTTCTCCCACTAAGGTTTAAGTTCCATTAGGGTAGAATTTTTTCTTGGTTTTCTTCCCTCCTTTAAGTCATGTGCCTAGAACAATTTCTGTCATATTAGAAGGTTCTCAGTATTTTTGTTGAATGAATGAATGGCTCTCTATTCTATAAACAATGATAGAAGCTCCCCAATCTACAATTAATGATTTAAAATAGCTGACCTCTCTTTCCTAAGTTCACTCTTTCAAATTAGCCTTCAGCTCTAGCCAAATCATACTATGCCTGCAACTCGCCTTCCTGTTTCCTAGTCACTGTTCTGTGTCTAGATTCCTTCATGCTTATGAAAATAATACCCAAACTTCAAAGCCTACTTCAAGGCTGTCTCTTTAGTAAAGGGTAAAAAGAAGAAATTTTTCATAATGTTGATTTGAAAATGTAGAAAAATCTGGATATAATAAAAGTTAATATTAGCTTTACCACCTTAGTATTTATGAACATTTATTAACCTTTAATATATTTACTTTTAAAGATTACCTTAGTATCTGGTTATACTTTTTTGTAATGTGTGTACTTTTGACTTAACAATATTCATATCTTCCTTGATGCCTATCCTCTGAAAGCCTATCATGTATATTGTCTTAACCATATTTGTATATGAATGCATGTGTAACTATATTTCTTATTTTGTTTTAATGAATATACTGCATATGATTACTGTATTACAAGTAATTATGAAACTGATTCTTAATCTAATTTCAAACAAAAAAGATATGTCATTGATCATAAAGAGTATAAAATATACAACTTTTATTTATCTCACTAAAATATGTTCCTTATTACCAGAAAACAGTTTAGTTTTATCTTTTTAAAGTGATTTTAACACTCAATAATTTTCTTATAACTTTCTGTGATTATTAATGTATTTTGAAGTATATGTAAAAATAATTCACGAATTTACTGGTAAGCTTTTATTGTATATATCTGTTGTAATAAATGCAAAGTTTATTTTACATGTTATTTTGATTAATATGGAATCCTATTCACTCTTTTTTTAAAAAAAATATATAGGTGTTTTGTCTTAGCTTAATAGGCAAAACTCGGGAAGAACTAAAACCTCTTATTTCCATGAAATTCCTTCGGCCCCTCAGAGTTCTATCTCAATTTGAAAGAATGAAGGTAAGAGATAAGTTTCTAAGCTAATCTACAAATTTTTATTTGGAATTACTAAATTTGCACAAATTGGGAAGCTTTGTTTTCTTCTCGTTTGTACCTTTAACAGTATTAATACAACAAAAACTTTACGTTTCATTGCTTAGAAATAGAGAGGAATAGGTATGTTTATTAAGATTCTAGGTTCTTATTCCTCATAAAGTATAAAAACCAATACAGACAAGTAAAAGAAACTAGTATTTGAGAGAGAAAATATAGTTTTAAAAATATATTTCTACCCCATATACATATGCATATTACCAAAATTGTCTCCATTTTAAAAATACGGTTGTCAGAAAATGAAACTTGGATCAGTTAACAAACTTTAAAATTATACAAACATTGTATACCCTAAGTGGTTACTCACTGAATGAAAGAAAAGTTTGAATTTTAAGATAAATTTACTTTTTTAATGTCACAATCACAAGTGATGATTTCTTACCTCTCCTGTCTTCATCACTCACATGTTAAAACCTCTTCTGAACAATGTAAAGAAAATTAATAGATTGAATATTATAAAATGGCCAATGTCTGAAAAATGTAAAGAAAATAGATTGAATATTATAAAAGGCCGGTGTTCAATCTTTTGTACCTGAAATGGAAATCCCATAATGCTCGACCTAATAGAAAAAAATGGAGTCTGTGACCACCACAAGTAGTATAAGTATGTAGCTATACAGTGACCCATTGTATACAGAAATGGGAGAATACGTTCAAATGTACCTTTTATTTTATAATACATTTATGTGTTTTTGCATTTTTATTTACATAGATTTTTTTCATATCAGTCTGCCACTTTAATTACTACGTAATATCACATATTCATTGCTATGGTAGAATCCAGTGAGAAAATTATTAACGTTTAACCTTTATCCCTATAGTTTATTGTATTATGTGTTACATTTAAACTGTTATTAATTAAGAAACCATAACACTTAAACTCCTTCCACTTGGTGAAATGTGGATGTTTATTTTTCTCTATAAATACAAACAGAAATATAAATGATTTTAAATATGTATTTTATTTAAAAAAATAATTTCAGAAATTTTAATAATTTCACTTTTATGATTGTGTAAAGTACTTAAGTACATTAGTTATATTTGTATATGTATACTTAGCCCGTGATTCATTATAATATTCTTGTAATTCATACAAATGTATCGTTGACTCATTATAATAGTACTTAGGCCTGATCTATCTGTTTCTTAAATACATTTGATTTATTTGTGTTGGGAAATTAATATTTTGATTATGTAGTAAATACATAAAATTCCAAATGTGGCAAAATTCCAATTATACACCTCAAAAACAAAAAATCTAAAATAGTAATTGTAACATATAATAAGAAACAGACTTCATTTAACCATATCATGAAGATCCACAAGGTGGTGATATTGCCCAGTGCTTTTAAACCAAAATAAGGTGGCAAATAAGCTGAAAATAAGGTGGTTGAATGGTTTGATAAGATTGAAGTTAAAATGACAAAACAGCCTAGGCACGGTGGCTTACACCTCTAATCCTAGCAATTTGGGAGACCGAGGCCAGCAGATTGCTTGAGCTCAGGAGTTTGAGACGAGCCCGGGTAACACAGTAAGACCCTGTCTCTACAAAAAATACAAAAATTAGCCAGGTGTGGTGTGTGCAAGTGTAGTCCCAGCTACTTGAGATGCTGAGGTGAGATGAGGTGAGAGGATCACCTAAGGCTGGGAGGTCGAGGCTGCAGTGAGCCGAGATTGCTCCACTGCACTCCAGACTGGGTGACAGAGTGAGACTGTCTCAAAAAAAAAAAAAAAAGACAGCCACATTTCCAGTATAAATACAGTTTAGTGATAGGAAAACATTATAGAATATTCTGACATGTAAACTACAGAGGGCCTATTTACTCAAAATACACATGCACACACACACACACCCCCCTAAGTAAATATGTAACTAAAATAAACTCTTTTTTATTTTCAAAAAACGGGATAATACCAGTTCTTTTTCCTAATAAGTTTAGACATATAGGGAGGAAAAAAAAGTAACAAAATCAGCAAGTTGTCTGCCCCAATTTAGAGAAAAGGAGGAAGAGATTTGCCAGGGAAACTGACTCTGTCAGAAATTAGGCCCTGTACCATTTAATGCTGTACATTCATTAGAATGGCAATGAAACAATGGCTGTGGACAATTCAAGGTCAGGAAAATAGTAGCCATGCTTAGGTCAAAGTCAGGTTCAGACCTGAAGCCTCATCTCCACCTCTGGAAGTTCTGTAAATTATCTCTGAAGATATATCATTGAGTATATTAGGAAGTTACATGCTTACAAAATTAATGATTTATGTATTTAATAAGTTTAAGGTCTTAGGTGCTGTCTACTTTTCAAATATATGTGTCAACTATATCCACTCTTTTTATTCTTTATATGTAGATTTTCTAAAAGACATGGCATTTTTCTTCAGCAGAACAATTAATGGACCTTTCAAAATATTTAAAAGTATTAACAAAAGATCTGTGATCTAGTTTTAGAAATAAAAGTGTTACTGAAATCATAGTTAAAAGCCTAAATATTAATTCAAAGACAGGCAACTATGGAACATAAGGAAGAGTATGCAGGCAAAAGGATTAGTATCTAGTAATGGCTGAAGGAAGGGAAGGTTAGAATGGTAGAAAACAGAATCAGTGGTGCCTCAGGAAGAAAGTGAAAGAAGGTCAGGAGAGGGAAATCAAAAGTATAAAATTAAGAGAGGCCAGGCACAGTGATTCACGCCTATAATCCCATCACTTTGGGAGGCCGAGGTGGGTGGATCACCTGAGGTCAGGAGTTCAAGACCAACCTGACCAACATGGTGAAACCCCGTCTCTACTAAAAAAAAAAAAAAAAAAAAAAAAAAAGCCTGGCGGGGTGGCGTGTGCCTGTAATGTCAGCTACTCCAGAAGCTGAGGCAGGAGAATCGCTTGAACCCCAGAGGCAGAGATTGCAGTGAGCCAAGATCGGGCCATTGCACACAAGAGCAAAACTTGGTCTCAATAAAATAAATAAATAAAATAAAATAAATAAAAAAATAAAAAAGCTAAGAGAAAAATAAGTAGTGGAAATAGTAAAACTATTATATTATTATATTAGATATAGCAACTGATTTGCATTTGCCGTAGCAGCTTCAGTGGAGTAATAAGAATACAATTCTGATTTGAATTTTAAAGAGTGAAGTCAGTTGAGGAAATAATGACAGTGATTATAGATTATTGCTGGTATTCAAGTTTAGGTGGCAGATTCATCTCCCAAGCTTCATACTCTGGAGTGACTCACCAGTGACACCAAATGGTTCAGTGAGGATTGAATCTTTGTGACGTACAGCAACCCATTTAATTTCCTGAAGCAATCTCTTCTCTTGGCTTCATTGACAGTACAAACTATTGGTCTTCTGATTCCCCTAACTACTCTTTCACATATTATATTTCACTTAAAATATATAATATATATATTTTAAAATAATCTCATACATACACATGGGTTCAGTTATCTTGAATGATCATTTCTGGCATGATACAGGACATCAATAAGCATATATATATATATATATTAAGCCAGCAAAATAATTATTTATTCTAGTATTTGTACTAATTAGCTCTGTTGCCATTTAATGATTTTTTAGTACAAACATTTTAAGAATATCTAGAGTTGAATGTATTTTCTTTTTTGTGGGGGGATGGAGTCTGGGTCTGTTGCCCATGCTGGAGTTCAGTGGCAGTATCTCTGCTCACTGCAAGCTCTGCCTCCTGGCTTCAAGCGATTCTCCTGCCTCAGCCTCCCGAGTAGTTGGGACTACAGGTGTCCGCCACCACACCTGGCTAATTTTTTGTATTTTTAGTAGAGAAGGGGTTTCACCATGTTAGCCAGGATGGTCTTGATCTCCTGACCTGGTGATCCACCCGCCTCAGCCTCCCAAAGTGCTGGGATTACAGGCGTGAGCCACCACGCCCAGCCTGATTTGAGTGTATTTTCTAAATAAAAATTGAATTGCTATTTAGGTTATTCCAGTACCAGCATGTGGGCTGTTAAATCTTTAGATATGGCCTTTTAAGGTTTTTTTTTAAATATGTTATTCTATCAATTAGTATTTTTCAAACTGATCAAAAACTAAAACAGTTTCAGATTTCCTATCTAAAGTTTACATTTTTTATATATACCAGGTGGTTGTGAGAGCTTTGATCAAAACAACCTTACCCACTTTGAATGTGTTTCTTGTCTGCCTGATGATCTGGCTGATTTTTAGTATCATGGGAGTAGACTTATTTGCTGGCAGATTCTATGAATGCATTGACCCAACAAGTGGAGAAAGGTTTCCTTCATCTGAAGTCATGAATAAGAGTCGGTGTGAAAGCCTTCTGTTTAACGAATCCATGCTATGGGAAAATGCAAAAATGAACTTTGATAATGTTGGAAATGGTTTCCTTTCTCTGCTTCAAGTAGTAAGTACACTTTTGACTTTTCCTTATTAATTATATATTCATCCATATTGTAGGTTGAATGCAAAGGACAAAATGTGGGCGATTAATACATTTGGTTATAAAATATTTTAGCAATTAGTAGATAAATGTAATGGGACATACAACTATCGGGGGAACCCATCCCAAATATTTCAACATAGGTTCTTTCTATTTTCCGTAAGTGTTGGCCAGCTGAGAAATAAAGAGAAAGAGTACAAAGATAGGAATTTTACAGCTGGGCCGCCGGGGGTGACATCACATATCAGTAGGACCATGATGCCCACCTGAGCCTTAAAGCCAGCAAGTTTTTATTAAGGATTTCAAAAGGGGAGGGGGTGTACAAACAGGGAGTAGGTCACATGCTTCAAGGGGCAAAAAGCAGAACAAAGATCACATGCTTCTGAGGAAACAGGACAAGGGCAAAATCAGAACTCCTGTTAAGGGTCTATGTTCAGTGGTGCACATATTGTCTTGATAAACATCTTAACAGAAAACAGGGTTCGAGAGCAGAGAACCTGTCTGACCTAAAATTTACCAGGATGGAGTTTCCCAATCCTAGTAAGCCTGAGGGTACTGTGGGAGACCAGGGCGTATCTCAGTCCTTATCTCAACTGCATAGGACAGACATTCCCAGAGTGGCTGTTTATAGACCTCTCTCCAGGAATGAATTCCTTTCCCAGAGTATTAATATCAATATTCCTTACTAGGAAAAGAATTTAGTGATATCTTCCCTACTTGCA
The DNA here is from genome assembly GCF_000001405.40 of Homo sapiens. Classification (NCBI taxonomy): domain Eukaryota; kingdom Metazoa; phylum Chordata; class Mammalia; order Primates; family Hominidae; genus Homo; species Homo sapiens. The sequence continues at coordinate 166,415,948 of NC_000002.12, read as the reverse complement.
CGTCCATTTATAGGCTCTCTGCAAGAAGAAAAATATGGCTCTTTTTGCCCAACCCCGCAGGCAATCAGAACTTATGGTTGTCTTCCCTTGTTCCCTAAAAACACAGTTATTCTGTTCTTTTTCAAGGTGCACTGATTTCATATTGTTCAAACACACATGTTTTACAATCAATTTGTACAGTTAACACAATTATCACAGTGGTCCTGAGGTGACGTACATCCTCAGCTTACGAAGATAACAGGATTAAGAGATCAAAGTAAGACAGTCATAAGAAAGTATAAAAGTATTAATTTGGGAACTGACAAATGTCCATGTTAAAATGAAATCTTCGCAATTTATGTTCCTCTGCCGTGGCTCCAGCCAGTCCCTCTGTTCAGGGTCCCTGACTTCCCGCAACATACAACACTAGACTCATTTAAAGAGACAGGCCAGTTGCAGTGGCTCATGCCTGTAATCCCAGCACTTTGGGAGGCCGAGGTGGGCAGATCATGAGGTCAAGAGATCAAGACCGTCCTAGCCAACATGGTGAAACCCCATCTGTACTGAAAATACAAAAATTAGCTGGGTGGAGTGTCGCATACCTGTAGTCCCAGCTACTTGGGAAGCTGAGGCAGGAGAATCCCTTGAACCTAGGAGGCGGAGGTTGCAGTGAGCCGAGATCATTCCACTGCTCTCCAGTCTGGTGACAAAGTGTGACACTCTCTCAAAGAAAAAAAAAAAAAAAAGAGACAAAAGTTAAATACTGTCTCTGCCCCATTGGATGAAGGAAGTGGAGATGCAAGTAAATTTAACAGAGGAAATACAGATACTGGCCCAAACTATCTTTACCACCACTGATCAGGTTATAGGGTAATGTATTAGTCAGGCTTCCCTAGAGGGACAGAACTAATAGGATATATATATCCTATTATATATTATTATTATCCTATATAATAATATATATTATATATTATCCTATATAATAATATATATTATATATTATCCTATATAATAATATATATTATATATTATCCTATATAATAATATATATTATATATTATCCTATATAATAATATATATTATATATTATCCTATATAATATATATTATATATTATATATCCTATATATTATATATATCCTATTATATATTATATATCCTACTATATATTATCCTATATAATAATATATATTCTATGTAATATATATTCTATATATATTTTGTGTGTGTGTCTATATATATATATATATAGTGGCAGAGGTGAAGTAAGCTCGTGTATCTATGTCTATTCCCACTGTGAACATATGGTGAGCTCACACAATGAATCCCAGGAAGCCAACTGATATTATAGCCCAGACCATGCCCATGTACCCAAATGGTTCTTTTTTTCCGGATGTGGGAGATTATTCCGAAGCCTGGTAAGATGAGGATATAGACTTCCGGGTGACCGAAAAATCAGAATAGGTGCTGATATAGGATAGGAGATATATATATATATATATATATATCCTATTAGTTCAGTCCCTCTAGGGAACCCTGACTAATACATCACCCCATAACTTGATCAGTGGTGGTAAAAATAGTTTGGGCTAGTATCTGTATTTCCTCTGTTAAATTTACTTGCATCTCTACTTCCTTCATATATATATATATATGTGTATATATATATATATATATGTGTGTGTATATATATATATATGTGTGTGTATATATATCTATATATATTTACATATATAGATATATATATTTATATATATTTACATATATATAATATATTATATATTATATATATTTACATATATATAATATATTATATATATTTATATATATTTACATATATATAATATATTATATATATTTATATATAATATATTATATATATTTACATATATTTACATATATAATATATTTTTATATATTTACATATATAAATATATTTATATATATTTACATATATATAGTATATTTATATATATATATATATATATACACATACACATATATATATAAAGGGGAGTTTATTAAGTATTAACTTACATGATCAATGATCACAGGGTCCCACAATAGGCTGTATGCAAGCTTGAGGAGCAAGGAGAGCCAGTCCGAGTCTCAAAACTGAAGAACTTGGAGTCCAATGTTTGAGGGCAGGAAGCATCCAGCACAGGAGAAAAATATAGGCTGGGAGGCTAGGCCAGTCTCGCCTTTTCACGTTTTCCTGCCTGCTTTATATTTGCTGGCAGCTGATTAGATTGTGTCCACCAGATTAAAGGTGGGTCTGTCTTCCCCAGCCCACTGACTCAAATGTTAATCTCCTTTGGCAACACCCTCACAGACACACCCAGGATCAATACTTTGCATCCTTCAATCCAATCAAATTGACACTCAGTATTAACCACTACAGGTAATAATTCTTTAGTTCAACCCAAGTCACTACTTTTTATCTCTTTAGCATTTTGAGGAACTGCTACTCAGTGACTCAGTATCTAGCAGATGTGAAGAGTTGAACAATTCCTCTTATGTCTCTCACAGAAAAGCACATGTGTAGCAGCTACAAGTCACCATGACACATGGCCGCATGTAATTATTTACCATTTATATATCTGTTTCTCTATTTATCTTTTTCTAGTCATGCTATCTTCAAATATTTTGTTATTAACTATAAATAAACTAAGTACTTGAAATAGTTGTTAACAGACAATATAATAATGAAAATGTTAAGGATCCCAATTACACAGTATATGGAAGTGTGGCAAGCCTATGTCAAATATTTCAGTGCACTAATAAGAGACTGAGATTTTACTTTTTATTTGCCAGGAAGCATAAATTTTAAATGCATTTTATTTTTACAGGCAACATTTAATGGATGGATCACTATTATGAATTCAGCAATTGATTCTGTTGCTGTAAGTATAATATCATTTTAAAGCCATTGTTAGGATACAAGCAAAGTCATTTTTGCAATTCGAGCACAGGACACCAGTAATAATGAATAGAAATCAAATGCAGTTCAGATTGGATATTTCATTGGCAATGAAATTCTTCCAGGGTTATTATATACAATGATTGAGGCCCCATAGGTCCATTTGAAAGATTACCAGACTTTGCAACAATGGTTAAATGAATGAAATGAACTTTAACATTCATACAAAGCAATGATATCCTTTTACCAAACAGCAAAAAAGAAAACAGTTTCTTAGGTAGCATAACAATGCTTGTTTTGTTATTGTTTTCTTGTCATAAATTGTTTTATAAAACTTGTTTTAAAAAGCCAATATCAATAATTTGCTTATTTTAAACTTCTAGGTTAATATACAGCCTCATTTTGAAGTCAACATCTACATGTATTGTTACTTTATCAACTTTATTATATTTGGAGTATTTCTCCCTCTGAGTATGCTGATTACTGTTATTATTGATAATTTCAACAAGCATAAAATAAAGATAAGTATAAATATTATTTGTTTATCCAATGTCTGAGAAAATCAGGCATACACATAAATATATAAATGCCCTGCTTCAAATAATTGGCTTTGGATTCAGCTTAATGTCATTTTTATTTGACATGTATCTTAAAAAATCATGATTAATGTTCCTGCACATTGATGAACATTGCCTTCTAAATCCAAAATATGTACTACACAGTCAAGTTTAAAAGTTAAACATTACAAGTGTCTGTGTAAAAATTACAAGTGTTTTGGAAATAATTATGGGCTGAAAAATAAATACTGTAAGTAAAATTTTCTATCTTCACAAATATGTGAAGAGTTCCAGAAAAAAACACTCTTTTACTCTCTGTTATATTTAAAGCCTCCACAGTCAGCCAGCATGGACATCTTTCAAAGTTAGAGTAGTTCTTTCTGCTAGAAGTAGAGAGAGTCATAAATCCTAACTGGGTGGCCTAAGTAGGAGTGCTTGAACCCAGTAAGACAGAGTTCAGAGACAGAATTGAATAACTACAGTTTCATGCCATTTCTAAAAAGCAGCTTCTTCAGGGCCTCCACAAACGCAAAGGACTAAAAAGACATCTAAGTCAAGTTATTTTACACAGGCACCTAATCTCTTTTGGGAAGCCTTCCAAAAAAGTCAAAGGAAAGAATAGTTTAATTTTGAAATTTTATCTTCAGCCATGTAATCAAACTTTAGCCATGTGTAAAATCTGGTACAGTAGACTCTCCTTATCCAAGGGGACTGCGTTCCAAGACCTCCAGTGGATGCCTGAAACCGCAGGGTAGTACCTAACCTGATTACCGTAAATCAGAACGTTTCTGTTCACGTTAAGATGCCTTTTCCATGACTAAGACTTATCATGCACTGTGGCCATTTGCAGTTTGAAGTACAACAGCAAATCAAGCATACATTTATTTTTCATTCTTCACAATTTCATGGACAGAAGATTCATTCATACCATAGATTTAGCAACCTCAGCATATGTTTTTTTTTCTTGCCTTAAGTCAAGCACTTTCACCTTTTCTCTTAAAGGAAGCAGTTTGCAGCTTCTTTTTGTATTCGAAGGCCAGCATCACTTCTCTTGCATTTTGGGGGTTATTATTAATTATAATAAGGATTACTTGAACACAATCGCTTGATAACAGAGATAGCTGCAAAGTGAGTAATGTGTGGGTGGCATAGACTGAGTGGATGTGCTGGACAAAGGGATGATTCACATCCCGGTCTCCACAGAGCAGGATGACACAAGATTTCATCACACAACTCAGACCCACATGAAATTTAAAATGTATTAACTATTTATTTTTAGGATTTTTCATGTAATAATTTCCAACTGTGGTTGACCATGGCTAACTGATAGTGTGGAAAGTGAGACTTCAGATAAGGGGGGACTACTGTATATCAATCACTCTTGAGTCTCCACCAATGAAATAGGAGTAGAGAGCTGAGTGCTCAAATGTGATTTTGATTGGATGCTTCAGCTTTCTACGAATATCAACCCTGTAGGATAACATACTAGGATTTGCTTCTAGGCTTCGAACTGGTGTCTGCAGTCAATTTAAGTGACCAGGTCCTGATTTAGAGCAGTAACAATTCCTAATTCCTAGGACGTGACATTATTCACTTCACATATATTACATAAGATACTGAAATTAGCACTAGAAACACAAAAATGAATAAGCCCTCAACCGTGCTATGAAGAAGCAAGCGCAAGGTGCTTTTGGAATAATAGTAAAAAAAACTCTTCTGATACTATTTGAAAAATAAAGCAATATATAGTCATATAAAAATGATCACATATGATCATTTCTGTTTATTTCTGCTTATTAAAAGATACAAATCAACTTTTCCTTTAGCTATTGAGCTCAACCTTTCTTAGTAAATATTTCCAGATATCCCCTGCTGTTTCTCCTTTGTCCTCTTTTACAACCCTATGTGAAAATAGAGTTGACACTCCCCTAAGAAAGCGCACTTAGAGATTACTGAATTTCTGTCACTATCAGCATGTATTCTGTATGTGCTTTTTATGGATTTTTGGGCAGAAAGTCAGACATGTTCAAACATGATTTCATTCACTGCACTTAAGCCTTTTTTTTAGAAGATTAAATCAATAATTGCCAAGTCTTTAAAATGCCTATTAACATAAGGGAAAATTTGGATTAAGTGTGATTTTAATATATTTTTCTTTCCTTTCTTTACCTGGGAGGCTCAAATATCTTTATAACGGTTAAACAGAGAAAACAGTACCGCAGGCTGAAGAAGCTAATGTATGAGGATTCTCAAAGACCAGTACCTCGCCCATTAGTAAGAAAATGTCTAGATTTTTTGAAACTTCAATGGAGGTGTTCTTTATATATTCTCTTTTAAAGCCTTAACAAATGTTTTTGTCAAAATTTTTGTGTCCCTTGACAAAGCTTTTCATGGTCATTTTGTTTGTTTGTTTTGACTATATGTTATAGTTTGGCAAAAATTTAGGTTCACACTTATTCTCATTTATTTTGGGAAGAAAGTTGTAGTGTATAAAAGACCATATATATGTATATGTATCCTATTAATAAGACTATTACACCTGTTGATTTTACCCACAGAACAAGCTCCAAGGATTCATCTTTGATGTGGTAACAAGCCAAGCTTTTAATGTCATTGTTATGGTTCTTATATGTTTCCAAGCAATAGCCATGATGATAGACACTGATGTTCAGAGTCTACAAATGTCCATTGCTCTCTACTGGATTAACTCAATTTTTGTTATGCTATATACTATGGAATGTATACTGAAGCTCATCGCTTTCCGTTGTTTTTATTTCACCATTGCGTGGAACATTTTTGATTTTATGGTGGTTATTTTCTCCATCACAGGTAAGATTTTGTTTAGTCAAATTTTTACTGATAATAATATTAATTCAAGTAAGCTCTTACAGTAAATATGAAATATAGTCTCCTACATTTCAAAATCATGAAATATAGTCTCCTAATAAGCAAAACAGGTAGAGATCTTTTTTTATTTTCAACAGGAATGCTTCACATTTGTATTCATATGTGTACCACCCATGCCTAATAGAGATAAGATGTTCAAAAATATTTCTAATAACATAGACTTTGCATACAAGCCACCAGGTGAATGTTTAGTCAACCCTTCATTCTATAATATACACTAATTTTCTAGATGACACTAGAAAGACGTTTATGTCTTAGAATGATGTAATCTTTCAGGTTCACTATTATTTCCTTCCCTCTAATCTCTAAAACTATTTACAACTTATACAACATTAGAGTTTCAGGCTTTAACAAATTTGTTGCTTGTTTTCTCTTACTTTGGAGATCTCTCTCTTATTTAATAAATACACTTGATAATTCTCTTTGAGAATAAAGACTGTTATATGCAAAAAATTCAGTAGTAAACAAGACAAGTATAATTTCTGTGTACACATAGCTTAGAGTCTATTAAAGGATATAGATAATTAAACAGTACATTTTAATGTGTGCTATTAAGGTTATGGTAGGGAAGTCACAGGGTGCTGCAGCAACACAGCAGAAGGAGGTCACCTAATCAGTAAGTAGAGGTCAGAGAAAACTTTATGGAAGACGTGAAATCTAATTAGAGACTTTTCAGATAAGGAGATAGCCAAGCAAAGAATTTAGTGTCAAAGAGTTTCAGGCAGAGAGAAGTTTGTCTGTTTCCACATAACACACATATTAGGGTGTAAGTTCCATGAGAGTAGGAACAATATTTAAGTTTACTGCATCAAGCACTATTCTATGCATTGAGTAGTAGAAAATATAGATAAACTGTTTGCCCAGATCTGCTTCCAAATATTCACTCATTCAGTTGATAGTGGAAACAATGCAACTAACTACTGAAAAAAACCGTAAGAAGCTTCAGAAAAGAAGAAGCTATCAGAAAAACTGATAGAAAAGTACATGAAGACAAGAGGGAGCTGATAGGAAGAAGGCAGAGAAATGATGGAATTAGGGTCCTATGAGACTGAAGGGGACTTCATCAGAGAACTGGAAGGAAAAGCAATTGCAGTCAGAGAGAAAGCAGTTTGAATTTGCAGTTTCAGAAGGCAAGGTATCTTGGGTCCAGAATGTGATTATAAATGTAGATTTGTAAAATGATGGAAGAGAGTGTAATAACTTGAGAAGACCAAAGACAGAAACCGGCTTTTAAATGGATTGTTGATGGTAGGTGCTAAGGTGAAATGAGAGACAGTGAGTCAATTATTGAAGTCTTCAATGAATGTGAATGAAGAATGAGTAGGCTATAGAGCCAAGGAATGGTAGGAAATGATATAGCTGAATGGCATGATCCACAAAGTGTCAAAAATCTCTTTTATTTTTTCTTTATAAAAATAATAGGAAGGAAAAGTGACCAGAAATCACATTGGAAAGAAAGAAAGATACCTATTTTTTCTTTCTAACCTGAGGAAAGTGGAGTGGGGAAGAATGAGCTCCCTGTATTTGAGAGGGTTGCAAGGGAAATAGAGTCTTCAAGATAGAGCCAGATTTAGCCATCATCCTCTGAAAACTGAAACAGGAACAGAAATCCAAACACCACATATTCTCACTTATAAGTGGGAGTTGAACAATGAGAACACATGGACACAGAAAGGGGAACAACACACACCAGGGCTTGTTGGAGGGTGGGGCGTGAGGGGAAGGAACTTAGAGGACAGGTCGATAGGTGCAGCAAACCACCATGGCACATGTATACCTGTGTAACAAACCTGCATGTTCTGCACATGTATCCTGGTGGGTTTTTTTTAGAAGAAATAAAAACAAAGATTAAAAAAAGAACTTCCCCCCAAAAAAGAGACTGGGTTAAAAAAAAATTAGTGATGAGAATGTAGAGGAATTTATTCACAATTTAGTGATACTTCCTGCATAATGAAAAAGTTTGGAAGGTTGAAGGGAAATGAGAATTTGGGTCAGAGTAGAAGATTCACTAAAGCACTATAGAGATAGGGTATTGATAGGATAGAACATCAGAGAGAAATATCATCTTAGGCAGAGACCAAGTTTAACAAAAATGTGAGACATGATTCCTCCAGATTCAACAAACCTACCATATCACTTAGAAGCCTCGTGGGATTCCTTCTTCCACTACCTTCTCAACTCAAAATAAACTACATTCTCTCTAATACTTCCAGAGAACATCTCTTATACCTTTAATGAATTATAATTCTACCTTGTTTTATAGTTCTTGTGTTAATCACTGCCATACTTCCCTCATCTAACTACCACAGCTACAAAAAAGTTCTAAACAAAGACTTATTTATTCAATTCACATTTAAAGTTCCTGGAGCCCCAGTACTATTTATGAAATAAGGAAATTAAATTACAATCTATGAATCACTGAATGCCAGACATTTCTGTAATTATATTTATCAATTTCTGTCTTATAATTATTTTAAATGTCTGTCACTATTTTCTAAATTATAAGGTTCCTGAAGACAGAAATCATGTCATTCATCTTTGTATATTGGTGTGATATATTTATTGGGCATTCAATAAAGATTGCATGGAACTAAGTTTCTTAATCCAATAGCAATAAAAAATTATGACTATTGTCCTACATTATAGAATCAGGTCATCTGTAATTCCAGAACTACTTGATCTGTAATACTCTTAGATGATGTTACAGAAAAATAATCTTCCAAATTTAGCTAGATACCCTGAGCATTGATACAATAGGTGTTTGGCTGACCCAAACTTTCAACATGCTAACTGTTAAATGAGAATGATTAGTAAAATGGAAGGGATCAATAAAGGATTAATAAAACAGGGAAAAACAATTAAGTGTAAAATAATTTATAGTCCTCAAAATACTATTGTGTTTGAATAATGTATAGCCTGCTTTATCTTTCCCACCCCCAGGACTATGTCTGCCTATGACAGTAGGATCCTACCTTGTGCCTCCTTCACTTGTGCAACTGATACTTCTCTCACGGATCATTCACATGCTGCGTCTTGGAAAAGGACCAAAGGTGTTTCATAATCTGATGCTTCCTTTGATGCTGTCCCTCCCAGCATTATTGAACATCATTCTTCTCATCTTCCTGGTCATGTTCATCTATGCCGTATTTGGAATGTATAATTTTGCCTATGTTAAAAAAGAAGCTGGAATTAATGATGTGTCTAATTTTGAAACCTTTGGCAACAGTATGCTCTGTCTTTTTCAAGTTGCAATATTTGCTGGTTGGGATGGGATGCTTGATGCAATTTTCAACAGTAAATGGTCTGACTGTGATCCTGATAAAATTAACCCTGGGACTCAAGTTAGAGGAGATTGTGGGAACCCCTCTGTTGGGATTTTTTATTTTGTCAGTTATATCCTCATATCATGGCTGATCATTGTAAATATGTACATTGTTGTTGTCATGGAGTTTTTAAATATTGCTTCTAAGAAGAAAAACAAGACCTTGAGTGAAGATGATTTTAGGAAATTCTTTCAGGTATGGAAAAGGTTTGATCCTGATAGGACCCAGTACATAGACTCTAGCAAGCTTTCAGATTTTGCAGCTGCTCTTGATCCTCCTCTTTTCATGGCAAAACCAAACAAGGGCCAGCTCATTGCTTTGGACCTCCCCATGGCTGTTGGGGACAGAATTCATTGCCTCGATATCTTACTTGCTTTTACAAAGAGAGTTATGGGTCAAGATGTGAGGATGGAGAAAGTTGTTTCAGAAATAGAATCAGGGTTTTTGTTAGCCAACCCTTTTAAGATCACATGTGAGCCAATTACGACTACTTTGAAACGAAAACAAGAGGCAGTTTCAGCAACCATCATTCAACGTGCTTATAAAAATTACCGCTTGAGGCGAAATGACAAAAATACATCAGATATTCATATGATAGATGGTGACAGAGATGTTCATGCTACTAAAGAAGGTGCCTATTTTGACAAAGCTAAGGAAAAGTCACCTATTCAAAGCCAGATCTAATACCACTTACCACCTCTTTTCATATTTCTTCACATATCTGAAAAATGTTGAAAGCCTAAGCCAGGAATAAAAGAAAAGTAGAGATAATAATCAGTTCTTTACAACCGATGGTAATTAAGCTTGTATTCACAAGACTTCATGCCAAATTCACTTTTTAGCATTATATCTAACAAATCAAGAGAATCCTTAATATTGCTGCAGTGAGTTTAAAGTGGGTTAAAGTGGCCATTTGACAATCTCATATTTGTTTTCTCTACATGGCTTATATGATGTGTGCCTTCTAGGGAATGAAGGGAAGTGGTGATAGAGATCAGCAGCAGCAGGGGCTTTCTTTTATATTTTATGTATAATTTAATGGGCTTTAAGTCACCACTATTAAGACTTACAAATAAGCAAATACTTTCCTGATGTGGGATGGTGAAATGCTAATGGCCATTAAATCATAAACTTGCCTAGACAAAAGCCAATTGGAAGAAGGGAGAGAGCAGTTCTTTAGAAAGTGCCTTTGAGATCAACCTCAGAGATTCTTGGGCTGATTAAAACTGCATTTGAAAAAGATTGGTTGAAGCTCTGTGTTTATTTTTGTATGTTCTTGTTTTCATTTGGAACTGGGAATGAATAGGATTTCATTGTGCTCAAGCTCCTGGTTTCTCATCTCTGGATAGTTTCACCTAAGCTCTGGCTCTTAAGCAGGACAGATTCGTAAAACAAGAAGCATAAAGGAGAGGTATAGCCTTTTTTTTTTTTTTTTTTTTCATTTTCTTCTCATTTACACCTATTTTTTTAAAAAGTATACATTTACTAAAATGATGTAATAAATAACATGTTAATAGACTCAAGCTTTACCTTATGAAATTGATGTATTTTTACCAGTTATTTCTAATGTAACATTGAATATATAAGATCTGACAAATGTATGTTTAAACATGAATTAGAAGAGTTGAGAACTACCATTATGTATAGGGATTCTCATAGTGTCTTGGCCCTTAATTGGAAAGTTGTGGCAACTTTAAAGTACTTTTTACTGTATGTTATAATTCTTTATAACTTAGAGAGAGACAATGGTCACTCAAACTATGAGAACTATGAATTAGGAGATAAAAGTTTAAATTTGTTGTTGTTTTATAACAGTATGTACAAGTTAGTTTTCCCTTATATATTTACGTTTTCAAGTTTTTTAATCTCATCATATACATCCATACTCTATAAAATGTTTTATATTCAAAGAACTGTAAAATCCTAAACATTAGTTTTCACTATTGAAATTGTTTTTTAAAGATAGGCATAAATAGTTGTCCTTAGACTTATTCATACAAATATAGTCATTTACTTCTATGTAGTTTGAGATTCTGAGAGTTATTCCAACTTTATGAAGATTGATTTCAATGTGCCTGCTAAGTCCTAAAAGATTCAGAAAGAAAATTTATATATTATTGATTTAAATATCATCCTTTAAATATGTTGTATAACATTCAATATAGTTTATGTATCAGTGATTGTATTTTATTCTGAATGCATGATCTCAAGCCTTAACTACTATAATCTTTTTCTGCCCCTCAGAAATTGAATAACCTAACCAAGATGCCTTTAGGGGATGCCCTAAGTAAATGTAATTTCAGATTTCAGGGTTTTTTTTTTTTCCTCTCTAAGTGTTCCTTCCCTTTCTTCTCCTGCTCTCCATCATGTTATGGAGACCAGTGAGGAACCAGTGTTAACTTGGTGACAATGTGACAGCTGGTGCTTTATCTAAGCTCCGTTTTCTATTTCTTGGGAATGCTTTATTGTGGAAACTGCTTCAGATACTTAAATTGAATCATAACTTGCTTCTGTAAATTGCGTAAAGACAACAAACTGATTTTAGTTTGAAAAGTTTATCTTTTACTTGTAAACCTTGTTTGCCAGTTACCTTCCGAAAGCTGTGTAAAGAGTTATTTTTAACAAAGTCTTAACAATATATGTTACTTTTTAGATACTATAGAAAATAATAAATATAACCTGTAAACCACATTAAGCTATGTTTGTTTTTAATTTGATAAATCACATTGGCAACTTTGTGTAGTATACTTTTTAAAAATAAGCTTTACATTAAAGTTTGTTAATTCAGGCTTAAAACTGGAAACAGTTGTGCTTTCTTTAGATCACATAATTTTGTAAAATACATTTTAGTAAGCTTACCAGTGGCCCCTACACATTAACAAGATGTAAAATGATCACTCTTCTTATCAAAATTATAATGATAATTTTACTAGATATATTTTCGTATTATTAGAATTTGCTTTCTGGAAGATAATACTGAAATTAAATTTATTGGTACACTACTATTTATCAATTTCTGCATCTTCAAAAATTTTATTGTGCTTCATTAGTAAATATAATACACTTGAAATTGTTTTAAAGATAATGGTAACAGCTACCATTTATTGAGCACACTTCTATGCCCAGCCTTATCGTATGTATTTATCGTGCATGAAGAAGTGATCACTCTCAGTTCATGAGTGAAAAAAGTTAGGTTTAGAAAGGTTATGAAGTTTTTATATGGCAGAGACCCTATAAGTAAAAAGGCCAGGACTCTAAACCAGGTCCAGTTACAGAGCCTTAATGTGTTTTCTCTCACACTCGCTCTCTCGCTCGCTCGCTCTCCATCTCCCGCTGTCCCACTTTCCCCATTTGGTGCAGTAAATTTTAAAAGTAGAGACATTCCCTGGAAAAAGGGAAGTCATAAGGGATAAAATTATAGAAGTTGAAAAATTCAACGTTTTGTGAATGCTGAATACTAAAGGTAAACTCAGATCCTATTCAGATAAAGATATATCTGAGACTGAAGGGCTTACTGACTACTGGGGGGAAACGTAATATGCAGCTGGTTATAATATGTGATAATTTTTATACTGTGAGTGTACATTGTAATACACATATAGGCAGGAATGATGGGTTCTGTGTTGGATATCAGAGGTGAAGTGAGTAAAGTGGGCTCCTGCAGAGAAAGGAGGACTTTGTCAATTAAAGAAGGCAATTTTATTAAACACAGAGGCACTTTTAAGGAGAAGAGTCCACCACAGATATGAGACCTAGGCATCCAGCTTATAGTTCTTCAGCCTGGAGGATAAAGAGATATGAACCAAGGAGACGATGCAATCCCTATTGCAGAGATTAGCTAGAAAATCTGAGCAGAATTACTCTGGACACCTCAAATCCCTTCTCAGACATGTTTTATTTTTCCCTTTGGTTTTTGAACTTTCTCTTCTGTTGTCTGTTCCTTTCCATAAATTCTGGGTCTGCATTCTTAGCTATGATGGTTAATAAAGAACTCCAATGAATGATTTGAGTCTTCACAAGTGGAAATTTTCATCTTTATGTTCGGTAAACTAAAACTTTCAGGCTTAGACACTTAATCATCTCCTCATCTGTATGGAAACCTCTGTCTTCAACTACTTATAATCACACACTGACTCAAATAATTCTATCTCAACTCCAGCCCTAGGTTCTACTCTCTATCCAGGTGGCGTAACCCTATACTCCTTGATTCTGGTCTAGGCTTTTTGAAAGCCTACACCTTCAAATGATCCATAAGTTCTCAGTCCACATTTATACACAATTTTATCACCATTTTTCCTTATTTTCTCCCTCCATGTTGTCCTGTAATAAAAATCTGTTGAGCACCTCCTAGGTATTAGGCACAACAATTTAGAGATAAATAGGGTTGCTCTTATCTTTAAAAAGTCATTTCTTAGTGTGACAAGTAAAACACCATGTTGGAACTATTTGTTAACTCCCTTCCAATAATGGAGATCCTCAACAAGGGCTAGTGGAAAATCTTACTGAACTTAGCAGAAAAGCTGGATCTTAAGCTAAGTGTTCAAGTAAATGGGATTTTGTTGGAGGTCATGATGAATATGAGGAATGACATCCTAAGCTGAAGTGACAGCAAATATAGAAGTGTGAAAAATAGAGTCCATAAACCCCAAGTCTCTCTACTTGTATGTTTATGCAAAAAGCATTCAAAAAATGGCATGAGATGGTAGAGTTGGATTCTAGAATGTGTTCATATGAGGGAAAGAAAAATGACAACTCAAGAGTGTTAAGGTTGAGGTGACCTCAAAGGAACACTTAGACTGGGTGCAGTAGCTCATTTCTGAAATCTCAGCACTTTGGGTGGCCAAGGTGGGAGGATTGCTTGAGCCCAGTAGTTCAAGACCAGCCTGGGCAACATAGTGAGACCCTGTCTCTAAAATTTTAAAAAAGGAGAACACTTAAAGTGGGTTTTCTCAATTACCAAGCAAAACCTATCTTATACATGAAATTGCTCGTATTGTCTATCATTCTTTTTAAAATATATTTATTGAGACATGATTAACATATGAAATTCTCCTTGTACAGTATATAATTAGATGGTTTTAGTATATTAACAGAGCTGTACAAGCATCACAGCAATTCAAGTTTATAACAGTTTTATCTCTGTTGAGAGTCACTCCATATTCCACCATCACCTAACCCTAGAAAACCATGAATTTACTTTCTGTCTCTATAGATTTATCTGTTCTAGACAGTTAATATTAATGGAATAATATAATATGTTATTCTTTTTCTTTTTTGTTTAACTTTTATTTTAAGTTCAGGGGTACAATTGCAGGTTTGTTACATAGGTAAACTTGTGTCATGGGGATTTGTTGTGCAGATTATTTCATCACCCAGGTCTTAAGCCTAGTACCCATTAGTTATTTTTCCTGATTCTCTCCCTCCTACCACCTTCCACCCTCCAAAAGACCCCAGGGTGTGTTGTTCTCCTCTATATGTTCATGTGTTCTCATCATTTAGCTCCTGCTTATAAGTGAGAACACACAGTATTTGGTTTTCTACTTCGGTGTTAGTTTGCTAAGGATAATGTCCTCCAGCTCCATCCATGTCTCAGCAAAGGACATGATCTCATTCTTTTTTATGGCTGCATAGTATTACATGGTCAGTATGTAACACATTTTCTTCTTATACACTGTTGGTGGGAGTGTAAATATGTGATTTTTTTTTTGTGATTGGCTTCTTTCATTTAGCACAATATTTCAAATGTTGTAGCAGGTATCATTATTTCATTCCTCTTTATTGCTGAATAATATTTAACTATGTGGATGTATTATATTTTATTTATCCATTCATCATTTGGATTGTTTCCACATTTTGAGTATTATGAATAATGCTGCTGTGAACATTAGCGTACAATTTTTGGGTAGATCCATTATTTCAATTCTCTTCACTATATACTTAGAGGTGAAATTTGTACCACTATGTTTAATTTATTGATAAACTGCTCTACTGGTTTTCAAAATTGTTGCATCATTTTATATTCCCACCAACAATGCATGTGGTGCCAATTTTTCACATCCTTGCTAACATCTGTTATCTGTATTTTTGTTTATAGCAATCCTGAGTATGAAGTAGATTCTCACTGTAGTCTTGATTTGCACTCTGCTAATGGCTAATTATGTTGAGAACGTTTTCGTGAGTTTACTGGATATCTGTATGTCTTCTTTGGAGGGATGCCTATTCAAATCCATTGCCCATTTTTAATTGGGTTATTTATCTTTTATTGCTGTTCTTCCTATATTTTAGATAGCAGTTCTTTATTAGATATATGATTTGCAAATATTTTTATCATGTTATGTGAGTTGTCTTTTTACTTTCTTGATTGTGTCCTTTGATACACAAAAGCTTTAATTTTGTTGAAGTCTAATTTATCAAACTTTTGCTTGTACTTTTAGGATATTTGAGAAACTATTGCCTAATCCAAGCTTACGATGATTTACTCCCATGTTTTCTTCTAAGAGTTTTGTGCTTTTAGCTCTCATATTTAAGTTTATGCTTCTGAGTTAATTTTTGTGTGTCTATGGTTTAAGAAAGGGGTCTAAGATCATGCTTTTGCATATTGCTATCCAGCCGTCCCATTTATTGAGTATTGTTCTTTCCCCATTCAATTGTCTTGACACTCTTGTTGAAATCAATTGACCATAAATGTAACATTTATTTCTGGATTCTCTATTCCTTTGACCTATATATCTATTCTTTTTCCATCACCAGACTGTTTTGATTGCAGTAGCTGTGTAGTAAGCTTGGAAATAAGAAGATACGACTCCTTCAACTTTGTTCTAAATTTTTTTCAAGATAGTTAGGTTATTCTAGGGCCCTGTCCTGTTCCTACATAAATTTTATGATAAGCTTGTTAACTTCTACAAAAAGCCAAGTTGGGATTTTGATAGGGTTGCCATCAAAACCCTACCAAATTGTTTTGAGAATCGTTTGGGTATTTTTGCCTTATTTTTCCTTATTCATTAATATGGTATGTATTTTACTTTTATTTACAGGTTTATCAATTTTATTGACTTTTTTAAAGACAGCCTTTTGTTTCATTGATTTTTCCTGTTGTTTTCCATTTTTCTATTTTATAGGATTCTCCTATTATCTTTGTTATTTCATTCTTTCTGCTTGCTTTATATTTATTTTGCTCTTTATAATTCCTTGAGTTAGGGAATTAGGGTTTTTTTGAGACATTTATTCATAGCCAATATACCCTTTAAGATAAAAAGTTTTCACCTCGACATTATTTAGTGGCATTTTACATATTTTGATATGTTATAATTTTTTTTCATTCAGTTCTGTGTATTTTAAAAATTTCCTTTAAGGCTTCATCTTAGGCCCTACGTATTTTTTAATTTCCTTTAAGGCTTTCTCTTAGGACCATGGATTTAGAAGTGTGCTGTTTAATTTCTACAGATTTGGAGATATTCCTTCTGTTTTATGTTATTAATTTATAATTTTATCCCTTTGTGGTCAAAGAATACACTATATATGACTTTAATTCTTTTAAATTTATTGAGGTTTGTTTTACGACCCTGGATATGGTGTATCTTAGTAATTGCTTCATGGACACTTGAAGAAAATGTGTATTCTGCAATTGTTGGATGAAGTGTTGCATATATGTTTGTTAGACCCTGTTCACTGATTGTGTTGTTCAGATAATCAGGATATAGAATCTTTGCTGATTTTCTGTCTGGTGTTTTTATCAGCTCCTGAGAAAGAGCTGTTGAAATCCCCAACTACAATTATGAATTTTTCTGTTTCTCCTTTCAGCACTCTCAGATTTTCTTTTTTTCTTTTTTATTTATTTATTTATTATTATTATACTTTAAGTTTTAGGGTACATGTGCACAATGTGCAGGTTAGTTGCATATGTATACATGTGCCATGCTGGTGTGCTGCACCCACTAACTCGTCATCTAGCATTAGGTATATCTCCCAGTGCTATCCCTCCCCCCTCCCCCCACCCCACAACAGTCCCCAGAGTGTGATGTTCCCCTTCCTGTGTCCACGTGTTCTCATTGTTCAATTCCCACCTATGAGTGAGAATATGCTTACATGTATTTTGAAACTCTGTTTTTTGATGCATATATATGACTGGTATTTCTTCCTAATAGCTTGCTTTTTTGTCATTATGTAATGTCCCTTTTTGTATTTAATAATTTTCTTTCCTCTGAGGTCAACTTTATCAGATAACAATATAGCCCATTCTATTTTTTTTTTAATTAAGGTTTGCATGGCAATTTTTTTCATCATTTTACTTTCAACCTATGTATGTCATTGAATGTGAAGGGAGTTTCTTGTAAGCAGCATTTAGCTGAGGTATACTTTTTATCCATTTTTTTGTTGATGTATTCAGACCTCTTACACTTGAGGCAATTATTGATATACCAGTACTTAAGATTACCATTTATTAGTTATTTTCTGTCTGTTTTCTCTGGACTCAGATCTCTGTTTCTCTTTTCTCTTCTTCCTGCATGTTCCTGGAACATATTTTAGGATTTCATCTGGTTTAATTATAGTGATTTTGAGTGTATCATTTTTGGTAGTGGTTGTTCTGAGTATTCCTGTATTTATTTATCTCTCTATCTATCTATCTCTTTATAAGTCTACTGGTATCACTATTTTAACCTCCCATTTTCTTCTCCATTTTTATAATATCATCATGAGAATGAGACTATGCTATAATTTTGTTCCAATCATCAAACATCACTTAGAAAGCACATTGTATGCACCTATATTTCTGCTTTTTGTAGTATTATTTCTTCCTTCCTGATGCTCCATGATCTCTTCTTTTATTCATCTTTTCTGTTAGAAGAATTCTATTCAGCCAATCTTTAAGAATTATGTCTGCTACAGAATGTAAAATATCTTATGTTCTCACTTATAAGTGGGATAATGGACTCTAGGGACTCCAAAGTGAGGAAGGTGGGAGGGAGCTAAGGGTTGACAAATTACCTGTTGGGTACAATGTTCAATATTTGGGTGAGGTGGTGGGTACACTAGAAGCCTAAACCTCACCACTACTCATGTAATACCCATGTAACAAAGAAGCACATGTACATCTTGGATCTTCAAAAAAAAATACTCTCCGTGGGTGCACATTCACAGTTGAAAATTGTAGTTATCTAAGAGGATTCTTTTTAAATAGTACATCTATGTTGTATACAGGATTTGGGGGCCTAATGTTTCTCATTCTTGCTTTACAATTTCATATTACTGTGTTTCTTATTTAGAACCATTTCTTGACAACAGTGTATTGTGGTTCAGTTTTACCTATGTGTTATGATTGAATTTCAATGTCAATTTGCAACTCTGTGTGTACACTTTAAGTCAATACGGGGTTTAATGAAAATATAAGTCAGTGATTTCTATCACCATCATCTCTCTCTGGCTGCATCATCTGTCTCTGGCTGCATTCCAGATTTTTCTGCCTTTAATATTCAACATTTTAATATGATGTGTCTGGAAACTTTTCAGAAATGCATATTCAGTGGCCCTACCACAGAATCAGAAATTATGGTAGTGGGGCTTGTGTTAGCAAGCCCTTCAACTGATTCTAATGCACAGTAAAGTTTAAGAAACAGTTACCGAGATCTGTACCAGTAGCTACTAGTCATATGTGACTATTCAAATTTAAAATAATTAGCAAATAAAATCAAAACTTTAGTTTCTAAATCCCACTAGCCACATTTCAAGTATTCAATAAAAGCCTGTATCTAGAGGCCACCGTATTTGATAGCACATATTTATTCCATTTTCATCATCTTAGAAAGCACTGCTAAACAACATTGATTGAAGAATAAATGAAATTTGTCAGAGTAGTATATTTGTAACAGTTTATCAGCTGTACTGGATATCTTCCTTTTACCCTGCCAGAACTACTCTTTACCCTTCTTCTCCTTGTGCTCAGCTCTTAGAGACTCACTCACAAGAGCTGTTTCAATGGGTTCTCTTGACCTCCGGCTTCCGGTTGGGTTTGACCAATGGGAAGCCCCGGACCAAGTGTTTGCTCCCTCCCCAGTCACTGGGTATAGTTTCCGTTCTTTACCTATGGCCACAATTTCTGTAAATGTTTCTTATATCTACATCTAATCTCTAGGGCAATTTTTGGTAACTATTCCTTTCTTGTCCCTTCAGTCTTAGAAGCAGAATCCCTTGGTTTCTCCTTAAACCTTGCCTACAGTATTTACAGGCCCCTTTGCTTACTTTTCTTCAGATGGTCTCCTTGGAGTGTGACTTCTTCTTTCTACAATAATTGCATATCCCTGGTTCATGCATCAGCTGAACTTTTGGCCTTTAGTAGGTTTAGAAACTGAAATAACTCAAATTTTATCTCCTATATTAGTGTTCCCCAGAGTAAGCTTAAATCTTATTTCTCTCCATTAAAATCAAGATAAAGAGAGAAAAAAAGAAAAATGAAGGAAAGAGGAAGGAAAGAATGAAGGAAGGAAGGAAGGAAAGAAGGAAGGAAGGGAAAGAAAGAAGGAAATTATCTATTATAGGGTGCATACTATGATTCTTGTATTTTGTTGAGTATGTTGCACAAGCTTGGAACCACAGTAGAACTGCTCATAAAAATGAGTGCCATGCTCTGTCATTCTGAGGAGCAAAACTGCAAACAATTCAGGACACGCACAGTGATTAAAACTCTTCAATATTTTTCTTAATAAATAGGAGCTTTAGCCGGGCGCGGTGGCTCATGCCTGTAATCTCAGAACTTTGGGAGGCCGAAGTGAGTGGATCACGAGGTCAGGAGTTCGAGACCAGACTAACCAACATGGTGAAACCCTGTCTCTACTAAAAATACAAAAATTAGCTGGGTGTGGTGGCGGGCGCCTGTAATCCCAGCTACTCAGGAGGCTGAGGCAAGAGAATTGCTTGAATCTGGGAGGCGGAGGTTGCAGTGAGCAGAGATCATGCTACTGAGCTCTAGCCTGGGTGACAGAGCGAGACTCCATCTCAAAGAAATAAAATAAAAAATAAATAAATAGGAGCTTTAGATGGAATAAAACTTTATTTTCTAACTAGGTATCATCATTAAGATGATTACATTATCTGAAACCTAACCTGAATATAATTGCACAGTGTTAACAGGTAGCATAGCTGTCTAACATAACATCCCATGATAATTGACTCTTAATTAACTGTATAGGTATTATAAGCAGTAGTTGCTAATCCTACATTGACTTTTACTTTTTTGCTTAGTAGAAATCTCTCCAAGATTCCTAAACAAAAACTAACAGGAAGGAATTTATCGTGAACCCATGAAACAGTGCAATGTAAAGCAGGGATGCCTTTTTGATCTTTGAGTATTTCATCTTGTTTCATATGTGAAAGAGCCCCCTTGGTTTGCTGAATAAATATTTCTTTTTAATTGTTCTAACAATCATGCTTGATAGTTCTGGTCAAGAAAACGATTTGTTTTCTCAACTGAGTGAACCTTCTTTAGACCAAGTTGGAGCACTGACATATTTAGGACAAGCAAGATTCCATGATAGTAACATCAGTTTGATTAAGGGAGACGAGTGGTTTTTATTTTTTTTAACATCACAGAAGTGACGAATATTCATCTCTAAGATGTCTACTTTTCTCTTGACCTTTAAATTACTAAATATATTGCTGTGTCCTCACATTGCTTTCTGCAGAAATACAACAACAACACTGGATCCTTCCAGTGTACGCAAAGATTCTGCTGCAGTGCAACCCAAGCACAACCAGCCAAGGTCTGCTGGGGATCTCTGCTGCTGCAGCATTTTATGCACACAGGAAAGGTATTGTGAATAATGTACAGTTATAAGCAGGTGACCAAATCAAGCTTCCTTCACTTAATGCTATTCCCAAGTACACTCTGAGGGAAGTAATTGGATACCTTTATTAGCAATTGATCTATAGAGGAAGAAAGTGTGATGAAAAGCCTTGCAAGGCATTGATTGCATGTGCATTAGCTTACACTGATCTGCAGTACTTTTACAGAAAACTCACATAAATTAAAACAATAACCAGAATTCTATCACTAAACAGAAATATAAAATATATAGAAGCCTCAAGTATGAAAATCCAGAGAAATTCTTTCACTATAGATTATTTAAGAAGCAAAAGCAGCTATCATGAGGCCATCTTATAATTGGACAAGTGCTTGTGATGTACTATTCAGTGCTGATGTGCCACTGATGGACTAGCTTGTAGGATATGAATCCACTCTGTTCTATTTTCTTAACACCGATGATGAGAAGTGTCAGGAGATGCCAGGCACCTTCCTGGAATAGCTATCATTATTCCCCAGTATAATCACATTACCTTTTGATTATTTTAGATAAAAATATAGAGGATATTTTTCCCTCAATAACAGACTATGCATTAAACGTACAATATAACAGCCTTTGTGCATTTACTTTAATTAGCCAAAATTATTAACACAATTGCCTAAGTGTAATTGCTGCTATTGATGGGGGGAGAGTGGATGACCCCCATGGTCTCATCATATACTACAGATATCAGCCTCTTGACTTTTTACACAAATCAACAAGCAAATGGAAATGTGGTGTACTATTATAACTATACCATGAATTATTATGTAGTAAACACAGGCATGCCTAAGACATTATAATGTTCTCTGTATGTTTTATATTGATTGTTTTCCCTTGGTGAATATTGTTATTAATAAATCTTGTATAATATTAATTGTATGGGATATTTTTCTTTCTGAGATTATAAGATAGAGTCATTCACGTCAGTGCTCTGGAGATTCTATGTTGTTGATTATAGAAAGTTTTATTTAATCATTACTCTGTCATTATGCTCTCCATGTCTTAGTTATCCCTGCTCATCTTCATTGGTTTAATGCATAAAAATTAAATATTCTAATGCTGAAGAGAAAAAATGAAATTTCAAGCTGTCGTTATTGTGGGGGTACAATCACTGAGAAAATTAGATTTATTTAAGGTTATTTAAAAGTAAAGTTAGGGTCTTCTGTTTCCATTTAGGATGGATTAACTGTTGTGGAAACTGCTGTGTCATTGTAAAACTAGAAAACGAGATAAAGATATGAAACGAATGTCTTTAGACATTGAAAAATAGGTAACACAGGACTGTGAAACATGACAGAAGGGATCCTGAGACAACAAAAATGTGAGGATCCCTGTCCTGTATGAAATGCTACTCTGGACCTGACTTAAATATACTTTAAGCCTCAAAAAGGTTAAACTACTCTGAACATAGTTTAAGTGCCTGGTATATTTTAGAAATATAATAAAATATAGCACATTATAAAATTCACACTGTCCAGTGTCCAGTGAAAATATTTAGGGTAGGGAAGAAGCAGATAATATGACTTTTAACTAGAAGGAAAAAGAAACAAAAATCGGTTACCATATAAACTATGAAATCAGCAGACTAGAATATTAAACTAGCTATTATATATAGTATAACTGTGAACAAAAGCATAAAGGAACACATAAATGTAATAAGAAGAGAAATTGGAAATGTTTTTTAAATACCCAAATGGAAGTATTAGGGATTTTTAAAAAATCATCCAAAATGAAAAATAAACTGAATGGGTTTAAATGCAGATTAGACACTGCAGAAGAGATCAATGAACTTGAAGCTGTAGGAATAAAAACTATCTAAATTTAACAAGGAGAGGAAAAAACAAAGTGCTTCTATGACCCATGAGCCAATACGTAGCAATTTAAAATATGGGTAATATTTCCAAAATGAAGATAAATAGATGCTTTTTAAGACAAACACAAAATAATTGAATTGACCACCAGTAGTGCTATACTACAGGAAAGGCCAAAGGAATTTCTTCAGGCAGAAAGCAAATGATATCAGATTGAAATGTGGATGTAAACAATAGAATGAAGAACACTAGAAACATAAACATGTGGATTAATGTAAAAAACATTTTATCATTTTGAATATATTTTAAAAGATTGTGTAATGCAAAGATAACAACGTCTGTTGTTGATGATGTATTTGTAATACATATTACATATATATAAGAAAAATGTTTAACAATAGTACAAAGGACAAGACTGATGAAATAGATTTATACTGAATTAAGATTTGTATACTACACATGAGGTAGTATAATAATAGTATTTCAAGTTAGGCTGTGATAAGTTGAAACAATATATTGTAAATTGCAGAATAATAATTAAAAATATAAAACAAAAAGAAAGGCTAATAAGCCAATAGAGGGAATATATTAAAATCCTAAAAATAGCAAATTATTTTTAAAAATTTGTAAAACAAAAAGGAACAGATTGGAAGAATAGAAAACAAATTGCAAGATGATTGATTTAAATGACATTATATATTGATAAAAATGTTAATAGTTACATCATTAAAATACTTCTAAACATAACTTAAAATTAACAATGATGTCAAATAGAAATTTTAAATTACAAAACCCACATTACATATGAAGATACAAACAGATTAACAACACAAAATTGTGATAAAATATACATGCAAACAATTCAAAGAAATTTGGACTGACCGTATTAAAATTGAAAATAAGTAGATTTACAAGAAAGTGATATTATCAGAGATAAAGATGTATATTTTATAGTAATAAAGGAGGCAAATTAACAAGAATAAATAGCAATCTTAAGTGTGTATGAATATAATAGCATAGCTTCAAAATACATAAAGCAAAACTGATGGAGATAAAAGGAAAAATAACCAGTTCCTAAATATAATCAGAGTTTTCAACACTCCTCTTTCAGTAATTAGTAGAACAAGTACACAGGTAGTCAGAAAG
Organism: Homo sapiens; assembly: GCF_000001405.40. NCBI lineage: Eukaryota > Metazoa > Chordata > Mammalia > Primates > Hominidae > Homo > Homo sapiens. The sequence continues at coordinate 166,391,469 of NC_000002.12, read as the reverse complement.
AATGTAGATGTGAACAACCAACTTGACTTCATTGACATTTACAACACTCTCCTAACATAAGCAGAAGACACATTCTTTTCAAGCACAAGCAAAGTATTAACTGATACATAATAAGCTAGAACATAAAACAAGTGTGAACAAATTTGAAAGCACTGAAATTATTCAAATATGTTCTCTGACTCCATCAAAATTAAACTATAAAGCAACAAATAAGAGCTATATGTAAAATCCCCTATTTAAAAAAAAAAAGGAAAAGTCATTTCTAAATGATCCATAGATCAAAGATGTAGTAAATCTGTCTTTATTTGCAGACAAATACATTACCTACACCTAAAATCTTACTAAGTTTTTAGAAGGAAAAAACTATTCCACCTAATAGAGTTTAGCTGGTACAAGGTCAATAAACATAGAGTGTTTCCCTATAATATGATTTAATTACTGAAAAATTAACTTAATTAAAATGTCAAATTCAATGTACAAGAACATTTTTTAAATGAAGTACTTAGAGATAAATTTGACAAACTGTGTGTAAGACCTATACTGTAAAGACTATAAAACATTTTTTAGAAGACTTAAACAAGACCTAAATAAATGGAAAAAAATACGTTGCTCATGGATTGGAAAATCCAATATTGCTAGGATATAAATTTTTTTCCAAATTAATCTGCAGGTTCAACATGATCCCAATAAATATCACAGTAGATATCATCAAACCAATTATAAAATTTATATGGAAATGCAAAGATCCTAGAATAGCCTAGATAAATTTGAATAAGAGTAACAAACTTGGAGAACTTTTATTACCTGGTTTGAAAAACAACCAGAAAGCTGCAATAATCAGGGTAGTGTAGTATGAGGGTAAGAATTATGTGCCAAGCTCAGTGTTAAGGTCTTTATATAAATACAGTTTTATTTAATCCTCACAGACTCATACAAGGCAGGTGTTATTATTCCTATGATGAGAGAGCTAGGGCCCAGAGTGTTCAAATAACTCTCAGGATAACACAATTAACAAACTTCACCTGTCTCTGAAGCCTAGCCTTTTAAGACACAATAGTATGTTTTATCCCTTCATAGAGTTGTTTCAAATTCTTTCTAAAAATGGATGTTCTTTAATACTGACTCTAAACATACTTGTTCAGATATAGAAATTCCAAATTTAAATGTAGGACAGAGAAGATGATATCTCATTATTTTACAGCTCATTACCCGTCATATTTCAAAGTAAAATCACTGAAAAATAGGATAGAAAGTCAAGTGATTGCGGGAATAATGTTAAAGAAAATAAATTAGTCAAAGGGAGTCATTATGTTTTCAATTCCTGAGAACTCCAATGTTCTTGCCAACCCAACCTGATGACACAGATGATTTTCCAAATATATATGATAAAGGTGACTTCCAAAAACCTGTAGAGTAGATCATTTAAAGCTACAATGAGCCAGTGGCCATCATTTCGGCTATCGCCCTCCTCTTCCTTCTCCAGATCCCATGAGGCTGATGCTTGTGATGACATCCCTTAATGCCAATGGCCTAGAAATTTAGCAAAGGTAAATGTGTCAATTGGGTCTCAGTTTGCACATCTCTGGAGATCTGGTTCAGATATATATTTTTGAGGGTGTCCAAAAGTTACAAGAATATATGGATGGCTGAACCTTCAGACAAATCCCTTTTGTTCCAACAACATTGTTGAAGCATGGAATTTGATATGATTTGGCTGTGTCCTCACCCAAATCTCATCTTGAATGTAGCTCCCACAGTTCCCACATGTCTTGGGAAGGAACTAGTGCGAGGTAATTGAATCATGGGGGTGGGTCTTTTCCATGCTGTTCTCCTGGTAGTGAGTCTCACGAGATCTGATGGTTTTATAAGGGGGAGTTTCCCTTCACAAATTCTCTCTTGTCGTCACCACGTAAGAAGTGCCTTCTGCCATGATTGTGAGGCCTCCCCAGCCACGTGGAACTGTGTGTCTATTAAACCTCTTTTTCTTTATAAATACCCAGTTTCGGTTATGTCTTTATCAGCAGGATGAAAATGGACTAATACAGAATATGATGATGAATACTCTGAAAAGAATAGGGAGTGCAAGTTATCTGTGTTTATTAAGTCCAGAATTTTTGTGCATTGTTTAAGTTGGGGTACTCTCCATGGTTTAATCACACTACAAAATCTGTGATAAAAAATACTATAATAATAGGATCTCCAGACAAGAGGTTGTCAATACTAGCTCATGACTGGTACCAGTCATTGAGGAGTTTTTACCTCTCCTCAACTTCTGACTTTTCCATGGTGGAGATTAGTACCTTCAGTCTACAATATAATTATAAAGAGCCATAGTTCCGGGGATGGGGGACTTCCAGTTTCTTTCCCACAGCTCTTACAGTTCTAACCATTAGCCAATTCATGCCCTGGCCTCCAACCCTTTCATTCTAATTCTTTCATAGAATGAGAAAAAGTCATAAATAGTGCCAGATGCTGGAAGATGAGACTATTTTCCTCAAAACTCCTGTAGTTTTTCTGGAATGATATTACATGTAGCAACTGACTTTATTTTCCTCAATATTACTATGCAATAAAAACTTATTTCTGATACAGATGAGTCAGCAAAAGATTTCTATGGAAGTTCATTGGGAAGTACTCTCTGTAATTATAGCTGAGAGGAAGCAGGAAACAAGATTGTGCAGGAGAAGCAGAACGGCAGTGCAGCTGCAACAGCAGCCTCAGTGAAATCATGGGAAGCTCTAACTTGTACCCAAGCAAGCGATCAGGACTTTAATACTCATGTTAACCAGTCATTAGATGTGGGCTGCCTCTGAGAAAGGGTCAAATCTTTGAGTGCAGCTGTTTCCTTTAGTTAAGGACAATTCCCAGAGAGAATCACAGCTATGAGCCATCTGCATCCCATACTCTCTCCAACTGAAGAAATGAATCCGTTGTTCATTGTTCCTGAAGGGGGATGGGCAACATAACACAGTTCTCTGTATATCTTACTACCTCACATACATTGGATCCTGGGATATACTCAATATTTGTTATCTTTTCTGTGTATTGCTATCACATATGGATCCCTAATGTGACAAGTGTGAATCCAGAAAATAGTTACATACAATATGATATTTCAAAATGAAATTGTAACTTTTAAATTTTGTAAATAAACATTATTTCTCTACACATTAAGGAATAGAGAGATTGACAAAAGTTTTTTTTCTGTGAAATACATTACTTTATTCAGAGATTCTGTTCTATATGTACTCCTTTGGTGTTAAAAATATATTTTAAAAATATGTAATATAGGTATTAAACCACATATTTGGCCATTTTTCATAAATGACAACATCATGTTAATCTCTACACATTCAACTTCTTCCTAAATACTTCCACTTGGCTGTCTCACAGCATCTCAAAATCAATAGGTATAAAACTTCGCTCATCATCTTCCACCATTAAATCTATTTCTCTTATAATACTAACTCTTTTGTGGGATGGGGGGGAGTGTTAATGAAATTATCATTGCCATCTATTGTCACTAATGTCCAAAACTTTTCTGTTTATTTTATATGCCTCCATCTACTCTCCTACCCAAATTCAATAAGCACTTACTTCCTCTCAATTCTACTTAGAAAAACAAACCAAAAAACCTACTACTTCTGACCATACTGCTCCATTTTCACTTCCCTAGTTTCTTTAGGTCTTTATTTTTTCTCATGTATGTTATTGTTCAAACCCTTCTTCCCAGCATTATCAGAGTAATATGTACTTTTTTCTTTTAAAATAGGAATAATGCTTCTAAAAATCAAATATGATGGTGACAATTTATATTTCCACATTTAAAATGTCTCCTTTCCTCATTAAGTTCAGGCAACTCAGCAGGGCATATTCAAGACCTTTATCACCCATGCCTCCTTTTCTCTGGGCTTACCTTCCCTCATTCCCAAGCCCTCCCTCAACTTCATCAATACAGAAACTGAAGATTTGCAAAAGGCCTTGTTCTTGCATACCATATTACCTCTGCCTGCAATTCCCCCTCAAGCCCCATCCATCTAATTCTTGAACAACCTTCCAAGGCCAGCTCAAGCATCACTTGTTCTGGGAAGTCTTTGCTGGAGTCCAAATAAAGAAATAGAATAAAATGTGACACATACTTTGACACACACTTTGAGGGCATAATGGAAGCATGGAGGAGGGGAATCTAATCCATACTTGGCAGGTCAAGCAGGGTTTAGAGTGTGTGATGCCCAGGATCTGAAGGACAAAAGAGGTGGCTCAGAAATAAGTGCTGGAGCAGAGTGGTCCACCAAAGGAAAGTGCAAAAGCAAAGACCTTGATGCTAGAGATCAGAATGGATGTTAAAGAATTTGACCTTGATCCTGAGAACCACTCATTAAATAAGAGAATGTAGAGAGTTGGTTAGAGTTAGGAATGCTGGCAGTTGACAGAGCAGTATGGAGTCTGTTTCTATAGTCCAAATTAAAGATCACAGCACTCAAGCTAAAATAGTGCAAGTGGTGATAGAAATAAACAAATTTGAGAGACTTCAGCATACATCTTTCAACAAAAAAAGAAAGAAGAAATCTCTGGTAAAAATAAGTTTTCTCTACGCTTCTTTCTTCTTTGCTTAAATAAAACAAACCAACTTTTCTTTCCTAGGGACCATTAAATCTCCAACACTTGCCCCCAACCTCTTTGGCTTTTGTTAACATGTGGTAGAATTCCTTTTATTACATTTTTTTTTTTTTTTTTTTTTTTTTTGAGACGGAGTCTCGCTCTGTCGCCCAGGCTGGAGTGCAGTGGCGCGATCTCGGCTCACTGCAAGCTCCGCCTCCCGGGTTCACGCCATTCTCCTGCCTCAGCCTCCCGAGTAGCTGGGACTACAGGCGCCCGCTACCACGCCCGGCTAATTTTTTGTATTTTTAGTAGAGACGGGGTTTCACCGTGTTAGCCAGGATGGTCTCGATCTCCTGACCTCGTGGTCCGCCCGCCTCGGCCTCCCAAAGTGCTGGGATTACAGGCGTGAGCCACCGCGCCCGGCCTTTTATTACATTTTTTGTGAAGAAAAAAAATACAAAGTTGACCCAAAAGCAAAGATATAAAGTTCTGGCATAGAGCTCTTACCATTAACATCCATATTTCATCAAAATAGGCAGAAACCATTGCCAGATACCTCTCCCCACATGTGCCTTTACTTACAATTGCTCTGCTTTTCTTTTTCTCCTTTCTTTCAAGAGGATAAACTAGTGAACATATGAAAAAAGTGAGAGGGGATATTAAAGCTATCATTCAAATTTCATATCTGTTCAGAAGACTACAGGTGTCTATTCAAAGCTGTGCCACACTCAGGAGTAATCTCCATTTAATAGTGTGTCAGGTCTTGGAAAACAACCAAGGGCCTGTAACTAAACAGAGCACAGCTCTTCTGAAGAGTGTCACTCCACCACTGGTGCTACCGCCTACGTTCCCTTAACTCTCCTCAAACAGTGCTTTGACTCTTTAGGCATCGACCCTGTTGTACTGTACTCGTTGGATACCTGTCTAGCCAGGGCTTCTACCTGTTACCCCTAACCAATCACATCTTGAATTTCCTCCAATCTATTTTATTGTAATGGAAGGAGTAAAAGTATTTTCATAAATTTAAACAAAGTTTGAGATACTATATTTAAAAACTAATGCTTCAAAAAAGTAATTATATTTAAAATTTTAGAATAAAGCTTTTTTTAAAAATTCCAGTATTTACATCCATTTCTACTGTCCCTCTGCCTTGTCTTGTTTTAATTTCATATATATTTCTGAAATACCATATTTTCTTTCTTTTTCTGTTACTTTAATTTTTAAATCAAAAGAGAATATAACACAAGGTTATATGATTAAAGGAAGGCCTTTCTGTATCAGGTGTGCCCTTTGCATAAGCTAAATAAATATTTGTGGACAAAAATCACAAGTAAGCAAAAAAAAAGTTCCCACAAAACAATTATAAATTGTTGAAATTATGTCTCAGCAAAAACAAAAAAAAATTTTTTTAATCTGAATCAGATCTGTGAAGTTTACTAACTGAAGTTATCTCCTTGCAAATTACTCTAATATATAAAACAGTCAGAAGTGGTTGTTTCAGCTCATCTACAGATGGACCTTAAGTCTGAACACCAGCAAAATGTACTTTCCGGGCCAGGCACAGCTGCTCACCCTGTAATTCCAGCACTTTGTGAGGCCAAGGCAGGCGGATCCCTTGAGGTCAGGAGTTCGAGGCGAGTCTGGGTGACTGGTGAAATCCTGTTCCTACAAAAATACAAAAATTAGCTGGGCGTGGTGGCGGGTGCCTCTAATCCCAGATATTCGGGAGGCTGAGGAGGGAGAATCGCTTGAACCTGAGAGGTGGAGGTTGCAGTAAGCCAAGATTGCGCCATTGCATTCCAGCCTGGGCGACAGAGCAAGACCCTGTCTAAAAAAAATACATGCACACACACACACACACACAAACACACACACGACTTTCCCCCTTGCTTCGAATGTAAAGAAACTGTTAATATCAAAAGGTTTTTTAGATCACTTCGTATAATAAAACATTCTACTTATTTTGAACACCAGGTGGCAGTAAATGTGGCATTTAGCCAAAAATGAAGGTGGAAGGATGAAACTGATTTTGAATTTTATGCATGAAAAGGAATAAAAAATAATTTAGTACAAACTTTCCTGTTTACAGAGGAGAAAACTGAAATACATAGAAATGAGGAGACGTGCTCAGAGATACAGTAGTAACTGGCAGATCAGTAAATAGCTTCTGTACTCTATCCACGATACTGTGATGCAATTTAACTTTTCTGACATGTTTGATTTCAACTCTACAGGTTTATTTGCAAATAAATGGATTACTGAGAGATTTATTTGTTTAATATTTATTTTGTTCTACGTGTAACAAATTTTATTTTCAATTCATATATATAATGTAGGTGGCCAGTACTTTCAAAATGTATGTATTGCCTTTAGGAGACATAGAAGAGCCATTTCTTTATGGAGATAGTGTAGCATGGTGCTTAAGCACACAGGATCTGGAGCCAACTTATTTAGGTTGTCACCTTGGCTCTTCCATATATTAGCTGTGTGGCCTTGGGCCAGTTGTTCAGCCCGAAAAAAAAACGGGGATTATAATAAAATCACCTACCTCTAAGAGTTGTTGGCTAGGCACTGTGGCTCATGCCTATAATCTCAGCACTTGGAAGGCCAAGGTGTGAGGATCACTTGTGTCCAGGAGTTCAAGACTAGCCTAGGCAACACAGGGAGATCCTGTCTCTACAAAAAAATAAATCAACTTCACCAGGTTTATTAGTCTGTTTTTACACTACTATAAATAACTGCCTGAGACTGGATAATTTATTTAAAAAGGAGGGTTTAGTGGACTCACAGTTCTGCATGGCTGGGGAGGCCTCAGGAAACTTACTATCATGGCAGAAGGTGAAAGGGAAGCAGGGACCTTCTTCACATGGCGGCAGGAGAGAGAAGAGACAAAGGGGAAAATGTCCCTTATAAAGCCATCGGATCTCCTGAGAACCCACTCGCTATTAGGAGAACAGCATGGAGGAAGCTGCCCCCATGATCTAATTACCTCCCTCTCTCAACAGGTGGGGATTACAATTCAAGAAGGGATTTGGGTAGGAACACAGAGCCAAACCATATCACCGGGTGTGGTAGTGCACACCTGTGGTCCCAGTTACTCAGGAGGCGAGATGGGAGAATCACTTGAACCCAGGAGGTTGAGGCTGCAGTGAGATGCGATCATGCCGCTGCACTCCAGCCTGGACAACAGAGCAAAACCCTCTCTCAAAAAACAAACAAACAAACAAACAAAACGTTTGTTATATGGATTAAATGGGTCAAAAAAATAAAGTTTATTAATATAATGCCTGGTATATGTTACAACTTCAATAACTGTTATTAATCTCACTGGCAAGAAACAAAATTTCAAGAGTTAAATCTATGACTTTTCCGAATATTTTATGAAATCATGCTGATCATTTTTATACAGTATTATTTTTACATGGTATTACCATTCAACTTGTCTTCTCCACATTTCACATGACAATACATTTTCAGAATATCAACAGGTTTTTTTGAGTGTAAATAAATTCAGACTTTGCTAAAACATGCCTCTGGTTTAAAATTTAACATATCTTATTAGACACTACGCAAATATATTCTGCTTTTTAAAATTTTTATTTTTTTTTATTCTTCGTCAGTACCATGAAAATTTGAGTCTATTTACTGAATTGCTTAAAATACGGCAACGTAAAAGTAGTAAATGCAATTAGGCTGAAAGTAAAAGAAATGTTAGAAAAAAAATCTTGCAGCAATGGTAATCAATAATTTGAAAATTTTGATTTAAAAGATAAACTCTAACTCAGCAGTCCCCAATCTTTTTGGCATAGGGACCAGTTTCCTAGAAGACCATTTTTTTCACAGACAGAGGTGGGAGATGGTTTTGTGATGATTCAAGTGCATTATATTTATTGTGTACTTTATTTCTATTATTATTACGTTGTAATATATAATGAAATAAATACACAACTCACCATAATGTAGAATCAGTGGGAGCCCTGAGCTTGTTTTCCTGCAACTAGAAGGTCCCATCTGGGGGTGATGGGAGACAGTGAGAGATCGTCAAGCATCAGATTTTCACAAGGAGCACACAACCTAGACCCCTTACATGCACAGTTCACAATAGGGTTCGCGCTCCTATGAGAATCTAATGCTGCCACTGATCTGACAGGAGGCAGAGCTCAGGTGGTAATACAAGCCATGGGAAGTAGCTGTAAATACACATGAAGCTTTGCTCACTGGCCTGCAGCTCACCTCTTGCTGTGTGGCCTGGTTCCTGCTGTGGACTCCTGCTCTGACTGATTATTACTTTTATGATAAAAACTTGCAGTGTGAGTATCTTTAAGAAACTTAGTATTTAGAATGTGGATTTCTATAAATAGCAAACTAGTCTTTTACAGCTGCATTGAAGACCCTTGGGCCATTAGGTCTCTGTAGACCTCCCTGGCCTCACTTCTCTCTAAAGCCCCTTTAAAATCTTCAGAACTCTTGGTCCACAAACTGATTCTATCCCCATCATTGCTTTAAAACCTACTAACCTGGAAAGAATCAGCTATCACCACATCTTAGACTACACATTCAAATTTGCCAATACTCCTTCTTAAGGTAATCAGAACAACAAGAAAAACACCATTATTTTCAAACTCCATTTCATAGTACATAATTAAACTTTCAATTTAGTAAAGATAATGGAATAAATAAATTTAAATAGCTGTTATCTCCTTTAGAGTAACAGCTTGGGAAGTTATATCTTGTATCATTAGCGATGGGTTTGCTGAAATATTTTTAAATGTCTCTTTTGGAACTATCTTGAGGACCTATTTATGTCTTTTTTAAAATTAATTTTCTTTTCTTTTCTTTTTTCCTTTTTTTTGAAACAGCATCTCAGTCTGTCGCCCAAGCTGGAGTACAGTGACAAGATCAGAGCTCACTGCAGCCTTGACTTCCCAGGCTCAACTGATCTTCCCACCTCAGCCTCCCAAGTAGCTGGGACCACAGGTGCACACCACCGTCTCTGGCTAATTTTTTATTTATTTCTTTGAGAGATGGGGTTTCCCTATGTTGCCCCAGCAGGTCTTGAACTCCTGGACTCAAGCAATCTTCCTGCCTCAGCATCCGAAAGTACTGGGATTACAGGCATAAGCCACTGCACCTGGCCATATATATCTTTGAGGGAAGAAAAATTTCTGATCCTTGAGAATTAACTTAATAAATGTAATACATGTATGTTAAATGAATATATTGAAATATTTATTTAAAGTTACAAAAGATCACAGCTACCTATAAATTATTATAACTGTTTAACAAATGTTGCATTAATATTTTATTGTTTCAAATACTATTAATGACATATGTATTCATATAGGAAAATAAAAGTCTGGAACAATAGCAGTCAAGCTGTTAAAACAGGTTGTGAATTAACTTTGTTGTTATAGGGATCATTAGTTTCTATTTTGAATGTGTATATATATTCCTTAACTACTATTCCGAGTGTTGCCTTTACAATACATTGAATTTTCATTTCTGATATTGTATTTTCCATATGTAGAAGTTCCATTTTTGTGTGTTATATCTTATATTTCTCTCCTCATCATATTCAGATTTTTCTTTACTGTCTTAAGTATACATAGCCAACTTAATATTACAAAATTTAATGTCCTAATTTGTTAATTCCATTATCTTTGTCATTTCTGGGTCTGTTTTTGTTGATTGACTTTTCTGCGGGCTCTAGCTCATATTTTCCTTCTTCTTTGCATGCCTGCTCATTATTTTTGATTGGATGCCAGTCAATGTGAATTTTACGTTGTTAGGTCCTTTGAGACGTGTTGGATTTTACTCTGGCTAACATATAAGCAAACTGAAATCACCTGGGTCCTTTTAAGCCTCACTTTTAAGCTTTGTTAGGATAAATCCAGAGCAACGTTAGTTAAAGTTAATTCAGCCCCACTGCTAAGATAAGACCCTTCTGCAGAGTCTACCCAATATCTCCTGTGTTTTGAGGTCTTTTCACTTTGACTGGGGAGGATAAAATATTACTATCCCTGTGTGAGGTCCAAGAATTTTTAACCTGCTACTTAAGATTACAGTCATGTCAGTCATGTGCCAGATAACACTTCAGTCAAGGACAGACTGCATATATGATGGTGGTCCCACAGATTATAATACTGTATTTTTACTGTAACTTTTCTATGTTTAGGTATGATTAGACACAAAAATACCACTGTGTTACAATTGTCTCAGTACAGTAACATGTTGTACAGGTTTATAGCCTAGAAGCAATAGGCTATACCATAAAGACTAAGTATGTAGTAGACTATACCATCTAGGTTTGTGTAAGTACTGTCTCTATGATGTTAAAATTGCCTAGTGACACATTTCTCGGTACATATCTCCATTGTTAGGCAATGCATGACTGTAGTTCTTTCTCTGGCTTAGGGTATTTTTGTTTTCACACAATTGCAGAATGCTGTCAAGCAAAAACTTGAGGTCTCTTTCTACAGATCTCTGGTATACTCTCTGTTCAGCTCCCTTGTCTTAGGTGTCCTGTCCCAAATAAACAAATTCTAGCTCCCTCAGCCTATCAAACTCTTATTTTCTGGCTCTTCATGTTTCCATCTTCCTGAGCTGTGGTTTAGAAACTTTGTGTAGTATGCAGAGACAATCACAGCCTCACTTTCTTTCTCTTCTCTAGGGATCACTGTCTTATAGATAATGTTGCCCAATGACTGAAAACTAGTGTTTCATATATTTTGTCCCCTTATCTAATGGAAGACTTCTACAAGGGAATGTCGATAACAATAGTTTTGATCAAAAATAACTCCACAGAAAGCACATTATCAGCAAAACCATTGTTAGGGTAAGGGACCCATCAGTGGACTATGACACTGGGGAAAATTCTTCAGGAATAAGTAATCAATTAATATACTTACTAAGCATCTACTACATGCAAGACAAAACATTTATTTTTCTTCACATCAGTTTTCTGGCCAAAAAAATCCAGACCACGTCAAATTAGACGAGCAAACACTCAGATGCCAATACATTTAGGAAACCTCTTTTCTTCAGTTGTTTCATTAAGCATCATTTGCCCATCTCATCACTCCAATCTATGTCTGATAATCTTCATTGTATATTCTATTTCTTTTTAGTTATAATTTGAAGTTCTACTTTTGAATCCTACTTTTTAGCTATGTATACACAAAACTTGTAACTTTATTCTTCTATTTTCACAACAGAATAATTGTTTTTTCTTACTTTGTAATATTGCCGTGCAGCCAATATTAGAAGGTAAAAGTATTTTTCTAATCCTATTTAATTAGAGAAAAACAAACTCTTTCAGTATTGTATTAATTTTATTGCCTTAATATTACTGTCTATTTTTTGTTCTTCCAGAAACTTCTACAGTTTTGAAAATTGCAGTGGCAATTGTGGAAAATACAGAAGTGTGGATATCCATTTATTTCTCACTAAGGGAAATAAAATTCTTATTCCTATTCTGGTATGGATTGTATGATGTTAGTTAATTTCCATGACTCAACATTTCCACATTTTTCTATCTAAGTTACGGAAGGTCAGTTGTAAATATGATTAGGAACTTATTGGTTATTGGCTTTTTCAACCAGACAGGCTTTGTCTGGTTCCCTTAATTCAAGCCTACCCTTTAAATTTTAAACGTACCATCTACTTATGTCTACATCTGACGCTGTCATTTAGTGTTTAATGAACTCTCAAGGCTGTGCAGTGTAGTATTTAATAAGAAATTTGGAAAGATACTTTTTCTGGGTTTAAACCAAGATAAAATTTCTAGGGCTGCCAAAAGAGCAAGAAAAACACAAACAGCTAATGTTCTGTAGACTAGGAATGGCACATAAAAGAAATGGAAAGGAAATAAATAGTTGGAACATGAAAGAAAATTGGGAAAATAATGAATAATATACCTAATGCTTTGCCTATGAGCTCACAGGGAAAATCCTGCAAGGGATCCCTCAGTCAGACCAAGAGGATTTTATTTTTGGTTTTATCATTTTCCAGGATTTTATGTTTGAAGATCTCTAACAAGAACCTAGATATATTGAGAATAGTAAGTTCTTGTTAATGGATGCTTAAAGTGGAATATATAATATGTTATATATTATATACAACATATGTATTATACATAACATATATTATAACATAATATAGTAATATAATATATAACATGTTATAATATATAGGTTATATATAATGTATAATGCATTATATATTCCACTCTAAGAATGTATCTAACATATGTGTTATTCTAGATATAACAGCAAAGGCATAATCTATAAGAGACATAATTGCTAAGGTGAACTGCATTAAAATTAAAAACTTCTGCTCTGCAAAAACGGACAACAAGCCAGTGTTAGATAAATATTTGCAAAAGACACATCTGACAAATGACTGTTAACCAAAATATACAAATAAAGCTTAAAACTCAACAACAAGAAAAGAAATAACCCAATGAAAAAAATGGGCCATATACCTTAACAGACCAAAGAAGATGCACATATTGCAAATAAGCATATAAAAAGGTGATCCACATCATATATCACAGGGGAAATGCAAATCAAATAACACTTATGGTATCAACAATGGGCATGAGATACCACCACATATGTATTGGAATAACCAAAATCCAGAACACTGATGATATCAAGTTCTGGCCAAGGATGTGAGGCAACAGGAACTCTCATGTATTGCTGGTGGGAATGCAAAATGCTCCAGCCACTTTGAGGACAGTGTAGCAGTTTCTTTAAAAACTAAACATACTCTCACCATATGATCCAGCAATTGTGCTCCTTGATGTTCACCCAAAGGACTTGAAAACATGTCCACACAGTAACCTTCACAAAGATGTTTATAGAGGCTTTACGCATAATTGCTAAAACTTGGAAGCAAACAAGATGTCCTTCAGTAGGTGAATGAATAAACTATGGTACCACCAGTCAATGGAATATTATTCAGCACTGTAAAGAAATGAGCTATCAAGCTATGAAAAGCCATGGAGGAAAACTAAAAGCATATTGCTAAGTGAAAGGAGTCAATCTGAAAGGGCTATATTCTGTATTATTGCAACTATAGGATATCCTGGAGAAGGCAAAACTATAAAGACAGTAAAATGATCAGTACTTGCCAGGGGTTGAAATGGGAGATGAATAAGTGGAACACAGAGAATTCAGGAGAGAACTGAAATTACTCTGTAAGATACTGTAATGGTGGATACATGTCATTATATATTTGCCTAACCCCATAGAATGGACAACACCATGAGCTAACCCTAAATGTGAACTACAGACCTTGGGAGATAATGAAACCTCAAAGTAAGTTCATTAATTTTAACAAATGTTTCATTCTGGTGGGGAATGTTGATAATGGGGGAGGCTATTCTTGTGTGGGAGTAGCGGTTATGTGGGAAATCTCTGTACCCTCCCTTCAGTTTTGCTGTGAACCTAAAATTGCTCTAAAAATAAAATTTTAAAAATAAAAGAATGTGGCATTGCTTGCATCTAATAAAAAAGACCATTATTCCTATTGCAGTTGAACTCTTCTTCCTATATCTACCACCAATCAGGGAAGAGAAGGCGATTTGTCCAGGATATGGCACTGAGAATTATCACAAGTGAGCTAGTTCACCTTCATTGCACAGTCTCAGTCACTGAAGTTTCCTTCCTTCAATAGCACATCTTACAAGTCAAGAATGTAAGGTCCAAAGCCCCAGGACAAATCTCAGAAGCAAAGAAAGCAGCAGGGAAAAGTAGACCCTGGGATTTGATTTCCTTCCGGTTATCTCTAAGCATCATTTCCATGATAGAAGGTGTGGAAGCAAATAATAAAAGTGCCCGTCACTAGTGTTTATCCTGCAAAGTGGTCTGCCCTTTTGAGAGGCACCCTGCCCTATGGCCATCCTTTGATTTCTTCCCTTGGTGGAAATTTCCTGTTTCTCTTTGAGAAAGATAATTCAACCCTGTTTCCATTGTTCTTCCTCCCAGGCTGCTGTAGGAAAGCGCACGCACACACTCCACACAAAATGAATTTTTAAAAAATTTATTTTCACAGTCGCTCCTACCAGCTCTGAAATTCAGAACCCATATGACTGATGGCATATTCAGATAATCGGGTCCCAGGTCTGGAAAAGCAGCCTTTTCCCCACGTTTCTTTCCCCACCTAGGACCTCCTCTGATTCTTCACTGCATCTTCGAAAGAAAATGTATTATTTGCTTGCCTGGAAGACGCTGCAATTCAATTGATTTTATATATACATATATATAAAGAAAACAGAAAACATAGCCTAGATACCGGTCTTGAGCGTCACCGCCCCACTCGCGGTTGTGAGCAAAGCCCTACGGAAGAAACCAATTCCCAGCCTAGACTCTTCAGAGCCCAAGGTCGGGGAGGCGCTGGCCTGGCGGTGTTGTCTGGCTCCCCAGCCACTGCCCCAGACTCAGGGCTTTGCCATTGGTCCCCACCTCCTCTGCTCCGGAGTTTTTCTCCAGCTCCCCACCAAGCCACACAAAGTGACTTCTCGGAAACATTAGCCGATTCTGCTGAGCAGGAAGGGAGGAAAGGGATGATGGGGGCGGGGGTGAGATAAGGGAAGGGCTCTTCTGGCTGCTGGACACACACACACACACACTCAAACACACACACGCCCCACCCAATGGGTGGCCGTGGATGGCAGGTCGTGCAACCCCCTCCTCCGCCTTCTATTAGCGCATGGTGCAGAGGCTACAGCGTCGCCACCACCGCGCCCCTAGCTGGGTCCCCGCCCTGCGCCGCCCGCAGGAGTGGAGAGAGGGAGGGAGGGAGGGAGCAAGGGGTGGGGACCCGGGCGCGCTGGGAGGAGTGGAGGAGGCAAAGCGGCGCAGCTGCCCTCGGGGAGGCGGGGCTGCTACCTCCACGGGCGCGCCCTGGCAGGAGGGGCGCAGTCTGCTTGCAGGCGGTCGCCAGCGCTCCAGCGGCGGCTGTCGGCTTTCCAATTCCGCCAGCTCGGCTGAGGCTGGGCTAGCCTGGGTGCCAGTGGCTGCTAGCGGCAGGCGTCCCCTGAGCAACAGGAGCCCAGAGAAAAAGAAGCAGCCCTGAGAGAGCGCCGGGGAAGGAGAGGCCCGCGCCCTCTCCTGGAGCCAGATTCTGCAGGTGCACTGGGTGGGGATGATCGGCGGGCTAGGTTGCAAGTAAGTGCCTTTTCTTTTGCTGCTTCTGTGGGGAGGGGAGGAGAAGCCCTCGGTCTTTCGCCCGTGCTCGCCTCAACCGCCACACCCACCTGTGTCTATTTTCACATCTCGGTTCTGGAACCCTGTATTACGCCACCTGGAAAGAAGAGAGGGGAGAAGCTTGACCGGGTGGTTCCAGCAATGGGAGGAAGAAGGGCTGGAAGCGTAGTTATTTCGATAGCTGGGCAGCTCCTGTGCGGTTTTGACTCTGTGGGTTTGCTGCCAGGTTCTGAAACTGTGGAAAGGAAGGGTAGCAATGCCTGGTGGTTTACTGTCTTTTATTTCTGTTTACGCTAGCAGAGTTGTTAGATGGACTTCAATTCAAGGGGCAGCTCACATTTTTTACGAGCAAAAAGCATGTGCTGTATTTCCCATCTGCAAAGCTGAGCGTGCAGAACCAGCTTAGCAGATACAACCTGTGGGGACAGAAAAGAACCCCGCACCCCTTAAGAGCACACAAACACAAATAATTGACAGGACAGCTCTGCCCCTATTTCTCAGCGCAGATTATTTATTTATTTTTTCGAATAAGCACTTTATAGTGAAATTCAGAAAAGATGCAGAATCCTTTTAACTTTTTATCGAATTCAACTTGGGAAACTCATTTACTTTTAGGAAAAAATGGATATTTTCGTGCCTTATATTCAAGACAAAAATCAGAACAAGAAACTAGAAACATTAATGCCAGTTTTTGTGATTATAGTAAACATTTCACTCATTATTTTAGTTTTTTTTTTTTAAGTTGGAGCGTTCATAGATTATATCTACTCTGATGTTAAGAGCAATTTACATGAGAAACTTAGGGGGGTTTTTAAGAAGCTAGTGTCAGTAAGATAAAAGCCAAATCAAAGTAAGCTTTCAAGGAAGTGATAGCTTGTCAGTTACTGAATAGGAAGTCAGTGTTGGGAAGTTCAGTTCTTTTCAGAAACATATTTATTATTCTTTTCTATTTCTTCTTCCCTGTAGACAAGATAAAGATTTTCTTTCTCTTTCTTTCCTTGTTATTTAAATATATTTTATAATTTTTGCTTTAACATCAATATAAACCTATTTTATATAAACTGCAAACCAAATCCAATTATTAAACTGTTCATTTTATTGCAAATTCTTCAGATTTTTTCCACTATTTAAAAAAGTTTATAATTTTTTCTTATAATTATGGTGAGATTTTTTAAAAATTATTGATTAGTTTGAAAGCTAGTCTTATCTGATCCCTGTGTCGCAAATTTTCATGATTGTTAGACTAGCTTATCAACAACAAAACTCTAGACAGAATATGGTATTTGATGTAAAGAAGAATGTGCCCTCTATTTAGGCAACTGATAGTTTGGCTTAAGACAAGTTTTTTAAAATTTTGTAGAGGTTTAAAAGGAGGTTTCCTTAAGTAAGCCACTGTGCAGTTGTGGGACTCAGTGATGTGTTTTTACAGTGACTGGATATATGATATGCCTTGATTCCTATGGTGCAGGGCTAGGCTCACAGAGTACCTGATGCTTCTACAGAAGAAAGATGAGTCAGGTCTGGCTCTCTGCCAAAAGCATCTTGGGCCTCCTTTCCCCTAGGGCCTGCATATAATCATGGGAGCCCTTCTGTGGTAATGCTTCTATGTTTTTACTACCTGTTGCTGTGCTGAGTTTCAGAAGCAAAATAGATAAACAAATAAATAAATTCAGAAGAGCAATCAGTAGGGTTCTATTTATTTAATATAATCAACCCACTTTCTCTGTGGCAAGGAAAAAAGTAGAATTTTTCATTTTACATGAATAATAAAATCTATTTTTTATCCAATTTCTATTCCTATTAGTTATGCAAAAGAGTGTGAAGTGCTAGAAGGATTTATATGGTACTTTTCTAAGACAAGTCATGATCTTGTAAAAGAGCTTAAAGTTTATTGATGTAAATGGAACATTCTAGATGTCATAATGATAATAATTTATGACTTTCCCTAAAACTCTGTCTCAGATTCTTTCCTCCCATCTTCATTATCTGAATAAATGCCTTCACCATCCAAGTATTGAAATCACCTTTGATTGCTCTCTTCCTTATTACTCCATTTCAGCCCTTTCCAGCCTGTAAGTAGATCTATCAATCTTATCTCCCAAACTTATTTCTATTTCATCATACGTCTCAGATGCCTCTCATTCACCCTCTTTTCTGTATCTACACGGCCACCAAATTAGTTCAGGTCATCATCATAATTTACTTGGAATCCTGCCACAGCCTCCATATCAATCTCTCCACTTCTGTAATTTTCTCCCCTGCAATTCATTCTCTATACAAAGCAATACCATCCTGTCTCCCCTAACAAACATTGGCTCACAACTGCATTTAAAAAAAAAAAAAAAGAGGAAGAAGAAGAGGAGAAGAAGAAATAAACATGGCAACACAGAGACCAATTAGCAACAACAGTAAATGCCTTTCCTCAGCATATGGTTTACTCTCTGTTCTGTCCCTTCTCTCCAACCTCACCAGAACCTATTCTCTTCTCATTAAGGTGCTCCTGCCCAGGTCGTGGCTAAAACACATGAAACAATAGCACTCTTTAAGGCCTTTTCAAATGCTGTTCCCAATGCCTGAACTCTATGCGTGCTTACTCCTTCTTAAACTTTAAATCTCAACTCGAGGTTTTTTTGTTTTGGAAAGATCATTTTTGATCATCTTGTTAAAAGTAGGTTGTCCCGTGTTGGTCTTGATGTTGGAACCTTGTTTCTTTCATACTGCTTGTTACAGCATGCAGGTATTTTGTGAATTTGCATACCAAATACTCCAAGGGAACCCAGACTATGTCTTCATTGTTGACTTAGCTTCCAGAATAGTGCCTGGCATCAAGTAGTAGGGGGTTCGTAGATATTTATATAAATAATAAAATACAAAAATATGGATTCTTCCAGAATAAAGCATATTAACCCTGGAAACATGAATTTTGTGATTCTATTTTTTATTTGTCAAGCATTTAGTATTTTTACAATATCATGGTATGATATTGAGGAGGTAAAATTAAAATATCCTGAGATGTATTCTCTCTTTTATCAGTGTAGGTGATAATGTACTTAAAGGTAAGTAATTTGTAATGCATTCTTAGAAAGGCAGTGACCACAAATGTATTAAAATATATTTTAAGAAAAAATTGGATTGCATAAACTAATATGGTTATAAGTGACTCCAAATCTAAAATGATAACCTTGTTAGGTTTAAATCTGTATCATCTAACAGAAATTTGAGGGCCAGTCAATAGTCACTGACTATGAATTTAAAATATTCTTTTAAAATAAACATAGATGCTTATGTGAGCTCAGTTGATAGAAATGTAGTCAGATGAGGCGGAGGCCATAAGTTAGGTTTCCACACGGTCTAAATTGATGTTTGCCCCAGGTACAAAGGGCACATTATCCAAATATTTGAAGCATTCTCTAAGGAAGGTTCAGAGAGGCAATGTGGGCTTATCCATGAAGACCCATCACTGTTATTAGAGTGGAAGTAAGGACTGCAAACTTCATGCTCATAAATGATTGTGTCATTTTCATACTAGAATTTTACCACACACACACTCACACTCACACACACACACACACACACTTTGTATGGTGATTTGCCTCCCCCCTTTATTTTTGCAGACTATGCTTAAAGATATTAAACAAACAACTAGTTTTGCTATTAACATTTGGTTGAAAATTTAGCTTTCAATTAGGTGACAAACTGATTAATGATTTTTTTATGTAGCAAATGGCCAGCCACAGATTTTTGGTAAATAATTTGGTTACCACATTACATCTTGAAGGACTAAATTATTTCACTAATTGTGAGCAGGGATTTTTAAAAATTTGCTCTGAAGAGGACATATTGTGGATGTTGTATTGGAGGGCATCTGTGTACTAATTGAAGATGGTCCTTCATATTACACATCACAAATTAGCTAATTTATTCTTTACAGAAGTATTATGACATCTTCCTTTAGAACTGTGTAGAGTTAGATTACCACTTGAGAGGCAAGGTCATATTAAAATAGATATTATAAAATTGTATAAAAATATTTTATATGAGGATTTATGAGAGCATCCAGAGAATGTGGGTAGAATACTTTTGTGGAATATGAGATAACAATTTTGGTGTCCTGCCATTCTAAAAAATGAAATTTCTTCATTGAAGGTATCACTTACCCTTTCCTCTGCCTTGCTGGAAGGAAATGGCTTTAGGCAAAAGAAAAAGCCATCAGCTCTTGGCAGCTAAAGGTGGAATGAAGTTTGGAGGAATGAAACCCTTCTGGGTGGTGAGGAAAAATGCCAGGCCATGATAAAGTGGGGAAGGAAGAGGGGAATGCCTTGAACAGTGCCAGTAAGCATAATCTGCCACAGACAAGTTTGAATTGACATATGTAGAACTGAATTATTCTATATCTTTTTAGTTCTATAGAGAAAACCGTTCTTTCCACGTCTCTTTTTAAAATAACAACTTACTGTAAGCAAAAAATATGTTGTTGTTGTTTCTTTAACACAGGAGATGAACTATCTTTAGATTTTTTAAAGTGATATAACATGGAGCCAAAAATGCCATATATTACTGTTGAAACCTAACGTTACTTTAACTGTAATTTCCTTGCTATTCATTTTATGATTTCCTCTTGTTATGTCAAGTGTTAGAGAGACTGCTATTACTGATCATAAATTTCTTTAAAATGTCTCCTTGGATTTTTTACAAAGCTTTCTGAATCATTTATCAAAATACAATAAAGCTCTAATTGCACCTAGGATTGTTCACTTGGAAATTTAGAAAGAGTGTGTACATTTACAATTAAGTTAGCATCCTGCCCTGCAATGAATGCCCTTTTTCTTTTTTTTTTTCCTTCTTCTCTCCTACATCTCATCTTCCAAATGTTTGATATGTACGCCAGTAAGGCAAATTTTACTCCACTTTTAGGTCAAACTATTAGTACAAATAATTGGAAAATTGAGCCTCTAAAGAAAGATAAATAAGATTAGAAGCATGCATTAAAATATAAGTATTAAAAACATTCCCATAAGATTTTTAATAAAAATTTTATGTGCTATATGCACACCTAGACTCCCTGTATTATCTGATTTTTAAAGATTCTTTTTTTTTTTTATTTTTTATTTTTTTGAGACGGAGTCTCGCTCTGTCGCCCAGGCTGGAGTGCAGTGGCGCGATCTTGGCTCACTGCAAGCTCCGCGTCCTGGGTTCACACCATTCTCCTGCCTCAGCCTCCGAGTAGCTGGGACTACAGGCGCCTACCACCGTGCCCGGCTAATGTTTTTGTATTTTTAGTAGAGACGGAGTTTCACCATGTTAGCCAGGATGGTCTCAATCTCCTGACCTAGTGATCCGCCCGCCTCGACCTCCCAAAGTGCTGGGATTACAAGCATGAGCCACCGCGCTCAGCCCATTATCTAATGATGATGATGATGATTATTATTATTATTATTATTATTATTATTATTATTATTATTATTTTAACTGGGGGTAATTTCACTGGATGTGGTATCTGTCAACTTTTACTAGTTGCTCCTACACTATATGTTTTTAAATCCAATGTAATTATTTTAAAAATATGTCATCTTCTTGAGAGTCTATACTTTAGAATTTGAAAAAAGAAGTAAATGTAGATATTCAAATCCATGCAGATGAGTAAAACAGGGAAAAATGAGAAAAATGTTTCATGATAATAAAATATTATGTCAGGCACAGCTGGTCACCCCTGCAATCCCATCACTTTGGGAGGCCGAGGCTGGAGGATTGCTTGATCCAGGAGTTCTAGATCAGCCTGGGCAATAAAAGGAAAATCTGTTTCTACAAAAAAATTAAAATTTATATTTCATATATTGATTTAAGCTCTACTAAATGACTATTCTTTCAAGTCTAATAGACAGTGTATCTTTTAGGGCTCAGAGTAAAGATAATTTATTGAGGACATTTTGAATAGGATGAATTAAATGCTTTATTGGTAAGTGATGCCTTTATCTGAGTGATTCCTTCTAGGTAAATATTATGGGACCAATCTTTGTAAATGATCTTTGCATGGAACAAAATATTATAAAGTTGAAGTGATGAATTTGTTTCCCTCTTAACAAAATATGTATTCTTGTTACCCCATTTACAAACTTGGCTCATGGTAATTCAGGTAGGAAAAAGGGAAGTGGCCTACTCAGGGATCAACTGGGAATAAGGTTCTTATAATCCCATGAGATCAGCTGACAGACTTTTAGGAATGAACACTTGTAGAACAGCTAGGCAGAGAAGTGCCTTTCAAAATTTATATTACATCTCTACTATATTTCAGACTGTAAAATATTTTTATAAAGTGTTAAAAGCACAGATAAATAAATTTGAGTTCAAATTAGTATAGTGAAAGGAAGTTTATTTTTCCCAAATATTTCCTTTACTCAGTATGTGGTCTTAGTCAAATATTAATTTCTTAAATATTGCTTTCCTGTAAATTAGTAGTATTTACTTCTAAGGACTATATTATATGTTATATATAGAGTATATTATATATTAGGAGATATATATGTATATACATCGTAATTTGTTTTTTCCAAAACAGCCACTTTAGTGTCTTACACATGATAAGTAGATATGAGTAGATGTTCAATAATGGTATCTAGGCATTTAATAACTTAGAATATTATAATCAAAATGCATTCTTTTTTTTTTTTTTGAGACCGAGTTTCACTCTTGTTGCCCAGGCTGGAGTGCAATGGTACGATCTTGGCTCACTGCAACTTCCGCCTCCCAGGTTCAAGCAATTCTCCTGCCTCAGCCTCCCGAGTAGCCGGGATTACAGGCATGAGCCACCTCGCCTGGCTAATTTTGTATTTTTAGTAGAGATAGGATTTCACCAGGTTGGGCAGGCTGGTCTTGAACTCCTGAGTTCAGGTGATCTGCCCGCCTAGGCCCCCCAAAGTGCTGGGATTATAGGCGTGAGCCACCATGCCCAGCCTCTTTTTTTTTTTTTTTTTAATTAAGTTTCAAGGTACATTTGCAGGATGTGCAGGTTTTTTACATAGGTAAAGGTGTGCCGGTTTCACTCTGTTGCCCAGGCTGGAGTGCAGTGGTACGATGTTGGCTCGCTGCAACCTCTGCCTCCCAGATTCAAGTGATTCTCCTGCCTCAGCCTCCCAAGTAGCTGGGATTACAGGCATGTACCACCATGCCCGGCTAATTTTGCAGTTTTAGTAGAGATGGGGTTTCACCATGTTGGCCAGACTAGTCTCGAATTCCTGACCTCAGGTGATCTGCCCACCTCGGCCTTCTAAAGTGTTGGGATTACAGGTGTAAGCCACTGTGCAAGGCCAGCAATTATGCTGTTACAAGGAAAAATACATACGGAAAAGTTTACATCTTGCTAACATTACTGATAATATTAATGTAACAGTCTTATGTATGGACGTCTCCTTAATGCTAACTGAGCAGTTTGTTAAGGGATTTTCATATGCTCCGTTTAAATCCTCATGACCACCATTTGAGGTGAGAACACTAAGGCTCAGAAATTACCTAACCTTTCCAAAGACTCACAATGGTTACTAAACTTGAATAACATACACATTTCTTTTATAGGAAAGAAATCTTATATATTCCAAGAATACGTTTGCACATACCCCACACAGATATACCTGGTGGTTACGCTACCAAGCATTCTATCAAATATGTTTAACCCTTAATGGAGCTAAAATAAAATTACATTTGCAATCAAACATACTAAATCATGTAATTACAGCTAATAGAAAACAACAAAAAAAGAAAGATGGATGACTGTTTCAATTTTCTTCTTGGACACCAATTCCTGAGGGGTATATTGTGTTAAGTCAAAATAGAGATTTTGGTGGAAGTTTGAAGACATTATGAAAAGAGTACCTATGCATTTAAAGTGTTTTTGAAGTTGTTTTATAGGTTGAATGACTTCACTTTCCTGGTCTAGGAGTATTATTGCACTACTGTGACTTGACTTTGCTATGATTCGCATATTTTGTTTTAACATTAAAAAACTGAAATGGGAAAAAGGCCTTCCCCAAGGTAGAAAAGATTTGAAAAAAGAGGAATGGTGTAATTAAAAGGGAAATATGTATAAAATGTCTAGGGTGGGCCAGGCGCGGTGGCTTACGCCCGTAATCCAGCACTTTGGAAGGCTGAGGCAGGCTGATCACTTGAGGTCAGGAGTTGGAGACCAGCCTGGTCAACATAGTGAAACCCCATCTCTACTAAAAAAAATACAAAAACTATCCAGGCATGGTGGCCAGCACCTGTAGTCCCAGCTTCTCGGGAGGCTGAGGCAGGAGAATTGCCTGAACCTGGGAGATGGAGGTTGCAGTGAGCTGAGATCGAGCCACTGCACTCCTGCCTGGGCAACAGAGCGAGACTCAGTCTCAAGAAAAAAAATTAAAAAAATGTCTAGGATGAAGTTTATTCTGAAATGGAGAAGAAACAGGGAATGAAGTTACACACGTTGAGATCCTGGAGCTAGCAGATGGAGAAGTATGAAAAGCAAAGTGATCTTGTGCAGGATAAGATGATGGTGTTCATTGGAAGTATTTATATATCTTGGAAAATAAAAATTTAGATATTCTATATTGGAGGAGTACAAATATTTAGAGCATCACAAATTGATACACACAAATGAAACCTAAATCACAGTACTTATTGTCATGAAGACTCAATTATCTAAGTCAGTTAAATTGTCTAACATCAGTAATGCAAGAAGTTGACTTTTAAGGGTTTTAAAACAGTTTTGGAAAACTAATTTATTTTACATTATGTTTATAATAATTTTTGCATGCAATTTTTTTAAATATCTATTATCCACTTAGATACTGTACTTTGGGATATAAAAACCATGGGAAATTTGGCCCTTGAGTTCTATGATACGTCTCAATCTATTTTAGTGATTTGTGGATTGGTAGCTTATCCTCTAGACTAAGTGGTTAAGGTTTTATCAGCACTGCAATGAGATAATCATCTCACACCTGTTAAGATGGCTGTTATAAAAAAGTGAAAGGTGTTGTTGAGAATGTGAAGAAAATGAAAGCATTGTCCACTGTTGGTGGGAATGTATAATAGTGTAGCTGCTATGGAAAATAATATGGAAGTTCCTCAAAAAATTAAAAATAGAACTACCATATGATCCAGCAATTGAAATCAGAATCTCAAAGAGATATATGCACTTCTGTGTTTACTGCAGCATTATTCACAATAGCAAAAATATGAAAACAACCCAAATGATCATCAACAGATAAAAGAGTAAAGAAAATGTGGTCTGTATATAAAATAGAATATTATCTAGCCTTAAAAAAAGAAGGAAATCTTACTATTTGTGACAGCATGCATGGACCTAGAAGAGACATGCTAAGTGAAATAAGTAAAGGGACACGAAAACTTTTGACAGTGACAGATATGCTTAACAGGTAGACTGGCAGATAAGAAAAAACAAAGTTAAAGCTGAAATTTCCAACTGATTTATCTTAGCCTAGGGATTAATCATTAGATCCGGTCTAGTTGGCCTCCAAAATGTGTAGGTCAGGAGTTGGCATCCAAGTTGGTATTGGTGCCATTGAGGTTTGTAGGGAGGGAAGACCTGGCAGAGATCCCAAGGGCAGTGGTAAGCGGCTGCTGAGTCCCTCCAGGCCAGTTCCAAGAACTCACAACCTCACTCCTCTCAGCATTTATACTCTTCCTGGAATTTAAAAGCAATTCCTTCTTTCCTTCCCTCTTTCTTTTTTCCCTCTCTTCCTTCTTCATAAAGTTTTATTGTAGACATCAGATATAGCAATGAACAACACATGGAGATGTGACGCCGATTTTAAGAGATAATGAAGAGATAAATATTCGCCACTATCCATCATTGTACCATAAGATATGCTGTGAAAAACAATAAAACAGGACAGAGAATTGAGAGAAGGAGGTATTATTTAAAGTGGTCTGAAAAATTTTATACAGGGTATTTGAGTAGAGACATGAAGTAAATGAAAAACTAAGGGAGCTAGCTAAACAACTGAAGAATCATTCTAGTCACAAAAAACAGCAATTGCAAAAGCCCTAAGGCATATTTGATGTATTTAAGGAGAAGCAAGAAAACCAGCATGGTTGAAATACAGACAGCAAGATTGAAAGCAGAAGATGAGGGTTTTTCTTGATTTTGTAGGGATTACTAACCTGCGTCGAGGGCTGCGTGATAAACCAATGCTAAAATTACCAGCATGGGTACAACTTTGGAAAGGGATGAGTGTGCTCTTTTTTAACTGGATCTCTTTCTGGACATGGGTAACATAAAACCAGAAAAAAATGTTTGAGAAGTTTCTAATTTCTATACAAAAATAATGTTTTTGTCTTTTTTTGTGATTTAGATGTAAATGTATATGTACATGCATGTATATGTATTTATGTACTGATTTACTATTTATGTATATGTAAATGTATTTATATTTAAATGTCCTATATTCTCTTCCTGTCTGTAATGGATTGGATTCTTGGAACCTCTTACTATTTGGGGCAGGGGGCAGGGCTAATAAGACAAAGATTACAATTGAGAGTAACTTTAAATGTTTGCATTTTGGAAACTTAATGGTGGGAGTACAGTAATATTTTGTATATTTCGATCAATTTTGATGTTTATTATATGATTATTTCTCATGAAATAGTGGTACTGCATAGATATAAATGACTACTGCCTAGCAAAACAGATACCAAGGAGACACCGCATGTTGTCAGGGTTGACCGGTTGCTAACTGCTGTGATTTTGTTCTCTTACTGACTCTTTCTGCCTTACGGATCTCAAAACACGCTAGTGAATTTAAAAATTTATATTTTGGTAAAATATATATAACAAAATTTACCATTTTAACCATTTCAAATGTACAGTTTAGAGGTATTAAGCACATTCATGTTGTACACGATCACCACCATCCATCTTCAGAACATTTTCATCATTCCAAACAAAAACTCGGTAACTATTAAACAATGACTCCACACTCCTCTCTTCCCCTATCACCCAGTAACCACTATTCTACTTTCTCTATGAATGTGACTATTCTAGGTACCTCATGTAAGTGGAACCCTATAGCATTTGTCTTTTCATGTCTGGCTTATTTCACTTAGCATAATGTTTTCAAGGTGTTCATCCGGGTCGTAGCATATATCAGAATTTTATTCATTTTTAAGGCTGTGTAGTATTTTATTGTGCATTTATACACATTTTGTTTATCTGTTCATCTGTTGATAGACATTTGGGTTGTTTTCACTTTTTGGCTACTGTGATTAGTGCTGCTATGAACATTGGTGTACAGATAACTACATGCGTCCCTTCTATTAATTGTTTAGGATGTATACCCTAAAGTAGAATTGCTGGATCATGTGATATTTCTGTTTAATTTTTTGAGGAACCACCACAGTGTTTTCCACAGCAGCTGCACTATTTTATATTCCTATCAGCAATGCACAAGGGTTACAATTTCTCCACACCCTTGTCAATGTTTCTTTTCCTTTTTTTTTTTTAAACAATAACCATCCGACCAAGTGTGAAGTGATATTTTATTGTGGTTTTGATTTGCATTTCCCAAATGATCGGTGATGTTGAGCATCTTCCCATGTACTGATTGACTTTCTTTGGAAAAATGTCTTTTCAAATCCTTTGTTCATTTTTAATCTGCTTGTTTATTTTTTGTTGAGGAGTAGGAATTTTTTACATATTGCCAATGTTAATCCCTTATCAGATATATGATTTGCAATTATTTTCTCCCATCATATGGATTGCCTTTTCACTTTCTAGTAGTGTTCTTTGATGCACAACAGTTTCAATTTTGACAAAATCCAATTCAGCTCTTTTTTTCTTTTGTTGACCGTGCTTTTGGTTCCATGTCCATGTGCCAAATCTAATGTCTCGAAGATTTTTCCCTATGATATTTTCTTAGAAATTTACAGTTCTAACTCTGACGTTTAGGTCTGTGATTCATTGGTGATTTTTTAAAAATTCCTATATAATTCGTAGACTCTAAGAGAGTTTCCAGCTTTCCCATACCCATTGTCCCCAGAGATCTGGTTTTTAGTCTGAATGTGCCTTACTCTGAACATGTGCCTTCCATTTCAAGAACTCCCATTTCATTTTGTTTTGTTCTGTTTTTTCTTTTATACCAGTATTAAAACTTTTGAGTTGTTGTATAAATATACTAGCAATTTAGGAGAATTCCTGATGGGAAAGAATATCCTTGCCTAGCTAGTTAATGAATTTAGGGACCCTTCATTTTCTAATCCTAGATATGATTAAATCAAACAAGGATTCATTGTGCTGTAGTTGTAATCCACACAGACCATTTTACAAGGCTTTGCACAGAGAAGGTGCTTAATACTTGAGTAAACAAATTGAATTAATGAGTAAGAAAGAAAAGCTATCTTGTTTTCTCAACGGTCAAGTAGATCAATGATTTCTACTATTTAGAATCTTAGATTTATTTTAATAAAGCAAGTTCAAAAATCTCCTCTCTCTGTTAATTTTTAGTAAAGTCACTTATTTTTCACTCAGTTTTGTTAAAGTGTTTTCAGAAGAGTTTGTTACCGAAAACTGAAGTTTTAAGGTTAGTGTTTATACCACAGATATTTCTTGTTTTTAGACAATCCTTGTGGAGGTTAAGTCCCCTAGGCAATACCTTTTCCCACTGGGGAGTTACAAGCAAATGAAAAATGGTGACTATTTATGGAAACTCCAGGTCACTAAGTAAATTTTGCATTTTCATGAAAATATGACATATGGACATTTAAAAAAATGAACAGGTCAATTCATCAGTTAGAATAATAAAAAGAAGTCTGTAAATAAAAGTTAAGCACCTTTGTCATTGAATTGTTGTGAACCGTTTTTGCCTATGCACTTGCTTTATCTCAGAATCCAAGCCTCCTGGTCAAAGTTATATTCCTAATAAATTTAAAAATAATAATTTAATAATTTTAATTCCTTCTGGAATATAAATTTGATCAGGAGTCTTGGATTCTGAGATAAAGCAAATGTTTAGGCAAAACACTTCCTTCTGGAATATAAATTTGAGGAAGGATAGGAATTATTTTCTTCCTATTCATTTGTGATCCTGTGATTGTTATCTAATTTGGAATATTCTTCATGACTCCAATCCTATTTATATCTGTGAGGTTCTGAAAATTCTGCCCCAAAATGGCAGAAAGTAAGAAATACTATCACACATTTAATTCACCCTTAAAAAAATAGCCATACCCTTTATCTTTGAATATATTTTTAACAACAACAACAGAAAGAGAATGCATTTTAAACAATATCACATGAGTTTCATCATATTCCCAGATTATGGTGAGGGTTCCTAGATACCTTGCCATAATCACAGCCTTTAGTTCCAAGAGAGAGCAGAGAAATAAGAAACACAGGAAGTCATATCTATGAACATGTTAGTTTGCAAAAGGTTTGTTAGTAAACTCATGTTATTTATACCATAGTACTTTACCATCTCCAGATGAATTTCCACTAAATAAACTGTTCCTTTAGACTCCTCAAACCAGATTACCCCCTTCCTTTGCTAATATAGATTCTCAAACAATGTCTTCATCAAAAATCTTATGAGTAGATGTCACTAGTTTTGACAATGTCCACAAATGTTCCAAAGAATACTTTGGCATGCATGCTTCTTAACTCACTTATTTTGATATTGAATTAAAGGGCTTTTAACAATTCCTGCCCCATCAGGAATATTTCATCAGCAGCTGTTACTGTGCTTGGATTTTGCCTTCTTGAATGAATACCTAGTCTTTTCTCACTTTAGCATTAAGTTCTGGAGCATCCGCTGCTAATGAAAAATCCTCTGACTCATGCTAGAGCATTTTCATTTTTTTAAAAAAACAATGTTCCTTGTATCTTGCTGGCTATTGCCTAAGCTCATTATTTTAAACTTTTGCATAATTCTGCTCAGTCCTAGAGGGTCATCATTACTGTCAATGATTAAACTTTTATGCACTTGCCACATTTATTATTTTCTTACTTTCGATCATTTTATTATTTTTCTTTGGTTCCCATGATATTCCAATGTTTTTGTTATTAAATCTTTCAACATCCTCGGTGTGTTCAGTGTATCCACATTTATCAAACCTGATGGATTTAAGAATTTATATAACCTTGAAAGCAAGGCCCACATCCTGTAGACACTGAATAAACTAATGAACTTTGTATTGGCAGGACTAAAATGGCTGTGTGTGGCATATATTGCCACCTGTTGGTAGAAGGCAATGTAGTCTTGGTTTTGCTATAAGCATACATTTTAGTCTTTAAAATATTCTGAGTTGAAAGCTCCCTAAGAAGAAAAGGTTTTGTATATGCAATACAAAAGCTTTTCTATTATAAAGTAAGCAAATATATTCTCGTTCCTAAGAACATTAGCTTTAGGTATACAAAATCAACTTAGAAGAAAGTTGCTAAAATCACTAATAATAACAGTTACAATGTATTGTGCACTGAAAGTGTAACAGGAAATGTGCTAAGTTATTAAAATTCAGTGTCTAATTTTTTCCACTAAAATAACCTTAAAGGATTATCATTTTCAGCTCCGGTTTGCTATATAAGAACTGAGCTTTAGAGAAGTTAATTAAATTCCCCAAGGACATAAGCTAGTAAGCAGTAGAGATGGGATGTGAACCCATGCCTCTCTCACTCTGGAGCCATGAATTTAACAACTGGGTTATGCTGTCTTACTATTTTACTGCAGATCTATATTTTAAATTAAAGCCATAAACATGTTTGGCAAGATAAAACATAGGTAACAAATATACTCCACATAAGATTTTCGTAAGGTTTTGTGTTTATTGGCCAACTCATGGCTTATTATTTAAAAATTTCAGTCTGTATAGGGAAGAAGGATAATAATCTTGCTGTTATTTATTTAGCCTAGGCACTGTGGTAGGCACTTTACCAAAACCATTTCTATTCTACATGATAACTTTATAAGACAGATATATTTCTCTCTTTCATTTATGGGGAATTTGCATAATGCTGCAGAGCTAATTATATGGAATAAACAGGAAATTCAAACCTAAGTCTGCCTGGTGCCAAAGTTATTACTATGCACTTTCTCCTAAATCATGTTGATGTTTTGAGGGAAGTGGATACATGTATAATAATATTGGAAATACATTTTCTCTCTAATTATTTAAATAAGGGTATAGAACCTGTTCTGCAGCCATAAGTCTGTGATAATTTTGTGCTCTCAATAAAGTCTTAACTAACAGAGAGATGGGATTTAACGTGAACTAAGAAGTATTTTCTGTCTTCCTTTATACATGCTGTACAGATAAGACTTTATGAATTTTTTATTAAAACGTTCAGATATGCCAGCAAATGTTGACACTAATCTTAAGTTTTCCCAGGGTAATACACTTCTTAAGATTATAAACTTTAATTTCTTTTTTTTTTTTTCTTTTTTTTTTTTTTTTGAGACAGAGTTTCGCTCTTGTTGCCCAGGCTGGAGTGCAATGGCCCGATCTCAGCTCACTACAATCCACCTCCCGGGTTCAAGCAGTTCTCCTGCCTCAGCCTCCTGAGTAGCTGGGATTACAGGCATGCGCCACCATGACCAGCTAATTTTGTATTTTTAGTAGAGACGGGGTTTCTCCATGTTGGTCAGGCTGGTCTTGAATTCCTGACCTCAGGTGATCCGCCTGCCTCGGCTTCCCAAAGTGCTGGGATTATAGGCGTGAGCCACCACGCCCGGCAAACTTTCATTTCTTATAAACTTGAGGAATACTATATTTTAAAAGGCTATACATAAGACTAACTTCTATCTTAATAATAAAATAATAAATATAATATAAATGATTATTACAGGGTATTATGAAATACCCAAATCACAATATTTTAATAATCATAGAATTTAGAAATAGTCCCTATCAGTTGTCTGAATATAAAATTATCGCATATACAGCTTAATTTGTTTTGCATACCAGTTGTTCAACTACTATAAAATGCCATAAAATTGAATGATTTTAGGACATGAAATATTGAACTACTCTTGTTGAAGTTATTAAACTGATTTGCCATCTACCAAATTAAGCATTTCTAAGAAATAATAATTATTTTAAGAATTTATTTACATGATTAACATAATGTTACTTATGAAGGATGCAATGGTAAGATTTCAGCAATCAGGCAAGTATTTAATGAAAAGTATTTGGTTTCATATATATTGTATTTGATTTCATATATATTGATACACTTAACATTAGAGGTTCTAAAATGAGTAGCCAGCCTGCCTGTTTTTCTTGTGATATTATACTTGGCATACTTTGTTTTTATAATCTAAAGAAGAGGTATTAAAAAAAGAGTCAGAGTGCTTACCATTGGCAGTTCCTTTTAACCTTTTAATTTATAAAGACATTGCAATCCCAATGAAAATAAAAATAGAAATTTTCCCATTTGGAATTAGATAATCTGGATCTAGTTGGGAAATTGTACACACATAAAAGAGTAATATCTAATAGCACCAACCCTAATACATAATGTTATTTTATGCAAATAGGGTAATTAAAATAGTATGGTGACCTACATAGATAGTTCATTGGAAGAAAATACGATATCCAGAAATAGACATAGTTACATATGAGAATTATAAAGGTAGCATCTTAAATAGGTTGAAAGAAATATTATTTAATAGTTATCATTGGGACACCTGGGTAGTCATGTGGATAAAAATAAATTCAGATTACTGCTTTGCCACCTAACCCAAGATACATTTTAGTGGAATCAAATATTTAAAATAACATACAAACCACAAAACTGCTAGAAGAAAACATGTGAAGGTTTTGTTTTCTTTTTTCTTTTCACCTGAGATGGATAATATATCAATGTCATTACAAGGTTTGAGGGAGGAATATCTCACATATGCATGTGAAAACCCAGTCATCACACTTATGAAGTACTTGAAGTAGAAATTATTTTCTAAGATAATATAAAACACAGGAGCCACTGGAGAAAGGATTGGTGAATTCAATTTAATTAAAATGTAGATGCTTTTAAAAGATAAACTACCATAAACCAAAAGAAACAAAAACAGCAAACTTACAAAAATATTTGTATTGTATACCACAGAAAAAAAGCTAATTTTATTATTTTGTTAAGAGTTCCTAAATTAATAAAACACTGATAGTCTATTAAAAAAGTGGACAAGACTACATACAGACAGAGCACAGAAAAAAAAGCACAAATGGCATCTGAGGATATGAAAAGATCCCTGACCTCACTCACAAAAGAAAATGCAAACTAAAATGATAAGAATTAAGAAGTTTTCGGCCGGGTGTGGTGGCTCATGTTTGTGATCCCAGCACTTTGGGAAGCTGAGATGGGTGGATCACATGAGGTCAGGAGTTGGAGACCAGCCTGGCCAACATGGTGAAAACCTGTCTCTACTAAAGGTACAAAAATTAGCCGGGTGTGGTGGTGGGTACCTCTAATCCGAGCTACTCAGGAGGCTGAGGCAGGAGAACTGCTTGAACCCAGGAGGCAGATGTTGCAGTGAGCTGAGATCGCACCAAGGCACTCCAGCCTGGGCAATGAGAGAGCGACTCCATCTCAAAATAAATAAATAAATAAATAAATAAATAAATAAATAAATAAATAAATAAAAGTTTTATTCCCCACTTATTAGGCTCACAAAGATGAAAAAAAATTTATGAAATACTTTATTGAAGGTATGTGCAAACAATCCCTGACACATTGTTTGGGGAGAGCATGGATTGATAGGCCTTTATGAAGGAGTTACCAATATACCAATAACCTCCTTGGTAGTTTCAAAAGGTGGCATCTTTCCCTGTTTGGTATTGGAGACCCAATACAAGAAATGGGAAAGTGAGCATCAAGCAATGCAAGCTTTATTCGATGGCCAAAGAATGGAGAAGTGCAAGTATGGCGCACAAGCTAACTTCTTGACTAGTGAGGAGTGAGGAAATTGAAATAGAAAGTATATCTAATGAAGAAGTTGGTCATTAAGAGTGAGGGGAGGAATGTTCATGTCTTTTCCAGAAATAGGTGGTGAACTTCTTGGAACCAGAGTGCCGCCTTCCTTTTTGTCCTTTTATGGCTTCTTCTGGTCATTGTCATGGGGATTATCAACTGTCATGGCACTGGTGGGGGTGTCATTTAGCATGAAAATGAGATTATAATGATGCCTGAGGTCTTCTTGAAGTCCTTTAGTCAACTATCTTGGTTCTAAGCAATCTCAGCTGCTCTGGTTACAAATGGAACATTTTACCTGTTTCTTAAAGATCAGCAGAGTTAGGGTAGGATAGAAATTCAGCTATGGCCCTGTAGGCGTTACACTAGGTAACAAAAGAGAATTCGGCAATATTTTATTATGGCAAATTAAAAACGCA
Source organism: Homo sapiens (assembly GCF_000001405.40). Lineage (NCBI taxonomy): Eukaryota > Metazoa > Chordata > Mammalia > Primates > Hominidae > Homo > Homo sapiens. The sequence continues at coordinate 166,357,288 of NC_000002.12, read as the reverse complement.
CATACAATTATGACTCAGCAATTTCACTCTGAAGCATTTGTCTTACAAATAAAATACCGTACTGTGAAACTATTCAAGAGAATGTCCTCACTTATAAGTGAGAGCTAAATGATGAGAACACATGGACACATAGGTGGGAACAACACACACTGGGGCCCATTGGAGGGTGGAGGGTGGCAGGAGGGAGGGGATCAGGAAAAATAACTAATAAGTACTTGGCTTAAGACCTTGGTGATGAAATAAGATGTAGAACAAAACCCTGTAACACAAGTTTCCCTGTGTAACAAACCTGTGCATGTACCCCTGAACTTAAAATAAAAGTTACAAAAAGAGCCCACAAAAGAGTAGGTTAAAAAAAGAAAAAAACTAATGAGAAGATAATTATTGTAGCTTTGGGAAACAACCTAAATGTTCTACAGTGTGGGAATGACTAAATAATTTGGGTACAGCTGTACAATAGGACTTTATGAAGCTGCTATAAAAAGAAGTAGCTTTATACATGCTGATACAGAAAGATTTCCAAGTCTGATTTTTAAGTGACGAAGGAAGGTATGAAACAATGTTTATATAGGGTATTATTTGCATGAAAAGAAAAATGAATAGATGTATACATGCTGATAAAACCACATGGATGGATACACAAGGGGTTGGTACTGTGGTTGTCCACAGGGGAGGAATTTGGATGGCTGGGAAACATTGAAGAGTGAGAGAATTATTTTTCGTTATACATACTTTTGAGTTTTGTGGCTAAATTTATTCTTCAAAAATAAATATAAGAATGCTATTTATGGGGAAAAAATGGGAGTCATAAACCTGCAATTTGGACCTAACTTTTCAACTTAAAAATGTTCTGTTCTTGGAGTTACTAACTGCTCTGATGCTTAGGATGATAATCAAATAATAGTTCCTCTAAAATATGTCTGGAATGAACTTGAATGAATGAATGAATGAATGTTTTTTGCAAACCATTATGTGTGTAAAAATGTAGAGTATTAATATAAGGTTTATTTAGAATAGAGTCATCTGCATTAAAGAAACTTCGTTATACAAAAATCTAAATAAAAAAATGTTGTACAGTAGCTCTGAGGAGGTGGATGACCCAAACACTGAGAAAAGAAAAGAGGCAGAGGCTGAGCAGGATAGTTCAGTTTGAGGTAAAGAAGCAGCCTCACCCAGCCTCAGACAAGACTCCAGGGACTGTGTGAAAAACCTCATTTTGGCCAGGCGCAGTGGCTCACGCCTGTAATCCCAGCATTTTGGGAGGCCAAGGCGGGCAGATCACAAGGTCAAGAGATCAAGACCATCCTGGCCAACATGGTGAAACCCTGTCGCTACTAAAAATACAAAAATTAGCTGGGCGTGGTGGCAGGCACCTATAGTCCCAGCTACTCAGGAGGCTGAGGCAGGAGAATCACTTGAATCCAGGAGGCAGAGGTTATAGTGAGCTGAGATCATGCCACTGCACTCCAGACTGAGAATCTGTCAAAAAAAAAAAAAAATCTCATTTCTAGGCCTATGTTTCCCAGAAATATGTCATGAAAATAAAACTGCCCTCCCAATGGGAAAACATATATATGCACAAAAAGGTAAATATTTTTAATGTTAAAGTTACTGCATAATTCCTTTAAAGAGTAATTATATATTTCTATTCATTTTTGAAAACCAGTTTTAGTAAAGACAAAGTTAAAAGATGACAAACTGGCAAAAGAAAAAAAAAAGAAATTTTTGTGAAAAGGTATCAATATCCTTAGCGTGTGCACACACACCCACACACACACACAATCCCTTGGCAAACAAGAAAATAATGAATATTTCAATAGAAAAAAGATCAAGAGACTAAAGACACTGACCAAAGAAGAACTAGAAATGTTTCACGAAATTCACATTTTAGATAAAAACGTTTTAAATATCAAATTATGAAGTTTTTTTTTAAATGACTATACTTAACATTGTGGGAAAATATATGCTTACATGTTGCTAAAAATGATATACATTTTTATAGCCTTTCTGGAAACATTTTGTCAGTATGTATATATATATAAAAGAAGACAGGTTGGGTGTGGTGGCTCATGCCTGTTATCCCAGTGCTGCCAAGAGGCAGAGGTTGCAGTGATGGAGTGAGCCGAGATCATATCACTGCACTCCAGCCTGGGTGACAGAGAGAGACTCCATTAAAAAAAAAAATTAGCCAGACATAGTGGTGCACACCTGTAGTCCTAGCTACTTGGGAGGCTGAGGTGGGAAGAACACTTGAGCCCATGAGGTTTGGAGGTTGCAGTCAGCTATGATTGCACCACAGCCTGGGTAACAGTAGGAGACATTGTCTCTTTAAAAAAAAAAATCAGTAATTTTCTTGGAATAGGTTAATTTCATTTATTTTTTTCTATGCTTTTCAGTTTTCTAAATTTTCTCCCAATGAAAATTTGCTATATTTATATTCAACCATATTAATAACCCCAAATTAGTCACATGTGCAACTTTCTGCAAATAAATGTGTCTTGGATTTAATGGAAATGAAATCTTTTCAGTATAGCTTCTCCCTGTTATTTGCGTACAAGCTTCAAACTGCATAAACTATTTTAATGGCAAAAATTAAGTTAGGGTTAATCAACCATCTAGGATTGTATCTGTGCCTAGGTTTCTAAAACAATTAAATACTTGATCGCTTTGTTGGATGTTCAAAGATTTGGCAATTTGTCCTTAAATATATGTTTCAAATAAAATATCTACAATTTTAAGGTGCTTAAGTACTGGTGAACATGTCAAAATGTGCCTAATGTATTTTTAAGTTCTGCTGTGAACTTAAAAACTTTGGGATTTGTGTAATCCCAAATTAGAGAATTTTAAACTTTAGTTGGTGTCCACCATATTGTCCCCCTTTTCATCCATCTGACCAAACTTTTAACCTTCCTGTTTATGGCTGGGGAAAAAAAAAGCTACTTTAATTAAACCTAAGCAGATAGTGTTGTTTTTAAATTGTATTTCGATGTCACTAAAATGGGGAAACAGGTTGTAATAGCAGAATCCTTATATTTTTTGCACATATCAGCCTCCATAAAAGGATGGAAATTGCTTTGTTTTTCAATGTTTTAATTTTTTTAATGAGGAGAAAAAGAGCAATTGAGAGTGCCATAAATTAAAGATAGCGTTTCTGATGTAAAATCAATGATAGTTATGGATTATTGTAAATGTTTGAAGATGCTCTTGGAACACTGAAAAATCTTAGAAAATTTTGTTAAATAATAATTAAAATTGTCTTAAATTAGTGTGACATCTATGTTAAAGGCAATATAATTAGATAGCGTGCTTCTTCAAGTGCTTGGGTTAGGAGAAGTATTTCACCATCTTCATTCATCAAGCATTTAACAATTTTATATGATGTGCCAGATATCATGTTATACCTTGGTGATAATACATGCCTAAGACAAATTTCCTGTCTATGAAGTTTGGAATCTAGTTGAAGGAGACAGGCGTGATGAAAGAAATAAAGCACTGTAGAAGTAGGATAAAAATCCGCATTTAGGGGACTGCTGGCAGCTCAAAGCAGACTGGAGATATGGGAGAAAGAGAAGCTGATGAAGGGTTGAATTTATATTTGAGGGAAGGAAGGAGGCGAAGTCAGATCTTTTCATACAAGAGGTATTGAGCCAAATATTACAAAGCAAGTAATCAGGTGATCAGGATAGTTGAAACTGTTCAGATAAAGGGAACATTATGAGGATGCAGAAATTATCTAGCTGACCTTTGGGGAAATTAAACGTAGAATAATGTAGCTGGAATGTAGACTGCAAATAGGGAAACAGAAGAGGCTGTCAGCATCAGGTTAGTAAAACCTTCTATGACAGACCAAAGACATGACAGGTTATTCTGTACATAGTGGGGAGCTGTAGATTATAATTTTTTTTTAGTCATGGGAAGATTATCAAATTTCCTATTGCAGACAAAGGGTCTCTTGTTCATTGAATGAATATTACATAATTTATTCAAACTTGCTTGGTGTTAGGCAACTAAATGTTTTAAGGCATTTTTTTGTAGCACAGCTCTTTTTTCTCTTTTTTTTTTTTTTGGAAACAGGGACTCACTATTTTTGTATTTTTGAAGGGAAGGGGTTTCATCATGTTGGTCAGGCTGGACTTGAACTCCTGACCTCAAGTGATCTGCCCACTTCGGCCTCCCAAAGTGCTGGGATTACAGACATTAGCCACCACGCCCAGAAAGCACAGATCTTTTTTCAAAAGAAATTTGTGATGTTTTAATAAGAAAGAAATTAAAAAAAAAACAGATACAATGGAAAGATATCGATCCTGGAACTTTTAAATCTTGGTTTAGAGAAAACAGTTTATTATTTGAACAACTTCAAACACTCAAGTTAAAAAGCACTAACAAGGCACATCTCACTTGCACAAAAATGATACCAATTATCAATTGTTGGTGGCAACAGAATGGAGCAGCACAGAAATCTGGAGACCCGTTTTCAGTTGAATGCTCATAGTTCTAAAATAGGCTCTGATTTGGAATTCCTTGTCTTACTTTTCAGTTTGATTAACGTGGAAGTCTCAATATCTTCTTATGCTGTGTGTAGGAAAAGTATCTTGATCAGTATATAGAAGAATATCCCACAATGTTACTGCAACTAAGAAAAAATTAACCCATTGGAGAAAACATTTTTAATCAGTTCATTAAGAGTCTAATGAAGGTGCATATACGAAAAGCAAGATGTACTTTAATTAATGATTGATGTTTTGTGATTGAAGCTTGCTTTCCTAAATAATATTTCTATACTTCAGTACAGAATGTAAGGTCCTTGCTAATGCCTTATTTGGTTTCTTAGTTTCAGTCTTACTGCAGTCTGCTTTTATTGTAGGCTTATTACATTTATCACCATCATTAATTTACCATGGTGTTTTATCTTTTTAACTTGTTATTTAGATCACATTGTATAATGCTTTATTTCTGGTCTTGTAGCAAAGGAATGCATACAACAAGCATGTAAAACTTTATTGAATAGAACAGTCTTTAAAGGGGAATCATCCATAAGTCAGATAAATCCATGAGTAGTATAGATTTATCTACTGTAAATTTTCTGTCAGGCTGTTAAAAGTAGGGCCGTGTAAATCTTACTGTCATTCACATTATAATAGGCACACTTACCAATATACCAACTTTATAGTTTTTTCTCCCCATTTTACGGGTTTAGGGCTTATTTTTTTTGAGATGTCAAGTACTATTTTAACATTGTACGTGTTTCTTAAGAAACGCCATAGAATGAAGACAATAGGGAAGTCTATTTGTGATATATTCTAGCTCACTTACATTTTTTACTGTATCTTACAACAGTAAACATATCACACTATACTTGAATTTAAATTTTTTCAAGTATCATTGCATTATTTTGCACATAAACATATTCTTAGATGGTATCAGGTTGATGATGATGAGCTTCATGGTAATTATTTAAAACTCCATAATGAGATTTGTTTCCAATCTAATCAAGAAGGGTAAGAATTTGGGGAAAAAAAATCTGTTCTATAGTAATTAAAGTTAGCCATATGGGCACTTGGCTCTAAAGACTTGGATGTAGTGAATCTACCCAACCCCCAAGACTAATGACTTGGATGGTCTTACTGTATTCTCTTGTCCATAGCAAAGACTGATGAATCCAGCCAGGGAATTCTCCACCAGCTCTGCTTCTCTGAAACCACAAAGTCAGGAAATGTAATCAGAGTGCTCAGCTGAACCAGAGCAAGAGCTTTCCTAATGGCTAACTGTGACTTTAGAAATCACATCCATTAGATAAAGTGATTAAATATACATCAGTCTTTTGGCAAGAGAGCCATGAAGATATTGCAATAGAACCTTACCACATGACCCACATCTTTTGCTTGAAAAAGAAACATGTTTTCACCTTTGACACATATCATCCCTAAATTCCTCAGCTCAGTTGCAGGAAGCAATTTTTTCATGATAAGTTGTATGCAGTTCATAATTTTATATAAACCATAAAGTAATTGTGTGGTTGATAAACTTTATAAGGAAAATGTTTCTGACTTTCTCATTTCACCACCCTGATGTGTGGGTTTTTGTTTTGTATTATTCTTCTTTTTAGGCTTTTCATGCTTCAAGACTTCAAGATATTTTGTTAAATTCTTCCCTTGGAAGCCTTTGTGTCGCCAAATCAGATTTTTTTAAAACTTAGATATGAATGTCTTAAGTGTCTACTTAGGAAATATGTGTGTATGTCTGTGTGTGCGTCTGTGCTTATATATAGAGAGCAGGCAAATTACTCTTAGCACTCTGAAAAAGCTTTTTTTGTTAAAATAATGTTTTAAAAATATTATAAAAAAAGTCACCGTCAAAATAGCATTCGCTTTATATTTGTAGTTGAAATAATTCCTGTTTCTTACTCTTAGTTATAACCATCTTTTGATTAATAATATACTGCCCTTCACATTTTAATACACATGCAACTAAGCCGCTGATGTAATACATATACTTAAAATGTTCTTTTTGAGCTTTGAATAACCTTTTGCCTTTTCCCTGGTGATCACCAGTGGGCAAGATGATTGACAGAGAATGTGTTTACAAACATGGAATCATTGATGACTAAGTTAAAAGTGACCTCATAAAATATAGTTCTAATTCTTATTTACAGACAAAATTCTAAGAGCTCAATTCAATGTGTCTAGGATAATAGTGGGCATAGTTAAATAAATAATAGGAAGTGATTATCATTTACAAAATTTCATTAGTGAATTACTAAAGTATACCCCTATGCATACTAATTCCTCTTCCCCAAATCAAAACTTCTCATATTCTTAAATTTCTGAATTCCTAAAATCAGCAGAGATGAAGGGATGGACCAGCAACTATAATTTTGTTGTGTTTTGTGTTTCTGAGGCACATATAGGGATACCTAGTTTCATGAAACCAAGTGGTGGGGACATTACACACAAAGAGAAAGCTGTTAAAGGCAGAATGCCCAGACAAGAATGAAAATGAAATTCCTGGAGGGGCATCCCCATAGTTTTTCTGATAATCTCTCTCCTTACATAAAAAGCTTGAATTACTGGTAAATTATCCATGCAGGAATAATAGAATCATAGAATTTTTGTAGTATAAGGAATTTTATTGACATCATAGTTGAAAGCAGTCATTTTGTAAATGTTTTTGGTGCCCAGAGATACTTTAATTATGGCAGAGGAAGTTATAGACAAGTCCACGAACCAGGAGTAGAAAAGTTTTCAAATGAGAAATATTGCAGACCAAGCATGTTAATTTTATTTTATTTTTTATTTTTTATTTTTTATTTTTTTTGTGAGAGGGAGTTTCACTCTTGTTGCCCAGGCTGGAGTGCAATGGCGCAATCTTGGCTCGCCACAACCTCCGCCTCCCAGGTTCAAGCAATTCTTCTGCCTCAGCCTCCTGAGTAGCTGGGATTACAGGCATGCCCCACCACGCCTGGCTAATTTTGTATTTTTAGTAGAGACAGGGTTTCTCCATGTTGGTCAGACTGGTCTCGAACTCCCGACTTCAGGTGATCCACCTGCCTCGGCCTTCCAAAGTGCTGGGATTACAGGCGTGAGCCACCATGCCCGGTCTGAGGTATTGTTATATACACGGCAACTCTAGCCTTATAATGCATTGCCCTTATAGTCTACTTAGGGTTTTTAGGAATATTGTGACCTAATTTAAAAGTTTGTAGAGAGATTCTAATTTTCAGAATTAACAGTACTTTCATTTTCTCTGACCATTGAAATACTCCTAAATTGCAAAATGAAGTGGAAGTACACAGTAGATTAGTAAAACATATGGTTCAATGCATAAATTGAAATAAATAAAATGAGACTATTTAGAAAATGATAACAAATACAACAGTAAAAAGAACTCATTACATAACTTTGTGACTTTTTTCTTTTTCTTTCATTGGTTCCTTACATTTTGAACTCTTTCTCACTTTTTCTGTTTCCTTCTTTTTAAAGTAAGGAATAGAGAAAGAGTGTATACAACTGAATAAGTATTTATTGATTACCTTCTATGTACCCCATTGGGCTAAATATGGGAGTAGAAAGATGAATAAGATGGTCACAGCTTGGGGGAGGGTGATTATGTCAAATCATGATGAGAGGAGTTTTTTGTTTGTTTGTTTGTTTGTTTGTTTGTTTTGACGGAGTTTTGCTCTTGTTGCCCATCCTGAAGTGCAATGGCGTGATCTCGGCTCACCGCAATCTCCGCTCCTGGGTTCAAGCGATTCTCCTGCCTCAGCCTTCCGAGGAGCCGGGATTATAAGCACGCGCCACCACGCCCGGCTAATTTTGTATTTTTTTTAGTAGAGATGGAGTTTCTCCATGTTGGTCAGGCTGGTCTTGAACTTCCGACCTCAAGTGATCTGCCCACCTCTGCCTCCCAAAGTGTTGGGATTACAGACGTGAGCCACTGCACCCGGCCACTACTTTGGAGGTTTAAGAAAAGTAGTTGTAGGTTTAAAACTCTTGGACTGGCTCCTGAGGGAAGAATTAAAATGCCCTATTGGAGCATAGCCACCTATCTAGGATCTTGAGTCCTAGATAGGTGGGTGGGAATGAGTATCAGGAAATTGGGCTGGGACCACTTAGGACAGGCCCTTGTGGGTTAATCCCATAAGCTATTGAGAAGCCACTGATGATTTTTTAACAGAAGAGAGATGTGATCAATTTTTAATTACCACTCTGACAGTACTATATATTCTGTGGATAAGACAAAATGAGAGTGGAAACCTAGAGACTTGGAGACCATTGTGATAGTACAGATAAAAGATAAAGAGAAAAAGCAAAGGGAAAGGGTTTAGGGTTGATTTAGAAAGTATAATCAATAGCCCTTGTTGATTAGATGTTACTCTATTCTGAGTTCCCAGGGAGTAAATGGTACTTTTTATTACTAGCACTGGCTACTGACTGGCAATCATTTAAATGAGCGGGTTAAAATAAGAGTATATGAAAAATTAGAGTTTGTGGAACTTGAGGGGCATATCTAGGCTGGAAAATAGCTACTTGTCATTTTTTTTTTTTAATGTTGGAAGACTTTCTATTCTTAGTTTGTAGGAAAAATGTACATGATAATCAACAAACCGTTACACATGTGCTAAGGTGGTATATTAACTAATTTTCATTGGCTCATGAGTTACATGCTACCTGGCATCCTCTTGCCTCTTCCTCTCTGGAGCCACAGATTGTTAGCAGAGAAGCTGGAAGAACCTACCATCTTGCCATAGGAAAAAGGTTTGGTCCTTCTGGAACATGCCTGTGAAAAGTTGCCAATTTCCTATGTAGGTCCTGGACTTATCTGGAATTCAAATATGACTAGACACCATGTATTTTATCTGGCACTCCGATCCTATGTGTTTTTTTTTAAATATTTATCCTCCTTTGTCTCTTCATGACCTTATTATACAAGTTCTAGATCAGAGTGTAACAGCCTCTTTAAATTCTGTGGCATGAACTTTAAATGCCTGTGAAGAATGGGGCTGGGTTACGATTGGCTACCAGTGAATTCCAGGTAATTTAGACACTTCCTGGATTTGTTTTCCGTGTCATCATTTATTGATTACTTCATATAAAGTCTTAATGTGTTTATTACTCAGGAAAAATGATGGAATAGTAGCAGCAATGCCACAGGTGTGTTGTGAACATTAATTAGTTAATTACAAAGCATTTAGTTGAGAGGCATTCTAAATAGCACAGAACTCAAGGCTTTCCTCCCCAACCAGGGGTCCACTTAAATAGCTCTTTACTAAGTCAGGAGAAACAAACACATCTTGTACATGAGGTACATCAACCACTAGGCATGTTGATCTCCCAGGGTGATTTTCTGCATGAAAACCTATCCCCTGGGTGTCAAGAGCTTTCTAAGAGCAATGATTCATGAACCCTCTGGATTTAGGACAATGCTATGAAATTATTTTCATCTGTATTCTGAAATAATTACTTGATGTCCTATTAAAGTATTTTATATTTTTTGCCAGAAGTTGTAGGTGTAATTGGAAACAACAGAATACTCAAAAAAATAAAAGATCCCAAAGGAGAATAAGAAGAAAGAGAGAGAGGAATGGGCTATAAAGACGGCAAGAGTGATGGACCAGTGCCTAAAGATTTTAGACAGACTCTCAAATTTACTCTTCTTATGTTCTCTCTAAACACCATTCTTATTAGTTCAGCATCACTGTAATAACTAAAAATATTTTAAAAAGTGGACAAGGCAGATGTCAGCAAATTGATGTGGAGAAATGGGACAGACACATGGATGACTCACTCCCAGTCCCAATTCCCTATTTTATTTTTTCATTTGAAATATCCATCTCTTCAGAGTTCTGTCTAGTGTGAGGTTCAAACAATTTAAATGCTTTTCTCAAAACTATTGTGCAAATGTCTGTTTTTCTGTATTTTTGTGTCTTTCTGATGTTCCTCTCCTGGCTTTTCACCTACTATCACAAATTACATACTTTATTATGTACTTTTATATATCATATACTTTTCAATGAGCTTGATTCCCACCTGAACCCACGCTTTAGAGAGAACAATGATAGGTTTCTCTGCACCTGCTCCATATTTAGTAAGTTTCCAATTCCTTTTGGTGTCAAACAATAGCAGGTATCTCTGCAGTCCCTTAGGTCACTAATGTGCTTGGTTTTGTTGTCAGGGTAGCAGCTGAACCATATCTTTCACAAACAGGAGATACATATTTTTTCCCAGCTTGAGCAGAGCATCTCACATTTATTAGGAGAAATGCCCCTAGAGGCCCATCTGTGTGTCTTTGACGGCTCAAGTATTATGTACTTTAAGAAGTTTAATACATTTTCTACTGGACAGTATTGAGTTGTTTTAAAATATTAAAATCTTACTTTGCTGAGATAAATAAAAGGTATTCAGGCTTTTCCAAGACAAGTATGAGAAATGCCAAGTTACAACAGGTTCACTAATGAGGGAGAAGAAAAGTTTCATGATAATACTATGATCTTTGCTATTGCATTTGGAATTTAGTTAGACCTAAATAATGAGAAGACTTTTGTGATGATCTATTCAATTTTTATGGCCTATGGTCTTTTTGAGAAATTGATTAAGGCAGGGGAAAGGGGATAGTGGTAGGGCATCACTGACTCTTGTTTTCTTGCTTGTTTACTCTTTTCACGAAGTGGTAATACAAATTACCTCCCACAGCAGCACAGGTTACTCAAAAGCCCAGAGGAGCAGGAGAATGAGACATTCCTTATTCATATTTCAGTAAGGTATTCTTCTCCATCTTTGTTGTTTCAAGGCAGATGACAAAATTTAGTAGCCATTTTAGTGCAGAATACTCCCAAATTCAGGGAGGAAGCTAGATTCAGTTGTTTTTCAGTAATATTGGAAAGTGTAATGTGTAATGCCCATGTTTAAACAGTTGCTTTCTTCCTAACATGATAAACTTCTATCGTTAGAAGATATTCTCTTGGGATGAAAATAAAAAGATATAGCATAGGCCCCGTTTATTTTATTTGGGGAGGAGGTAGTAGTAGCGGAAAATATAACCAGCGATACCATCTTCATTACTAATGATGACAACTTACAACATCAGGAGCTCAGGAAGAAGGAAAGCAATAAATACCTTCATCTTCAACAGGATTTTCTGGCAATTATATCTGTTTTTGTTTGTATGTTTGTTTGTTTTGTCCTCTATTAATTTGAAATGCCTAGATTGTTTTTCTGGAACTTAGTTTTATATCAATCAATAAACCCCTTTTCCCTACTTTTTTTTGTTACTTTTTTTCAAGAGCATACTGACCTCAACGTGGTGAAAGTTTTCAAAAGAGGCGGATATAAGCTTAAAACCTGCCTCTGCCCACTCCTGATCTATCTCAAATGAACATCTGTAACTCTCCATGAATTAAAATGAGGATAATAACATGTTCTAATTGTTATAGAAAAAATTACATTTGTAGCACAGGGTAGCTGCTTTATGCATATTTTTTTCTAAGTTATGCACACCACAATTCAGTACTAATTTTGTCATGATGTCCTGAAGAAATCCTAAAAATAGAGATTCTGTGAAAGAACATTGAGTACCACATAATCAAGATATATATGTCTTGATTCATTGATTGATTCATTCATTCAGGGCATTATATAGCAGTCATTTTTTTGCTACCCTTCCACATGGATGATAGTTAAAGACTCTACTGAAGCCACTAGATACCCATCTTATACACAGGCTGTAATATTTTAACTCCTGGAGTAATTGGGGTATATTCACAATAAAATCAGCTCAAATCTAATTTATTTCTTTCATGAGGTCTGAAATGTAGTCAAAGCTTCCATTTAGTTCCTCGAGAAAAAGCTTCTGGCAAAGATAACAAAGGACATGATTCAAATGCTTTCTGTCTTACACTGCTGCTTCACATCAGGGGCAGAGGATTTTATGTTTCATGGCCTTCTCCTCCCACATATTTTGGGTTTTCTCATCTAATCATACAGCTATGATGTCAGTGATGGAAATTTCCACCTCTTAGTTTGGTATCTTGATTGTTTTTTCTTTCCCTGTTTGCACAAAGGATTGTAGGTGGCTTTCCAGAAAAGAGACATGAAAAGGATCACTAAAAGGAGCTTCAAAACAAATTAGATTATTTGTTGTGGGGAGAAAAATCATAGCAGCAGGAAATTTCATTGTGCCTTTTACACAAGATCTAACATGCTGATGAATTGCTAGTATAATGATGATTTATAGAGCTGAGTTTCTTTTGACCAAGCCCAGTACTCTTGCAAGGTTAAACAATTCTAATGGCGGATGACTTGAAGGACTATTTTCTAAGCGAATGTACAAATTACAAGTCCTTAGTTTCGTAAGATGCTGTTTCATCAAAGGCTTTTCTTTGTGGTTTCTCATATTTCATATTCATGTTGACTCCCAGGTGATAGTTAATGGTATCTTTTTTAGTAGTGCTATTATCAGCTTCAAATGAAATAATAGATAATAAAAAGCCTTATTATTAATGTCATATTTTGATATATTTTTAACTTTATAAGGCTTTTTAGTATTATTAATGTCATATTTTGATATACTTTTAACCTTATACTTCATTTATTCTAAGTAATGTGATGTGATCAATAATTTTTCAATTAAGTACTTTTCTTTTTGTCTGTGCTAGTTTAGTTTAGTTGATTGGAATATGATGTTACTGTAACTAAAGCAAAGTTTGGATTCCTGTAAAAAGACTTAGCATTTCTCCATAGAAAGGCATATGTACTTTTAGATAATTCTCCATGATCCTAATCTGTTATCTCACAAGTAAAGAATTGACACTTAGCATTTTGAGATTTAATATGTATTGAGTGGTTCTTGTGCTTTGCCCCTCTACTCACTTTACATTATAAAGCATCTACATAAAATGATTTGTACATTATCTATTGTAATGCACACAATAATATAATGAAGATGGGGATAATTGCTATCTCCACTTTTTCTTTTCTTTTCTTTTCTTTTCTTTTTTTGAAACACAATCTCACTCTGTCTCCCAGGCTGAGTGCAGTGGCACAGTCACAGTTCACTGCAACCTCCATCCCCAGGGGCTCAAGCAAACATCCTGTCTCAGCCTCTTGAGTAGCTGAGATCCACTCCCCTCGGCCTCCCAAAGTGCTGGGATTATAGGCATGAGCCATCACACCTGGCCTTCCACTTTTTCAATGAGGAAACCGTGGTTTAGAGAAGTAAAGACATGTTATCACATGCAACAAGAAAAAAACAGAACTGCAATTCAAATCAGGTTCTTTCTCATAGTTCTTAATACCATCCTATAGTCCTCAAACCAAAGGTTCCCTCTTGCTTGACTTTGAGATGATGTATAGAATCACTCTTGAAATAAAATAAATATTTTATTTAATTTTTTTCTTTTTCCCAGAAAAGTAATCTAGTATTTTGTATCAATCAAAAACTTCTATTTTGAAAATACAAGCATTCCTAGTTCTATAAAATATCAACATATGTAAAGTCTCCTAAAAGCTTTGGGTTTTTATATGTGAAGCCTTTACTTCTGTTTTCTTTTTGAAATAAAACATTGATTAGAATTCTAAATAGGTTATCACAAATCTATAATTTTTTTCCTATAAAACAAGCAAAGTATATGACAAAAAAATCGGTGCTCTTTTTTCACCTCACCAAGAAAATTAGTGTAATTATTTCATATGAATAAGACTTTTTACCTGCACTACATTATTTAGTTAATTTTACAGGCTCTAGAAAGATGTTATGCAAGAGAAGACATTTCAATTAATCTGATGTTGAAAGAATGCTAGTTTTAAAACTCAATGCACTCTATGTGCTAAAAACGTTTTTGCAGCATGAAGGTAGGGATGGACAGGGACATGTTTGCCTGAGTTCTCCAGGGAAGCTTTGGTGGTGGATGTATGCAAAGGGCATAATCTGTGGTTTCCAAAGTTGAATATGCACACCTAAGAACAATGCTGGAAGAGCTTTGTCTTCATTCTTATCTTTAAAAGTTTCAATTTTATTCAAGATCAAGGTAATGATAGATTTAAAAAATAATGATAAAATAAAAAATAGTTTCAATTTTGTGTATATTTTTAAATGCATATGTTTTACACTGCATGTGTAGATTGTTTATAATTTAGCAAGCATATAAATTCATTTATTGGGAGATCTTTTATTATTATTGGTATTGCTATTATTGAGCTGGTAAGGGTGATGATCAAAAATAATTGGAGACTCTATTCTAAACGTGAGGTAGAAAATTTTCTCTGACTCTAATGGTTTAATCTTTAAAAAACAGTTTAAGCCACACTATAATTAAAGCCATAATGTTTGTAACACTTAATTATAAGGATGGAAAACTTGGTCCTATAGATATTATCACCTTAAGGAAAGGCAGGAAAGCTAACTGCAGTAGTTGACCATTGGCACATTGAAGGGGTCATGACTGGCCTGCAGTGTCAAAAAGTGACCAAACAGGGACATCTCCATATGGCATTCATTGACTAGATTGGTTCTATTACTGATTGAAGTCATTTGTGTTTTTTGTACAAACTTTAAATAGCCCAAAGATTCTAAACGATTTTAAAGTAAATGCAATATATTATTAGTATTATATAGTCTATACATACGTGCTGATGTGTTTGTGCGCTTTTCTCTATTTATAGGGCATCATAATTTCTCAAATATAAGGTATAATATAATCAGGACAAGACTTGGGAACAACATAGTATACATAATAATCACATAGTTATTATTTTGACAAACATTTATGCCACACATGCAGAAACACAAGTCTGCAACCCTCCCTATGTATTGACATTATTCTGCAAGTATGCTTACAAAACAATATAAGAGAGATCAGAATATCCTAGTATTCTTAAGGTTAAAACCGAAACCTTTCTTGTATTTCCTGAATGAAATGACAGATTAATGTTATTGATGAAATGAATATGGCTTGGCTTCCTTGAGACACAGGCTGTTAGTAAAAAAGCAATTAAGAAAATAATAAAGAAATGAAACAGCAATTCCTCTTCCTTTTTCCTTTCTTCTGTACTGTGTCATAGCAAAAGTAATATAATAGCAACTAATTATAGGAAATCTCCCAGACTTTGTAATTGGATCTTTCATTTTTTCCCACAGCAACTGTGAACTAAGAATTTATTCACAGAGCAGCTGTAGTTTGTTTCCAGTAACTCTTAGCAGTGTCTCTTTGTGGAGTCTTAAAGAGACCCATGTACATATTTAGGCATATTGGCTAAACTAGTGCCTTTTAAAACATCTGCAGGTCTATTGTTGCCAATTCTTTCATTGTCTTCTATCAAATTAACTTTTCTTAGACGGTATAAAGTGGGAGAAGCCACTGAACTCAAAGCTCAAAGCCTGACTTCTGGTCATAGCTTCAATGTTTCCTTAAACATGACTTGGTAACAAGCACCAAACTTTGTAAATCTCAATGTCACCTTTGGTAAGAAAAATGAAAGGAATCTTTGCAGTTTATATTTTAGAGCATTGCTATATGTGAAAGAGCTGTGAAAATTATAAACCAGTGTAACTCACCATGTCATTATATAGATATGTCTAAGTTATTCTTGAATGTGAAATTTCCATTTGCTTGACAAATGTCACTCTATTACATACATGATAGTTAAAAGCATCTTATTTTCCATTTGTTCCCCAGCCCAGTTTTCAACTTTTCTTCTAAAAAGGTAAGGTCAATTAAGAGATATTTCCAAAGGAAATAGTTCTTTAGAAAATACTTTAGTATATCAATGCACATAATAATACAAAGAAATGCAGTTATAAAAATAAAATATAGAATAAATACACAGCTACCATATTCTTGGCATATATTTGTACATGAAGAAATAAACTTCAAAGCCAGGCAGGACGGCTCATGCCTGCAATCCCAGCACTTTGGGAGGCTGAGGTGGGTGGATCACTTGAGCCCAGGAGTTCAAGACCAGCCGGGGCAACATAGTAAGACCCCATTTCTATAAAAAATAGACAAAACTTAGCCGGGTGTTGTGGCGCCTGCCTGCAGTCCTAGCTACTTGAGAGGCTGAGGTGGGAGGGTCACTTGAATCCCAGAGGTGGAGGCTGCAGTGAGCTGTCAATGCACTACTGCACTACAGCCTGGGTGACACAGAAATACACTATCAAAAAAGAAAGAAGAGAAAGGAAAGAAAGAAAGAAAAAGAAAGAAAGAAAGAAAGAAAGAAAGAAAGAAAGAAAGAAAGAAAGAAAGAAAGAAAGAAAGGGAAAGAAAAGAAAGGAGAGAGGGAAGGAAGGAAAAGAAAGAAAGAAAGAAAAAAAGAAAGAGAAAGAAAGAAAACGTTGTGATATGATTAGAGGACTAAGTCTTAACGATTAGAAGCCTGATTTTTAAAAAATTCAAAAACCAAGAATCAGTAGTAGTAGTTGAGAAAGTAAAACTGAGTGAAAAGTAGTTTTGCAATCAATGTGGAAACACTATTTGGTAAAATGCACTTGTACTTGACCTTCAAGTAATAGATATGTCAATGTTAAAATGGCATGTTTTGAAAGAAAACCCATGTCAAATAGTCGATATAAATTATAGATTATATTTCTCAGATAATTATAAATTATAAAATTTCTGAGTACATTCTTCCCAAGATGTGTTATTTGAGGCTTTTGTCTTCACTCATTTTCATTAAGGAGACTGGTTTCCCATTTGTTTTCTCTTTTCTTTGTTTTCAAGCTGTAATACTGTAGAGTAAACCCTAGCCAGGTGCTTGTCCTGCCTTACTTCATCCCCTCTTTCTAACAGACTACCCGTGTAACTTCCTCACCAGTGAAATAGGAGACATAGTTCCTGAGGTTAAATCATTTACTCAGGTTCATACAAGAGTGGTAAAGCCAACATTTGGACTTATAATTTCCTACAATATGCTACCTCTCTAGATAGTAGAATTAAATTTCAAAGAGAAATGTCAGGAGAAATTCCATATTCTACACTAAGGTTCTCATCTATTTTATTTTCCACCATATTATTACATAGAAGTTATTTAATTTAAAAGTCTGATTTTAAGGTAACCTTTATACTATTAACTCTCCTCCTTGAAGTGCTACATTTACAAGTAATTAACAAATACTGTTTGAGCAAGCACTTGTTCAGGTGCCAGGGACTCCAGTTTTTGTTAATTTAAATATAGATGCTTGATATCATTTATTGGGGTGAAAGAGAATAAAACACCTTCTCACCCACCTTCCTAAATTCATTATAGTTAACAGAGGGAGTCTATAAAAATACTAGGACATAGGGACTCATTACATTCTAACAAAATTCTAAGAACATGCATGTCTTTCCCCAGGCATTTAGCTTCCCCTCCCTCCTCCTATTTTTTCATATCTTAAAGTAAGATCTAAATTAAAAATTTAGAAATTCCCAAATTATGTTGCTGTTGATAAAAGGCCACTACATGTGAAATCAGCCTTTTCTGTGATACATTATATATCAGAGAGTCAGCTATTACTTGTTTGTGCCTTTAAGAAAGTTAAGACCAACTTACCTGTCATTTTAAATTTGATTTCCGAAGAGCAGTGTGCCAGAAATTTGGCTTAAACAGACCAACAAAGCGTGGCTTCTAGGTGTTCCTGATGGGCAGGCTTTTTTCAATTAACTTCCTGGGGATTGTTTTATTTAATTACAAGGACAGTTTACCAGATAAACTACTCACTGATTGAATTTCTAAACTCAAGTCTGCTGAATAAAGCCAAATGAGTCATCGATAAAAATTCAGATGCCAAGACCTTTGCAACAGGTACATACTCTAAGCCATGTATTTCTGCATTTTAAAGTTTTAAAACATCCTTCCTCTAATGTTATCTTTTTTTTCTATACTGGCCTGGGGAGTAACAGATCTTAGTTCAAATCCTGGCTCTGCTACACACAGCTGTGTTACCTTGAGCAAAGTATCTAATTCCATAGATAACGCTTTAGTTTCCTTAGTTGTGAATTGAAAAATTCAGTGAACCCAAGTTGAGACGCATTCTACAAAATAACTGATTTGTATTCTGCCCAATTGTCAGGTCACGAAAGAAAAGAAAACAATTGAAGTTCTGTTGCAGATAAAAAGAGACTAATGAGGTATAACAACTAAATGCAATAAAAAATGATGTAATTTAAGTAAGATTTGCAATTCAGATAGTAATATCATACTGGTGTTAATTTTCTTGATTACTATGGTTATATAATTGTTAACATTATAGGAAGTGGGGCAGGGGGTACAAGGGAATATTTAGTACTATTTTTGCTCCTTTCCTATAATTAGCTCACAATAAAAAATTTAAAAAACAAATAAAAGTTATGGAGAGAGGAGAAGCCAACAAATAGCATAAGTATAGAACTGTTTTTGTACACATGGGCGTTAGACAGATAGTAATAGTAATATCTTGTATAATTTTAATATAAAGAGCACCGAAAGAGAAAAAAAAATAAGCCCTAAATCAATGCCGAGGGTGTCATCTTTCTTTGGAACCCCCTTAATGCAGTGACTCCTGTAAGTGGGCATGTCCCTTTCATACAGAGTTGCAGTTGTTACAATTGATAAGGGTTCATGTGAGACAAGCAATTTTGAAGCAGGGCAACTCCCACAACTGCTCAATGTGGACCTCATCTCCTTGTATTTGCATAGATATGCTTTGCTGCATGGATTGCTGCAAAATTGCTGAAAAGACTCCCATACAAGGAGAATGCCTGGCACTACTCCTCCGTTTGAAAGCTCTGGTTTCTCTCTTGTATCCTGGGAAGAGTGCTGCCAAGTAGTCCATAGACCTCTTCTTATTTCCTTAACTTGCTGTGTACATTTTGAAGCATTTATGTGTCAGTTTATTTAACTCCCCCTGCCTAATAATGATAATAACAATAATAGAGGTATGTATTGAGTTCTTATTGGTTCAAGTATGATTCTAGAGTGTTTATATGCATTAACTCATTTAAATATTCAAAATCCTTTTCATACTCATTTTACCGATGAGTAAACTGAGATACACAGTTAAGTAACTTAACTAAGGTGACCTAGCTTTTCAGTGTTGGAGTCTGGATTAAAAAGAAGGTAGCCTGGCTTGCACTTTTCAGCCTTTAGAAATATACATACGACCATATCCATCTGCTGAATTCCAACTCAACTTTCCTTCTTTCCTATACCAGCTCAAACCAATTTCTAACCCCTTGTGTTTCCAAGGTACTTTTAAAATACTTCCATTCAAGCTGTTTTGCCATGTTTTGTACTATGATCATTTATGTACACGTCTTTCTTAAAAACCATTAGCCTCTTGGGACTAGGAATATTCCTGGGCAATGTCAAAATACTCTTTATATGCTGGTGTCTCCAAAGTTACTATTTCCAACCCAGCCTCCCATTTTAAGTTCCAGAGTAACATGGTTAGCTACTTATTGGACCTGTCTACTTTGTGTCTCCCAGGCATCTCAAACACAGGATGTCCAAAATTGGATTTATCATTTTTCTTCCCTGTTCTTTAAGCCTCATCCTCCTAGTTTCCTCTCATAAGAAATCACTGGAGTATTAACTTGGCAGGCCAAGTCAGATACCTGAAAGTAATCTTGGATGCTCATCTCACTTCTGGAATCCCGAGTTCAACTGCCATTTCCAGCCTTTCATTATCTTTCAAATGTAACCACATACCTATACCTCAATATGTTTCCATACCCCCACCAATCATATCAGTTTTATTCACTTGGTAACCGATCTTTCTGCTGTAAATTTACCCTCTAGACTATGTGAAAAGTGAGTTTTACAAAATATGGACTTGATCATTTTCCTGCTTAATCTCTTCAAAATCATACATCTACCTTCCTCTGGACCCCCTTTCTCTCCACTTTCTTTGTTAAGGAAATAGTCCCTTAAAAATAATGAAAATAATCAGTCAATATTTTCCAATGAGTTAGTGTCAATGCCCAGGGTCTACAACTCAGCACAGGTATCCTTTATTAAGTGTACTATAAAAGGAGTACCAAAGCTTAGAGCTTAATCACTGGATGACACTGGAATGATTACAACTGAAAACAGTTAGTGATTAGCCTTGGTGGATATATTGGAAGCCTAGAATACCTCTCAGAAGATATAGAACTAAAAACCCAGCCAGCCTCTCAGGCCGTTTACAGTGTAAACAAAGCAATTAGAGCCAAAGGAGCAAGTAAGTTCTAAGGACCCTGGCATTGTTAAATGGAAAAAGCCTCCAGGTGAAATTGTGGTCTAAGCATAGGTTTCTCAACCTCAGCTTAATCGATTTTGGGGGCATTCCTATAGGAACTTTAGCAGCCTCTCTGTCCTCTACCCACCAGGTGTCCATAGCAAGCACCCTTCTTCCTCCATGTTCCCATGAGGGAGGAGAGTCCGATATCTATACAGTATATGAAACTAGGAAATGTATGTAATGATTTTGTCCTGCACCCTTTATTGGCTTTGTCAAGACAGCCTAAATTTCCTGTATCTTAGCTTTTTTCAATAAATTACAAAAATTTGACAGTTGGAGCCATTTTTCTGCGACAGTAATTGGTGATTAAATCGCTTAAATGCCAACATTAGCCAAAATGTTTACCTCTACAAATGAGAATCTTTACAATCCCTATCCTCTTTCTAGCAGGTTTGGCTAAGGGAACACCAAAAGCACAGGCAGAAAATTACAATTACAATTGTCCCTCAGTATCAGTGAGGGATTGGTTCTAGGACCTCATGAGATACTGAAATCTGGAGATGCTCAAGTTCTTTACATAAAATGGTGTAACATTTGCACATAATCTATTCACATCCTACCGTATACTTTAAATCATCTCTAGATTACTTATAATACCTAATCCAATGTAATTGTTGTTATTCTGCATTCATTAGGAAATAATGACAAGAAAAAAAACTCTGTACATGCTCAGACTGTGCTTATTTTTCATATTCAAGAAAGGAAAAGAATGGTCTTTAAGCCCAAGTTTCAAGTTGTGAACAGGTAATCATCATTATTTATCATTAACTCAGAATCAGTACACAGGCTCTGAAAATCAGCTAAATCTGTGAAATTCTCATTCCAGTGGCCATGTTTCTGAAAATAAACCAGTCAATAACTGCCTCACTCCAGTAACTATGCTTCTGAAAGTTAGCAAGTGAAGGCCAGTCCAAGCTTTTGAAAGTCTGCTAATGATAAACTCCCAGTCCCGAACATCACCCTGTCAGTGCCTGCCCCTATGGTGCTAGAGAACAGCCAATCAGTAAGTGTCCCACTCTAGTGACCATGTTTCCAAAATTTAGAAGGTCAACGGCAGTCTTACTCCAGTGTCCACACTAACACAGCTGGAAGTCCTTGAGTCTCTAAACACTCTGCACATTTCCCCAAACCTTATATAATGTCAGCTGTGGCTTTGTTCCAGGAACTTATCTCTCACAAATACAGTTCTCTCTTGCTGGCAAACAGAACGTTTAGATTTTTGGCATCCAATATTTAGTTCAATTTACTGTAAGTTCACAAGTTTGCAATCCTTTCATTGGCTCAACTCTTGTTTATGTTTAGTTATGAGTTTGTACCTGTGAGTGACTGACAGTGACAAAGCTGTGAGATTATCAAATTCAATCTTTTCAATTCCTGGGTCAATTACTAATATCCATTTTTTATTTGTGTAGAAGTAAACTCAAAAATGTCAAAATGCAAGTAAGTTTTGTGATAAATTTTATGAACAATGGATGTGCATTAAACAAAGAAAAACTCCTTTTGAAGCTCTTTGTGCAGCATACAATTGTTTAGCTAATATTGAAAATGGTGAAAACTTGGATGTAAGCCAGCAAATACTAACAGCTAAGCAAATAGATGTATGATTTCCTCAACTTGTACCAAAGAAAGTAATAAAATCACATCTTATTGAAAGAAATTCAGATGAAGAAGATAAAATAATTGCAGCACAAGTTGTCTTCCACTTTGTATATCATACAAGGTTTTAAGCTCACATGACTTAATTTGAATTGTGCTACAAGTATTTTTTAATGCAAAATTGTAAGTAAATTTTCTAGTGCTATAGGACAAAATCTACTGCCGTAATAAAAATTAGAATAACTCCATTTACTGTTACAGAGATTACCACAGCTCAAATGTTTTACTTTTTTATGGCATAGCCATGAATGCAAGTAATCACAATTTGGGGGAAAAATTCCTTTACTCGTATAATAATTTTCTCATAAAAAGACTTGCTTACAAGGCTATTGTAACACGCCTTCCAGATGAGTCTTCAGAAACAACAAGAAATTGTTGCAGAGACCCTATGATTGAGTTAGTAGTCATAAAAATTATACTTATTTTGTGGAGGTAATACAAATATAAATTGGTGGATATTTGCATAAAGGTGTGATATTTATTGAAAGTTAAAGCAAAGTATAAATGGGACTATGAACAGTGTTGCCTCTTCTGCCATATTCTACATGACGCTGCTCAAACAGCATCTGATATCAGTAAAGTAATTGCCAGTAAAGAAATTGTCAAGAAATTATTCTATTTCAGCATTTATTCTGTTCAGACTCTACTAATGAAGAATTTTTGTAATTTTGTTGGCATTCGTTATTTTCAGTTCTTTCACATTTTAAAATTCACTGGCTCTCTTTAATAGATGCAGTTGAGAGAATTCTTAGTTTATTTAAAGCACCGAAATCATACTTTAATTCTGAAGAAAAGGTCTCACAAATTCTTGCTGACTTTTAAAATAACCCATTGAGTAAAGACTACTTATTTCTTGCTCATAGCATTCCATATCTTTTAGCAATAGGATTATGCAATTTGAAAGAAGAGTAAACATTGTTAATTGATGCCCTCCATTGCTTACAAAGAGTTGTTGAATGTATTAAAGATAAAATGGATGAAAAGTTTATCCCTTGTATGCCAAGGCTGTTTTAAGAGGAACAACACAACTTAGGGACAGGGAAAAAGTCCGTATTGAAGTGGATAATTATTTTTACATTTGTCATGAGTATATTTTGAAATGTATTTTATCCCTTGAAGAATTTGATCCTTTAATGGAACAGGAGAAATTATATGCACTCAAAGAAGGGAATAAAAATTCATGACAATGTTCTGTTTTGTCAGTGGAAAATATTTTTAAAAGTTGTAGATCAAAATATGCAATCTAATCCTGAAAAATAAAAAAAAACAAGTTATGTCATGAAATATGGTATTGTGTTCTTTAGCAAAAGAGTAAGTCCCAGAGTTAACTTTAAGTCAATACATGTTCAGAAGTCCAGCTTATAAGGCTAACACTGAACATGTTCAATAAGCTGGACTTATAAGCTGGACTTCACGATGTTCTCATTAATGAATGTTGAATGGAGAAAAGAGAAAATTTGGATGTGACCACTATGGAAGACATGTTACATTGTAGGGGGAACATAGGCTTTAACTATAAGGAATTTTATAAGTCAACTCTGCAAAACAAGGAGCTGTTAATGAAAGCCAATCATCGAGGAAATTTTCAGAAAAGAAATCTCTAATTTACATACTGATCATTTATTTTAGATAAACAATTAGTAAATTTTAAGATTAAGACTGTTCTGTAAAAACATTTCCATTTATGGTCAGAATATGTATACACAATGATAAATAATTCAAATTTAACTGACTGTGTATTCTTTTTGCTAACTCTGGTAACTCCACCTGGAGGTAGGGAAGAATTATCCTGTTGAGGACCACTGGTTTAGACCAAGATAAAATATTATAGCATTCTTACAATTATTATTTAATAACTTTATTATACTATTTATATTTCTTAAAATAAATATATTCTTGGATTTGCCATATTTTCTTGAGGACAAAAATATTTTTGAAATATAATAAAATATAATTTTAAAAGAAAATTTAATTTTAAAATATTTTAGAGTATTGAAAGTTTGTTTTATTGTAGTAAGTTAGCATCATCAGGTTGCTTATGGAAGGCTTATGGTCCTGCAAGATTAAATAATGGCTTGGTTTTGTTATATTTACATCTGTGATTTCATTTTTAAAAACTAAGAATAATAGTGTAGAAGATATAAAAGCAGTGTGTATATTTAAAGTGAATTTTAAGGACGGACTTAGTCCAAAATAAAAGTTTTGGACTGTGGATATTGCAGAAATATTATTAATAAAGATAATGAGCAAAATCATCATATCTATTTTATAGTATAAGAAGTAATATGATAGGAACAATATTGAAATGGATTCTGCATTTACAGACTGCATTATGTTTCTTTTAAATCACTACTTCTGAGGTCAAGTGATTAATTTTCAAGTGATTCAGAAGAAATGCTTTAATCACTTAGCAAAACTGTCATAGCCAAAAGGAGCTTGTTTTGGTCATAACCTAGTTCCCACAAAGTGAGCCAAAAGTAATTTCTCATATTAAGCAAAGATATTGATTACAAGCAAGAGAAACAAACACTGGCTGTCCCAAGCCAAATGGAGATTTATTGGAAGTTGTTGGGTACTCATGCATTCATTGGAAGGCTTTGGGAAACTAGAGCAGCTGTATAGGAAAATGAGCTGACAAAAGGGAAATCTAGAGGCTGTTTGGCAGACCCAGCTGGCTAGACTACTGGTCACTGCTGCCACACAGGATTCTACTATAGCTGTACATAGACCCAGCACAAGGGAATTTCAATAAAATCTTCCTTTATTTGGCTTCATTCACCAAGTTCAAAGTAAAGGGCAACAGAATCCATTTGAATAAGCTTAGGAGATGATGGCCTCACCACTTAAAATAACAGGAGTGGAATGGAAATATAGTCACTTTAGTCACTTTAGCTTTCCACGGCAGGTGTCAAGGCTCTGAATTCCATCACCACTACACACAATGGGAAATACCTGTTCATTCTAGATAAGAAGGAAGATTGGATATTGGATAGAAAAAAAAGTAGACATATAATTAGGTCATATCATATGACATTCTTTGTCATTTTTGACTTTTTATATTAAAGTAGTGATGGAAAGTTAGTGGAATATGAAACAAAAGTTACAAGGATGAGCAATAAAATAAACAGAAATTATATTAACATTGAGCAATGAACTATAACAAAGTTTTGTCATACCAGAAGCAAAAGTAAAAAGTATTATTTCTCAAAGAAGAAGACACTCATCTCTTATAGCACTATTAAATAAATTCTTGGATTGTGTAATAATCCAGTTTATAAAGAAGAGTGAATCATATGAATATGTTGAGGAAAAATATTAGGATGTCTTGCTCATTTGCCATAAAATGGCCAAACATGTTGAGATAACAAACTCTTCATACATCACTACATTGAGGATATTGATAACAGAGTGGTTGGGTGTTGTCGATTTAGAGTATATAAGATTAGCTTCTGAATAAGGACACTGTACAGGCTCTGATATCTTACAACTCATATGTGAAAGAAACTTGATGGAGGTGTTCCCAAATTTGACAGTAATACTGAAAATTTTCATGCCATTACCAAAAACAAGTTGTAAAACTCAGAGAAATTTGCTCAACTATCAGTAATGAACATACACACACTATACTCAGTTGTGGTAAAAGAAAGACTAAATTTTTCTATCTTCTCCATTACAAAATTGATACAAAGTAAAGGGAAGATCAAAGAGAATGAAGCCAAAAATGAAGGGAAGTCCTAAAGAAATGTGTTAAGGAGTAAATTAATAAAATTTTGGAATTTATGGTATTGGTTAATTATTTTTAATACAGAGACAACTTATTTAATTTTTGTTCTCACTTTTAATAAACATTCACTTTTATATTAATCTGTCTTTTGTGCCTAATTTGCCCTTGTATTTTTGCATTTTTTCTCAACCTCCTCCCCCAGTTGTATAAGCCACAGATCCATAAAACCTGGATCTGTTTATAGGCCACAGTGGGTTAGATCAGGGGTTTCCATCCCCTGGGCCAGTGACAGATACTGGTCCATGGCCTGTTAGGAACCAGGCTGCACAGCAGGAGGTGAGCAGCAGCCCAGTGAACATTACCACCTGAGTTCTTCCTCCTGTTAGATCAGCCTTGGCATTAGACTCTCAGAGAAGTGCAAGCTTTATTGTGAACTGCACATACGAGGGATCTAAGTTGCACACTCCTTATGAGACTCTAACTAATGCCTGATCATCTGAAGTGGAATAGTTTCGTCCCAAAACCTACCTCCTTCCCTGCTGCCCTGAAAAAATTGTCTTCCATGAAACCAGTCCTTGGTTCCAAGAAGGTTGGGGACTGCTGGATTGCCAGGTGTTATCACTAAGAGAGCAAATAGGTAAAATGTCTGGTAATATACACTGGAATATTATGCAGTAGTTAGAAGTGCAGATTAGATGTATTTACAACAACATGAATGCTAAGTACTTTAAATCATAGTGCTTAGTAAATAAAAACAAACAATGAGAAAATGTATGTAAATTAGAGATTCATGTGTACAATATTCAATTTTCAAGAAAACAGAAAGATGTTCATAAACACATTATAATGGTTGCTAAGCATGGGAATGAAAAACAGGTAGAGTGGCAGAGAATGGGATATGGGGGCAATGGAGAAAAAATATTAATAAAAGGAGGCTTTGCATGGCCAATGATAACAATTGGCCACAAACTGGGAATTTAACCTGGAACTTGAGGTTAAAAAAATCTGTAGAATGCAGGAACTTTGGTTGATATTATCCACAATACAAGTAAGTTATGATTTAACCTTTAGAAGGAAAATAAGCTTTGTGCATCCTTTAAAATTTTTAATTAGAATAGTTTGAAGACTAGACAAGTACAGGAATAGAAAATCTAGAGAGTTTATGAAGCTATATATTTCAAATTCCATCGAAGGACAAAGCCAAAGATGATTTTTTTTCTTGTTTGGAAAAGTTGAGAGTAAGTAAGGACAATCAGACTTGATGACAAAGCCAAAAATGAAGGAGACAGCTCCTGGATCATAGCAAACTGTTAACACAAGAGGGAGGAATTGTAGGAGATACCTGTCATAGTACAGACCAGCAAATTTCTACTCATCTTCCTTCCCTGACCAAAATCTTTCTTCCTAAGTCCAAGTTAGGTGCCTTTTCTGTGTGTTCTCATTGCTCTCATATAGTAGGTGTGTTGTAATTGTTTACCTGCTGGTTTTCCCCAACAGACTGTAAGCCCTAGAGGACAAGGATCAAGGCCACCTAGTTAGTATTGTGTCCCAGGCACCTGGCACCTTAAAAATATTTGTTGCTCTTACCTCCAAACAACAACAACAACCCCCCCCCAACAATAACAAACAACAAAAATGGGTAACAACTAGAGATGGTAGATATGTTAATTTCCTTTACTATGGTAACCTTTTTTTTACTATCTACATGTATCCAATAGCATCATGTTGTATACCTTAAATATACACAATAAAGTGTATTTTAAAATATCTGTTGAAGAGTAAGTAAAATGAAATGAACCTATTAAAGGAATATCAGTATAATATTTCACACATGTGACCATTATTTTCATAACTTGCTGCGGGGGTAAACCTTAAAATCAAGACTACCTTCATTTTGTTTTGGTAATTTGAAAAGTAAGGAACCGATAATATTTAGGCATTTTTTTACTTTAATCTTTTGTAGTTTAATAAAGAAAAATTTCCAAACTACATTCTGTTAATTGTGCTAGCAAGTTATTATGATGGCATTTTAAAAAATTAATGCAAATAATAATGATGCAGATAATCAATTTAATTGATGGCTGGTCACTTAAGATCGCTTTCTAATTTTCAGTTATTAAAAGGTCTTTCAAAATAAGGCTACTTTTGTAAAAAAATAATTTTTATACTATATTGTACATTAAGGGAATTCATGGATGGTGTTTTCTACACAACAGAGAAAAAATTTTATGTAAACCTGAGAGCAATTACTTTACCAATTAAATCACTCAAATGTTGTAGACTAAAATAATTGAAAGTCAAAATAAGATTAAAGAAAATCAGTTTTCATATACAAATAATGGTAAGGGATTCAAGAAAATAAAAATTGGACTTAATGCATTTTAACCTATATAGTTTTGAAAACCATAAAACATAAACCTTATTGCTTTGTGTAGTCATTTTTCACCTTTGTAGAGTCCATTTTTCCTTACATGTAAACAGGCGCCTATTCTAATATTCTTCATTTCTTGCTGTGTTTCCATTCTTTTTGTCTAAGATCTTTTCCTTCTGCCTAAAGTACTTCCTTTAGTGTATATTTTAGTACAATGATTAATTCTCTCAACTTGAGTTTTCAGAAAAAGAAGTTTTTAAAAACATTTTACGTTCATCTTTTTAACTTTTCATTAAGTATAACATACTTAAATAAAAATGCATATATCATGTTCTCGCTTATAAGTGAGACACATAGAGGGGAAAAACACACACTGGAACCTTTCAAATACAGTAGAGGGTGGGAGGAGGCAGAAGATCAGGAAAAATAACCAATGAGTACTAGGTCTAATACCTGGGTGATGAAATAAGCTGTAAAACAAACCCCCATGACACAAGTTTACCTATGTAACAAACCTGGACTTGTACTCCTGAACTTAAAATAAAAGTTAAAAAAAAAATGCATATATCCTAAAAATATAGTTTGATGAATTCTTCACAAACGAAACAAACCATGTAACCAATACTGGGATGAAAACACAGAATTCCTTCACTCTAGAATAATATTTTCACTCTCTCTAATGTTCCAGAGTGTCAGGGACTACAAAGGCTACAAAACCAAATGACAGGTCTGCTTTGTTCCAAGCAATGTTACAGGCTAAAGATACACTGCTTGTAGGATTTCATACTCTTAAAAGTTCCCAGGTACATAAAATTCTACTAATTAGTTAAATGAAGCTGTGTATTCATGGACAATAGTTAAATTGTGACACAGATGAGTGTACCTAGCACCTTGTTAGAGAAAGCTCCTTAGTATCAATGAGATGTGAAGGACATCTAAGAGTTATCAGGGCTAGAGGTCTGGGGAGAGTTATCCTGGCTCATGCTAGTCTTTTAGTGAAATGGCCTGGACAAATTCATAGTGAAGATGGGCAGTCAATTGATAAGATTATATTATATTTGACTGTTTATTTCTAATAAGATTATAAAAAGATTATAAAGTTAAAAGCAAATTGAGGTGTTGTAGTGAGGAAAGAGGATTGTATAGATTCATAATGGCTGGCTCAATTCCAGTGTTTTTACTCTACTTAAGTGTATAGATTTGGTTAATTTTTAAAATTTCAGGTAACAAATAATATGGTCATCATTGAAATCCCTAAATATAATAAATTACAACCATTGTTTTTACTGAATCTAGACTAGGGGAAGAGTAAGATAAAACAAGATAAGTAGAATGTTGGCAATTTAAAAAATTGTGCCAGGCTCAGTGGTTGATGCCTGTAACCCCAGCACTTTGGGAGGCCAAGGAGGGCAGATCACTTGAGCCCAGGAGTTCAAGACGAGCCTGGGCAACATGGTGAGACCTTGTCTCTACAAAAAATGCTTTAAAAAATTAGCCCAGCATGGTGGCACGCACCTGTGGTCCCAGCTACTTGGGAAGGTGGGAGGTCGCTTGAGTGCACGAGGATGATGCTCCAGTGAGCCGTGATCACAGTATTGCACTGCAACCTGGGCAACAGAGTGAGTGAGACCTTGTGTTTATAAGAAAATTTATACCTTTCAAAAATTTAAACTCATACTTTCTGCCCATATTACAGCTGCCTCCTTCTGTGGTATAAACGCAATATTAAATATTGTGTTTATTTTTATCAAAATAAGACAGAAATTCTCAAGACAGAAAATGAAAAGTTTTGTCAAGGGGTTTCACAGACCTTTCATTGAATTTTAATTGCAATGCTAAACAATATTTGAAGATAACCCATAGTGGTCCCAGTCTTCAGCCTGAAGTCAAGAACCTTTAGTTATCTGAATGTTCTCAAGCTCCAAGACTCCCTAGGATGTTATTTAAGCAAAGTGCAGGATTTCCAAACACTAGTGATTAATATATGACATCTGCTTACTACAGCACTGTTGTGCAGCCACAAAATCTTTCAGAAAAGTTCACAATAACTATGGCTTACTTTGATAAAGAATAGTCAGTAGGATGGTTAGTCTAATATGCTCTCATAAAAAAAGAAAAGTATTATGAGGTGGTGCCAGGACCTTGGGTCCTATTTGGCTATTTCTCCAAGGATCTCTCAATGGTAAGATCATCATATATCTAAGCTTGCCTAGAACAGTCCAAGGTCATTCCTGCTGTCTTGGTATTTTCTGTGTTGTGTAGCATTTATTCTTGACACAAAATCCTGGCTTGGAACATAAATGCTGTAGACATCCTGCCAAGGATTGAATCAAATTTATAAGTGTAACCCTGACAGCTAGGGTAGAGCTGTCTATTTCCTTCCTCCAAAGATGTTATCAGGTATTTAGATTAGTAAAATGAGAAATACTGAGATACCCTTATAATTCAAGGAGCACATAGGAATGGATATAGACTTGGTTTAAGTATTATTTTTCCCCTGTATTCTCCAGATTCAATCGTTTCGCACCTTTGACTTTCTTATCTAAACTGTAGAGCTATTCAATGACTAAATTGTACTTCTTATTGTCTTTGAATGTTTCAGCTTTATCTTGTTATTGACATATAGAATTTTTATTATCTTGATATTTCACTTATTCAATCGGAGGCCAGGTGTAGGAAGGACTCCAATATTTTCTTGGTGCCAAGACATAGAACAGAGTTTTCAGATCCATCTGGAAATTTTTCTGTTTTCATGGGAGAAGGCCTATAAGAGTTCATACTGGAAGGAAACATTGCCTCTCTCATCTCTCCTGATGACATATTTCTCTTTTATCATGGGAAGTCTTATGTTATGAGTAGATAAGTTATGAAGGTGATGTTATCGAACATAGGAGAGTAATTTAAAATATTATTGACAAAAGGGGCTTTTGTAGTTATAAACCAGGGTTAAGCGTATCCTTGTCAGCCAGAGTGGAGCTGTATTTTTGTCTTGCTCTGATGATGTTATCAGGTGTTCAGAGCTCAGTAAAATGAGAATCTCAGAGTCAAATACATTTCTTTTATCTCTATGTTACCTCACAGTTCCTAAAGTAACACAGAAATCAAAAGTCAGCCTTTTGTACCTTAACGGCATCATTAAGATGGATATGTAATAAAGCTTCAATTTAACAACTTAAAAGATATTTAGTATGCTTACCATGGTTGAGGGAGTTAAATTGTACTTATTCTAAAAGAAAATACACACAGATTCCCTCATAAGTGTATTTTTTTAGCCTATTATAATAAGACATAATGACTCTCAAGTATAATTAGGACTCAGACATTGTGACTCCAGTTTAGTTCTATGTTTATAAGTCATAAGCTCATTCCTGACCCAGGAGAGTGCATTTATAGAAAATTATCCTCCCAGGCATGATTACTTTAAGAAAACTGATCAGCATTTCTAATGGATCTCCTATTGATCAAAGCAATGCTATTTTGTACTGTGTAAAATATGTATTTTTAATGTATTAATTGTAATTCATTTTAATTAAAAGTGGTTCAAATTTATGTCTATTATCACTTAGGTATATTATAGATAATATAGATAATGGCAATGCATTTACCTGATAAATTCAAATTCACTGAGCTATTATTACCTTTATTTAATATTAGAATAATTCTACATCTGTGATTTCCTTTTGCTTAAACTTTTGTCTTGGAATAGATTTATGGAAAAATGGTGCAGATAGTAAGGACAGTTTCAATATACCCCACATCCAGTTTCCCCTGTTATTAACAGTTTATATTAGTATGGCGCATTTGTCACAATTAACAAAACCATGTGATACATCATTATTATTAACAAATGCCCTTACCCTATTCAGAGTTCCTTAGTTTTTCACTAATTTCCTTTTTCTCTTTCAAGATCTCACCCAGGCTACCACATTACATTTAACCATCATACCATCATATCACCTTAAGCATCTCTAGGCTGTCGCAATTTCTCAGGCTTTCCTTGTTTTTGATGATGTTGATACTTTGAGTGAGTATAGGTTAGGTATTTTGTAGAATGTTCCTGAATTGGTATTTGTCTGATATTTTTCTCATGGTTAGATTAAGGCTATAAGTTTTGGGAAGGAAGATCACATATGTAAAAGGCCATTCTCATCACATAGTATCAATGGTACACATTGTCAATGAGTTATCGTTGTTGATGTTAACTATGATTTAAATAAACTTTTTAGGTTCTCATGTTCTGATTCTATGGTGCCTTGAGAATGCTTTAAAAATTAATGGTACTTCAGTCAAGATTTTACCTGCAGGAAAAAATCACTATGTGTTTCTAGAGAAGTGACATTTTCAAAGCAGTATTTCATTTTACAACAGTTAGCATCAATAAAAATGTATTTTTTATTTATCTTTACATTTGTCCACTGTCTTAAATATTTATACTGACTCAATCTCATTCAGATTTTGGCAGATCTTCCAAATGATTAATTGGACCAATTTTAAATAAATAAATTTATTTATTTATTTGAGATGGAGTCCCGCTCTCTGGTTCAGGCTGGAGTGCAGTGGCGCGATCTCGGCTCACTGCAACCTCTGCCTGCTGGGTTCAAGTAATTCTCCTGCCTCAGCCTCCTGAGTAGCTGAGATTGCAGGCGCCCACACCACACCTGGCTAATTGTTGTAATTTTATCGAAATAAGATTAAGTTATTTACAGGTAAGAGGCTCAGTGATGGAATGCAAAACAGCCTGAAATTATTATAGAGTTGTGAGCATGTAGCTATTTTCCTGCTCCTTGAAATAAGAAAATATAGAGTTGTGAGCGTGTAGCTATTTTCCTGCTCCTTGAAATAAGAAAATGTCATATCATAGTCCCTCTAATCAAGATTAAAGAAACAAACAAGTAAACACTACTTGCTTTCTACAAGAGATGTCAAAAGTTATCAAAGGAAACATACTGTTTAAAGGAATTATCTGGGAGATATTTTTAAGAGAATAACTTATTCTCTTAAATAAATATAGCTTTCATATATAAGATAAACATTAATTATTACAAAAGCACAACATATTACAAAATTATATGGACATAATATGCACATACTCTAACTGAGCCACAATAGAATTGGTGCCCTGACACTAATAAATCATTTGGGAACTGCAGTTTGGAGTATTTAGTACCTGTTATGTGGCCAAGAAGGTAATAGAGGCCACTGAGACCTTTTCCAGTCTAATATAATGGGCACAACTCACATTTTTTCCTTTTAGTTATTAGGTAAAAATTAGTGTTGGTGTTTACTTCAGTGATTTTTTAGAGGATTTACAATTTTTACTGTGAACACTTAGGGAAACCCACTTCCCACCTCATCCTATAGATTTTCCCTATGTGAAGGGTTTTCATAGTACCTTGGGGATGAAAGGAAGTCCCCCAAATAATTTTCCTGATGTCTGCTTCCAATATTTGACTTCAAGAATACCGTTTTCCAAATAGTATGTTCAGAGCCATACCAGGCACACAGAGTCTCTAAAACTCTGGAGAGACTGTAATATTTCTTTGCTTGAAGGAAGGGATCATTCTTGTATTCTGTTCAGAGATTACATTAATGATATTTAAATGTTTCTCAGAAGATAAACCAAGTGTTGGAATTTATTTGCTTTTGACCCTGTTCAGCAATATTCAATGAATAAAAAAGAAAAAAGTCTTAATGATAGTTCTTGAGCCACATGACTTTGTCTAATTAAAAAATATTTTGCAAGTCTTCATATAAAGTTCAAAACAACAAAGGTGAAATGATGGGAATTTTCTTAAGAAAGGAAATTCTGCAGTGACCCAATCCTTTGAGCAATCAACAGTCATTCTAGGGATACTCTTGTATTGTTTAAAATTACATTTTACAAAATAAATAATGTCCTAAATGCCTCAACATTTTTAGAATCAGAAAAGTTGCTTAACTGGGATGTCCAAGATCATTTAGCTAGTAAGTAGTGAATCCAGTATTCAAAACCCAGGCTTTCTAGCTCCTGAACTTGTCCTAGACTCACTACTCTAAACTAAATCTCTGTTTAATATTACATGCTCATATGAAATGTTTCATGTTTAAAAGGCCAATACATTCCCATAAATGGAAATATCCTCATTTAATATAATTAATATATTTTAATTATGGAAGCATGATAAAATTATCCAAAGCAAGGAATTAAAATAGAAGGATGAGACAAGTTAATAATCTTATGAGCTCCATGAATACGTGTTCATTATGTGCAAAACTCTTCCTGTTAAGCACTTTATATACAGTTAACCATCACAATCTAAACCACTCTTCGGAGCATGATTATTAACTCAATTTTTCAAACTAGGAATCTTAGGCTCAGAGAGGTTATGTCATCTCCACAGGGTCAACAGCTCTAAAATGTGGAGCACAAATTGTAATGGGAAAGGCCAAGATGATTATTGACCTGTGAGCCACTGAAACCAGTGTGAATTGTTCTGTATGGAATAGAAGTACACTTCATGATATATATTGTAACTGTTGCTGAAGGATTTTATTCATTTTACATTGGATCAAATGGAAATCGAGCTGTATATTAAAGATTTTACAAAAGCTCCAAATTAAGAAGAAACTATAGAAACTCAAATAAAATGAAATTTTTTTTAAAAAAGTGTTTTCTAAGTAGTGTTTCATAAAGTAATACAAATTTTTAGTTATTAGGCTGATAAAATAAATCTATTTCTTTTAGTATCTTTGTCCTTTCTTTTTGAATGTTGTTACACATTCCTGAAAGTTGGAAGATCAGCGTTTTAAAATAAATGCTAGGAAAGACCTAATGTAACTCTTGATTATTTTACAGCATCAAGAGTTCTTCCTTCTTCTTGCTTATTGCTTGACAACAGATTGACTGAGGATGCTTTAGAGCTGACAGGTTTGGAGGATGAGGGATGAGTGAGTATGAGCAAAACTCTGAGGAGGAGCACTGCATGCCTCAAAAGAACTTGGAGAGAATAAGAGTTACCAAAAAAAAAAAAAAAAAAAGATTTTGCCAGGCTATAATTGGAATGAAGTGATATAAGTGACATGAATGATGCTTAAAATGTTGAGAATTAAAAAGTAAATATTAAAACATTGAAAAACTTTTTTTTACCCTTTTTGGTTTATCATCTTCCTTCTCTCCTTCAACTTCCATTTTTTTCATTCAGTTTTTCCCCTCATTCCAACTCTTCTTTCTTTAATTGAACATAATAGAGACTCGGAGTTCAAAATATGTGTTGTTTCTATTGAATTGATAGATTTTTTTTTTTTTTTTGAGACAGGGTCTCTGTCTGTCATCCAAGCTGGACCGCAGTGGTGTGATCATGGCTCACTGCAGACTCAACCTCCCCAGGCTCAGGTGATCCTCCCACCTTAGCTACTCTCAAGCAGCTGAGACTACAGGTGCACAGCTCCATGCCTGGCTAATTTTTGTACTTTTCCTAGAGACAGGGTGTCACTGTGTTGCCCATGCTGTTCTTGAACTCCTGCCCTCAAGTGATTCACCCGCCTTGGCCTCCGAAAATGTTGGAATTACAGGCACGAGCCACTGTGCCTGGTCTATTGAATGGAATTTATGTTTATCCTTTCCAATTTTAAAATAGTTAACTTTAAAGTTGTGTATTTTACATTCATTGTCTTCAAACCAAACAAAATCCAAAAACTTTTCTACTTTTTGAATTGAATTTTTTCTCTCCTTTTGAATAATAAAACCTGGTCATTGATGTATGTGTACTCATCTGATATTTTTGATTTAACAAAATCAAATGGAGGGTTCACGTTAGTATTTTATGCTTTTTAAAAGTAGACATGCTTATGCTCTTCCCTAAAACTTTTATTTCAGCATTACTTAGATAAGCCCTGGCATCTGTATTTTTTTAGGTTACACAGATGATTTTTTTGTATACCCTGGTCAATAGCCACAGTGGAGTATACCTGCATTCTGATATATACACTCTTGACAACCATAGAGACAAATGATACTTAGCTGCATTTTTAACATTACCTAACATAAGTGAAAGGGATTTTAAAACAGTAGTATTTTGGAAAACAGCAGATAATAAAACATTAATTTTGTGTTGTGGGTTATTGGTATTAAGTATCATGTAATGCCCACATCTCAAAGCTCACTATGGAAGAATTGGTGTCAGATAATAGGAAGATTGATATTGTTGAAAACCATGCATTCAGCAAGCCAGCCATTGGTAGCACCCAATGAAGTGTTCAGTATTCATCTAAGCAGAGAAAGTAGAAGACACAATCTTTACTGTAACTTTGAGTGTTTGCAGTGTGTCAGATGGTCCCTTGAAGAAGAAATATTAATAAAAATGAATTGCAAATTGTCTCCAATTTACCTGAAAGAGATCAAAATAATGTATCTAAATATATGGTGTTTGAAAGGTGTAGAGTCAGTCCATATTTTTCAAGCCCAGTGAAGGTAACAGAACAGTTTCTACTTAAGCAGCTGTTTGTTGGTTTCTTTGGCTCAAGAGAGAGGTATAATATCTTCTTTTATTTTACAGCTTTTTAATCATAATAATAACTATTATAAAATTAACAAATGCACATGGTAACTAATTCAAACAATTTTTGCTTTATCCCTTTAAAGCCATTATCTAGGGAATAATCACTTCCCGCTTTTTTAAAAAAAAGTTTTTCTGATATTTTCCTTTTTATCTCTAAATAATATGCTTATGTCTCATTTTTATTTCATCAACTTATGTAATGTTTTCTAACTTTCTAATTTGAAAATGAGGAATTTATTTTATTTATGTAAACTTTTCTCTTTCTGCCCCATTCTCAAATTCCAAGCAGTTATGTTTTCATTTCTAAGTAATTCTATGGGTTGGATTTATACCTTTAAATGGAATATACCTGAACCTCTATTTCTTGTTACTTAAACTTTAGCCAGGATGCACTAACTGCCTTCAATGTAAGATAAGGGGTCAGCTCTCCAACTTTTCCCTCACCACTAATCCCCCTCTACCTCTCAATTTTTGTAAGCTATTCCATTACTTTTACACTGATAATATTTAACACATATATGTGTATATCTTGTCTTTGTGTAAATAAAGTTCTATAATTGTACTTACATTTTATATATGCTTTGGTAATTGGCACATTTGTGAGATGATTAACTGATACAATTTAACAATATTATAATTATGTATGTATTTTTCATTTTAAAACAAGTAACATGGTTTGATCTAGAGGAGGAATTTAAACCTCTCATTCAAACTCTGCTACTTGAAGAACACATCAAACTCAAGTGGATCCTCTCTGCTTCAATTCTACCAGTTGTTCAAGTTCATGCCTCATTTTGAATTGATTCCTATTTGGACAATATGGCTATTTACACGTTCTAAAGAAACAAATTCCCTTTGCTTTTATTCACACTATTTGTGAAACATCTTGTATTCTATGTGTTTTAGAAGTACTTTTTTTTTTTTGCTCTACCTTAATCCAAAGTAACTTAAAAAAAAAAGATAAAAAGGAGTTAAATTTTGAATTTTCTTATACCTAGAAATATATTTTGTTTGCCATCACACTTGATAATAGGTTGTCTGATAATAGAATTTGATTCAAAATATTTTCTCTCATCACACTGAAAGCATTGATTGTGTTCTAGTGTCAATTATGGCTAAGGAAATTTTAATGGCAATCTAATTTTCATTCTTTTTAGTTAGTTATCTTATTTTTGGAAGATTATAAAATCTTGTTTCTATTGTTAATGCTCTAAACTTTCACAAGAATGGAACTTTTAAATTGATCTTCTTTTGTACTTTTAGCTTGATGACTCTTGGTGAATTTTCTGCCATTACTTTGTTTATTATTTCCTATCTACTATTTGCTGCTCTCTTGAGACTAATGTCGAACAACATGGATTATTCTGTATCTTCTAAGTTTTATTTTGTACTTTTTTAATTTTTAAAATTCTCCTAAAATATATAGAAAAATCTAAGATATAGAACTCCATGCATTTTTACATATACATATTTTCCCATGTAACCATCACATAGATCAAGGTATAGAACGTTTCTAGCACCTGAGAATGCTCACTGGTGCCCCATTCTGGTAAAGTGCCCCTTTTGGGTAAAGTAAAAGGTAACTACAATTATGACTTCTCCTTTTCAGCAAGCATTCTACTGAAATTTTTTGTTTCACAAAGCATGACCTTTACCCAGAATTGATGTTGTTGTTTTTGGTAGCCTATTTTTTTTTTTTAATAAAAGATACTCTGTCTCCTCAAATTTCTCTAGGAATACTAACTTTAACTTCTCAATATCCCACAATGTTTGCTTTTTTTTTTCTAAAGTTAAAAGTTTGGTCTGTTCATCTTAGTCTTTCAATTTTATGTTTGGTAGATCTTCATTACCAATTTATTCTTGATAATCTATTAATATTTATGGAAGAAAGGCCAGGTTGGTGTTGGCCAGGTTTGCATCTGTCTTTATACAGGTCTGTTTCCCAGACAAATCCTCTCTTGAAAGAGAGGGATGACTGAAAGGTCTGTGTATATACATGTATGGTGTACTGACAGGCAGGCTACATTTTAGGATGTATGGATGAGGAGTAGATAAGGGAGTCACCTTTCCCTCGACTCCACCCTGGTTCTAGCTAAAATGGACATGGATACCCTAGGAGTCCTACCTTAATTAATGCAGATATTATCCTTTTGGTGATAGCTTGGAGATAAACCACTCTGCTACATATTTAACATAGAGAGGGAAGTGGGACAATGTTTTCTGCAACATTATTGAATAAATAATCCATGGATTAATCAACTTGTTTTCTGATCTACATCACATATTTGCCATAGAAATCTGTGACTTCTCTGCTAGAAAGAAATTCTAACATTCTCAGATGAGTGTTCTAGACTGTAGCTTCTGCTTTGATCTCCTCACTAGGGTAATCTTATGATTTATGATAACTTTTTTTGTCTTCCTCTGGTTTTTAGTGATATTATCTAACATTTCGCCACTGTACATCTTTGTTTTTACTGCAATGGAAATTTGAAGGCCAGAGAGTGTGATAAACACATGGGATAAGACCATTTTCATGAACTGGGAGCTGACATTGCTTTGACTGGAAAGATGTGTGAAGAAAAATAGATGCTAGATAGACAAATACATGATATGATATTTGGACAGACATAGATCCATAGATGGATAAGCATAGATAAAACATATCTATATATATGTGTGTGTCTGCATACATAGAAAATAAGAAAGAGTTCAGAATAAATATTTCCATATTGATTTTAACTATAGGAAATCTTAGATACAAGAATAACACATTCATTTTTTAATTTTAGTAGTTGCCTAAGTATTCTCTAATATGAGATTAATGGTGAGTGGGTAAGATAGTAATGAGAAAACAAAAGTACTGCCTTTATATGCAACATTGGGATTTCATTCTAAAGAAGATACAATCATAGTAATGTTAATAAAAGTGGAAATGTAGCAATATATTTTTCAAAATTGTAAATTAAACATGACAAGAATAAATATTGATTGATTTCATTGACTATATAAAATTAGGTCAAATAATTTTAAATGATTTTTTTCAAAGTATATTTTCTTTCTTCTGGATAGAAAAACATGACATTTTCGTTGTACAAATTTGAAAAGTAAAGTATAAAGACATAAAAATAATCCATAATCTCTTAACTAGGGCTAAACTTTGTTAAATGCATTGTGTATTTAAATTAAATATCATTTTAAAAATTATTATTAATTTACATCTATCTGTGTGTATAACCTGGATTCCACTTATTATGCATTATATTTTTATAATTCATTTAATTCATTAAATAGTCTTTGAACGCTCTCTTTCAAAGCTGCTCATTATTTCATTATACATTCATTACTTCATTTAGTGTAACCCTTACTGTTAGGATTTTGGATTGATTATAATTTTTCAATATTATAAAAATATTGTAGTAAATATATTTATACATGTTAGAGGACACCTGAGATTACTGTCTTTGAATAAATTCCTAGAAGGAAAATTATTTGGCAATATAAACGAATTCACGTGTTTAAGGCTTTTGATAGATATTACAAAATTACCCTCAAAAAGTTTGTACACTTTATTTATTTATTTGAGACGGAGTCTCGCTCTATTGCCCAGGCTGGAGTGCAGTGGCACGATCTTGGCTCACTGCAAGCTCCGCCTCCTGGGTTCACGCCATTCTCTGCCTCAGCCTCCCGAGCAGCTGGGACTATAGGCGCCTGCCAACATGCCTGGCTAATTTTTTTGTACTTTTAGTAGAGACAGGGTTTCACAGTGTTCGCCAGGTTGGTCTCGATCTCCTGACCTCATGATCTGCCTGCCTGGGCCTCCCAAAGTTCTGGGATTATAGGCGTGAGCCACCGCACCCAGACAGTACACATTATTTATTACTTTCATCCAGACAGGCAACACTGATTTCCCCTATAACCTCTCTAATATCACTATTACTTTTGTTAAAATCTTTGCTAATGATTAATAGGCCAAATTTGGTTCCCCATGTTTATTTTAATATTTGTTTCTTTGATTACTAGTGAGGTTTGACATGGTTACAAGTGTTTATTAACCATTTGTATTTTTAGATAATTATGTTTTTTACTAAATTTTATGAGATATATTAATATCTTTATTCATTAAAGGAAAAGCACTTCATCTGTCATTTGTATTGTACTTTTTTTATTTTGTGGATGCCTTCCACTTTTAAAAACCTTCATTGTTATGAGATTAAATCTAGCATTCTTTATCTTTTTCGATTTTGCCTTTGGTGTAATGCTTTACAAGTCCTCTCTACTCTCACATTAAATAAGTATTCATTTTCACTTTTATTAGAATGTTTGAGCTTTATTTTTCCATTTAAATATTTACTCCACCAGAAATCTCAAATCTTAAACTAAATGCCTGACTAATGAAAACTCCTGTGGCCTGTTTATCCAGAAGACTAAGGGAAGAGGAAAGAAGTTGTAGTCACACATAGGTCCTGCCCCATCATTGCATCTTCTTTGTGTGTGTTGGTGAAGTGTGAGGCTCCATTTTTACTTATGTTGCCCTCTGTAACCCTGTCAGCCTATCATCTTGCCACCCCACTGGCCTGGTACAATAACTTCCAAGCAAACTCAGATGCCAACTAAAGCTGCTCTTCTTCAAAGCTATAAAATTAGTAAAATGAAAGGAAGTTTCACCTCTCCAAACTAGAGGATGATGATGAAATCTGATCAAGGTCTCTTCAACTTCCATTTCACAGATCATGATGTTAAGCAGGTGCTTAGTGTCTTCCTTTAATTTAGCTTGATCAGGGAAATATTGCCCATGCATGGTACCACTAGCATTGACCACCCTTTGCCTCTGCTTTTTTCATATACTTTAGTCATTCTGGAGCTGTGTTGAGCATGTGCATGGGGGTTGGGGGAGACAGAGACAGAGGAGAATAGGAATATTGGAAGAATCAAACTGGTAATGGACATCTGAGTTCACAACATCTTTGTACCTAGATTTCTGTCAAATAATTCTTGAAAGAGATGGTACCCTCCAGTTGAATGTAGAATCTACAAAAACACCAGTTATTCAAGCCAACTTTTCTTCAAGAGCCACAGTATGTCTACACTGAAAGTCTAGTGAGGCAAGTTATCCCGTCTTCTCACCTTTATGATTTCCAAAAGTGTTGAGGAATCTCCAAAGCACAAGTGGCAACTGCTTTGATTTGATTCATTGATTTGTTTCCTTTTTACTAAATCTCTTCCTATTCTGAGGACAATTTTCACATATTTTAGGATTCAAAATTCTTAATGCATATTCATAGTAGTTTTATTAAGATATAATTTACACACCATAAAAAATCACCATTTTAAAGTGTATCACTCAGTGGTTTTTAGTATGTTCACAAAGGTATGCAACAATCATCATTATGTAGTTTTAGAATATTTTTATCACCCCAAAAGAAGCCCCATACTCTTTAACCATTAACCACATAACCATCAATAATCACTTCCTATTACACCCAGCCTCTGACAAAAAATACTCTACATTTTGTTTCTGGGGATTTGCCTATTCTGGACATTTCATAAGATGGAATCATATCGTATGTGGCCTTTTGGCTCTGTGTTCTTTCACGGGGTTTTCATCACATCCATGTTGTAACATGTACCTATACTTCATTTGTTTTTATTGCTAAATACTAATTCAGTGTTTGAATATCCCACATTCCTTTATCCATTTATTCATTGGTGAGTAATGAGGTTGTGTTTACTTTTTGGCTAGTATGAATAATGCTGCTGAACATTCATGTAAACGTTCTTGTGTGGACATATGTTTTAAATTCCCTTGAGTCTGTACCAAGTAGTGGAATTGCCGAGTCATAACTTACTCTTTACCTTTCAGAATCATCCTACTTTTGAATGTGTATATGAAATATCCCTTATTTTTCACTACATTCTTTAAAAACCTTTATCCTAACTTTGGTTTCCATCAAAATACAGGCATACTTCATTTTATGGGGCTTTACTTTATTGCACTTCAAGATACTGCATTCTTTACAAGTTGAAGGTTTGTGGCAACCCTGCATTAAGCAAGTCTGTCAGCGTAATTTTTTCAACAGCATGTGCTCACTTCATGCATCTGTGTCACACTTTGGCAATTCTCACAATATTTCAACTTTGTAATTGCCATTATTTAATTATTACTGTATGTGTTATGGTGATCTATGATCAGTGATCTTTGTTGTTACTGTGGTAATTGTTTTGGGGTGCTATGAACCACATCCACATAAGACAGCAAACAATCATTAAATGTGACGTGTTCTGTTTCAGCATCCCTATCTCTCTCCCTTTCCTCAGGCTTCCCTGTTCCCTGACACACAACGATGTTAAAATTAGGCCAATTAGTAACCCATTCCCACCCCTAATGTTCAAGTAAAGGAAGAATTGCGCATTTCTCACTTTAAATCAGAAGCTAGAAATGATTAAGCTTAGTGAGGAAGGCATGTTGAAAGCCAAGATAGGCCAAAATCTAGGCC
Organism: Homo sapiens; assembly: GCF_000001405.40. Lineage (NCBI taxonomy): Eukaryota > Metazoa > Chordata > Mammalia > Primates > Hominidae > Homo > Homo sapiens. The sequence goes on along the minus strand of NC_000002.12, from coordinate 166,313,779 downwards.
TCTTGCACTAAGTACTTAGCCAAGTTGTGAATGCAAAGGAAACATTCTTGAAGGAAATCAAATGTGCTACTCCAGTGAACACATGAATGATAAGAAAACAAAACAGCCTTATTGCAAATATAGAGAAAGTTTTAGTGATCTAGATAGAAGATCAACCAGCCACAACATTTCCTTAAGCCAAAGCCTAATCCACAGCAAGGCCATAACTCCAATTGTATGAAGGCTGAGAGGTGAAGAAGCTGGAAAAAAAAGGTTTGAAGCTGGCAGACGGTACCCCATGAGATTGAAGGAAAGAAGTCACTGCCATAACATAAAAATGCAAGGTGAAACAGCAAGTGCCAATGGAGAAGATGCAGCAAGTTATTCAGAAGATCTAGCTAAGATCATTGATAAGAGTGGTTACATTAAACAACAGATTTGCAATGAAGGTCTAACAGCCTTCTACTAGAAGAATATATTATAGCTAGAAAGGAGAAGTCAATGTCTGGCTTCAAAGCTTCAACGAACAGGCTGACTCTCTTGTTAGGGGATAATGCAGCTGGTGACTTTAAATTGAAGCAAATGCTAATTTATCGTTCAGAAAATCTTAGAATTATATTATTTAATTATTCAGAATATTAATAATTATTTACTATTCAGAAAATTACATAATAATTATATTATTTACTATTCAGAAAATTACATAATAATTATATTATTTACTATTCAGAAAATTAAATAATTATATTCTTTACTATTCAGAAAATTAAATAATAACTATATTATTTAATTATTCAGAAAATTAAATAATAATTATATTATTTAATCATTCAGAAAATCTCTTAAGAATTATACTAAATCTACTCTGCCTGTGCTCTATAAATAGAACAACAAAGCCTGGATGACAGCACGTCTGTTTACAGCATGGTTCACTAAATATTTTAGGCCCAGTGTTGATACTTATAGCTCAGGAAAAAAAAAAAAGATTTCTTTCAAAATATCACTGCCTATTGACAATGTGCCTGGTCACTCAAGAGCTCTAACGGAGAGGTACAAGGGCATTAATGTTATTTTCATGCCTGCTAACGCTATCCATTCTGTAGCCTATGGGCCAAAGAGTAATTTCAACTTTTAAGTCTTATTTTTTAATAAATACATTTTATAAGACTATAGCTGCCATAGATAGTGATTCCTCTGATGGGTCTGGGAAAAGTAAATTGAAAATCTTCTGGAAAGGATTCACCATTCTAGATGTTATTAGAACATTAATGATTTGTGGGAGGAGGGCAATATACAAACATTAATAGGAAATTGGAATGAGTTGATTCCAACTCTCATGGATGACTATGAGAGGTTTAAGACTTCAGTGATGGAAAGAACTGCAGATGTGGTGGAAATAGCAAGAGAATTAGAATTAAGAGATGGAGCCTAAAATTGTGACTGAATTGCTGCCATCTCGCGGTAACTTGAATGGATGAGGAGTTGCTTCTGATTGATAAGCAAAGAAAGTGGTTTCGTGAGATGGAATCTTCTCCTGGTCAAGATGTTATGAACATTGTTGAAGTGACAGCAGAGGATTTAGAATATTACATAAGTTTAGTTGGTAAAACAGCATCAGGCTGGAGAGTGGTGCTACCAAAGGCATTATCATAAAGACTTTTAAAAGAGGAAAGTTGAGTTGAATTGCACCAAAGGTAAATATAGACGAAAAGAAGGGGAATTTAGGAAAATTTACTCAGAAAATTGTCATTTTTTACTTTAAAGCTATGAAGCGTAAACTTCAAATTTCTGAGTATAAAGATGGTTAGAAGGCACGAAAGATAAGTCCCGCCCATTGCCTGACACATAGTAATCCCTTAACAAGCTGATAATTCTAGAACATGTTACCTTTTGTAGTTGAAACTAAAAATCTGTTTATGTTGTTATTATTAGTTTTTAATGGGCCTTTCTTGGCAGGCAAATAGTTAAGTCTTTATTTCTTTGTTTCCATCCAGGCCTCTTATGTGAGGAGCTGAAGAGGAATTAAAATATACAGGATGAAAAGATGGCAATGTTGCCTCCCCCAGGACCTCAGAGCTTTGTCCATTTCACAAAACAGTCTCTTGCCCTCATTGAACAACGCATTGCTGAAAGAAAATCAAAGGAACCCAAAGAAGAAAAGAAAGATGATGATGAAGAAGCCCCAAAGCCAAGCAGTGACTTGGAAGCTGGCAAACAGCTGCCCTTCATCTATGGGGACATTCCTCCCGGCATGGTGTCAGAGCCCCTGGAGGACTTGGACCCCTACTATGCAGACAAAAAGGTGAGTTTATTTTGACTTCAGTGGTCAGTTTCTGTTGGCTTCCTTCTGTATAAAAATTATTTTAAATTGAGATTAGTGAAATTTAGTGAATAACCATATCATGACCAGAATGTTAAATTAAATATATATATATATATATATATATATATATATATATATATATATATAGGATATTCAGAATCTGTACTTTTTCAAATTTTTCATTGAAATTGGCTCTGGCATTGGCATACTACTTTTAATTTTTTTTTTTAATTATACTTTAAGTTTTAGGGTACATGTGCACATTGTGCAGGTTAGTTACATATGTATACATGTGCCATGCTGGTGCGCTGCACCCACTAACTGGTCATCTAGCATTAGGTATATCTCCCAATGCTATCCCTCCCCCCTCCCCCCACCCCACCACAGTCCCTAGAGTGTGATATTCCCCTTCCTGTGTCCATGTGATTTCATTGTTCAATTCCCACCTATGAGTGAGAATATGCGGTGTTTGGTTTTTTATTCTTGTGATAGTTTACTGAGAATGATGATTTCCAATTGCATCCATGTCCCTACAAAGGACGTGAACTCATCATTTTTTATGGCTGCATAGTATTCCATGGTGTATATGAGCCACATTTTCTTAATCCAGTCTATCATTGTTGGACATTTGGGTTGGTTCCAAGTGTTTGCTATTGTGAATAATGCCACAATAAACATATGTGTGCATGTGTCTTTATAGCAGCATGATTTATAGTCCTTTGGGTATATACCCAGTAATGGGATGGCTGGGTCAAATGGTATTTCTAGTTCTAGATCCCTGAGGAATCGCCACACTGACTTCCACAATGGTTGAACTAGTTTACCACCAACAGTGTAAAAGTGTTCCTATTTCTCCACATCCTCTCCAGCACCTGTTGTTTCCTGACTTTTTAATGATTGCCATTCTAACTGGTGTGAGATGGTATCTCATTGTGGTTTTGATTTGCATTTCTCTGATGGCCAGTGATGATGAGCATTTTTTCATGTGTTTTTTGGCTGCATAAATGTCTTCTTTTGAGAAGTGTCTGTTCATGTCCTTTGCCCACTTTTTGATGGGGTTGTTTGTTTTTTTCTTGTAAATTTGTTTGAGTTCATTGTAGATTCTGGATATTAGCCTTTTGTCAGATGAGTAGGTTGCGAAAATTGTCTCCCATTTTGTAGGTTGCATGTTCACTCTGATGGTAGTTTATTTTGCTGTGCAGAAGCTCTTTAGTTTAATTAGATCCCATTTGTCAATTTTGTCTTTTGTTGCCATTGCTTTTGGTGTTTTAGACATGAAGTCCTTGCCCATGCCTATGTCCTGAATGGTAATGCCTGGGTTTTCTTCTAGGGTTTTTATGGTTTTAGGTCTAATGTTTAAGTCTTTAATCCATCTTGAATTGATTTTTGTATAAGGTGTAAGGAAGGGATCCAGTTTCAGCTTTCTACATATGGCTAGCCAGTTTTCCCAGCACCATTTGTTAAATAGGGAATCCTTTCCCCATTGCTTGTTTTTCTCAGGTTTGTCAAAGATCAGATAGTTGTAGATATGTGGCGTTATTTCTGAGGGCTCTGTTCTGTTCCATTGATCTATATCTCTGTTTTGGTACCAGTACCATGCTGTTTGGGTTACTGTAGCCTTGTAGTGTAGTTTGAAGTCAGGTAGCGTGATGCCTCCAGCTTTGTTCTTTTGGCTTAGGATTGACTTGGCGATGCGGGCTCTTTTTTGGTTCCATATGAACTTTAAAGTAGTTTTTTCCAGTTCTGTGAAGAAAGTCATTGGTAGCTTGATGGGGATGGCATTGAATCTGTAAATTACCTTGGGCAGTATGGCCATTTTCACGATATTGATTCTTCCTACACATGAGCATGGAATGTTCTTCCATTTGTTTGTATCCTCTTTTATTTCCTTGAGCAGTGGTTTGTAGTTCTCCTCGAAGAGGTCCTTCACATCCCTTGTAAGTTGGATTCCTAGGTATTTTATTCTCTTTGAAGCAATTGTGAAATTTAGTATAATGTTTAGTATAACATAGTATACATTGTTTAGTATAATTGTTTAGCATAACATTTTTGGACATGACACAGTGATCTGCCAAATTTTATAATCATACCTATTTTTTCCTGCTAATAATTAACTCTCATGTGTATGCAGACCCAAAAATCACTTAAAAGTTTTTAATGAGAATGAAAATTGCTAATTTCAATTTTAAAATACCAACAATTCTTTTTATTAAAATTTCAAGTATAAGGTAACTTGATCTTGCCAATACTATGTAGTATGTTGTGATTTTTCATGTTAGCTCAGATGACCTCCGGTTTATAAAGTCTCCCTGATAATTTTGACAGTCATGTGACCCTGTTCCCTCTTCACTCTCATTCTTCCCCCTTTATATTTTTCTGTATGATATCTGTCACATCTTGCCTTATATTAGTTACTTTCTTCTTTTCATTTTTCTAGGAAGTTCCTTGAATACAAAACTCATGCCTTATTTTTGTTCAAACTCCTTTTCATTACCTGTTATGATATAGTTTCTGACTATACATGTATTAGTCTTTTTTTTTTTTTTTTTTTTGAGACAGAGTCTCCCTCTGTTGCCCAGGCTGGAGTGCCGTGGCGCGATTTTGGCTCACTGCAAGCTCCGCCTCCCGGGTTCACGCCATTCTCCCACCTCAGCCTCCAGGGTAGCTGGGACTACAGGTACCCGCCACCACACCTGGCTAATTTTGTTTTTGTATTTTTAGTAGAGACGGGGATTCACCGTGTTAGCCAGGATGGTCTCGATCTCCTGACGTTGTGTTCTGCCCACCTTGGCCTCCCAAAGTGCTGGGAACACAGGCGTGAGCCACCACGCCCGGCCGTATTAGTCCATTTTTACACTGCTATAAAGAACTACCTGAGACTGGGTAATTTATAAAGAAAAGAGATTTAATTTACTCACTGTTCTGAATGGCAGGGGAGGCCTCAGAAAACTTACAATCATGGTCGAAGGCAAAGGGGAAGCAAGGCACATCTTAACATGGTGCAGGAGAGGGAGAAAGAGGAGGGAAATGCCGCACTTTTAAACCCATCAGATCTCATGAGAACTCACTCACTCACTATCATGAGAACAGCACTGGGGAAACCGCTCCCATGATCCAATCACTTACCACCAGGTCCCTCCCCTGAGACGTGGGGATTACAATTCAAAATGAGATTTGGGCGGGGACACAGAGCCAAACCATGTCAATACAATTGCAGAAAGAATGGATGAATAATTTTTTAAAAATACAGTCTACTGAGATTTAAGACAAAAAGGATTGTACTTGAGGACTAGGTATTAATTTTAAAATAATTTTCCATGTAAAAGTGAATTTTACATTAAATTGTATTTAGATAGAACTGATACAGTGAAAGGGAGCAGGAAAATAAAAGGACACCTGAAAACAATAGACTCTGATTTGTTTTCTTGAGGGAACGCTGCCGCATACAAATAAAAAGCCTGACTCACAGACTTACCTCCTGAATACGGTGAGAAATGCTTATTGCCAGAAACCCACTGATAACCCTATATAAAATTTAGAAAGTCAGTGTCTTTCAGCTAACACAAGTCATCTTCCTGCCAACCGGAGAAAAATAAGGCTGGGATTTGAACTTTGTCTTTCTGATTTCTAAGCCAATGCTTTAGGTTGCTTTAATATTTTGTTGTTACTGCTGGTTGTTTTTATTTCTTAACTGAATACTAAAGCTATGGAAAAGGACACTTATGGAATGGCTACAATAACATTTCAAGAATGTTTGCTTCTATTCATATCGTTTTTTAAATTACCGTGGTTAGTAAGTGAGGAATCCTCTTAATTTAAGTCCCTTTTAAAAGCTAATATTAGTATTATAACTAAAATAAAGAAATTGAACTCAGTGATTGGAAGGATTCTTCCAACTCTGACGTTCCTTCAACTTAGGAAAATATTTTTTGAAATAACTCATATTTTGGAACATGTGCTGCTAACCATAACAATTGCCAGCAAGTATTAAAATTCTCAAGGTTTTATGATAAAAATATTAGAGATAGCTAGTTTCTATTTGGCTTTCTTAAAATGCAGTGTAATGGAAGGGAAAGAAGTTGTACTTTAAAATAACTTAACCACAGTTATTGTTACTGGTGAAAGAAAATGAAAAATATGAAATACAGTATTTTGAAAGCTCTAAGCAATACATGCTAACAAATAGCTCAATTTTTAAAGTTACTATGAAGAAGTGGACTTGGAGTTCATTGGCCAAGGTGACATTGATAGATGCGTTGATGACATTGGAACCACATTGCTGGAGTCTGATGGCAGTGTTTCTTCAATATAACACTGCCATGTAGAAAGGTAAACTGCTGATATTGATGTGAAAAATTGATATTTTGGATTCTCAATTTCATCCTTTCTTTTTCCTCCTGCAGACTTTCATAGTATTGAACAAAGGGAAAACAATCTTCCGTTTCAATGCCACACCTGCTTTATATATGCTTTCTCCTTTCAGTCCTCTAAGAAGAATATCTATTAAGATTTTAGTACACTCATATCCTTTTAAAAATGATTACATCCAGTGGCACTTTATGGTGTAATTTTTGCTATTTTATTCAAATATAGATGTTATACCTTTTGCACCTTGAAAGACTCTGGTTTTAGTTTATTAATTTCAGTATTATTAATATAATTTGTCATGGGTCTCAGAGAAGACTGGGAGAGTGGCAATATTAAGATTTTAGGATATGTTACTTTTATTTATTACTCTCTTGTTCAAAGAGACAAAATAGTCTACAAGCTCATTTAGAATTTTTTTCTTAGGAAAAGTTGTAAGCATTTCAACAAGTGTCATCCTCAAATATTTCAAATTCCCACTGTCGTCTCTTTTGTTCCTTGATTCTAAGCTACCTTATTCAGCATGCTCATCATGTGCACTATTCTGACAAACTGCATATTTATGACCATGAATAACCCACCGGACTGGACCAAAAATGTCGAGTAAGTGGGTATAAGTACATTTTAATATAGTTTTGGTATTATCATTTCATCCTTTCCTTTTCCTGCCAGGAAGTTACTGCATTTATGAAGATGGGGAATCTTTACCTTCCCATGTTATATGCTTGCTTTTCTTTTGTTCTTTACCTCCTCTATGATATTAACCTGCTAGATTAGAAAAATTAGATGCTACAGTGTTTTCTCAAAGAATGAACTTGTCAGATGCTCCATCCTGTTCTTAGACATGTTACACATATTTTATTCTTGGGTGTATGTTTTATAATTATATGGGTGTATTTTTAAATGATTGGGTGAATTTTTGATAGAAGCAATGTAGGAAATTTTTAGGCAGATCTGAGACCTATATTCTTAGTTATTTCAAGTACCTCTGCTTTCTGGGAGTGTTTCTGATATTGACATTTTAATATTTTCTGGATAGACCTATTGTAGTTTAATAGGGTGTGTCCATAACCCAACAGCCATCCTCCAATATATGTCTTCCAGTGGTTAATTAGAGAAAATAAGTTATAAAGATTTACATGGTGGTTGTATTCTTTTCACATCTAGTATCCCAATGGAATCTTGTGTTTAGGTACACTTTTACTGGAATATATACTTTTGAATCACTTGTAAAAATCCTTGCAAGAGGCTTCTGTGTAGGAGAATTCACTTTTCTTCGTGACCCGTGGAACTGGCTGGATTTTGTCGTCATTGTTTTTGCGTAAGTACTTTCAGCTTTTTGAAACGGCAAATTTATGAAAATCTCAGGCAGCACAGTGTTCCAATAACAGCAAACCTCTGGGGTCTGATTTTTCCAGCATGGAATGTCTGTATTTAAAGGAAAATGGAAGCTATATGAAAGCTAGTCATTGATAGGCAAATACTAAATTTTTCAAAAAGACTATCTCCCACTCAGAGGTATGTGACATCATTGAGATTGATCATCTTCCTCCATGCTCAGCACTTGGATGGATAGTCTATGCAGTGCCAATTAGGTTTACACTTTTTCCAAGTTCTTGTTTAAAAATGAATAAAACCTATAAGAAGCACACAAAAAACTCAGGCCTTTAAATACAAGTACAGTGCTCTTTATATTACCCTGTATTATTCAATTATTTTATATTTTTGTATTAAAATATAAAAGTATATATTTGTAAAAGAGCTGTCACTGCTTACTAAGCCTAAGATTAATGCATTGTATACACATTATATATACACTCAGTTTATTTTCAAGGAAAATATTACATTACAGTATAATTTTAATTTATTCATAATTGTTACTCTTTTCCCAAATGTATTTATCAGAAAAATGGATTTTTACAATCTCATATCTAGATATTCTATTTTCCGTTAATGACTTTGAATTATCAAAGTAATCCAGGTTCACTGGAGCCACCTAGACAATACAGAAGGGTCTTAAGATTCCTAATATCCGATTCCTTCATCCCTGCCTAACCTCTTTTCCATCAGGCTCCCTCCTTTTGAGGTCACATATGATGGGGCAGTTCCATCTGCTACCTGCTGCTAAGAAAACATTGTGCAAAGAAGACTGCCTCTTCTCATAGGTCTCCTTTTTTTCCTATTGGTACAATTCAAATACTACAAAATTCACAATTTTAAAGTATACAATTCAGTGTTTTTCAGTATATTGACAAACTTGCGCAACATCACCACTACCTAATTAGAGAAGTTTAACAACCCCAAATAGAAACTCTGTACTCATTAGCAGTCACTTCAATTTCCTTCTCTCCCTGGCCCCTTGGAAACCACTCATCTATGTTTTATCTCTATGGATTTGTCTATTTGGATTTTTTTATGAATGGAAATATCAAACAGTATGCAGCCTTTTGTGTCTGACACTTAGCATACTATTTTCAATGTTTTATAAAAAATTAAAAGTCTAAATTACCATAATGTTAAGGGTCCAACAATTGAAACATTTAGTTGTTTACGCATTTAAGTGTATGAATCCAATTTAATAATATATAATATCTGTATTTTGTTTGCATCAAATGAGTCAAATCAATGCTAATTAAATTAAGTTAGTTATGATAGCAAAAAAGACTTGCAGAACTATACATTTAAAATAGAAGCCCCAAACGTAGAAAATACCTTGACTAAAGGCTCAGGTAAGTATCATAGACTCTATCTAAATTCTGAATAATTCTGATTTAATTCTACAGGTATTTAACAGAATTTGTAAACCTAGGCAATGTTTCAGCTCTTCGAACTTTCAGAGTATTGAGAGCTTTGAAAACTATTTCTGTAATCCCAGGTAAGAAGTAATTGGTGTGAAGCATTAGGCCACTCATAACTCCAACTATTTGGGAGTTGTTCTTTGTTCGTTTGTGTGTGTGTCGTCACTGTGTGTATAAACTCCCCTATTACAGATATGTGACAGAGTTTGTGGACCTGGGCAATGTCTCAGCATTGAGAACATTCAGAGTTCTCCGAGCATTGAAAACAATTTCAGTCATTCCAGGTGAGAGTGGGGTTAAACACCAGGGCTGACTTTGATCTTTTGAAAGAAAGACATAAAAAAAACCTTTCTTTATGCAATTTTAATTAAATTTGATTTCTTCTGTTTTCCACAATCATTATCAAAAGTCAACCTTTGAGTTTAATCAATTGCATGGGTCTTTAGGATGAGGATGACTACTTGGCTCACATCTCAACTTGAAATCTTCCCTCCTGTCTGAGGGTTTGTTTTTCCATTTGCTTATACAGGAAGGAAAATTTCAATCCATTTTAATTGATTTTAAAATACTTAGGAAAGAGATCATAAATATCAGCATGGGGATATTGCATGACATTGTTTTTTATTTTTTCTCAGCAAACCATTTCTTTATTGAAAATTATTACAAGGTGTCACTATATGCTGTAATTTGTTTTGGTGCCATTTATAGAGAAGTGGTTTGTTTGACAAACATTAGAACTTACAAAAATTATTTTTAAAGTGGTTTGAATAGCCAAATTGTTCATTTTGACAACCTAGGTATTCTTTGAGAATATGTTCCTATTTTTAACCATTTGCTGTAATATATAAAAACAAAGTATATATAAAATAGCAAACCCAGAAGGCTTTTTTTGAATTAGGTTACTTAAGGTCATTGATTTGATATAATGCATGACTTTCTAGGAAAGCTTGTGTTTTTTGTTTCGATTCAGAGGCTTTATGTCATTACAAACACTTTTTTCTCCCATTTTCAGGCCTGAAGACAATTGTAGGGGCTTTGATCCAGTCAGTGAAGAAGCTTTCTGATGTCATGATCCTGACTGTGTTCTGTCTGAGTGTGTTTGCACTAATTGGACTACAGCTGTTCATGGGAAACCTGAAGCATAAATGTTTTCGAAATTCACTTGAAAATAATGAAACATTAGAAAGCATAATGAATACCCTAGAGAGTGAAGAAGACTTTAGAAGTAAGAATGTCCTTGCATTTGTTATTAGGTTGAAATAATGCTAAAAACATTGCTCTCTTTTAATAATGAAATGTTGCTTTCATTTTAATCATTTCAAAGCTATTCAAATATATAGAAAGCTGCTACAGTGTGAATTTGGGTCATGTTATATATGATTTTCATAAATCATCCTGGTTCTAAGCTATCTAGCAGTACTGGCAAAAGGAACACAGGATAGTTCCATAATTCCTAATTTCTATATCATAAAAAAGAATTATTTTCTCTAGAGAAATAAATGTAGCCTTGAATTAATAACATTAACCATTACATTTAACAATATAATAGATTATATATTTTATATAATTTTATTATATAGTACATACTTATATTTATTATATATAATGTGACATATTTATTATGATAGATTTTTATACTTAATAGATTGTACTCATAACTATAACATCTTAAAGTTCTATTAATCATATATAATGATAATATTAATTATCAAATATAAAGATAGTATCTGTATCTTGATAGTATTCCTAAAGATTTGTACAAAGCAAAATCATTTGCTCAGCTTTATCAACATCCACTTTGTAACCAATGACGAGTTTCATAGCTGTTTTTAATGGCTTCCTTCAATATAGGCTGATGGCAAGATATCAAAGTTTAGTTCAGTAGAATTATTTCTGTAGGTACCACATGAGATCATCTGTATGCACTCTCAGAAGTCTGCTTAATTCAGAAGTATCAATTAGAGTTTCTTACATAAAGCATGAATTGAATGTTCTCTAAACAATTATCCCCTAGCATGGTGTCTCTCACTGGAACGGTTGATGAATATTGGATGAAGATATGATCAAGATTGTACTTTCTGTCTGACACCTGGAATGTATCTATCTGATGGTGCCCACGTGAATACATAAATCTTAATAGATAATTTGACCCAGGTGTGGTATGGAAGTCACGAAACCTTTCAAATATATGTGCTGTTGCCAAAAGGAAATGAGGGAGGAAAGGTCAGGATTCTCCTTAGATAATAAAAAGTAATATACATCATTTTCTTATTTTACCAAATGTGTCCTTTCTCACTCACTGTGATAAATAAAATCAAATAACACCTAGCCCACATGGTAAAAGACTATAAATAAAATGACAGAAAAAAATAGAAGCCTTAACAAGAAAACTGAAAGTTTTGAAGTAAAATGTTTAGCATATATATTTTTACTACCACCATTTGATGAGGAATTTAGCATATTTTCCCCTTCTTTTTATATTTACCCTCTTTTCCAGTTTCTGATTGTTACAAACATGATTTGAAACTTATTTCCAATGGATGGAGAATTTTATTTCTTAATTTATATGCTGTAAAATTAATATATCTGATGAGTAACTTACATTTAATATTGTAGATTATTTTACCACACTTATTTAAACTTAAGTTTTCTCACTGGGATCTGTCCTTTTATTCTGAGTCTTGCTCCTATTTCTGAGTTTATACTGTGAATGGTTTTCTTAACCTTTGTTAAAAGAAAAATTTTCAACAAATTAAATTTAGCAGCTTATTTCAGCAATGAAATAGTATTTATTGCTGAAATAAGATAATAATAATAATGATTTAGGCAGCACTCAGAACCAAGAGAAGTTCGGAGAGCTCAACTCAGCAACATGAGCAGGAGTATTTATAGACAGAAAAAGGGAGTGACGCACAAAAACAGCTTGATTGCTTATAGCTTGACATTTGCCTTATGTGGACATTGTCTGATAAATCAGCAGGCTGTGGTTGGCTGAAGCTCAGCTGCTGTGATTGGCTGAGACAGCTACTTGTTACAAGAATATACTAATAGATTAGAATGCAATTTGTTTACATATGAAGTTAGATTGCAATTCTCTATGTACACAGACAGCCTTTAATCAAATTTAATTTAATTCATCGCTTTCTGGAATTGCTTCATGTATTTTTTTTTTTTTTTGCTAAAAAATAATACAAAAAAAGAAGAAAAAAAAAGAAACCCCGTCTCTACTAAAAATACAAAAAATTAGCCGGGCATGGTGGTGGGCGCCTGTAATTCCAGCTACTCAGGAGGCTGAGGCAGGAGAATCGCTTGAACTCGGGAGGCAGAGGTTGCGGTGAGCCGAGATCGTGCCATTGCACTCCAGCCTGGGCAACAAGAGCGAAACTGTCTCAAAAATAAATAAATTAATAAATTAATAATAATAATAGAGCCCTTGAGTTATGTGAATTATCTTTATATTATATTTAAACATGAATGCATGACAATTAGCTAATAATGAATCTTATACCACAATCCTGTCTTCCAAATCTGTACATTATTCTTTATTTTCTTCTGAAATGTAGTTTTAGTGAAGAGGTGTTTAAATCAAGTCTGAATTTTGCTTCTGTTTCCTATGTCATAGAAGCCATTTTTGACTGCATAATTGATTCAAACTTTCATTTATTGGTGCGTTTATTACATGGTTTCCCTGAGCTATAGCAATAAATGATAGCCTCAGCCCTTGCTTTCACAGAGCTTATCATCTAGTGGGAATGAAAAAAAATGTTTAAGGGGGAACAGACAAATAAATTAAAAATATCTCAAGTTATAATAAATGCCATGCAAAGGAAGTGAGTCTCAGGTGCTGAGATATCAACTAGATGAGAAGACATCTCTGAGGTGATGGCATTTAAGCTGAGATCTAAAAGATAGTAAGAAGCCATAAAATAGTTTAAGTGTGGGTGTGAGTCTATGTGTGGGGGGTGCTGCTTCAATTAGGAGAAATAGCATGGGCAAAGGTCCTGAATAAAGGGAGGGTATGGGTTTAAAGAATGGAAAAACAGCAGCGTGGTTTGGTAAGAGAAAGGAAGAATGGCAACAGAGAAAGTAGCAGAAAAAATAGGGGTCATATCATGCAGGACATTTCAGCCCATGGGAAGGAGTTTGTATTTTATTTTAAATGCAGTCATTTTTATTGCTGTCTGTCTTGTGCACAACTGATTGAGCAAGGGTAGATGGTAGATGGGAATAAGAAAGGTAAGTTGAAGGTTGCTTCTCTCATCTAGGCAAGAGAAAATAAAGGTTTCATCTAGAGTGATGGCAGAGAAATGAAGAGAAAAAAGATGAGCTCAACATACAAAGTCTGTAGAGCTTGCTGATGGATTAAAGAAGACAGGAAGCATTGAGGATGACTTCTCAGTTTCTGGCTGCAATAACTGGATGGGTGGTGATGGTTAATGAGGAAATGGTGGACACATTTGTAGAGGAAGGTCACTATTAGCTAGCTAAAATTAAAATGAGATGCCTTTGAGATGTCCAGGTGGATATATAATATAGAGAATTGGAGATTTAAGTATAGAAATCAGAGGGCCTGCTGAGTTTGGAGATAAATTCCAGAGCAATCAGCAAAAAGAAAGGACACACACACCTCTACCTCTGAACATCCCTGATATTTTTAAGTAGATAGAGAATGGGAAACCTGGTATTTAAAGCAATCTGGTACCAAGATCTACAACTCTGACATTTAGAATTCAGGTAGAAAAGAGGACCCAGAAAAGAACACAGAGAAAGAGCCGCCAATAAAGTAAGAAGCAAAGATATAAATAATGAAGCCAAGAGAAGAAAACATATTGTAGAAACAGATGTGCTTGTGTAGAATCATGCTGCAAGATCAAGGAGTAAGGATGATGAAGAAAGAAATATGCATTAGGTTAAGTAACAGGGAAGTCATCAGAGAATTTCTTGAGAAAATTTGGGTAAGTGGTAGGGTTCAAGGTAAGAATAAGGTGCATACAGGGGTGAAAAGAAGAGGTCAGAAAGAAGGTAATATGTGTAGACAATTCTCCCAAGAAATTTGGCTATAAAGGGAAGCAGAATAATGGGGCAAATGGCTGGCATTTAAAAAAATATATGGGTTTTTGTATGGATGTTTTGCTAGTGATAATGAATGAGTAGTTATATATGAATCAATTCAGGAGAGAGAGGGAGAAGTCAAGTCCTCGTGAAAGTGAAAGAGTAAAGGGGAGCGACAGCTCCACCGAAACAGGAGGAAAGATAGAAGAGAAGACTGCAGAGTTATCAAAAGATGATTGAGTTCAAACCCAATGGTTTTTATTTCCTCAAAGTATAAGATGGGATCATTGCCTGAGAGTGCAAATGAGGAAGAGAAAATTCTACAGATGATTTGATGAGAATGCATTATATATATGGTCATATCAGGGCATGAGAAATTTAGTGTATTTTGAGTGCAAATTTGATGTTGGAGATTACTTACTTAAAATATAACCATTCACTTGGTTGTGAGAGTTTCTCCACCAACATTCAGCCATTTGGTAGCCAGCATGGAAAAGACAGATGCCAGATTATGTGTAGACTGTGGTTCTGCCAGGTTAGGCACTGATGATAATGAATGCCCATGGATTTAAGCTGTACAAAGAGTGACAAGAACTTGGTTGATAGATCATGAGAAAGTGCTAAGGCAAATGAATTGGCAATATTTAAAAGATCAAGGAATTATAATGGTAAAGGCAATCTACACAGAGAACCTGAGCATAATCTAAAAGCATTTTCTGGTGCCTATAGCAAAGTATTTTCCGAAATGCCTTTCCAAATTCACAATCAAATAAATTAACCCACTGTCTCACCTCCTGCTGAAAAACATACAATTTGTAGATTTCCTTTGGTGTTGCTGTCTACTTTGATGCTCATCAAACACTTTTTTATGCTGCTACAGATGAAAGTGGGGTTCATGTGCACAGTGTGTAGCTAAATGTGCAGTATTATGGAGAAATATACTGTGGTTATATTGGGCTAAAACAGGATATTCTCTTCCTCCTGTTTTTCTAATATTTGACATTTAATAGAGAAAGTTTTGAAAAAACCGCAATATTGGCCTTCACTACTAACAGGAATTTTCCTATCTCCTTCATCTACAGCTGTTTTCTTGTGAGAACTACATTTGCCAGAGTGTAGAGTATCATGTGCAGGCCCTCTGCCCAGTCCTGATCCCCTGCACTAGTTTTCTCAGAGTTGCATTATTTGCCCTTCGTTGGGGATATACTCTTCACTTCCATAGGCCCAAGCCATACACAATTGTCATAAGTTGTCTTTCTGAGCAAGGGCAGAATTACCATTTTTTTTTCTATTTTGCTACATTAATCTTGAAAATTAATTTAAAAACTTCACCCAGAATCTTCATTAGATTTAATATCAATTCTGTATTTTTGTTATATCAATTTTCATTTTCCCCATACGTATTTTAGTGATAAGTTGGCATTTATTTACCCCCACCCACAACCTTTGCCGTTATGCTGCATTCCCTTTTAAAAATAGGTTTATTGAGGAATAATTTATATGCCACAAAATTCCTTTTTTTAAACTGTATAACTCATTTTTTAAACTATACTCAGAGTTGTGCAACGATCGCCACTATCTAATTTAAAATATTTTCATCTTTCCCACCAAGAAACCCAGGGCCCGTTAGTAGTCATTCCCCATTTCCCTTTTCTCCCAGCCCCTGGCAACCACTAATCTACTTTCTGTCCCTAGGGATTTACCCACTCTGTAGATTTAATATACATGGAAGCATATAATATATGGCTTTTTGTATCTGGCTTCTTACACCTAGCATAATGTTTTCAAAATTTATCCATGGTATAGTATGTATCTATGCTTCATTTCTTTTTATTGCTAAATGATATTTCATTGTATGTATATGCTATATTTTGTTTATACATTCATCAGTTGATGGACATTTGGGTTATTTCCGTCTTTTGGTTATAATGCATAATGTTGCTGTAAACATTCATGTACAAGTTTTTGTGGAAATACATTTTCAATTTTCAGTTCTCAGTATATACCTAGTAGTGGGATTACTGAGTCATGGTTCTTTTTTTTTTTTTTTTTTTTTTTTTTTTTTTGAGATGGAGTCTCACTCTGTCGCCTAGGCTGGAATGCAGTGTCGCTATCTCGGCTCACTGTAAGCTCCGCCTCCCGGGTTCACACCATTCTCCTGCCTCAGCCTGCCAAGTAGCTGGGACTACAGGTGCCCGCCACCACGCCCAGCTATTTTTTTGTATTTTTAGTAGAGACGGGGTTTCATTGTGTTAGCCAGGATGGTCTCGATCTCCTGACCTCGTGATCTGCCCGCCTCGACCTCCCAAAGTGCTGGCATTACAGGCGTGAGCCACTGCGCCCGGCCGTGATTCATTCTTTATCTTTCAGAATCATCCCACTTTTGAATATGCACAAGCAATATTTCATTTTTCTTTGCATTCAATTTTTTCCCATTTTTAAAGATGTTAACCTTAAATCTTCTTGAAGCCAACCATCTTAATAATTTAATGTCTAGTTGTTTAGAAATTATTGTAAAGTTTTCTACAAACCTAGAGTGAGCTACCTGCATTGCTTTACCTTTCATCATTCTTATACTGTGTTAAATACAGTAGTATAGCAGTGTGCTAATAGACAGCTCCAGAGCCCATTCATATAATTCAGCTCCTCAGTGGTTGATAAATGTGAACCAGCATTAGTTTAAAGGATAATTCTAAAGTAATCCATCCTTATTAAAATATTTTGGATGTTTATGTATGCAAAATTGCATCTTATCCTCTCCCATACTCACTCTACCAGGCCCATCCTTCCCGAGGTTCAGGAGTGTTTTCAGGAAAGCTTTTCATGCACATTTTCACCTACATTTGCACCTCAAACTGCAAGGCTTTATTGTTTTATCTGTGTCTTCTAAGTAAGATAAAATGATGATGTGTAATTCAATCAATAGTTTTATCTCAAATTGTATAATAGTTTAACTAATTATAATAACTCCTGTTTTTGAGCAGCTAGTACAGAATGTGTGGATCACAGTATCAAGTGGTTTACATGCAATATCCTATTTATACTATTTAACAACTTTATAAAGTAGGTATTCTTATACGTATTTTACAGATGCAGCAGCTAAGGCTTAATGGCTTAAAGATAATTCACTTACTTAAGAAGGGATAGAAGCAACATTCAAATCCAAGAATATCTGATTTCATAGTCTTTCTTCCATGATTACTCCAAAAGTCTCCCAATAATCAGATTTTTTAATTTGACCTGAGTAAAATAGGAAGTCAGGTTCTTATAGTAGAATAGATATTTAAGAGAGATGACAAAAGGTTTTTTAGTCATTTAAACATTTACTATACAAGGATAGATCTGCCCCCAGTCTTAGGAACAAGCCTTAACAGCAAATGACAGAAGAGTTGATGAGAACTTTTACTACTAAAAATTAGCACAAAGAATACCATGAAAGGTGAAACATGGAAAATCTGCATTGATTACATTGTCATCTCCTCAACACCTAGAATTAGTAGGTCCTAAGTAAGTATGGACTGGTGAATGAAAAGTAAGATAATTTTAGAAAACAAATTTTACTCACTTATGTTACTGCCTTACTGAGTCTGCCTCTTCCGGAGTATTGTACCACATAAGGATGTTTTAGTCAATAGCGGACCATATATATAATGGTGATCTCATAAGATTATAATACTGTATTTTTTTACTGTACCTTTTCTGTCTTTAGATACACACTTTCCATTGTATAACAGTTGCCTACAATATTGAGTACAGTAGCCCACTCTACAGGTTTGCAGCCCAGGAGCAATAGGCTATACCACATAGCCTAGGTGTATGGTAGCCTATACCATCTAGGTTTGTATAAGTGCACCCTAGGATGTTTGCACAAGGACGAAACGTCCTAATGATGCATTTCTCAGAATGTATCACAGTCATTAAGTGACACATGACCGTACCTTTAATCATACTTAAAATCCAAACTCATTTCTATGATATGCAAATTCCGACATGATCCGGCCCCTGCCTACCTCTGCCATCACAATCCTCCCTCTCACCACACTGTAGCCACACTGGCCATCTTGCTGGCTTTTCCACACACCAACTTCATCTCTGCCTTAGGGCTTTAGTTCTTTCTCTTCCCCCAGCCCAAATATCTCTTCACCAGTATTTTCATGGCTGTCTTCTTTGTCACACTTAGGTCTTAGTTTAAATATCATCTCCTTAGAAAGACCGTCCCTGACTGCAGCCTACCACGTTGCCTTAATTTATTTTCTTTAGATCATTTATCACTATCTGAAAATATCTTGTATATTT
The DNA here is from genome assembly GCF_000001405.40 of Homo sapiens. Classification (NCBI taxonomy): domain Eukaryota; kingdom Metazoa; phylum Chordata; class Mammalia; order Primates; family Hominidae; genus Homo; species Homo sapiens. Next base: position 166,294,966 of record NC_000002.12, on the reverse strand, counting down.
ATTTATTTACTTAAATTTTTATCCAACCACAACCTCCACCCTCACCTAAACATAAAGGAGGTCTCATAAAACTAATGATTTTATTTATCGTGTTTATTGTCATGTTTATTGCCTAGCCTCTAAGAGATTATCAATAAATATTTGAGGGAGAATATATGAGAAAATAGTAAATAAATGGATGCATATTGCCTGGGACCAGGCCTGAATTTGTAGATAAATGTCTATATCAATTAATTTACCTCCTTTATCACAATCACAGATTAAAGTCTGTGATGTTATAACTGTTCAAATTCTTCTTCAACAGAATATTTTTATTACTTGGAAGGATCCAAAGATGCTCTCCTTTGTGGTTTCAGCACAGATTCAGGGTATGTAATATTTGTTTTCTTTTTAGTCTAAAGGCTGAAAGAGAAGGAAAAGAATGTTCAGTCAGTTTGCAAATTAGTCTTTGATTCTATATTGCTTTTTATATATTTCATGGTATTATTTGACTCATTCTGTCCCACAGCAAATCCAGTCTTTAAAATGTTCACAGTTAATGCATACTCTTGAAAGCAAGACTTTGAGACAGTGCTCGAATTAACACAAGACAGAAGTCATATAAATCTTAAGAAGGTAGAAAATGTTACTTCTAGAAAACTCCACCAAAAGTTGGTTGGATAATTTCAGGTCTTCTTTCTGGAAAACGAAGAGTCACAAAGTCTATTTTTCTTTCTACTCCCAAGTTCCACTCATTCTCCAATTAAATGTGACTCATAGGTGACTGAATGTCATGTTTTGGCCACTCTAAGCAAAGGGATTCCTTGGACTTGGGTACACATATTTTAAGAATATTGTATATATAAGAATATTGTATATATTCAACTGTCCATCTTGCTGCTTCTCTCTTACACCAACTTCATTTTGTAGCATCAGCTGCATAAGCTCTTGCTTTTCCCCCTATGCAGACATCTATTCATCAGGCTCTGTGTACACTGGCAACATAGGAATAAACTGGATAAGGTTGCTGTTCCCAGAAGAATCTCAGAATATTGTATTTATTTAATGGCATCAGGAAAAACCAGTCCACCAATTTTAGAAAGAAAAAAGTCTTAAAGCTGCACATTTTTATGAACTTAGACAATTACTATATTTTGACTATTATTGACTCTAATCTATTCCAAGAATTATACAGACAGAAAGAGCTTTGGTAACAGCCTACATATCAATATTTACTGAACCAAGAACTATCACAAAACGTCTGTTGAAAATTTCCATGTTTTAATGATGATGATGCTAATGGCAGCTATGATTTATTAAACACTTTCTATGTGCAGGATGTAAGCTAAGTAATTTGTACACATTATCTTATTTAAACTTATTACAAGTCTTATTTTCTTGAGGTAGATGTTATTATCCTATTTTCACAGACAGACTTATGCCTTGAAGAATTTGGTAAAGTCACTAAGTAGTCAGTAGCCAAATCATGTATTCTTAATCCTTATTCAATATTGTCCCCCTATAGAAGAAACCTTGAGTTTGTAACTTTTCAGTAAGGCTATTTAGCTTGTGTCCTGAAGACACTCTCACCTATAATGTTCTTTCTCGTGTGTAGTCAGTGTCCAGAGGGGTACACCTGTGTGAAAATTGGCAGAAACCCTGATTATGGCTACACGAGCTTTGACACTTTCAGCTGGGCCTTCTTAGCCTTGTTTAGGCTAATGACCCAAGATTACTGGGAAAACCTTTACCAACAGGTGAGTACCAAGAGAAACATGCATTGTATTTTTGAATGGCATATGTACCTGGTGTATGTTAAGAGCCTGTATTAGGAGGTTTTTTATTTATTTGAGAATGGAGGAAACTCTATTATCTTATTACCAAAATTATAAGTGTTTTACTCCCATCACTAATAATATGGGTAGTTCTCGAATCATAAATAATTTTCTTATCTTTTCTGGGCATATTTAATCTCTAGATCTCTCGCCTTCCTGAGTATATCATCCCATGGGGTCCTAGTTAAGTACCAGGACATACTGTAATGTTTTCTCAAGCTGCTCCTGCACATGGACTGTTTTCCATGCGTGCTTGGGATGGCCTGAAGAGAAGAGGCTCTCTGATGTTCACCTGCTCACCATGTTTTATTTTTGAACTCCTATTTAAAGTTAAAGATGCAATTCATTTCTCTAAGTTTTTCTCTCCCAAATCAATTGCTCCCAACTGTAGACTTCCATGATTTTTTGTATTTTCTTCCATTTATATCATTGATCTCTTGTATTGCAAGTGGTAATTCATGTGGCTATTTCCTCTAACTTGAATGTGAACCTCTTGGGGCTGTGGTCTCCATTTACTTGTATAGTCTCAGCAGCCAAGCCAAAAGGAAGGAGACCAAAATGATTATTCTATAGTACACATAACAATGATTCACTTTTCTCAGAATAGCTGCAGATCTGTTTTTTTTTCTTTTTTGGCCTATTTTATATTTACTTTATTTCCGAGAATATTATAAATGAATTCGGAAATTATGTAAGATGCACTTTACAGCAAAAATGGGAATGCAAATATTTTTTAAATATGCAAGAAGTGGTCACCTTTACTCAAAATTAAAGAAACACAAATAAAAAAATTAAAATAATTTTTCATCAGAGGTAAGACTTATTTTTCATTTAATATCAGTTGATACTATCCTAAATTCACTTTAAAATGCTTTGTATGATAAAAGTATATTACATTATACAATTATTAATAGAAATGTTAATTATCTTATAAATTTGTTTAAGTTACTTGTAGATTCTTAATATTAGACCTTTGTCAGATGGGTAGATTGCCAAATTTTTCTCCCATTCTATAGTTTGCCTGTTCACTCTGATGTTAGTTTCTTTTGCTGTGCAGAAGCTCTTTAGTTTAGTTATATCCCATTTGTCAATTTTGGCTTTGGTTGCAATTGCTTTTGGTATTTTTGTCATGAAGTCTTTGCCCATGCCTATTTCCTGAATGGTGTTGCCTAGGTTTTCTTCTAGGGTTTTCATGGTTTGGGGTTTTACATTAAGTCTTTAATCCATCTTGAGTTAATTTTTGTATAAGGTGTAAGGAAGGAGCCCAGTTTCAGTTTTCTGCATATGGCTAGCCAGCTTCCCCAGCACCATTTATTATATAGGGAATCCTTTCCACATTGCTTGTTTTTGTCAGGTTTGTCGAAGATCAGATGCTTGTAGAAGTGTGGTGTTATTTCTGAGGTCTCTATTCTATTCCATTGGCCTATATGTCTGTTTGGGTACCACTACCATGCTGTTTTGGTTACTGTAACCTCATAGTATAGTTTGAAGTCAGGTAGGCTGATGCCTCCAGCTTTGTTCTTTTTGCTTAGAATTGTCTTTGCTATATGTGCTCTTTCCTGGTTTCATATGAAATTTAAAGTAGTTTTCTAATTCTGTGAAGATGTCAATGGTAATTTGATGGGACTAGCATTGAATCTATAAATTACTTTCGGCAGTATGGCCATTTACATGACATTGATTCTTCCTATCCATGAGTATGGAATGTTTTTCCATTTGTTTGTGTCCTCTCTTGTTTCCTTGAGTAGTGGCTTGTAGTTCTTGAAGAGGTCTTTCATATCCTTTGTAAGCTGTATTCCTAGGTATTTTATTCTCTTTATAGCAATTGCAAATGGGAGTTTATTCATGATTTGGCTCTCTGCTTGTCTATTGTTGGTGTATAGGAATGCCTGTGATTTTTGCACATTGATTTTGTATCCTGATACCTTGCTGAAGTTGCTTATCAGTTTAAAGAGTTTTGGGGCTGAGATGATCGGGTTTTCTAAATATAGAATCATGTCATTTGCAGAGACAATTTGACTTCCGGTCTTCCTATTTGAATACCCTTTATTTCTTTCTCTTGTCTGATTGCCCTGGCCAGAAATTCCAACACTATATTGAATAGCAGTGGTGAGAGAGGGCATCCTTGTCTTGTGCCAGTTTTTAAAGGGAATGCTTCCAGCTTTTTCCCATTCAGTATGATATTGGCTATGGAGTTTTCATAAATAGCTCTTATTATTTTGAGATATGTTCCATCAATACCTAGTTTATTGATAGTTTTTAACATGAATGGATGTTGCATTTTATTGAAGACCTTCTCTGCATCTATTGAGATAATCATGTGGTTTTTGTCATTGGTTCTGTTTATGTGATGGATTACATTTATTGATTTGCATATATTGAACCAGCCTTGCATCCCATCAAAAAGTGGGCAAAGGATATGAACAGAGACTTCTCAAAAGAAGACATTTATGCGGCCAAAAAACATGAAAAAAAGCTCAACATCAGTGATCATTAAGAAACGCAAATCAAAACCACAATGAGATACCATCTCAAGTCAGTCAGAATGGTGATTATTAAAAAGTTGAGAAACAATAGATTCTGGTGAGGCTATGAAGAAATAGTAGCACTTTTACACTGTTGGTGGGAGTGTAAATTAGTTCAACAATTTTGAAGACAGTGAGGCAATTCCTTAAGGACCTAGAACCAGAAATACCATTTGACCTAGCAATCCCATTACTGGGTATATACCGAAACGAATATAAATCATTCTACTACAAAGACACATGCACACATATGTTTATTGCAGTACTATTTACAATAGCAAAGAGATGGAATCAACTCAAATGCCCATCAATGTTAAATTGTATAAAGAAAATGTGGTACATATACACCATGGAATACTATGCAGCCATTAAAAAAGAATGAGATCATGTCCTTTACAGGGACATGGATGAAGCTGGAAGCCATCATCCTCAGCAAACTAATACAGGAAGAGAAAACCAAACACTGCATGTTCTCACTCATAAGTGGGAGTTGAACAATTTGAACACATGGACACAGGGAGGGGAACAACACACACCGGGGCCTGTTGGGGGGTGGGAGGCAAGGGGAGGGAGAACGTTAGGACAACTACCTAATGCATGCAGGTCTTAAAACCTAGATAATGGGTTGATAGGTGGAGCAAACCACCATAGCACATGTATACCTGTGTAACCAACCTGCATGTTCTTCACATGTATCCCATAACTTAAACATATGAAAAAAAGCTCATCATCACTGGCCATTAGAGAAATGCAATTCAAAACCACAATGAGATACCATCTCATGCCAGTTAGAATGGTGATAATTAAAAAGTCAGAAAATAACAGATGCTGGAGAAAATGTGGAGAAATAGGAATGCTTTTAAACTGTTGGTAGGAGTGTAAATTAGTTCAACCAGTGTGGAAGACAGTGACCCAGCAATCCCATTACTGGGTATATACCCAAAAGATTACATATCATTCTATGGTAAAGACACATGCACACATATGTTTATTGTGGCACTATTCACAATAGCAAAGACTGGGAACCAACCCAAATGCCCATCAATGATAGACTGGATAAAGAAAATGTGGCACATATACACCATGGAATACTATGCAGCCATAAAAAAGAATAAGTTCATGTCCTTTGCAGGGACATGGATGAAGCTAGAAACCATCATTCTCAGCAAACTAAAACAGGAACAGAAAACCAAACAACGCATGTTCTCACTCATGAGTGAGAGGTGGGCAATGAGAACACATGGGCAATGAGAAGATCATCACACACTGGGGCCTGTCGGTGGTGGGGGGCAAAGGGAGGAATAGCATTAGGAGACATACCTAATGTAGGTAACAGGTTGATGGGTGCAGCAAACCACCATGGCACGTGTCTACCCATGTAACAAACCTGCACGTTATGCCAAAAAAAAGAAAAAAAGAAAAAAAAATCTCTGTACCTTCAGTTTAATTTTCCTCTAATCCTAAAACTATTTTGAAAAAAAATTCTATTTTAAAAAGCAAAGAAAGCGAAAAAAAAAGTTAATTGAAAATACCTATGAGATGAATAAAGTAATTAAATAAGACCATCTGCCTAGTGTTAACATTCAATGATATTATTAATATTTGATGATAAAGAAAGAAAAGATAGAATTTTAACAGTAAAAGGGACTATGGATATCACCTGTTCCTAAAATTTGAAAGTGAGCAAAGGATTTAATTTTATGAGTAATTTTCAGACTGTAGGAAAAAATGCATGATTTTTATACTACTACACTTAATAATCAAGAATCTTACATGACTTTAGTACAAGCATATTACATTGCTATATTCTTCGTACTGAAAATGTGTTTAATATTTGTTTTCCATGAAGATATAACTTTTCTCTTTATATTTTTGATAACATGAGATTATACCAAACTGTCAGATTTGCTCATGCCTGTCAAATTGAAATAATTTACTAAAAAAACTTTTTATTGTTCAAATGACAATTTCCATTTTTCCCTAGACGCTGCGTGCTGCTGGCAAAACCTACATGATCTTCTTTGTCGTAGTGATTTTCCTGGGCTCCTTTTATCTAATAAACTTGATCCTGGCTGTGGTTGCCATGGCATATGAAGAACAGAACCAGGCAAACATTGAAGAAGCTAAACAGAAAGAATTAGAATTTCAACAGATGTTAGACCGTCTTAAAAAAGAGCAAGAAGAAGCTGAGGTACTGTTATTTGATTTAAAATTCTTCCTAGAGGTAGAAATGCAAACGGTTACAACAGAGGCTCTGCGGTATATGCTTGGCCTTCTCCAGCTAGATTTTCTTTAATGAATTTTTGTGTATAAACTGTATCCTCATTTCTGGTGTGGAAAAAGGAACCAATTCTGGGCTGAGCTAGAATTGATACTTTCCCCATAATCATCTCACTGCATGAAAAGTGATCTAAGGCTGTTCCTCTTAAACCTTTTACCTACAATGACTTAGTGTGTGTGTGTGTATGTCTATATATACATACACATATACATATAAATGTGTGTGTATATATATATATATATATATATATATAAACACATGGAACTATGTGTTTTTTTAAATTATTATATCATGAGGAAAAATCTTTTAGAATAATTGATTAAATAATATAGTCAGATATATAATATATATATAATCTCAATTTATATATATATACAATATATATATGTATATATATACACACATACACACAATGGATTTCCCCAGAGTACCAATTGTATACAGTGGTTTCATGAAAATTATTTTAACGTTAAAATTAACAGATACTCTTCTATGGGGTATGACTAAAACAGTGCATCATGTTTTGTTAATGTCACAAGGATTTTTAAGATAAAACATGAGATATTAAGAAAATAATTTTGGTGTGGCTAATTTAGGTTGTCATAGATTCTCGAAAGTTTCCTCCTTAATCCTCTTTCCAGAGAGATTCTTCAGTGTAAATGTTTGAGAAGGCTTGTACTAAGAGAAACATAATTTCAAATGTACTGCAGTTGCCTTAACATTTGTCTGAAGGTTTCACCTAGTTAAATCTCTTCAAGGAGTCTAATGTATTAGGGGAGGGCAATCATCTGCAATGCAGATAAATTCTGATGCACAAATATTCAGTGCAGCATTTTAATAATGGTAAAAATCAGAAAAAATTTAAATTTTGGAAAATTAGAAAATAACTAAGAAAATTATGAAAATTGTATATCTTAAAGTATTATTTTGCCATAGAACTATGTGTTTTTTTAAAATTATTTTATCATGAGGAAAAATCTTTTAGAATAATGATGGATTAAATAATATAGTCCGATACAATCTCAATTTTAAAATTATACATACATATAAAAAGAATGGAAGAAATATTAGCACCAATTATTTCTGGGAGGTAAGATGACTTTTTTTCTGTTTTTCATTTATATCTTTATTTCCCATGTTTTTACAAGAATTTTTTAGTGTTTATAAACAAAACATTTTGTAAAGGGATAGTACTAGGTTATCCCAGGTACTACCTAGGGAATTCCCAGAAGTTTCATTTAGGCCAATAGTCATTGACCTTACCACTTTCTTACAATATTATGCTTTAATAATTCATTTATTTTTCAAATAACTCAATCTTTATTAAACCATAGAGTGCCTGATTCTATTGATGATATGGAGTTAATTGCCTGATAATCAAATTGTCTGTCTTATTGCATGGTTTATGCGAGTTTTACATTCCAAAATTACCTTGTAAAACTTTAACATATAATATTTAATTTGTCTTTACTGTAAGCAAATTAATAACATGTAATAGTTTAATTCTAAAATACAATAGAGCTTTATTTCAACCTGAGACAAAAACCAAATATATACTTTGTAAGCATTCTGATCATTGTGTAAAGAAAACGATCATTTCATGTTTAAAGGACATGATTATATGCACCATGTTGTTATGCTAATAGGTGAAAGATGTCCTGTCCTAGGGTTTCCTAGGATTTGGAAATGACTCATTTAAGTGTTAACGTCTTGGCCCAACCAGGCAATTGCAGCGGCAGCGGCTGAATATACAAGTATTAGGAGAAGCAGAATTATGGGCCTCTCAGAGAGTTCTTCTGAAACATCCAAACTGAGCTCTAAAAGTGCTAAAGAAAGAAGAAACAGAAGAAAGAAAAAGAATCAAAAGAAGCTCTCCAGTGGAGAGGAAAAGGGAGATGCTGAGAAATTGTCGAAATCAGAATCAGAGGACAGCATCAGAAGAAAAAGTTTCCACCTTGGTGTCGAAGGGCATAGGCGAGCACATGAAAAGAGGTTGTCTACCCCCAATCAGGTACCACCCAAATTGCTAAATGTGTATCACCCGAGGCAGAATGCTAGAGAAAAATGTCTTATTTTAGGGTAAGAGAACTCGGGAGAGGATAGTGAGTGATTTCATTGGTATGATTTTAGGTAAAAACCTAGTATCGCTAGGCATTTATGGAAAGATGTACACAGGTTTCCATTTGGGTTCAATCATTTTTGAAAGACCTTATAGTTTCAGAATTGTCAATATATTCTCTAATAAACTAATTTTCAGAAGCAAAATGTTCCTGAGAACCATTGTAGAAATAAAGAGACCATTCACACTATAGAATAACTTTTATATTTGTATTTAGTCTGTGTTTTGTAATGCTTCATTGGTTAAAAACTAATCTTAGACTAGTTTCTCTTCTTTCTTAAACAGTATAGGTAATAGTATCACTCACCCATTTGGAACTTTGGAGAAGCCTTTGATATCCTCCACCCCCAACCACATCAACTACTAATATGTAGTGCCATAGTCTGTTAATTCTGTTTATGTGGAAGTTCTCTTTCCCTTTCTCTTTTCACTGAAACCTTCATCTCTCAGGCCTCCCTGCTTATAATTCTGCACAAATCCCCAAGATGAACCATTGCTTCTGTTTTCCTTAGGTCTTCCCTGTTTTCCATCACACAACCCCACAAATCACTTTTCTAAACTAAAAATCTAGTTAAAAATCTACAAGATTCTCCTGATATACACAGTAAAAAAAGATAGAGTCCCTGCCTTCAAAATTTCACTTGAACCTAGGTGATGATACAGAACTTGGACACATATATCAATAAAAATAAATATGACAGGAGCAGTCCAAGCTGGTTTTGAGGCAAAGACCTTACCATACTTTTTCCATTGTTCACAATAGTTGCCACTTTGTTCTTTACATAGTAAGCACTAATGTCTATTGAACTAGATCCTTCCAAAGGATTTACACCCTGGACATGAGTCATATAAGCATGAATTGAATTTTTCCTCCTCTTTGGTATTGGGCAACTTCTTTTTAAATATTTAATGACTTTATAAATTAACTGGTGCTAAAAGCTCTCTTTAAATACACTTTAACTGAGCTCTTAGTATGTAAGGTGGATTTTCAATGCAAAGAACCATACAGCATGATTTCCAATTTTTTTGTGAAGCCTGGGGATTGATATATAAAAAGTTGAATGACCAGTAGCAATACTAAGTTCTTTTTTTAAGTTATAAGTTCTGTGCAGCAAAATGAATGGCATTAAAAGAATGGAGCAGTAACTCTAGGCCAGAATATTAGAGAGCTGTATAGCAACAAATAATTTACCTGGTCCTGAAAGGATGAATTCTACAAATTGTTTCATCCCTTAAGTGGAAGAAGTTTTCTTCTCACTGAATTGCTTCGTTTTTAAGTATGTTTCTTTTAAGTCAGTACAGAGCCACCTGCCCTCAGGCCAGTGGGTTCAGTGGTATTTATATGAAGTGTACTTCTATCAGTAGGTGCTTCAGCAACCACGTTTTTTTTAATTTTTCTGCAGTCACCACTCAGCATTCGTGGCTCCTTGTTTTCTGCAAGGCGAAGCAGCAGAACAAGTCTTTTTAGTTTCAAAGGCAGAGGAAGAGATATAGGATCTGAGACTGAATTTGCCGATGATGAGCACAGCATTTTTGGAGACAATGAGAGCAGAAGGGGCTCACTGTTTGTGCCCCACAGACCCCAGGAGCGACGCAGCAGTAACATCAGCCAAGCCAGTAGGTCCCCACCAATGCTGCCGGTGAACGGGAAAATGCACAGTGCTGTGGACTGCAACGGTGTGGTCTCCCTGGTTGATGGACGCTCAGCCCTCATGCTCCCCAATGGACAGCTTCTGCCAGAGGTGATAATAGATAAGGCAACTTCTGATGACAGCGTAAGGACGTTTTACATAGCTCAGGCATGGCTGGGCCCTTGTTCCTGCATCAGTCAGTCTCTCTGCTGAAGGGCCTTCTCTGGTCTTGTGAATGGCTCTGCATTTTGCAATACTTTTTCTATAGGAACACACCTTTGATTCATTAGCCTAATCCTCATTCTATGTGTTGTAGGCATCTAACTCAAAGATAAAATCCCATTTTTGTAAAAAGGTACTTGTCTATTAATTTTATAATTGAAGATTATAAATAATCTCTTTAGAGAACAATTTATGACGGATACATATATAGATAGATATCAGTACAGAAAATGCAAGGATAATGCTGATATTAGTTAATAATAGATCCCATTTCTATGAAGAAATTTGGATTACTTGCCAGCTACTGCTATCTTTTTCAGGTCACAGCTTAATATGTACCTATTCCAAGGAATCTTATTTGAGTTGTTAATAACAGCAAACACATATTTAGTATTTATGACAACCCCATGAGATGATACATTATTATCTCTGTTTTACAAATGGGAAAATTGAGGCATGGGGAAATGAAGCAACTTGCCCCAATTTACTCAGCTAATAAATGGTAGCTCCTAAGTTGAAACGGAGGCTGTCTGTTTCAGATCTTGTGCTCTTAACCACTCACTCTGCTATCTCTCCAATGTGCAGTAGGCTTCTTATCTTGAAAAAATTTAGAATGGCTATGTATTAGGTCCTCCATATAAATGAAACATAACTGTTTTCATTTTTAAAAAATATTTCATCTGGAGTCTATGAATCAAAACAAAATATCTGAAATGCAAGCATTGACACAAACAAACATAAAAGCAAAACAATCATTTTACAGCAGTTCCAAAGGTCTACGAGTCACTAAGTGGTTAGAGAAAGGTGTCTGATTAGGCTTGAAAGTGAGATCTTTCTCATTCCTGGAGTTTCCAGGATATCTCTTTAGCCCACTCACTATGCTATGCTGCATTACCAATATCAGCAAGGGCTTTGACTAACCCAATAAGCTTCAAACATATGCTACATGCTTATATATTTATATTTGCAGACAATGTAGTATTTCAAGTGAGAGTAAAGTTCCATCAAATCCATGGCCACACATATATTTCAATTTGAATAAATGCATGTGCTTTTAGGTAACATGTGACCTCTATGTGTGCATGATACAGCTTAAGCCCTTCTGCAAGGTATTTTTCATTATTGAATGAGCATGTTAAATTTCTGTGGAATCAAACTTTGCTTGCATTTTGTTTTGCAATTATGTGTGTAATATGTAAAATACTATATAATTTATATCAGATTAGGAGATTATTTCATATTTTTAATGAAGTTTCTTCATTTAAGAGTTTTTTCACCATAGAAAAATCAGTATCACAATAAATCCTAAAGTGAAAACTACAAAACTAGAGGAATTAGTGGATACTTATAAGATACAATGGAAATACAGTAAACATAAAATTGTGGCACAATATATGGTTTATATGAAAACACTGCATAACTAATAACGTCATCTCTATACCTGAAACATGTCTACATGGAAAATAATTTGTTTAATCTGACAAATTCTTGTTTGACAGACTATAGCACAGAAAACCTGGTTTTCGAGACTTTTCAAAAAGTTGACTTTTTACAGAGATCTCTCAAATGGGTGTGTCTGTTCACATACACATAGATGCATAATACACCCATGCACATATCTATGCCTGTATGTCTGTGTTTTGATACACATACATGCATGACTATACCTATACAACTATACAACTTTACAAATCTAGAAATATATATTTAAAATATATACCACATACCACACACAAGCAGACAAACATGATAGATCTAGAGTTGTATAGTTGTTTGTGTATATATGTGTGTGTGAGTGTGTGTGTGTATTTCTGGCCTGCATGGAACCAACATAGTGTTTTAAATTTGAATTAGTTTCCAAGTTTTAAAAATAAGACATTTTCTCACAAAAATAAATACACTTGTTATGCATGAGTTCATGTTTTTGCATGGCAACAATTTCTAGAGCTGAAGAGAGGTCACCTCTTTCAGATGTAGCTTGCATTCTCCATTTCACTAATTGTTCCTTTCAAACTGAGTCATTTATCATCATATGCTCTGCTCAGTTCATGAGGTCTTCCTTGGCAGTAAGAGACAACCATTACAGGAGCTTCATTAATGTTGTTCCCTCAATAAAAAGTAATTCCAGAAATTTATCAGAGAATACTGAGATTCTACCCCTTTAGATACACAGCACTACAGCACTTTCACTGTTTTCATGTAGGACTGTCACATGACAAACTATCTGAATAAATTGAACACTCAGAAAGGCAGAGAGGTGATGATAGTGATGATATAACAAAAAAGCAGCTAGCTTTATTTTTTATCTCATAAATATTAATTCCTTTAATCCTCACAAGAATATGAAGCAAGCACTATGATTATCCCCATTTTACCAATATAAAACTGAGACAGTTAAGTAGCTCTCCTATGATATACAGCCAGTAAGTAGCAGAGCCATAATTTGAACCCAGCAATCTAGGCTCTACTTTTAATTACTCACTACAGCTATATAAGCAAGATTTTATCTTATACCTACAATTTATTAGGATTCTGTTCTTAAGACATTAATTGATTTTTTTTTTAGGGCACGACCAATCAAATACACAAGAAAAGGCGTTGTAGTTCCTATCTCCTTTCAGAGGATATGCTGAATGATCCCAACCTCAGACAGAGAGCAATGAGTAGAGCAAGCATATTAACAAACACTGTGGAAGGTATGTAATAATCTTCTTTTACTGTACAGATTCTTAAATAAAATTAACATAAATCTGGTCAACCTTAAATAGGCACATGAAATTCTTAGGAAGAATTCAGAGACCATAAAATGGTTTTAAATGATGGTAAAGATAACCAATGGATACTGATGGAATTGTTTTTATGTGCTTAAAAATGGATAAAATTATTTGCTATTAAACACAGACATTGATAACATGGCAAAAATGACTTTGCAAAATGAAAAAAAGAAAACCCACAAAGACAGATGTTGGGTGATCTGACCTTTCAAAGATAAGTGATTTAATAGTAATTGATGCAGAAAACAAGGTTAACCCAGAGCTACGTGATTCTGTCACTATATAATCTTACAAATTACATATTCGCTCAAAAATTGTCTCTTCTAATAAGCAAAGATAGTCAAAGGGTGACAACTTTACAAACTGTGCTGGCTTCTACCCTCTCCCCTGACAATATGCCCCAGGTCCCACCTGGTCCCTGGGTCTAACACTTCACCCCCCACATTCCCATTGTGGGGGCAAAGTGTCTACTCATCTCCTAAATAAATGGTGAGAAGTAAATGGGCTAATGGTGTGAAATGTCTATTTCATGAGTCCTCCATAAATTATTTCTAGTTGCTTGGTTCTAGGATTGTTTTCACCTGTGAACTATTACAGCAAGAGTTTTTTCTGGACAGAATAGTCTCATCTTATTGTTGTCATGGGACTAAAAACACAGGTGAAAAATATGCATATTGGTGGAAAACATACATTTCTCTGTTAAGGAAACATAGTTCTCCTGTTTACCATCACATGTTAGGTGCATTTTTCTCTGAAAGATGCCCACATATGTGCTTGCAGTCATAAATTTCACTTCCTTACCCTCTCTTATGCTTCATCTAGGCAACGAACATGTCATAATAGACTTACATAAGAGGCTATGCTTTCATTGAAATAGTACTGTTAAATTTTCAAAATCTAAACTATAAACCTTGTTTCAATATTAGAATGCCTGACTGATTTGTATCTGGTTAGGAGTGAAACAGACAAATGGCTGACTCCATGTTCTCTGCTTTTTTCTCCCAGAACTTGAAGAGTCCAGACAAAAATGTCCACCTTGGTGGTACAGATTTGCACACAAATTCTTGATCTGGAATTGCTCTCCATATTGGATAAAATTCAAAAAGTGTATCTATTTTATTGTAATGGATCCTTTTGTAGATCTTGCAATTACCATTTGCATAGTTTTAAACACATTATTTATGGCTATGGAACACCACCCAATGACTGAGGAATTCAAAAATGTACTTGCTATAGGAAATTTGGTAAGTCTCTTATTGTGTGTTATGTACTCATAGTTTCTCTTTTTAGTTGTCATCATTGTCATTTCATATTTTTTATGTCAGATGAATCTGCAGCCTCAGAATTATGCATATCCAGAACTTTCCATATGAATGGATGTGTAGAGTCAAGTTTCTGGTTATGTCTTTTAAAATAATTGTGCAGTACTGTTGAGGTCTACAAATAACAATACTATTTCTATAAAAGGTTACCATCTTGGGAGTTGATAATGATTTTTTCTGCCAGCATATTTCTTGGGAGCAACACTTAACATTTTTGGTTCTTTCTCACACCTTCCTAATTACATTGCTGCTTTCTTGTAAGTACACACCTCACATATTTTCAGAAAACCTATGGATGTATTGCTTTGACATAATAGTAGTGAAGTGTTTGGGTCCTCAGAGTCCCAAAGTCCTGGGTTTGAATGCTGATTCTGCATTATATGAGTGATATGCCCTTGGACAAATATTTTAACTCTGTAGTATTTAATTTTATCATTTATAAAATAATACTTCATTATAAAATAATTATTTATAATATAATTGTAACTGTATTTCATTTATCATATTCTTGGGAGGATTAAATGCTTTCTGCTTATTAGCCTGGCATATAGTAAATACACAATAAATTAAAGCTATCATCATCATCAACATCATTGTCATCAAAACTTCAAAGACTTAATGAAACAAGCTTTAAAAACAACTATTTTGAGAAACCAAAATGGTTGAACTGGACATAGAAGACTCAAGGATAGGCAAGAAGGTGATCAACAGACTTCTGGAAGATATAAGATCCAATTAGTAAAATTGATGCCAGAGTGATCTCTAAAATGTACAGTGCTGGTCACACTAACTCAGGGTAAACAAAATGCCAGTTTTTGACTATGGATGTGAGGCAGGCACCAGTTCATTTTTAGGGCCAGAGAATCTCAGCTTATGACTCTTCATAAACCATGAATAACTTTGGGTATCTTTGTCAATGTCTATATAAGATAATTTTGCTTTTGCTGTGGTCCCAAACAAATTGACATTTGAAGACCAGAAGTTCTTTTCTGAGTCTGTCTTTTCTTCTAAATTGTCTACAAATATTCCCAATGTTTTTCCCCATGTGCTCGCTGAGTTAGCATTCTTCTTCCCTTCTATTTATCTTTGGAAAAAGGCAGGAATATCTAGTTTCTAATTGTTGGTGGAGATCCGGATCTTGCAAATAAGTACCTTCTCACTGAGACGACTGCATCCCTGTGAACTCAGAAAGGATTTACCTGGTCACAGCTATTACCACAACCTCAAGTCCAGCTGCTCCCTGCCAATCTTCTTGATCCTGCATTATTTGAAAATTGACTCCTGCAGTTATAGACCTAAACATTTCCCTTAGAATCTTCTTTGGTCAGATTCCTTGAGTCAAAGTGTACCCAAAGGATTCATTTCGGTGTTGCCTTTTTAAGTGAGTCCTTTGATACCAGTATCATGAATTAATGATATTTTGCAATGCACTTTTGTGTCAAAGCTTTAGAAGTATTACTTTAGCTGCCACATTGTCAATTAAATACTTTTTTCTCTTCTGCTGATAAATCTTTAAAGAGTGAGTCAACATGTTCTTTATTACTCTAACAGTAGTCAGATCAGAAAAAAAAAGACTGGCTCAAAATTTCAGTATCAACTTATGTTTTCTTTTTATCTTCTTCCAGAACAACTTTTTGACCCACATAAATTCTTTGAAAATAGTGACTGTGTCAATTACCAAATGTTTTACTCTTCTGAAATTTTAATATGCTATTCTAAAATGCTGTCTAAAAATGATGAGCACTGACAGGACAGTTAGAGCTTTTCAACCTTTTGATGCTGATA
This sequence comes from Homo sapiens, assembly GCF_000001405.40. NCBI lineage: Eukaryota > Metazoa > Chordata > Mammalia > Primates > Hominidae > Homo > Homo sapiens. Next base: position 166,278,493 of record NC_000002.12, on the reverse strand, counting down.
TGGGAGCCAGGGAAGAGCAATACCTAATTTACAGGACTAAGTTAGATAAGAATATCCATTTATAAAGTATTTAGCAAACTGTCTGGAACACAGTAAATGCTAAGCAAACAGTGATTATTATCATTGTGTTGATTTCCTGTTTTCTAATATTAACAGAAAAACATTATTTTTCTCACTTAGGTCTTTACTGGAATCTTTGCAGCTGAAATGGTATTAAAACTGATTGCCATGGATCCATATGAGTATTTCCAAGTAGGCTGGAATATTTTTGACAGCCTTATTGTGACTTTAAGTTTAGTGGAGCTCTTTCTAGCAGATGTGGAAGGATTGTCAGTTCTGCGATCATTCAGACTGGTAAACATAAACTAAGGTTGCCATTATATTCTATAATAAAGGGGTATTTCTTTGGTTTTGCATTATTTTTAAAAACTTTTGGGAATTTGAATCAAAAGGCAAGATTATATCTTGATATCTAGTAAAATAAAATCCATTCATTGACAAATGCACTTAAAGAACTAAAACCACATGAATATTTTTACAATTTTTGAAGACATGCTCAATTCTAATTTGAAGTACACGCTAATATAATATAAATATTTTCTATTAATATAGTACAATAATTTATTTCAGAGTAAGAAGCTTGTGGCTTACAGAATTTCAATGATTATATGTTCATAACTTTATGAATTTGGTAATTAAAGATCAAATTGTTATCCCCCAAAACAATTGTTGTCTGATCTTAACAATATAAAAACAAATAAAGACTTTTTAAAGCACATTCCTCTAATATGCTAGATTTTATCTAAGTGTCGGCATGAGAAAATGTATGAAAGTATTAGAAAGTAGAATTAAGGATAAATTATCAATTCTAAAAGAAAAATATCACAAATTATGATAAGAGGTTTCTATAGCAATCCTGAACTAAAAGTACATAGTTTCTTCATAATATGTGTTGTAATTTTTTGTGGCAAGTGGAACAAAATAACAGAGATATTGAAAATTGATGAAAATGAAAAATAAGAATATTTTAGCTGGATAATAATGACAATATTATAGGACTTAAAGTCTGCTTTACCCTTTGAACAAAAATCAAGATTGGAAACATTGAAAAGATTTTCATAGTGATTAACATTAAACTTTATATTTGCTTTTAGCTCCGAGTCTTCAAGTTGGCAAAATCCTGGCCAACATTGAACATGCTGATTAAGATCATTGGTAACTCAGTAGGGGCTCTAGGTAACCTCACCTTAGTGTTGGCCATCATCGTCTTCATTTTTGCTGTGGTCGGCATGCAGCTCTTTGGTAAGAGCTACAAAGAATGTGTCTGCAAGATCAATGATGACTGTACGCTCCCACGGTGGCACATGAACGACTTCTTCCACTCCTTCCTGATTGTGTTCCGCGTGCTGTGTGGAGAGTGGATAGAGACCATGTGGGACTGTATGGAGGTCGCTGGTCAAGCTATGTGCCTTATTGTTTACATGATGGTCATGGTCATTGGAAACCTGGTGGTATGTAACCAGATGTTCATGCATTTTAATTTCTCTGTGGAAATTATTTTGTGATGATGTGATCTATTATTTTTATAATTTTATAATTAATTATATCTACAATTATTAATTGCAAAAGAATAGTGATAATTTTAATACAAGAAAGAACAGGAAAGAGAACGAAATTTTGTATTAGTTTTCCTAGCCAAATAACCCATATTTATATTTTTCAAAATCACTGCCTATTCATTTTAAGGCAAAGGTTTCTATCTTTTTCTCTAATTTTGAAAGTGATGGCATATGCTCTCTTGAAGCTATACTAGTAAATAAAATATAATTAAGTTAATAATAACAAAAATGAAGTTAATAATGGACCAAGGCAAATGAAAGGACTGGTCCCGCACCTTATAGCCATGTGTAAGACTAGCCTCTATAGCAAGGATCAGCACCTATGCCCCACAGACCAAAGCCAGTCCAATGCCTGTTATTGTGTGGCCCTGGGAGCTAAGAATGATTTTTACATTTTTAAGTGGTTAAAATAATCAAAAGAAGAATAAATGACACATGCACATTATATGAAATGCAAATTTTAGTGTTCATAAACTTTATTCAAACATAGGAATGTCAATTCATTTACGTATCTTCTATGACTGCTTTTACATTACAGTGGCAGAGGTGAATAGCTGCCATAGAAATCGTATGCCCAATAAAGTCTAAAATATTTATCATTTGGCCCTTTACGAAAAAGTTTTCCAGCCACTGGCCTATAGCATCGCGTGGACATAGCAATCTGCCTACTTTTTGAATTAGTGTTTTCTTGGCTTGTACTTTTTTTTTATTTTTTTTCTTCCTTATACTGATTAGTGAAAACTTTCAAGCTTACAAGCAGGAGAAAATTGGGATAAAATGCTCTTCTATGAGCCACTCATCTCAATTCTCAAATCTGCCACGTTGACTTGTCACAGTTGGTCAGCTTGACATCAAATCTCTCATCAGGTATCCAGAAGGTGGGATATGGTAACAGCCATATGGTAAGTGCCTTCACTTCCCACTGAGTTGAAAAAAATTACTAAAATATTGTTGTCCTTGTAACCACCATAAAAAGAGGATTCAGAAGTCAGGACAGAAACTTACATTCATCCAGTCACACACTAAATGATACTGTGCCAGACATACACAAAGGCATTTATGCAGCACAAATTCTAGATTTTTACTGCACAAAAAATATACATCCTGGATTACCATTCTATAATTGTTGATCACCCTCAAGTTGTAGTAATAAATAAGCTTCCTAGTTTTATATAGCCTTACAAATTCCTTCCAATATGGAATGAAATGCACATTCTCTTTGTTTCTTCTTCTCTGTTTTGTATTTATAAGCTCCTATAGCAGGATTTGCTTGTGTATTTTTTTTTTTTTTGAGATGGAATCTCGCTTTGTTGCCCAGGCTGGAGTGCAATGATGTGATCTCGGCTCACCCCAACCTCCACCTCCCAGGTTCAAGCAATTCTTCTGCCTCAGCCTCCTGAGTAGCTGAGATTACAGGTGCATGCTACCGTGCCAGCTAATTTTTGTATTTTTAGTAGAGACAGGTTTTCGTCATGTTGGCCAGGCTGGTCTCGAACTCCTGACCTCAGGTGATCCAGCCTCCGTCGCCTCCCAAAGTGCTAGAATTACAGGCGTGAGCTACTGCGCCCAGCTGTGCATTTCTTCTTACAAAATTTTGACATAAAATCGTGAAATTGGGAAAGGTATAACTTGTGAAAACATGCCACATCAAAGCCAATAATCACAAATAATTTAAATGTTTATTATTTATTCAGGCAAATTCAAAGGGAAAGGCATTCCCTTGGCTCTCACCACATTTTCCACTCAATATTTTTTAGTATCTTCTCTGTGAAAAGAAAGGTATTTAGGTATTGTTTAGATAGGAAGGCATTGTTTAGGTATTATTTAGGGTGGAAGACCAAAACCAATTACCCATGGTCTAATCCTTGTTTTTAAGATGCTTATTAGGGCACAGAAAAGTGGAACACAAAAGTTATCAGACAAGGAAGAAGTGATGAGTTCTACCAATAAGGTTAAATAAAATGCTTCTGACACTTAAAGAAAGAGTTCTAGATTGAGACTTAAGGGAGGTTTTTGAAGTGGGCCTTTGAACAATGGATAATATAATATTTGATCATGGACACTGGTGTGAGAGTTATGTTTTCCTTTGAAAGGCAATATAGATTTATAGTAAAAAACAGAGGGGATATATTGGTGAGTGTTTCATTCGTGTAGAATTAGTGTTAACTAACTCATATTATTATTCTTTAATTATTAATTCTTGGCAAAGAAAGTATACAGAAGAAAATTCATAAAGTTGATAACCAACTCTTGACTAATGGAGGAACTACCAATATCATAGAATTAAAATTTAAGGAAAAAAATATATTCCTGATATAGCCTTCCACATTAGAGTTATATGCTAAACTGGCTTCTCTTTTTTTATATTTCTCTAATTTATTCTTTTGATCATTTTATTGCCAGTTAATTGAAATGGTTAAGGACCATAGGTTTAGGAAAACATTTGGAAAAATAAGTTTTAGTCAGCTCGGGTCTATATCAGGAAACTTGCGAAGACCATTAATCAAAATGAGACTTTGAATCAAGTATACATTTTATTAATATTTCTTCTCTTGTTTAACATGATAATACAAAGATGATACAAATGGACTTTATTTTGATTTGTGATACCCACTAGGTTATAGAAATATTAGAGACTTATGATTTTTGAAGGAAAGAAAGTTGTCACAGCAGCTGTTCTCAACGAAGTGAGAACCGCATGAGCCACTGCACCCTGTTAAAATGGTTTAACGCTTGAACAGATTAAGGAGACTAAAGCAGTAAAATGGACCCTCAGATCTTCACCAATATTCCTATTAAAACAAATATACACAAACATGTATTTCATAGTGAAATATACTTTTTCATTGACAACTATTAAACCATTTCAGGGATTTTTAGCAATTATCAAAATTGTTCACTATGATTCCCAGACCTCCGACCTCCAGAATTTTCTCCTAAATCAGACTTATTGAGACACACAATTTTAGCCTGCTGTCTTTACTTACATCTCAGAGAAATTGTTTTAGGTATGACCAAAATGAGGGATGAGTACCTTCTCTTCAGTTAGGTCTTACTTCGATTTTTAAAACATGAGGTAGATGATTTGGGCCATGAAAAGACTTACATCAAATGCCAATTCAATTTCCTTTTTTGTTTCCTGGATAAAACAATGTTTAAATATAATTTACAATTTACATGTTTCCTGCCCTCTGTGAACATTTTTTTTTTTTACAATGTGGAGTTGACCTGCACTTCTACTTCAGTGAGAAAAAAAAATAATTAACTCAGAAATAAAACTTTGCTTCAAGAGAATAGAAATTGTCCTGACCTTTTTTGTAATCTCTTCTAGGGCAAACATAATAGGCAATGAAGCCAGCCAATCATAATGCCATTATTGCATGTGAATCAGGTTCAAGGGGCAGGTCCTTTTCTGTGCTTTAAAAGTCACATTAAGCAGTATTCTAGCACGCTTCTTGGACAGAATATTTTATTACAGGAACTTTGTAAGTATTATGTGTTCCATTTGTTAGAACAAGTGACATTTATCTTCTGGTAAAGTGAACAAAGATCTTTAGCACAATAGAAAATAGTCACAATTGTTTTGTTCTACCTGTTTCTCACAGGTAATAAAGAGTAATGATAGATGAATGCTAGGAGAGTTTTTTGGGTTCATAAAAGAGAACTTGATTAAGGCACTACTGCTACAGAAATGAACTTAGAAATGATGTAATGATAATGGTGAGGGATCATTCTCTCTGCTCCCCATGGTAATTCTTCCTGGGTATGGCTGACCCTCTGCTGCTGAGTCTGCAGGGGCTAGTCTAGGGATACAGTGATGAGGAGTCTACCCTCGCCTCTGTCTCTCTCATGTGGTCTTATCCGTGTGTGAAAAGGTGCAGAAATCTTCGTTGCTGGTTTGTATTGTGGCCTATATTCGGAAAAGTGTACTTATTTTATTTTATTTTTTATATTTCCTGTCTCCCTATTTCTCTACCCCCTCTCCCCACCCTGATATAGGTCCTAAACCTATTTCTGGCCTTATTATTGAGCTCATTTAGTTCAGACAATCTTACAGCAATTGAAGAAGACCCTGATGCAAACAACCTCCAGATTGCAGTGACTAGAATTAAAAAGGGAATAAATTATGTGAAACAAACCTTACGTGAATTTATTCTAAAAGCATTTTCCAAAAAGCCAAAGATTTCCAGGGAGATAAGACAAGCAGAAGATCTGAATACTAAGAAGGAAAACTATATTTCTAACCATACACTTGCTGAAATGAGCAAAGGTCACAATTTCCTCAAGGAAAAAGATAAAATCAGTGGTTTTGGAAGCAGCGTGGACAAACACTTGATGGAAGACAGTGATGGTCAATCATTTATTCACAATCCCAGCCTCACAGTGACAGTGCCAATTGCACCTGGGGAATCCGATTTGGAAAATATGAATGCTGAGGAACTTAGCAGTGATTCGGATAGTGAATACAGCAAAGTGGTAAGAATGCTTCATATACTTTGTGTTTCATATTAACAATTAGTATGAAATGAATGAAAATTTCATATTTCTATTGTCATAAGTTCTTCTTAACATTGCATGTAGTGATGGATAGTTTTTGTGCGTGACTTTACACAACAGCTTCCTGAAGATTCATCTGGTAAAGTTTTCTTACTAGTTCTTAATAATTGATTTAATCTTACTTAGCTGTATGAGAAAGCTCAAAGGTATCTTTGAGCCTTCCCATGCTTCATCCCATGTTTCCTGTCAGTTGAAAAGTTACACAGTCTCCCTCCACAGTGCCTGTTTGAATCCACCTCTCCTTTTCATCACCTTTCCTTTGTACTCACTACTTTTTGCCTAAACCATTTCAAGCAGAGTCTCAACTGATGCCTCTGCTTCCATTTTGCATTTACTCTAGTTTACTTATTTGATTATTTTCGCTCATGCAGATTCAGTCCTAATCATTTCACTCTCATGATGTATCCATGATCCGCAAAGTATCGCTCTCTCTCTCTCTCTCTTCTTTTTTTTAAAAAACGGAGACAGGTCTCACTCTGTTGCCCAGTCTGGAGTACAGTGGTGCTATCATAGCTTACTGCAACCTTGAACTCCTGGGCTCAAGTGATCCTCCTGCCTCCACCTCCTGAGTTGCTGGGACTACACACCCATGCCACAACACCCAGCTAATTTTTTTAAAAAAGTTTGTAGAGACAAGGTTTCACTATGTTTCCCAGGCTGGTCTCAAACTACTGGACTCAGGCAATTCTTCAAACTTTTTCCCCAGTTGCTGAGATTACAGGAGTGAGCCACCACGCCTGGCCATCCCCAAAGTCTCGAATTATGTACTGTGCACAAAGCCTTCACACTATGGCCCTAACCAGCTTTGACCAGCTCTATCTCCTAGTGCTCACCCATAGATTTTTACCTGTACCAAACCAATTTCCTTTTAGGTCATAAACACTCTCCACACTTTGCTTGGGATTTCCTTCTCCAGTCAAAATCCTTCAAGGCATCACCCTTGTATTTATCATCTATTAAATTGTTAATACTTAAATCGCAGTTGGGTCAGGGTTAAATGAATTAACACGTTAATACATGTAAAATGTTTAGAACCATACTCAATGTTCTCAAAATGTTATTTATTTCATCCCTCCTAATTTCTCCCCAAATGGATGTAGTCCCTTCTCATTTTTGAACCGCAAACAATTTTATACTTCTTCCTGGATTCAGTAATCTTAAATTTTAATTTTTTGAGAAATTATGGTATGCATCAAATAGTACTGTAAATTCATTGAGAACAGGAACTCTTTAAAACCTTTTTTTGTGCCCTCCTCTCCCACCCTTACCTGCATATTTCTAGTGAGTCAAGGTATGTATTGAGTTTTATTTTTATTGTGAAATATAACAACCGTATTACAAATTACTTTTATGAGATTGCTTTCAAGTCTTAAGGCATCATTTAAAAATAATCTTTTGTTTTCTCTAGCTCATGTTAGAAAGTATTTGACAGATATTTACCAAATATCTTCTATCTCCTTAACTTACTAAGACTCCACCCTCCATGAATTTATAGTGGACTTGGAAAACGAGATTATATGGAATAATCATGACTGATATATATATATATATATATCAGTAAAATGCTCAGGAGGCTGAGGCATGAGAATCACTTGAGCTCCAGAGGCGGAGGTTGCAGTAAGCCAAGATCGCACCGCTGCACTCCAGCTTGGACTACAGAGTGAGACTCTGTCTCAAAAAAAATCAATACATAAGATTAAATTAAATACATAAGATTAAATTAAATTAAAACAAAATAAAATAAAATGCTCTATATTTAATTGAGTGAATAAATGATTAAATAAATAAATCATGATATATGTTTCTATGTAGCCAAGGACATTTTTTCCAAGACGGTAAAGTAAGGAATCAAATCTAGTCATCCCTCGATATCTATGGGCGAGTAGTTTGAAGGCCCCCCACAGAGACTAAAATCTGCAGATGCTCAATTCCTTTATATAAAATGGCACAATGTTTACCATAAAACCTACACACATCCTCTCATATGTACACTTTAAATTATCTTCAGATTACTTATAATGTAAAAGTAAATCACTGACACAATGTAAATATTTGTTTTACTATATTTTTTATTTGTACTATTTTTATTGTTGTATTTTTATATTTATTTTTTCCAATTATTTTCCATCTGTAGTTGGTTGACTCTACAGATGTGGGACCCAGGGATACAGAAGGCCAGCTGTATTTTATTTGTATATTTTAAAATGTTCTACATGGAAGAAGTAATACTCCCAAAATTTTAAAACCGTGTTCATTTCAGCTTAAAGTTAGAAAATCAGATTCCACGTATGCCTTTTAAGGAGCAGGCATCTAGGTTTAGTATCATATGGAAAGGGAAACTAACTCAGTCACCTATTTTTTTCTAACTAACTCTGTCACCCATTTAAAGAAGATTAAAATTATAAACTCCAATTGCCTGGCAGACAGTTGCTCTCAGAATAAAACTTGGATTCTAGGTGTTAAAGCACTTCAGGAGCTGGGGAAAGTCAACCAAAGACTTCTGAAATTATTTCTTAACATTTATGAGGAATTATTTCTTACCTGTTCATTTTTCTTTCATTTAAAGTCAATGGCTGACCTTTCATGGATCTCCTTAGCTGCTGACAAAATTCTTATTCTTAGTATGTTGAGTTGCAACATTTTTAAGGGAACCTTATAGAACTTTCCATTTAGCACTTCATTTTCTAACTGAAAAAGCAGACTCATTAAAAGGAAGTGATTTTATTCACAGTTATAAAGCTAGAGTTATACAGTTATAAATCTAGAGTTATAGAGTTATACAGTTATAAAGGCAGAGCCATGTCAAGAGTCCTAGGCTTGTGACTTATAGCTCAATGGAATTTCTACCTCTCTTGTCCTCTCTTTGTCCATTTGAAACACAAAACAAACATTCCTATTGGACTTAATAATTTGTCTCCCCTGGGGTATAAAGCCATGCAGCTATAGAATTTATATATCTGTGGCATGCAGATGAAGGTGTGTTGTCATAATGGTTAGCTATCTTTTATAACTAGTGATTTTATTTGTATTTTATAACTGAAATAGATTATTTTAACCATTCATAAAATTACTCTGTCACTTATTCCATGAGCCCTTCCGAAAGCGTATGAAATCTAGTGCCCTATAAACTGAGTTGTCTAAAAATCATTTGATGTTAATATTCTAATATTCTTGATTTTCACTAATTTTTTTCTCATTACATAATGGTTATATCTATATGATAAAAGAGTGTACATTCTTACTCTATTACATTTCCATGGTATGCACAATTAAATATACAGGAGTTTGTGGCTACCTTAGAGGTTGTAGTAACAGATACACAAGCTAGTATTTTTAAGTCATGTAGCATAGTGTTTGAATTAGCAAGCCATTTTAAAAAAAGTGTTTGTTGTCATCGATTTCTGCATCATTATTATTACTTAAGAACTCAGGTTCTTAGTGCTACTGACTTCTAATTATGAACTTTGAAAGTTTACCCTTCTTCATAAAAAATTTTCCATGACGTATCTCAAAGTATGTCATATTAAGTATAGACAAACCTACCTGAAAATATAAGAATTGAGAAATAATGAAGGTTCAAGATCTAGAGGAAATTTGTTTGATAAGATATTAAGCTGTGGTCAACTATAAAAACCTTACATCTAAGGTCTTTCTTTCCAGCCTCTTCAGATTAAAATGTTTCCAGTTTAAATTCTGTCATTTTTGTTTTGTTTTGTTTTCCCATTCAGATCACTAAAATAGTGTACATTTTATTTATTTGTCTAAAATGTCTTTAATCCTCCTATGCTAACTTTTCCTGCTCTAATTCTCATAATCTTCATCTCCCACTTGAGTTCCCAGAGTCTTGAACTGTGAATTCCCTCTTTTGCAACTTTTATTTTTTTCGTATCTGAGATGCCTTTGAAATAGTGATGGTTGTGTTTGTGATGAGCCTGGATGAGCCAAAGAGGCAAATTGAATTACCCAATAGAAAGTAACTCCTAATTTATATATTTATGTCATTAAGTCTTAGCCACTACCTTGGGATATAGTTAAGAATGCCACTTTTTAAGATAGAATATTTGCCTCAAATCTTAGCTTTTGATAAGACCTTGAGCAATTTACAAAAACATTTTTTTCAGTTTATTTATGTGTAAAATAGATTGTAATAAAGATTATATGATTCTCATAAATAATTAGACAAATGCTTATTGAAAAGTGCTCAATGTACAATTATTATAAGTATGGAATTGAGTGCTTATATACACACTGTAAGTAGCTATTGGTTACAGATTGAATTTAAAAGAGATAGCGTGATGAAGATCAGTGCTTCAGAATTTTAGTGTGTGAAAGACATACTTGGGGACTTTATTACAAATGCCTGTTCTGGATCATATCCTTTGAATTGTTTGCCTAAATTTGGATGCAACTTCAGAATCATTAACAACGTTTGCAGCAGCTACTGATCAATAGAGACTACTATGAACAATCATACTCCAACAAATTGGAAAACCTAATGGAAATTGATAAATTACTCAACACATACAACTTGCCAAGACTGTATCATGAAGAAATGGAAAACTCAAACAGACCAATAATGAGTAACAAGATTGAATCAGTAATAAAATCTCTCCTAGCAAAGAAAAGTCCAGGACCACATGGCTTCACTGATGAATTCTACCAAACATTTAAAGAAGAACTAATACTAATTCTTCTTAAATTATTCCAAAAAAATCAAAAGGAAAGGAATTCTTCTAAATTCATTCTACAAGGCCAATATTACCCCAATACCAGAACAAGACAGGGACACACACACACGAAAAGAAAGCTGAAGGCCACTATCCCTGATGAACACAGATGCAAAATGCCCCAACAAAATACTAGCAACTCAAATCCAACAGCCTATCAAAAAGATTATTCACCATGCTCAACTGGAAATCGTCCCAGGGATGCAAAGATGTTTCAACATTTGCAGAACAATAAACTTTCTATATTATATCAACAGAATGAAACATAAAAACCATATAATCATCTCAATAGACAGAGAAAAAGCATTTTATAAAATCCAGTATCCTTTATTTGATAAAAATTATCAACAAATTAAGTATAGAAGAAACATACCTTAATGTAATGAAGGCCATATGTAACAAACCCACAGCTAACATGATACTAACCAGGGAAGAGCTGAAAGCTTTCTCTCCAAGATCTGGAACAAGATAAGGATGCCCACTTTCACTACTTTTATTCAACATAGTAATGAAGTTCTAGCCAGAGCAATCAGGCAAGAGAAAGAAATAAAGGACATTTAAATTGGAAAGAAGGAAGTCAAATTCTCTTTGTTTTTATATGATCTGATCTTAGATATAGAGAGTTCTAATGACCCCATGAAAAAAAGTAGTAGATTTCATAAATGAATTCAGTAATGTTGGAGGACACAAAATCAACATGCAAAAATCAATATTATTTCTATATGTTAACAACAAATAATCTGAAAATAAGAAAGCAATCCCATTTACAATAGCTACAAAAAATAAAATACCTAGAAATAAATTTAAACAAGGAGGTGAAATATATTTACAATGAAAACTATAAAATATTGGTGAGAGAAATTGAAGAGGACACAAAAAGGGAAAGATATTCCATGTTCATGGATTAGAATAATTATTATTTTTAAAATGTCCATATTACCCAAAGCAATCTACAGGTTTAATGCAATCCCTATCAAAATACCAGTGACATTCTTTACAGAAAAAAAAAAAAAAAGTCCTAACATTTGTATGAAACCACAAAAGACCCTAAATAGCCCAAGTAACCTGGAACAAAAAGAACAAAGCTGATGGCTTCACACTAACTGACTTCAAAACATACTATAAAGCTATAGTAACCAAACAGAATGATACTGACATAAAACAGACACACAGAGCAATACATAAGAATAGAGAGCCCAGAAATAAATCTACACATATACAGTCAACTGAGTTTTGACAAGGTTCCAAGTACCTATAATAGAGAAAGGACAGCCTCTTTAGTAAATGGTTCTGGGCAAACTGAATAGCCACATGCAAAAGAATGAAATTAGACCTTTATCTCTTACTTTATACACAAGTCAACTCAAAATAGACTACTTAAATGTAAGACTGAAAACTACACAACTATTAGAGAAGAAAAAAAACAGGGGGAAAGCTTCATGATGTTGTTCTAGGCAAGGATTTTTTTGGATAAAACCTAAAAAGCACAGGCAACAAAAGCAAATATAGACAAATTGGATTATATTAAACTAAAAAGCTTCTGCACAGCAAGGCAAACAATCAATAGAGTGAAGAGATAACCTACAGAATGGGAAAATAAATTTGTAAACTATGCATCTGATAATGGGTTAATATCTAAAACATACAAGGAACTCAAACAACTCAACAACGACAAAAAAAACAAATAATTCAAAAATGGACAAAAGACCTGAATAGATATTTCTCAAAAGAAGACAAAGAAATGCCAACAGATAAATGAAAATATGCTCAACATCACTAATCACCAGGGAAATGCAAATCAAACCTATCTTGAGGTATCTCCTCACCCTAGTTAAAATGGCTACCATCAAAAAATCAAAAGATATAAGTGTTTAAAGGATATGGAGAAAAGGGAATCCTTACACACTGATTGTGAGAATGTAAATTAGTACCACCATTATGGAAAGTAATATGGGGGTTCTTTAAAAAATTAAAAATAGAATTTTCATATGATCCAGCAGTCCCAATACTAAGTAAATATCCAGATGAAATGAAATCAGTATGTTGAAGAGATACAGTAAACATAGAATACTGTACTCCTATATGTTTATTGCTGCACTGTTCACAATAGCCAAGTTATCATATTAACCTAAATGATCGTAAATAAATAAATGCATAAAGAAAATGTACATAAGAAAAATTGAACGCCATTCAGCCATAAGAAATAATGAAATCCTGTTATTTGTGGCAACATGAATGAACCTGGAGGACATTATGTTAAGTGAAATCAGCCAGGCACAGAAAGTCAAATATCTCACACATATGTGGAATCTAAAGGGTTGTCATAGAAGTAGATAGTAGAATAGTGGTTATCGGAGGATGGGAGGCTTGGAGGAGCGAGGTGTGGGGAAAGATTGGTCAACAGGTACAAAGCTACAGTGAGATAGAAAGAATAAGTTCTGGTGTTCTATTGAATCGTTGGATGACTAGAGTTAACCATAATGTGTTGTATATTTCAAAATAGCTAGAAGTTTTTAAATGGTCTCCTCACAAAGAAATGGTAAATGTTCAAAGCTATGGATCTGCTAGTTACCCTATTTGATAATTATATAATGTATACATGTATCAAACTATCACATGTACCCCATAAATATGTACAATTATTATGTGTCAATAATTTTTAAAATAAATGATGCCAACTTAATCCCTAGCTTACTTGGATTCAGGTTTCTGAGATATTATTTTCTTTATTCAGGGGCTATGGGTATATTTCCCCTTTTGCTTGTTTAAGAACCTGCATTTTGAGCAAGGGGAAAAAACATCACTGACCTTTGATATCTCTCCCTCTCTTCTCCCTACCCAAAAACCCTCTCTTTTATGACCTAGCATCCTGGTTTCTCAACAGAGTTTATGGAGAATTTTCAGTGCTCTCCTAGTATAAGTTTTCAGGTTGACAGATTTCCTCAACCTGATAGACAGTTAAAAATACACTCCAGAATCAAATCAAAATATTTTACAGTAAAACCTCTTATCAGAAAATAACCAAAGAGATGAGTTAAAACAAACGGTTTAGTCAAATATCTTAAACAGTTCTGAGGAAACAAATGGAAATAGAACAATAGCACTTCTCTGAAGAGATAGTCAGTGTCAGAATCAAGAAAGACATGCTGTTATCTCAAAGGTACCCATGAGAATAATACTCTTTTCACTGTTTCTAAGAATGCAGGCACTGAACTGATGGCTCTTCTCAGAGTCAGCCTTCTCCTGAAGTGCAATGAAGCCCTCCAAGCACACTCCAAACATTAACAACACACTACACAGGCTTTTTTACCACTGGCAGTGAAGTGCTTCCTCATTAGAAGCCTTAAAGGAAGTATGAAATGCACCCATTTGTCAATAAATATTTATTACACCTTACTATGCTCTAAGCACTGTGCTAAGAATTGCTGAGGGAAAAAAGATCATGTTCTCACACAGCTGCAACAATTTAATATCGGGATTAACTTGAAAGTTAAAATATAAGGGCTCAGGGTCTAGATATATAAGATTGTGAGCTGATCCAAGGATGTATTAGTTTCTTACGGCTGTTGTAACAAATTAGCAAAACTCAGTGGCTTACAACAACAGAAATTTATTCTTTTGCCAGTTCTGGAGGCTAGAAGTCTGAAATCAAGGTCTGAGCAAGGCCATGATTTCTCTAAAGGCTCTAGTAAGTATCCTGCCTTGCTGCTTTCTAACTTTGGAGGTTGTTGGCAATCCTTGCAGCTTGCAGCTGCATCATCCCAATCTCTGGCCCGGTACTCACGTAGTTTTCTCCCTGTGTGTCTCGGTCTTTTCTTCTTATAAGGACCCCAGTTATATTGGATTTGGACCCACACAATGACCTCATCTTCATTGTGTCTGCAAAGACCATATTTCCAAATAAGATCACACTCAAACATGCCAGGGTTAGGACTTCAACATAACTTTTGGAGGATTACAATTCAACCCACAACAAAGAATTTTGACTTAGAAGACTAGATGGTTATTGATACAATTAAGAATACACTGATGGAGGAGAAAATTGAGGAGGTAGGGGAAATACAGAGTTTAATTTGGTGGCATCATAAATTTGAACTACTTGCAGTACAGGCAGTGAACCTGAACAGGAGGTATATGGAAAGATAAATCTTAAGGAAAGAAGAAAAGTCAGAGTTGTAGATAGGTTGGGATTTTGTATGCTAACTTTCATTAATCACGGGATTGTGTAGGGGTCAGTTCCCTGGGAAACCAATCCTGAGAGAGAAATCTGAGATTTACTGAGAAGTGTTTTCAGGAACGAAACGTAACATCTGTAAAAAGTGAGGCATGCAAAATTATTGGGCAGAGAGAGAAGTTGAACTGTTAAAATTGCAACAGAGATTTCGGCTGATCCTATTGGCATCTCTGATGCTGTGACAACCCTCTGGAGTAGTTCCAAAACAAAGCAAGAGGGTCAGGCCTTTCTTCTCCACACCATTCATTGGATGCAGGCTCTCCCTTTACCTTTCCAGGGGAGAAGGGTATAACCTTGGGGGAAGCACCTCCCTTCTGCCACGATAAGGCCCAAAGAGGGATTCAGATGTGAGCCTTCAGCATCCAACACTTTTGGCAGCTGGGGGAATGAGCAGCTTGCTGGAAAGCAGGATGTGGACAGTGCCTTAGAGCATCTACTTCATGACAGAACCACAGACAGCAGCTGAGAACAGCGGATCAAACACATTTGAGAGGTGGATGCAAAAGAAGAAAGCACGCACACACACACGGATAAAATGTATACAGTAGCCCCTTTACACACATTATATAATTTTCGTCTTTGTGACCTCCTTAGGAAGTAAATATAATGCATCTATATTTGCAGATGACTGCGATTCTAAAAGATTAAGAAAAGATTTGGTTAGTCATGGACGTATCTGGGGGTCTTTTTAAATTTAAACCCCAAGCTGTAATCATTATACTACATGCCATAGAAAGGCAAGAAAATGAGTAGTAGTATAATTGTTTTCTGCTATACCTCTGTAATGGTGTAATTCAGGGTGAAATTTTCTGTTGTAATGGTATTGTACATTTGCTGATTCATTGGGATTCTGATATTGTGCTTCTAATCCACCTTAATGCTGACTGATTAGGTTATAGTCTACCTTGGTAATAATGTGTGATTTTTATATTTTAGGTGTTTAAATTTGTTTCTTCAAAACTATCTTATTCCCTTCTTTATTGAAAAGTAAAACTGATTTTACTTCTAGAATATATTTCTTTCTCAAGACTACATAACCCTTTCCTTTCCATTTATTCAGTATTAAATGCATATTTTATACATTATGGTATTTCATGTGTATCTGTATATTTATTTTTGCATATATTAATGTGTCTATTTTTTCATGCAAATTATTGATAAATATGACAAACTCATCTAGACCAAATTCAAGTTCTTGTAGCTTCTGCCTGATACATTCATTCTTCTCTAGGTGAAAACCTTGCTGAGGTAACTATGAGGTTCTTAGTGCTACTAAGACTTATCCAGCTCTCCCTGGCTTGTTGATGAAATTGGCAAGTGACTCAGAAATATCACTAAAGTCCAGATCATTGCCTTTAAAGCATCTCCTTTGTCATGACTTATTATGTTATTACAGAAAAGTATTAAATCAATTTGGCATAATTTTTTCTACACATCACTTTGCTCTCTTTGAACCTTTGTGTTCTCTCAGGACAATGTATTAAGTAGAATTGATTTATTATTATATTATCTTTCACATTAAGGCTATATTAGGGGCTAGGGAGTACACTTACTGCCACACCAAGGTACACATGTTAAGATCTTAACTATTTGAATAAACCTATTTTACTTAAGGGTACATGGGTAATCCCTATTTTTTTGTGTGTGTGTTTTGTTATTTTTGGCTATTTCTGAGTCAGGACTCTGTTTAACTGCATGCAACAGAGACTTAACTACATTGGCATAACTGGATAGAACATTCTGTTTTCATATTTTAAAACATCCACAGATCAGCAGTCCACGTGGCCTCCATGTCCTAGGCTCCATCTCTTCTCCCTTCTGCCAATCTTCACATGTGTTTTTTCTTCTATATTAATGCCTATGATTAGAGGTGACTGTTCCACCTACAGCTTTATATCCAATACCCAGGTAGAGAAAGAAATAGAACGAAGCAGAAGTAATGACTATCCCACTTGCCTGAGGAAGGGCAAAACTTTCCCAGAGATCCTTATCCAACTTTGGCTTATGTCTTATTGGCAAGAACAGTGTGACATGGCCACCCCTAACAACAAGGTAGCCTGGCTGAGGCAGGACATTTATCTGGGCATATTGCTACCCTGAATAAAATCTGGATTCTCTTGGTAAGATACCTTGGAAGGTATTAACAAGGTCAGGCATGCTTCTCCAATATTACTACTGCTACTAATTATTATTATTCCTTTATGAAAATGTCAAAAGAATTGAAGGATGGTAATTTTCTATTTTAAGAGATGCAGTTACTAGGCATAATTTGGAATAATATGCATCAATTGTAATGTTATACTTTGAAACATATTGTATAAAATTACCAAAAAACAAAAGTTAATTTTTACTTATTGAATTAGAAAATATATATGAAAATAAGAATATTTTAAGTTAAATAATAAAAAACTAAATATCCAACCATTTTTAATCTGCAAAAACTAGAAATTTCATGTGGCTCAACATAATACAAAGGCATAAGTAAAATATAAACTTCATTCTACCTGTATAATCTTATTTCTTAATTACATAAATATTATGTTACTGAACACAGATATTTTATTCATTTCTTTTATTTGTGCATAGTAGAGAACACATTAAAATTTTCTATGACTCTCTGCCCAGAATTATAATAGGCATAGAGTTTTTCTCTCCTAAATTACACTCATGAAATATTTTTGGCCCCCTATAAATATTGAGTCCCCCAAAAACCACACTAAAAACTTCATGTACTTCAAAGGTAAAGGGTGATTGATCATTGACAACAAAAAGTATACACTCTAATAGCTTGCACCTTAGGTAAATATACAAAAAATTATAACACAGAACAAAGCAAAGCACAATCCGTAACAGGACACTAAACTAGTCCATTGAGGATGCATTGAGTAAGGGGCTGTATCTGGCTGACTTCACATGAAAGGAGGTGGCACTTAGACCAGACCTTACAGTATGGAGAAAATTTCACTGGGCAGATGTGGTACAGAAGGAAATCTCAGGCAGAGGAACAAGCATTCATATTGTTCACCTGATTCACTCATTCATTCATCTATCCACCCATTCATCTATTCAGTGTTCAGTTTACAAAGTCATTATCTTTGGAGATACTTAAATATGCTTATTATTATGAAATGTAGTCATTTTGTTGACCTGATAAAAAGTTGTTTCAATATTTGCAGTTCCCAAATTAAATATTTAATGTCCTTTTACTATGTGGTGGTTTTAATTACACTGTTATCAAGACTTTCTCTCTTTAGATTTTTAATCAAAGTTTTAGATTTACCTTCTGCTTATTACTACACTTTAGAAAATATAATAATCTTTTAAAAATGCATTTGACTTTGAAAGATTTAGGGATTAGTTACAGTTATGCTGTTTCGTAAAATTGGCATTTGATTCTATATTTTATGCATAGATTTTTTTTAAAAGCACTCTTCTGTAGAATTGCACTTAGACCATTTGTTTTTTTCAGGTTGTTTCCAAAGAATTTGAAAAATCTTTCCATCTTCATTGGATTTGTTTACGTGCCTAAAAACAATGAAATATTTGTCTGACATATTCAAATCAATGTGTCTTATTCTTTATATTTTGATAAATTTGGAAACTTCACTTTTTTGCAATGCTGTTTAAAATGTCAAAATTAATTAAATAAAAATAAGTCAATCAAGAAATGCTAATTTTAGAATATGCTTTTTAAAGCTGCATACTCTTACTGCCACCTCACCCCCTATACTGAGAATCACTTATATTTAAATGTTGCTTGCATTTAAGGAAAAATAGAATGCAAAACATTGCATTAGCACATTATAGTATTTAAATTCAATTTTTAAATAGTAGAGTAGAATTATGTAACTGTTTAATTGATTGTTTTTAAGTCTCTGTTGAATGACATTTAATCTTAGTACTGTGATTCAAATATATTGCTTAACGTTGAGTATATAGCATGTACTTTCAAATATGTAACTAATTTCTACTTACAGGTATATGACTTTAAACATTTTAAAACACAGTTGACTAAACTCTTTCATCATGCTGCATTTCTAAAATTCAGTACCTAACCTTCTTCTCACAGGGGTAATATCAAACTGGATCAGTCAAGGATGCAGCTCTGTGCTTTTAACCAGGCAGAGACATATGTCACCACTTTTACACAGGTTACCTAAAAAAATCATACATACGATATTTTTTCAATGTCTTGCATGCTGTTCAGCTACAAAACCTTTCTGCCTGACCCACTGCAAGAAAGTAGAAACATATACAGTTGTTCAATAGATAAAGTGACATCACAGCATGTCACCAGGGCAATTTGATTATTTTTTTGTGATTCTCTTGATGACTTCTTGATGTAACCTTCATGTGCTTAAGTGATTTCAAGTGCATGATCTGTAGATTTTTATTGAATTGATTATAAAAGTAAAATGCAGAATGTAACAGTAGCCATTGAAGCTACATTTAATTTGAAAACCTCTATCAACTTCCCTTCCTGATTTAATCTACATAAAAATATGGAGAGATGTATATCACATTAAATTGTCACATTTAAATTAAGTAGATCAAAACTCTAAAAAATTGTGGAAGAAGTGTTTCTGGCATAAATATAAAATCTCAGAGCAGGAAAAGATCATTGTAATTCTAGCTTTGTATTTAATAATTCTGGTTATGTATTTATGGATAAGCAAATTGAGACTCATGCTTTCTTAGTACACATCTAGAAAGTTGGGGTCAAAGCCAAAGTACCCTGCTTCTAGTATAAACTTTGAATACATTTTGAAATGGTTTTATGCACTGTTAGTTATGGGACTTTATTTTTTTAAATCAACTCAGTAATTAACATTTGATTTTATTTGCTCCTATATAAAATGCATCAGTTAAAAGTTGATAGGCCTTGCCTATGAATGAATAAGTGATAAGTGTTCAAAATGTTTAATTTTATTCCAGAAGTAATATTACTCATTGATAAGAATAAGTTTCTGATTATATACATAATCAGATCAGTCTCTAGAAACTAAGAGGTTTAGATAGAGCATATTATAAATCCTATCTATCAATAACACATAGAACACTTTTACTGAAATTAGATACAGATTAATATGTATTGCCTTATTGAATATTTCTAAAATGTATTAAAATACATACTAAGATATATTTTAATTTTAGCATACTTTGTTGAATGACTGAACTTTAATAGTTCTAGGATGGGGGCAGGAATCTCTGCCAATAAGAATCTTGACTCCTTTTTATAATCTAGTTCATATTTTGAATTTCTCTGTCATTGTTGAGATGTTTGTATTATTGTTATCTATTGTGCAATGATGAAAGCAAAACTTTATCCTGAAATTGACACACCTTAGAGATAATATTGCTAACAGTTTCAAATGAAAAATTAGTTATTTTAGTGTTCCAGTTTATTTGAAGATAATTTTAAAGGTGGCCTAAGTAAAAGATATATTTTTCTATTTCAAATTTGGTGGGGATTTAGAGGCAATATTCTCATAGAAAACTATTTTATTCCAGAATATGGTGAATTTTCTTCAACTAGAGCCTAAATAAGGATGCATATACACCCAATATTATCTATATAGGTATAGATAAAACATATAATTTTTGAGAAAGCTATTTCTAGAAATATATATACATGCATAGACATATAAACATATGCATATATATGTTTTGAATTCATAAATTCTTATTACTTTTTTACCAAGCTGTTAGAAAAGATGAGGTACATGTTAATGAATGGTCATCCTCTTAAGAAAAAAACTGAATATTCAGTTAAGAATGACTTGAAATATGGCACTTTAGCAAAAGCTGCCTACATAAAGGATATAGTTATTTTATCCATGTAAAATTTCTATTTATATTTTCAATATTAGAAATCCACATGTTTAAAAAGCTAGTAATTATTCCATTCATTAAAATTCACTTTTCCTTGCCCTCCTTCATTGTGGGTAGTATTAGTAGTTAACAGAAATGATTCAGATATCTAGGTAGCTTACTTTGTGTTTGTCATTCTTGTTTGTTTCAAAATTATAGATAATATTTACGAAGCTTGAGTCTGCGTATCTACACTTTGCCTTTATGTTTGCTAAGGTTCCAATCCTTCTTTACCTACTTGTTGCATTTTTTTAAGCTGGCATAAATAGCAAAATTGTTTAAATGTTTGCTTCTAAAGACTTTAAGACACTCTGACTTGACCCACTGTATTCCAGCTGCTTTCTCTGCAAACAGTGTAGCAGTTCTGTGACAGAGCACAGAGAGAGCCCTTGAATATCAATGGCCACTTTACACTCCTAGCTCTTTGCTTCTCTTCTTTTCATTAGAAAGATGCTTCAAGATGATACTATAGGACCTGGCTGAGAAATCTGTAGCCAGTCTAGCCTTCTTACATGGCCAACTGTTGTTGCTTTTATATGATTT
The DNA here is from genome assembly GCF_000001405.40 of Homo sapiens. NCBI lineage: Eukaryota > Metazoa > Chordata > Mammalia > Primates > Hominidae > Homo > Homo sapiens. The sequence continues at coordinate 166,256,942 of NC_000002.12, read as the reverse complement.
CTTTATATTCATATCTTATCATTTAGTCACGTAAGTTTTCATGTTATTGGATAGAAAGTGCCCTAGGTAGAAGATTCTGAGAAAAAGAAGAGGTCTCCGTGAAATCACTGGTTTTATTCTGAATTTCTCTGGTGGTGGCTGAGATTTGACCTCATTATTTCACCAACAGAATACTATATATCATGTTGACCTTGTGATGGAACTGTGTGTTTCACGCTGAATAAGTAGCTATTCCTCCCAGAGCCTACACAATATTTCTCTGCTAGCAATAGACAAAGAAAAATAGGAAAGGAAAAAAAATTGGTTTTCTTGCCCTTTTTTTAAAAAAAGAGCTAAAGTTTTAGTTGCCCATAATTAGAATGTGAGCCCAGAATTTATTGCAACTAGTTAATAAACTGACAATTTTCTGCTAAATTAGTGGAAGTAACATTAAAACTTAGACAACAGAAGAAAATACAGTTGAGTTTTCCACTGATCAATAATATCTGGAGTATTTTTTAATTATTTCCATTTTTTTCCTGAAATTCCTGAGCTTCAGTGATTTTTTAACTTGAGGCATTACCTTTTAAAAAGAATCTTGAGAAATTTCATATCAAAAAAAAAAGATTGTAGAGACCTCAAGGGGCCCAGAAATCTAAATCATGTTAAGAAATGTGATTACACTCAAGATGAAAAGCACTAATAGTAATATCAATAATATTAATGACCTCCAATTTTAAAAACTCTATAAGAGGATAATGTTCACATTTCTCCAGAAGGAAAAAAATAAAGGCCCTGAATGATTGCAAGAGAGAAGAAAGGTTATTTTTGTTCTACACCAGAAGAGAGTATTTAAACATCTAGTTGTCCTGTAACATAATGGGAAACTTGGAAAATATTGGACTCTTATGCCACATAGTAACTATGTGTGGATTTCTTCTCAAAGGATCCTTTGATCCTTTAATTGAAATTTACTATTTTACTCCTTAATGATTCAAGAACACAATTATAGATATTGACCGTAAAACTACACAATTAAATTAAAAGATGGATAATAGTAACTTGAAACTAATTTTAAAATGTCTTTCTTGCTTATTAACAGATAATGGAGCTTAGTTTACCACTGTCTGCCATAATTTTTCTTCTCTTTTATACCCATCTCCTCCTTTTGATTTGCTTCTCTCAACTTTCTTACTGTCTTTTGTGAGTATTTTAAGGCTCAGGTGAAATAACCATTCTAGGCTCTGCTCCTTAAAGAATATCTTTTTTTTTGTTGTGTGAAGCAAACAGTTTATAGTATGTACTTGAAATGTAACATTTTTCAGTTCTTTTCAGCATCAATCATTCTCTTTGAGTAAGGTTTTTGTTGAGTTCTGTGTTTTGTACAGTGCTGCTGTGTTTGATAGTTTCTTCTTTTGAGCGTTAGATTATCAAGTCATTAGACACTCCTACCTCACACCTCTTGGAACAATAAATAACTAGCATTAACCATCATCCATGATAGCATGAAATAGGCTTACATCGTTAATGTTTATCTTAGGAAATGCCAGTGATAAATTTGTAAGTGAACAACTTAGGACATGTTCTAATATGATACATATATTTAACACAATTTCTACTCAAGCAGTATAGTAGAAAACACAGCTTCAAGGCAATCAAAGGGAAAACCATGAAGAATAATAAAGCTTTTAATTTGGACATATTTTCAGTAATTGAAAAGGAGCATCTTAAATAGCTACATAAGTTTACAATCAAGATAAGGATTGTTTCACAGCTATAGTGTTGTATGGATGCACACTGAAAAATATGGAAAGATATGTCTCTCTCTCTCTCTCTCTCTCTCTCCTCTCTCTCTTTTTCTCTCTCTCGATTACCTCAAGGGGGTTGAATCAAGGAGATAGTGGAGGGAACTTTTATTTTGCACTGTAAATACTATTATACATTTAAAATGTTTGAGTCAACTATATCACTTTCATATTTTTAAAACACTTTTAGAAGGCACAGTCAATATCATATTATTCAATAAAAAGGCAGGAATGCTAATTATGGTACACTTCTGATTCCTAATACTAGTGAGTCCACCTTCTTGATCCTATGCTTATATTTATATTTACTTTATTTATAACTAGACTGCCAATGATGAAAAAAATTGATACTTCCCTTTTATTAGAAATCAAATCCATGTGAAAATTACAGAAGGTCCTATTTATAATAGCAAAAGAAATTTCTTTCATACTAAAGCATTTATTTCACTTCTCTAATATAGTCATTCTTTCATTTCCAAAATTACATGGAAAACTAAACAACAGATGATTGAGTTTAAAGAAATGAAGATAATATAGAAATTAATCATATAAAATAATACAAATAATTGATATGATCTTCCTTGTATAGTAAAAAACATATATTCAAAGTACTTAAATATGGTGATGCCTACTGTGAGAATTCAATATATTTCACCGCAGGAAAAAAAAACTTTATTATATATATCAGCCTTTCTATATAAAGGTATTCTCTTAGAAATCTGCTAAAGAAGCTTATACTGTAGCAAGTATAGATTTCAAAGGCTGAATTGACTAGAACTGTCTATATTGCTAAAGCATGCTTATAAACATTTAATTTTATATACAGTATGGAAATAGTTACTGTTTGAATACTTAATGCATTCCCAAGAAAACATTGAATGTCTAAGAATCTATTAGCCATAATAATTTGTCTGTAAATACAAATTAATTAATAATAGTTCATGTTAAATATTTTGATAATTTCTGTCCCATTGAACAATAATATTGAATAACTTTATGATGTAAAATTCTGTGCCAAGCTGAATTCAATTGACCATTAAAAAAACATAAAACCTGCATATGAAAAAAAGTTTCAACAACAAGATACACTATATAAAATCACGTGAATTTTTACTTGCTCATAATCTAATTTGGCATAAATCTTTGTTAATGCTCTCTTAAACAGTGAGAAAACCAATTATTGATGTTTGAAGATGCTTTCATGAATTTAGCTAAAGTCAGAATTCTGCAAATAAGAATCATTTTATTTAAAAGTTGTTACCAGCTCAGAGAAAAACCATTATAACTATTTCCTATTGTTAATATTGTGTCTAATAGCAGGGGGGTGCTTTGTATTCTTTCTATCAGCAATTCCTCTCACTGCTTTACCTCAAAACCCAGGCCAATAATTCTTTTTTCAGAAATGAAGGGCCTGGTCTTAACTTCACAGAATAATAGGGCCTTGTCTTTCACTTCTCTGGTGATAGTTCACGTGCAGCCGAGAGGTCAGGAATTGAAGCCATTAAAACTGTAGTCTTCTAAATATGGTACTTTGGATTTTGTGGCAATTGGCACAAAATACATATTAGTAATTATAAGTTTATCCAACATCGTTTCCTGGATTAATCTGTATTTTAAAACTTATATATTTTAAAACTCATTCTATAGTTTATACTTTAAAGCCTATTCTATAGTTTTATAGAATATTCAGTTATAATTAATTTCTATTATCTTATTTTAAATTAAACTAATTTAGATGAATTCAATCAGTTTAAATAACATGTTTTTGAGTGAAATTTTGTACTGATACTTTCATAACTGAAACTGTTATCAAACTCCTGGACCTGGTGGGAATAATGCCTCTAGGCCAACATAGATTGGAGGAGTTCTCTTAATAGGTTGTTCATAATTATTTACTCCAGTTATAAGAAAGACATTGTCTGCTTACATCATTCCTTATGTACAATACTTTATCCATGCCATTTTTATGATGTTGTATACTAGGTGATAATAATAGCATTGAGAATTTAATGTGGTACCCATCAAGAATACTTCTAGCTTCCAAGTCAATCTCTAAAAGTCAAACCTTTAGATTGGGCTATCATATTAATACAAATTCATAGATTGAGAATCAATTTATCTGAAATAAGTATTTTATTATTTTTAGCACTTGCACTTGCTTGAACTACTCTAAAAAAGATAAAGTTGTAACTTAATAAGAGAATTGTGTTGTAGTAACTAGTAGCTTTCAATATTCACATGTCATTTAGCAAATGAGAATGAAAAATTAACTCTTCCATTGATATGCTGCTTTACTCCTTTATAAAACAATATTTGGGAAATTTGACAGAGTTTTGCTACAGTTGCTGTATGTATTTTTTGTAAAGATTTCTTCGTGTGTGTGTGTGTATGTGTAAACATCATGGTTACTCATAAAGCTCTGGGTGAGAAAAACCTATTTGCGTTATGATCACTTATATGATCATAATGACAATGAATTCATTATTCCATGTGTAAGTCTGCCATGTTTAATTTTCTTCGATCTTTGTTTCAGAGTTTGCATGTGGTGCTTACTTTAGTAGCCACTTTCTTGACATTATAAATAATACTGTTTGATCTTTTCTACTATATACTAAAATGTTATATACAAAATGGGTGGTGTTGGTATGGTCATTGGCATTTTGATTTCAAAACCGTATTTGATTTTGTGGTCTTGATCAAAGAACTTCTATCTATATCATCCTGCTACATATATTTAAATTCAAGAGATAATAAAAAATACATTTGGACTTTATCTTGCACTTATCTTTTTAAAAAATTTTAACTATCAATAAGTTTTTTGCCAACTATTTGATCTGAGCTTTCAATGATCAGGCATTAGTAATTTGACACTTGTATTATATTGCAAATAGGGTATAGGTTGTCCTCAAATAATGATTGTCAGTGTCCATAAATTTATATTAAAAATTTAAAAAATAAGATGTGGTCAATACTTTCCAAAAGTGATAGTTAACATCAATATATTACCTTATCTAATTTTGGCCACGTACTTGTTAGTATAATAAACATAATAAAGTTTATTATTTTACAGGATGGTGTAGATAGAAAGATCAAGTATAGATACATTTAAGGTTACTTGACCTCAATATGTGTTTATACATTTTTTATGGCCATCATACTATTAATCTTTTTTCATAATACTTTGCATGAGTCTGATTATTAAATAAGGCTTAAATATCATATTTGAATGAACTCTAAATGAACTACCTGGTGGGGTGGTGAATTCCTTTCTAGAGATTAAACCGGTCAAGCTCCTCAGAGTGCAGCACAGTTGATAACCCTTTGCCTGGAGAAGGAGAAGAAGCAGAGGCTGAACCTATGAATTCCGATGAGCCAGAGGCCTGTTTCACAGATGGTAAGACAAAAATTGAGACCTTGGTTAGCATTCCTTAATTAGTGTTCTGGGGTTTGTCTTAACGCCTAATACTTACCAGAGGTTGTCGGTAAGTCAGAAGACTCCATTCCATGCTGATTCAGCTATAGCTGTATGATGATTAAGGGCAAGTCACTAGAGCTCTCTAAGCTTGAGTTTCCACATCTATGGCACTTGACTAACAGTAATTTCCTATCACTGTATGTTAGACTGTAAGCATGCTACTACTTCTTATTTTAGAGCCTTAATTCGTATTCCCAGATCAATGGAACCACCAGAATACAAGTTAATGAAAGAGTCTGTACTCTGGTCCTTTTAATCAAAAATGGAATCTACTCACTAACTCTCAGAAAACTGTTTGATACTGTTGACTACAGTCTCTCTCAAAATTCTTCCTTTCCTTAGTTTCAGAGGCCATAGTCTACCTTTGGTCTTTTATTTGTCTTAGAGTTCTGAGTTCCTCTCTCTATTTCTTTAATGAGTATTTTTTCTGCACATCCTGTAAATAATGATTTCTCCCCACATGTTCAATCTTCAGTTATCTTTTCTTATTCTGAAGCTCTGAGGTGTTTCATGCATGCCTGTGGCTTGAAAAGCCATTTCTGTGCTATTGACTCTTAACATCAATGTCTTTACCTCTAACCTCACTCTTGAGTCCCAGATCTGCTTACAATTCCCCATTGGTCATCACCATCTGTTGTTTGTAAAACATTCCAAGTTTAATAAGTTTTTTTTTTTTTGAAAAGCAAAAACAAAAACAAAACTTTAGTATGGTTTACAGCTTCCTCCAGTCTTTATTAGTAACTTCATGATCTACCTTACCCTCAAGCTAAAGACTTTGAGAGACCCTTAAAGTTTTCCTTGCTAGTCACAAGTTCATCAGGAACTCTGGAGATAGGGCCCAAGCCCTTAAGAGGATTTGCATGCACACTAAAATGTGAGAATCCTTGGCCTCTAGGGTAAAGTCTGAAGTCCTTAACTTGACATGTAAAGTTCTTTACATTTGGCCTTAGTCTCTTGTTTTGTAACAGTACCTCCTTCTACTCCTGTATGCTTTCTGATATGCTGAATTTCTTACTACTTCTGGAATTTGTCAGGGATAATGCAGTATTGTCTGAACAAGTATTGTATCATCTAGGTAAAAATACAAGCCCAGAGTAGGGCTGCAATGTAATACAGTAATACAAAGTTCAAACTTTGGAGCCTGATAAACATATGTTCTAATTTGCCGACTTATCTGCCTGTGAGAACTTGTGCACAATTTAAAATCTTGTTCTTCAGATATCTCATCTGTAAAATGGGGATATCAGCATCCACATCACAGCGATGCTAAGAGGATCAAATAAGATAATGATTATAAACTTACTAGCACAGTGCCTATCTTCCTTCTTCTACTTTTCTTATTCTTCAAGGATTCTGTTAACAATCTTATACAGAAGTTATGATAGCACAGATGCTAATGACTTATCTAGTCATGGGCTTACCCTCAGCATTAGTATTTTTTGAAAAATCATCGACTTGCTTTCAGTGTCCAAGATTTTCTCAACTGGTTTCTTATAACATTCATGGGTTAAGCAAAATGATTGGAAAATAAAGACATCAGCAAACTACAAAGAGTGCATGGATTTTCTTTAAATACACACCAAATATCATTTTATGTAAGAAGCAAAGGTGTACGACATCCAGTCAATATAAATTTTGTGCTTGCTGAAATTAGTGCTATAAGCAAATGCACAGTTTCCTTTAAAAGTGTCCATGTTACAGAGATTTAAGAATTTCATCAACATGTATGGCCTGCTCCTCAAGAAATTTATTAGCAGTATATAGACTTAAATTTGTATTGATGCTACCAAGATTTTCCCTATTCATTTTATGAATGATCATGACTTAAAATTCTAGGATAACTAGAAAGAAGTTGGGCTTATCAATCAACTTAAAGTTTCAAACCAAAAAATGACTTCAAAAAACTTAAACTCTTACAGAAAGTATTAATACTATGCTATTTCAGACTGTAGGTGCTGTTATAATAAGATATAATACAAAGTTTTTTTAATCCTATAAACATCAATGAAAATACTTTTGTGAATACTCTGAGATTATTCATTGCTTCCAAACTGAGGCCAGTATAGAAGAAATATTATGGAAACACATTTTCCAATGAACCTGGGCTTGGACCATTGAAATTTACTGAGGGAGCATATATCTCTGAGTCACATCCCTTTTATGTGCTCCAGCAGAGACTTCATACAGTCTCTGGATCTGTAGCCTAATAAATTCAGTGAAGCAGCCAATTTGCTTAGCCTTTCAACCGTGTATTCACATAATCATTCTTTATTCCAGTAAACAAATAATTATTAAATACCTGTGTGCCAGGTCCAGTTCCAGGCACTGGAGGGAGATGGAGCTGTGAACAAAACAATACCCCTTGCTGAAGAAACATATCAAGATGTAGCAGGTCAGATAAGTGAAAAGTGCTATGGAGAAGGTATATGGAAAAGAGGAATACCAAGAGTGAGGGGGAAGAACTTACTAGCACATAAATATGCTATCAATGAATGATTGGTCAGAGAAAGCCTGCCTATAAAGGTGGCGTTTCTTCCGTGATGTAAAGAAAATTGAAGGGGGCCGTGCAAATATATGGAGGGAAAGTATTTTAGGCAGAGTAATGAAGGCACATGCCCCAAGGTGAGGATATGCATAACATTTGGGAAAAACCAAGAGGCCAAAATAGATGGAGAATAATGAAAGATGGGAAGAGGATTAAAAGTTAAGGTCAGAGGCTGGGTGAAGTGGCTCACACCTATAATTCCAGTACTTTGGGAGGCCGAGGTGGGCGATCACTTGAGGCCAGGAGTTCAAGACCAGCCTGGCCAACGTAGCGAAACCCCATTTTTACTGAAAATGAAAAAAAAATTAATTGATCTTGGTGATACATGCCTATAATCCCAGCTACTTGTGAGGCTGAGGCACGAGAATTACTTGAATCCAGGAGGCAGAGGTTGCAGTGAGCCAAGATTGTGCCACTGCACTCCAGCCTGGACGACAGAGGAAGACTCTGTCTCCAACAAACAAACAAATAAAACAAATGACATTATTTTTAAAAAGTGTAGATCAGAGATGTAGTAGAGGCCAGATTATAAGACATTTGAAGAACATTATAAGGATGTGATTTTAAAATCTCACAATGTGCAATCTTAAGAGTGGAAGGGCGAATAGCAATGGCAGAAGCTGGAAGATTTCTTGGAGTTTCTGCATAAATCCAGGTGAGAGGTGATGGGAGCTTAGACTAGTATGGTAGAGTTTTGTATAGTGAGGGTGTGACATGCTGAGTATATTTTGAAGTTAGAGCTGAAGGGATTTGTTGATGGATTGAACATTGGGTGCTTAAAAACTGGAAATGCATAGTTTCCACATGAAGACTGAGAAGCATGGGCTTGTCAGAATGAAGAATCATGAACATGTTTACTTACAAGTTGGTAATTGGTCTACAAGAGCTGGGCTAGAATCAATGCCAGTTCAGAGCAATGTTTCACCTCCAGAGATCTCTGCTACCTGAAAGGTAACAGAAAAAATTAAATGAAGTATGAAAAAGAATTAAATCCAAGTAGCATGTTTTTACTGAAGATAAATGTTAAAACGATTTTGTTGTTCATAGTCTCACATTTGTTGATTCATTTCAGCTTCATAATTATCACTTTACTAATGTATTTCATTGATTGCATCTGGTTCCTCTTATTCACCTTTTCTCTCCCTCTTATGCAAGGTTGTTCCTTAGCTCTGTGTCTATTACTTTGTATTTGAAGACTTCAGACTGCTTCCGTATATCTTGCCCTGTTCTTTACTATCCTTAGTTCTACATGACTTGGCAACCTATATAATTATGAACATGACATGACTCTTTGGGTCTATGTGGTTTTATATTGTGCTGCTTTTAGATTATCAAATTAGTAAATTACATAATCAGGATTAGAGTTAGCGAAAAATAACCTTTTTCACAAGGTCAAGAGATCGAGACCATCCTGGCTAACATGGTGAAATCCCGTTTCTACTAAAAATACAAAAATTAGCTGAGCCTGGTGGTGAGCGCCTGTAGTCCCAGCTACTCAAGAGGCTGAGGCAGGAGAATCGCTTGAACCCAGGAGGCAGAGGTTGCAGTGAGCTGAGATCCTGCTACTGCACTCCAGCCTGGCAACAAAGTGAGACTCTGTCTCAAAAAATAATAATGGTAATAATAGTAATGTATTTTTCTGTTAACTTGGTAGGAGAAGCCAAATCATCTTCCTTTCAAAATGTTTTGTATTCACCCCCTTCCTATAAAATAACTAATAATTAATTCTAACTTTAGTAACACAATAACCAACTCCTTTGTGACTTTTATTTTTTCTTTCTTTTGGAAAGATAATGTTAACAAATATTTGTTTTAGTTATATTTGATGTTAAGAAATGGTGAAAAAAGCTTGTTTTCATAATCAATTTTTAAATTAATTATATTGATCATGCTGTTATGGTTTTTAATGAATAGTCTGTCTTTTGAAGTGGTCAGTGGTTTCTTTTTTCTTTCCTTTCCTTTTTTTTTTTTTTTTTTTTTTGAGAGCTTTGGTTTAACATGATGAAACTCAGCATAGACTTTATGTAATGCACCATGAGAGCACATTAGTGAAACCACCCAAAAGAAATAGCATTTACTCACTGGGACCCATTAAAATGTTTGAGAGATTCTCTGTTATGTTTACATTCAATTAATAGTCCTTTTAAAGAGAAGGTATGATAACATTGCTAACCAGCTTAGTTGGAAATCTCTTGGGATATACCTTTGCACAAAAACCAGACAGGCGCTCCATCACTCTTGCCTCAAAATAAGAGAAAGAAACTCTCTGAGGTGTAATAAACCCTGAGGGCAATATTTATGAAACTTCATTTCAGATTGAAAGTTTACTAACTTTTCTAATTAGGATTTTTAGTGTTTTTATTTCCTCAATCATAAGAATAATGTTTCCCTTCAATTTTAAGATTGACAAAAGTAAATCCCAGAGAGCAAAATCTTCTTAACCAAAGGGATAATTTTCTTATCCAATAATTTGCCCCTGAGAAAGATAAATTCTTTCTTATATGTGATCATTGTTTTTAAGTTTAAGACAAATTCTAAAGCACTAAGTTAATATTAAAAAATTCATCTCATTTTTTTCGCTCTCTCTGGTATTTTTATTTTCCCTGAAAAAGATTAACTTAGAGTTAATTTTTGACCCTACCCTTTTACTCTGTTTTTATATCATTTTATCGAATGTTCTCTCTTAACTAAATGCATGTAGATAATAATTATTTAAGTATAGGATGATACATAATTTCAGATCTGAGATCATGTTCACTGTAATTAACATTGTATAAATGAAGCTATGTGTAGATTTTCCATTCACCTTTTTTTTTCTTTTTCATCCAATGTTTATGTAAAGTATAGAATTCACAGAGATGTAACCTTTCAAATTATGACTAACTGCTTAGAAGATTATATAACTCTTTTTGGGGAATCAAGTCTTTTAAAAATCAACTATAAATGACCTATTAAGCCAAGTAGAGGACTATGATGAGTACTATAAGCACAAAGAGCAAGCATTACAGACTCAGTTTGAGTCTTCTGGGAACTTAGAAACTTCCAGAGAGAAAAAACAGGAACACATAAAATATACATGATAACAAAAACACCAGAGACATAGGGGGAGAGGGAAACACCTTGTTTGCTGTATTTCTATAGAGCTGGAAATTAAAGTGCTAGAAAATAACCTTATATCAACTGGATCAATGCACTAATTAGACTTCAGAAACATGAAAAGATTCATTACAAAACATTTTCTACCAGGTGCATCTTGTCAAGAGGATTCTAGTTTTGTTGTTTTAGAACATACAACTTATGATTATCTGAAGTTGTTACTTGAAAACTCAATACTTGTTAATGAATTATATTGTTTTACAGAAAAGGAGATCAATCTTTTAGAAATATCTAAAATTCAAACTTCTGAAACAGGTATCAAAAAAGTGCTGCCCATTCTTACTTTCCCACCTCCTGCCTTCATCTAAAATGAGGTTTTTCATCTAAAATTTTATGAGGAAGAATTCACTGTAGTTACTTTTTAAAGAGTCTCTCTTTTCTTCAGAGTAATTCTAGTTGCTTTAATAAACTTTAAATTGATTAAAATTTTTCAATGTTTCAATCATTCTCTTTCTGGGCCTCTTATGTTCATAGCTCTGTTTATCACTTCTTATAAAACTTTTTACTCTTTGGTTTCTCTTTTACTGCACCCTCTTGGTCCTTCTTGTTCATCTCTCATTTCATCTACTTCAAAGTTTTCTCCTCTACCTGTCCTAGTGATGTGTAGGTAAATATTTTTATAAACTGGTTCTCCAAGGAAAATAAAAAATGTGTACTTATATCATTTACTATAAATTTTACTGATATTAGGATATATGACACACAATTTACAAATAATAAAATATTACAACTTTTTATTGAACATTCTGTATATCAAATTGTTTCTCAAAGAATGCTTTTTTTGAACTTTGCCAAACTTTTGCATGTATAGGCAACCTATTTTTGCAGCTAATAAACAAGTATAGTTTTAGCATGAAGACTGCTTGATATTTATGTTAGTCAGTGAAATAAAAAAGAAATGAAGAAGCTATATGTCAGAACTTTACTCATTCATCAGTGATGTAAGCAATTATTTGCAAATCAAAAAACAGAATTTCAATAATGAAAGGATATTTTTTAATTTTTGTGCTATTCAGAGTAATGGCTACAAACACAATACACCTTGACTGTTTATCTGTTTTATTGGCATTTCCTCCATCACCTTCTTAATTCTACTCTAGAAAATCAAGAAGCTCTCATTTGTAGTGCTTGGAGATTTTTGTAATGTAAAGATTCCCACCATCACTGATTTCAAACTACTGATGTGAAATTGCTAAATGCAGAGTTAAGAAGAGATTCACAGTAGCTCAACAGTGTGACATACTTCCACCATCCAGATAGAATAGGCCAGATAGAATAGACCAGCATCCAGAAAGAAGAGTTGCACAGTAGCCCAATAGTATAGCATATTACTACTGTCCAGAGAGAATAATCCAGAGAGAATAGACCACCGTCCAGAAAGAAGAGATGCACAATAGCCCGACAGTATGCCATACTTCTGCTATTCAAACGGAATAGACAAATAAAATACAGTAAAATAATTAGGAAGTGATATGTCTTAGTATTTATTACCTTTCCTTAAGGTAAGTTATAGAATTCTAAGTTTATATAGTCAAATATTTAATAATGGCTGCTTTTAACAACAGACAAGCAGGAATTTCTGACAGTTTAACAACAAGAATTGGTATGGTCTGCTTTCAGCACACCATTGAATTCTCTCCCTTAATATTGTTGTTTCAGAATGTTTCGGAGTTGGCCCTTTTTCTGCTCACCCTAAATACTCTTTTTGTGTGACCTCAAAAACTGTTCTGACTTCAGCAGATACATGTATGCTAATTATTACTAAGAATTCTTTTCTAGACAGGTTTTTCCCGTTTCAGGTTCCCACCCCCATTTTTAAAATCTATAGGATATCTGTATTTAAACAATTCACAGGCATCTCAAAATCATTACCTGCCGAGTCAGCTCCTCCTCCTGTGGTTTTCAATTCACTGCTAACATCCACCTGGTAGTCCTGGGATCCTTCCTTTCTCTTACATTTGATATCCAATCAATCACCAAATCCTGCTGATTTTATCTGCCAAATATGTCTTGAATCTGTTACAACTCTAGTTCCTAACTAATCTTTCCCTCCAGACAGGATACTGGACCAGAATCCAAATGGTTTTCTGGGTATGAAACTTTCTTCACCCCTACTCCTCTCTATTCACCCTTCCAACTTATCCTCCATGTACCGTGGAGACATCTATTTACATTGCAATTTGCGTATCTCGTTCCCTGCTTATAACCCTTTACTTACTCCTCAACCTCAATAGGATATAAGCCAAACTCCTTAAGGTAAAGGCCAATGCTTTCCATAATCTGACCAATTTTTCTAAGCTCACCTCTCACCCTTGCCTCTTGTGTACATTCTGCTTGCATCACAATTCTAAACTGGTTTAAATTTCTATGCATAACAATTTTTGCTGCCTGGAATTCCACCCAAACTCTTTTTTACTGATATTTTGATTCAACCCAGGCTCCATCTCTTCTAGGAAGCCTCTACTGATCTCTCTTTCTCAAGAAATAAGCCAGGTGAGATTGATTTCTTCCATGCTATCAAAATGAACCCTGACTATCTGTCACTTTAGTTGCCATATCTAGTTATAGTCATTTATTTCTGTTTTTATCTACCTAACCAAAACCTAACATAAATTCACTGAGGAAAGGAAATCATGTACAGAGGTGAATACATAAAAGATACGTAACAAGGGTTTGATGGACAAAAGAATGCGTTAATGAATGAATAAACCTAACCATTTTTAAGTACAATTTTCAATTTTTTGTAGCAGTATATTTTGTACATAAAAATTTAAAGTCACATTTGTTTTTAACTTAGAATACTTGAAACAGTTTCATCTGGATCTTCTAATCAAGATGAGTTTCTTTTGAACTTAATTTCAGGAGTTTCCACTAATTTTCTCAATATTGTTTAGAAAGGTGTATTTCAGAGGGTTTTTACCATAGAGGAGTGGAAGTATCTAAAATTATAGACTAGAAAAATTTATCTGTCAGAAAAGAAGACCCTAAAATTCATGTCGTCTTCAGATTTTAGTTCATTCATTCATTCACACATAAAATGAAAGTGGTTTAAAGACTGTGGAGGAGACTGAAGAGAAATTGGGGATTACAGAAGACAAGAATACATTGTAAGCTAAAACTAACTAACAACTATTTAGAAAACATCATGCAAAGTTAGAAGATGAAGGAAGGCAGCATCCAAATTAAATCTATCTGAAATTGCAAGTATAGGTGTTGAAATTATTTGGTTGAGGGAGTATCACAGAAAGCAGTTTGCATTAAATAATGTATTAAAAATTTTATTTATTCTGAATATCAAGATTTAACATGCATGTCTTTCTTGTCAGGTTGTGTATGGAGGTTCTCATGCTGCCAAGTTAACATAGAGTCAGGGAAAGGAAAAATCTGGTGGAACATCAGGAAAACCTGCTACAAGATTGTTGAACACAGTTGGTTTGAAAGCTTCATTGTCCTCATGATCCTGCTCAGCAGTGGTGCCCTGGTAAATGATCTGACACCTAAGTCAATATATTGATTAAGTCAATATTCTTTAAAATGAGCTAAAAGATAAAAATATCATGGCAAGTTGTTTTACCTAGAATTAATCCCTATGATTAGTGCCAATGACAAAATTTTACTTGAGCTCAGTAAATAGTTACTGAGCACTCCTACATGCCAGGCATTATCCTTGCTGCCCTGAATGCTGTTGTCCAAAGGACCACCCAGATGGCTATAATAGAAAAGAGAATTTTACTGGCAATATCAGTTTGCAAAACAGGGAGAGAGTCTGTGGCATAAACTGAAAGCACTTTCCCTGTAGAACAAAGAGAGAAGGTTAGAGGTTTTATTAAAATGGGAAAATGTTATATATTGCTCTTTGAGAAAGTTCATTGGCCCTAGTAAGGATCTGGGGAACTGGTAAGCTCCAACTGGCGAGCAACAGTCGTTGGCACAATTAGTCCTAGAGTGTAACAGGTTTCCTCAGAAGCTATAGATAAAACTAATTTCAAGTTACAACAAGCAGCTTCAACAGTCAGTCTTGCAGAGAATTATAATTCTTGGAGTAATGTTTTGTACCCTGAGAGCTTTTCCCCCTGCCTTCTTGACTCTTAGTTGACTGTTAGTTGAGTAGGACAAGAACTACCCAATTTGTATGATCAACTTTCACAATGCAAAGATAAATAAGATCCAGGTACTGTTTATTCTTAAGGAGCTCAGAGCAATGGAGAAGAGAAGAATACAAATGAGTAACTGTAGAGCTTGGATGTGTTTGTAAGCAAAGTGTAAATGTGACAAAGTTCTGTAGCAAGGAGAACAACTGCTTGCAATTTCAGAAACGTAAATGGTGCTTTTCAGGGTCTAGAAAGACGAACAGGAATTTTCTAGTTAGGCAAGGCAGGCTGAGGGGAACAAGTATACAATCGTAAGGAGGCATAAAACAGCATCAGATATTCAGGAAATTAAAAACTGCTGAACTGCAAGTGTGGTGGGAAGAAGAACAAGTACAGGTGGCCAGAGATACTATGAGAAAGCAAGGTCAGCTTGTGAAGCATCTTGTGTGTTATAAAAAGGGAAAACAGATGGTAGTTTTAGGATAAAAGTAGGACAAGTTTCTCATTCTTGTACACATACAAGCAGCTTCCATGAGAGTTGAAAGAGATCTAGTAGAATTACAAGCTACCTGAACCTTTTTCTTAATTGTCATTTTTCCTGCTGACGCTGACAGAGATGAGCCATTAGAAGCCATTAGGAGCCCAGATCTAGCTAGATATACCACTGGAAGTTTCATTATACTAAAAATAGAATACTCAAGAACTTTGTAACTTGCCTCATAGACAGTCTTCATGAGTTTGGACTTTGATTTTACTGTACTTATATGCTAATAGGTTGATCTGATACTGTTTCATGGATGCTGGCAGAAGATATGAGGTGCTTGGGTCAGAGATAAAGGACTTTGTTACTTATGTGTGGAAAGTAGCATGAGTTTCAACATGTTTCTGTTGGTTCCCCCTTTACCCAGGTCTCATGGGGGCATTATATGAGCCTGAATGAGTGTGTACACATATAGTGGATTGATGTCACAGCTGAGGAACACTGAGCTTAGGGAATGCATCCTTTTATACCAAGCAACATAAGCAACCCTGCTCTTTGTCCCAGAGACCCTACCTCATGTCTCAAGGTTGCTCACTGCAAACACAACCCTGAGGAATGTCCTAGGTAAGGAGCAGGCAGAGCCTGGCATTCTTGGCACACTCCCCAACAACCTGCAGGGACCCACTGTGGCTTTCCTTTCCTATCAAGTCTCAACTCTCAGAAACAGAAAATGTGATCAGAAAAGCTCTATTTTCCTTACCTGGAGTCATCCAAGTAGAAATCATGATAGTGTCTACCATGCAATGTATTCCTAGTAACTAAGGAGGTTTATCCCATGCTGACTCACATATGTGACTGAGAATTTCAGAGAGGAGATTACAAAAAAATTAAAGTTTGGAGTAATTCCTTGTTCAAAATGTCTAAAACAGAGGAAGACATTTGGGGAGGGCATTCTCAAAAGTGTATTTTAAATAAATCATATGAGGAAGAAAAGGGAAAGATATTTCAAGAAGCTGGTGTTTGTACTTAGACAGGTTGCCAATTAAACTAGATTTTTTAAAAGTATAGCAAACCCCCATGACACGTGTTTACCTATGTAACAAACCTTCACATGTACCCTCAAACCTAAAATAAAAGTTAAAAAGAAGTAATAGCTCTCATTTAGCTTATACTTATTGTGTTTCAGAATCTTCTTTTAGATTTTCTCATTTAATTTTCAAACAACCCTGTGAGATTATGATATTTTGCTTATTTTACCAATGATGAAGCTGGGTACAGTTTTAAAAGTTGCTTAATGTCCCAAAGCTAGTAAATGACAGAGCTATCACTGAATTGACATCTAAAATCAAAGTCACCATATCTTTTCACTGTGTTGTGGCTCCTCAGAAAGAAGAGTATACACAAAACAGAAATAAATGAGTGGTAACTGAATTTAGTAACAGTAAAGCGTTAAGTCCTAAATCAGATAGAGCTCACATAAGGTCATTCTTGCCTCCTTGCTCCTACATCCACAAAATTGGTTCTGGAAGCTAGAACCCCTGTGGGCTGAATTCTAATTCCTGCTCTGGGACCAGTCAGAGAGAGGTTCTCATCATCAAGACTTCCTGCGGCTCTGCTCTGACCCTGTACACCAGTTCTAGAAACAGGCTTCGTTTTCCTTGTGACTAAGCCCCTTCCTTGTCTTTGTATTTCAAGGACTGAGTCATTGCCATAGTTTCGGTTTAGATGGCTTGCCTGATTCCTCCAGAATTTGGGGGTGGAGTGGAGGGGAGGAAAATCCTGAGGGCTAGAA